>NC_000008.11:72177265-72802265 GCF_000001405.40 Homo sapiens
CTAACTCTCCCTCTAGCCACTTCACTGTTCGCTCAATTGACCCATTTACAAGTCCCTATAGTGGCAGATATAGAGGATCTGCATAGGTCCAACAGCATAGATCCCCCTCACTGAAGCCAACCTGAACACCACCATTGTTGACTGCCCAAATGACCAGTAGAAGGGACTAACACAAAGACACTGATATAACACCTGCTACCTGGAGGCAGGATAGTTGCAACAGACCTTTCTACCCTACAGGGAACAATGATATGTCCTCACTGGACTAGAGACTTATTCTGGATATAGGTTTGTCTTTTTGTCCACTGTCTTTCTCCTAGCTTCATTATATGTAGTGCCATATTTACCATCCTGTTTTCTGATACAGCACTGCGTCTAACAAAGAAACTCATTTTACAAAAAGATGAGTGGCAATGATACCACAGTCAAAGAATTTCTTGCTCGTTCAACATACTTGATAGAATTGGCTTAGTGAAAAACCCAGTTATGGAGCTAATTCTCTGCAAAATAAATGTGGTCTCCAATATGACATGGGGTATCCAAAAAATCACTGCCACTATATAGTTTTCTCCCATAGCCAGAATATGAGAGTCCAGGAATCAAAGCATGATAATTGAAAGGGCTTGTCTAACTATTTTACCTAAGTCATTCACAAAATTTTTGTTTCTCATCTTCGTGTTTTGGACTCTTGTATGTTCTCAGAGAACACAACAATTGTTTCCAATTGGAAACTAGGACTGCCATTTGGTAATTTGGTCTTATCATGCTATAGAATAAATATCTGAAGGAGATTACTGTGCAGGTTATTATTATTTGTTCTGATTAGCAAGAGGAAATATGGTTGCTTCAACACAAAGAGGTGGAAAGGGAGAAGTATGTCTGGAGCCCAGAGGATTTTGTGAGATGCCTCCTGATATTTCCATGTCAATTAGTAAAATTAATAGAAAACAATAACAATCCAGTTGAGGTAGACTCACTGGGGACTTTGATCATCCAGGAATAAAAGTTTGGAGTATTGAGGTAAAACATCCTACTAAAGTGCTAACTGAGCACAAAGAGAACACAGAAAGGGTAGTGGGGCAGGAAGTTATAGATATTAACTTCTGCCTTATGACATATTAGAGAAACAATTATAGCATCCATGCATACTTTCTTTCTTTCTTGTCTTAGTAACCAGCTTCCAAGGTAGTCCCTGTGATTCCTGCCTCCTGGTATTTCCATCCATTCTCTTTCTCTCTCTCACTACTTCTCTAGAAAAAGTCAGCTACCAGGACATGAACAGTTTTAAGGAAGAGCCTAGATGGCAAAGAACTAAGCACTCCAGACAACAACCATGTGCTTAGAAATGAATCCTTCAGCCCCAGTCTAGCCTTCAGATGTGTATTACTCCATTATCACACTGCTATAAGGAATTATCTGACACTGCATAATTTATGAAGAAAAGAGGTTTAATTGACTCATGGTTCTTCAAGCTGTACAGGAAGCATGTCTGGGAGGCTTCAGAAAACTTACAATCATTGCAGAAGGTGAAGGGGAAGCCAGCATGTTTTACTATTGAAGAGCAGAAGACAGAGTGAAGTGGGAAGTGCTACACCCACTTAAACAACCAGATCTTGTGAAAGCTCACTCACTATCATGGGAACAGCAAGGGGGAAATCTGCCCCCATGATCCAGTCACCTCCCATCAGGCCACTCCCCCAACACTGGGAATTACAATTCAACATGAGATTTGGGTGGGGAGCCAAACCATGACAAGTGTCAAACCATGACAATATGACTGCAATCTTAGCCAATATCTTGATTGCAATTTTATGAGAGGCCCTGAGCCTAAACTATCATTAAGCTCCTTAATTCTTTATTCTCAGAACCTAGTGAAAGATGTTTTTTGTTTTAACCTCTTACATCCTGGATTAAGTTGTTATACAGGAATAAGTAAATAATGCACTTGTTATATTCATATATATAAATATTAGCTAATCCCCCTTTTTCTTATTATAACTTTTTATAATGACCACTGTGGTGGTTTACTTAATAATTTGGACTTACACAGGAGATTGAGACCATCCTGGCTAACACGGTGAAACCCTGTCTCTACTAAAAATACAAAAATTAGCTGGGCGTGGTGGTGGGCACCTGTAGTCCCAGCTACTCAGGAGGCTGAGGCAGGAGAATGGCATGAACCCAGGAGGCAGAGCTTGCAGTGAGCCGAGATCGCGCCACTGCACTCCAGCCTGGGCAACAGAGCTAGACTCCATCTCAATAATAATAATAATAATAATAATAATAATAATAATAATTTGGACTTACAGAATAATCAGATGAGATCGTGGCTAAACTGAAAGGAAATTACCACCATCTAGAGATGAATAACATAATTGATGGATCTTTGTATCTCAGCTTGTTTTTAAGACAGGATAAGACCATCTTCGCTTGTATGAAGCTTAATTGCATCATACAAGGTGGAAGCATAAAGAGGATGTTTTTGCTGCATGGAAGCTTAAATGTGGGTAAAGGCAGTGTTCGAATATTGAATAGCCAAATTGCTGGGCTGGGCTGGTTATTTTTCTGTCAGGTCTTAACCCCCACATATTTCTATACTTTGATCAATGCTGCTGGGTTTGGGAATTGGAAACTACATTTCCCAGATGCCTTTACCAGCTGGCTATTTGTTCTGCCAATGGGTGGCATTGGGAGGAGACTAGAAGGTAAAACCTGCATAGCCCTTGTTCTGACAGTAGTGACAGTTGCCAGCAATGAGGGCAGTGCAAGAAGGGGTAGGCTGCTGTGAGCTCAGCAACCCAGGAAATGTACCACCTCTCTGGTGACTCTACTACCTTGGTTACCCCTCTTTGATTCCAGTGCTGTCAGAAAGAATAGCTTCTCAGCATTTCCAGTGCTGGCAGCTGCAGAGCTACCCATGGCACAGCAAGCAAGTGCAACACATAAGTTCCAGTTAGGGGTATTAGAAAGTTTCTGATCTTGTACTTTTATTCTTCCCCCTTTTCAAAAACCCCTCTAGCATCCCCTACTTCTCCTTTTTGTTCTTCAGTCCTCCTAATCACTTTATAAATCATTCGCTATATTATATCTCTTCTAGTTTAAATCATTAAAATGGTTCCTATTTTCCCTGAGAGTAATAAGAATAATAGATACTCAGGCTTGATGGAGATGCATTTTGGAAAACAACAAGCTTAAATATTCCCCAAACATTTCTTTTTATCTCTATATATTTTAGAAATACATGAAACTACTGCATTTTACCTGCATTATTCTCTAGAAGACTATGCATATGATCAAAGTTTGTTAACATCTGGAAACTAGTATAGTGCTAACAGTTCTAGTGGTGATCAATGAAAAGCAATCCATAATCCAGAAACTAGTAATATGAAACACTTAATTCAGTACTTAAATATTCAGCTACAAAGTAAAGTGTTCTCATGCTGAGATACGTTTATCTTCAATATAATATTTGCTTATTTAACTGGAAACTGTTGTCTTCATGGCATGTTGTGTGTTAACACTGTGTTTGTAGATATTTTCAAATCCTGGGTTTTTTTTCCTTTTTCTATTCTATGGTTTTTAATATGCTTCTAATGTGTTTAAATAAATAACGAAGGAAGTTGAGAATGAAAATATTGATGCAGAGATGCTTATTAATTGATAATTGATAAATGCTAATTGCTTCCTATCTGATCTGGCTTCTGACAACCTCCACCTGCACCCCTGCCGCTTTCTGTGGTGCTGCAGCCACACTTCTTGCTAATCCTCAAGCGCACTAAGTTTGTTCCCATCTCAGGAACTGTTCCTTCTGCCTGGAATGCTCCTCGTAATATCTCCATCTGCCTCACTCCCTCACATCATTACAGTCTTTGCTCAAGTGCTTACTTTGAAGACAGCCTTTTCCTCTCCCCATATCCTGGCAGTCCAGATTGCTGACCCACCTGGTCTCTCTCTACTGGGCATACTTTACTTTTCCTCTCAGCACTTATGTCTCCCTGAAATCATGTTCTGCAAGTATATGCTTATTCTTTTACTCTCTGTCCTTCGCTGAGTGTAAATTCTGTTGGGCCTGGAAAACTGTCTTTGTTCACCACCTTATATCTTGTACCTAGAACAGTGGGTGCTTGGCACGTACAGTCACAGTAAACATTTATTAAATCAACGTTTTGGTCCATACATTTTCACTGTGATACATGTTTCATAGTTTTACCTCCGCCAATTTTTTAGATTTAACACACACTTTCAGCATTGTATGTTTTAAGCAATACAGAGTGTGATGGCTAAATATATGTCAGCTTTACTGGGCCATGGGGTGCCCAGATATTTGACCAAATGTTATTCTGAGTGCTTTTGTGAGGATATTTTTGGATGAGTTTCATATTTAAATCAATAGACTGAGTAAAGCAGATGGCCCTTCCTGATATGGGTGGGCCTCATCCAATCAGTTGATGACCTTAACAGAACAAAAAGACTGATCTTCCCCTGAGTAAGAGGGAATTCCTCCTGCCTGACTGCCTCCAAGCTGGGGACATTGGTTTCTTCTAGTCAAAACATTGGCTCTTCCAGGGTCTTGTGACTGCTCACTTTTGGACTGGAACTTATACCATGGGCTCTCCTGATTCTCAAGCCTTTGGAGTTGGACTGGAATACACAATTACTATTCCTGGGTCTCAGGGTTGCCAACTGCAGACTTGTCGGCCTCCATAATTGCATGATCCAATTTCTTATAATAAATATATAGGTAGATAGATGATAGATAGATAGATAGATAGATAGATAGATAGATAATAGGGGATACACAGATAGACACAGACACATGCACACACACAAACATACACCCATATTCTGTTGATTCTGTTTCCCTGGAAATCTCTGACTAATACACAGATGTCATCTAATTTTTCTATAAATTACACATAGATTAATCACTTTCCATGTCAACAGACTATCTCACAGGTGAGTGCTGTTGGTCACACTTTTTGTGACAGTGTCTATGAATGGTGTGGGTTCTAGCTACCACTGCTTTTACACACATACTTTATAAATGCTATGAATCCTGGCTCATTATTTTTATTCAAATGTGTATACAGAGACCAACATGCTTAAGCTAAACTGAAGAGCATTTCAATACTATTTTGCAATAAAAATACCTTCTATGACACAGTTACATTTGATAAAGAGATTATGGCTCAATGAGGCAAATGAATCCTGCCATCACCAAGTACCCTAAATGATACACAGTGTGTGTCAACCTATATTTGCATTGTTTTCCAAAATGAGTAAATTTTGTTTTATTAAGTTTGTTTTAATAAGGAATATATGTACCTCTCACTTTTGAGTTCTTTAAATCAAGTTTTTCCCCAACTCAGAGATTTCTAGATATTCTCTCTCTCTCTCTCTCTCTCTCTCTCTCTCTCTCTCTCTATATATATATATATATATATATATATATATATATATATTTTTTTTTTTTTTTTTTTTTTTTTTTTTTTTTTGAGATGGAGTCTCGCTCTGTCTCCCAGGCTGAAGTGCAGTGGTGCAATCTCAGCTCACTGCAAGCTCCGCTTCCCAAGTTCACGCCATTCTCCTGCTTCAGCCTCCCAAGTAGCAGGGACTACAGGCACCTGCCACCATGCCCAGCTAAATTTTTTGTATTTTTGGTAGAGACGAGGTTTCACTGTGTTAGCCGGGATGGTCTCGATCTTCTGACTTTGTGATCTGCCCACCTCAGCCTTCAAAACCTTTTAAATGATGTTTACACTAGAGGAGTTCTGCTCATACAATATTGAGAAATGGACACTTGAAATACAAAAATCAATTTTCTATTTTGCACTATTTTCCTACATGAGTCTAAAATATGTATTATCTTCTCTATGCTAATTAGATGTTAGTTAGAATATAAGAGAATACAATTACAACTCAAGTTTTCTTGTATTGCCTTATATTTTGTTTTTATAGTTTTGTCTATTTAAAGTCAGAATTTTAAAAAGACAGAGAGAAGCCTGACAAATAATCCCTTAGTCATACATCAATTAAAAGTTCTTTTTGTTCTGCCGTCATCTCTTTCCCTTGCAGGCATCACTATCTTGCTTATATCTATCCTCTTGAGGTAAGAGAGACCAGTCTAAGCCCTCTTCACATTGTCAGTGTCTACTTGTACATAGGAAGTGCTCAACATGGTTTTTGATAGTAGTAATTACTTTTGTTTAAGTTAATAAAACAACTTACATTTGTCAATGCCCTATAAAAATGAAATCATGCAAATATTGGGATGGATTATTTGACTTGCCTGTTCCAAATTATTCTATTTTGAATAATAGTTCTTGTTTTGTACTTGTGTCTTTTGGTAGGTTTTGTTTGTGTTTTACTGAGAAGGCACATGGCCCTCCCCGTCCTAGTTTGCCTTAGAGACCTGGATGCTTGTATTGTACACTGATGTTTCTAGCTTACTTGGAGGGATCGAGCTTACTTGCCAGTGTGCGGCTCATTCACATGAATCCACTGTAGAAAAATATAAAGCAGATTGTTCTGTTTTCTGACTGTTTTTGAGACAAGCTTAGGCATTCACCCATCTCTTTCAATTGGATTGGCTACTTTCATTAACTTTGAACTAGCATTCTATATAACATACAATTTCCACCATCTCAAAGATAAGCTTGTCCCATGCCATGGCCTCCATCCACTCTTCATTAAGTGAGTGTATGAACCAATGAAAGCCTGTGATCCTTCCTAAAGTCAATTCAGTGGAGCCATCATCTTGAACAGGTGGATATTCTCTGATTTTACACTTTAAAGAGAAAACACATTATAAATTTTTTTTTTAGATTTATTAGGTTGAAAATTGAACAGGAAAGGTAACTTTTATCATTGTGAAATTTCTGATTAATACAAAAAACTTTTGTGCTAGGTCCCATAACAAATGAAAGACCAAGGAGCAGAAACATGGGGGCAGGTACCCTTTAAAAAAAAATCTATGGAAGGATCTGGCAAGATGGCCGAATATAAACAGCTCCGGTCTGCAACTCCCAGTGAGACCAACACAGAAGGCAGGTGATTTCTGCATTTCCAACTGAGTGGCACCTGGAACCCCAGCGAGACAAAAACTGTTCACACTCCTGGAAAGGGGGCTGAAGCCAGGGATCCAAGTGGTCTCGCTCAGCGGGTCCCACTCCCAGGGAGTCCAGCAAGCTAAGAACCACTGGCTTGAAATTCTTGCTGCCAGCACAGCAGTCTGAAGTCAACCTGGGACAATTGAGCTTGGTGTGGGCAGGGGTGTCCACCATTACTGAGGCTTGAGCAGGTGGGTTTCCCCTCACAGTGCTAAGGACTGGGTAGAACTCAACACAGCTGTAGCCAGACTGCCTCACCAGATTCCTCTTCACTGGGCAGGGCATCTCTGAAAGAAAGGCAGCAGCCCAGTCAGGGGTTTATAGATAAAACTCCCATTTCCCTGGGACCGGGCAACCGGGGGAAGGGATGGCTGTGGGTGCAGTTTCAGTGGACTTAAACGTTCCTGCCTGCCAGCTCTGAAGAGAGCAGCAGATCCTGACAAGGAGGTTTTTCCAGCACAGCACTTGAGCTCTGCTAAGGGACAGACTGCCTCCTCAAGTGGGTCCCTAACCCCCACGCCTCCTGACTGGGAGAGACCTCCCAACAGGGTTGACAGACACCTTATACAGGAAAGCTTCAGCTGACATCAGCCCTGTGCCCCTCTAGGACGAAGCTTCCAAAGGAACGAACAGGCAGCAATCTTTGCTGTTCTACAGCCTCCGCTGGTGATACCCAGGCAAATAGGGTCTGGAATGGACCTGCAACAAACTGCAGCAGACTTGCAGAAGAAAGGCCTGACTATTAGAAGAAAAACTAACAAACAGAAAGCAATAACATCAACATCAACAAAAAGGACCCCACACAGAAGCCCCATCCAAAGGTCATCAGCCTCAAAAATCAAAGGTAGATAAATCCATGAAGATGAGGAAAAAACAGTGCAAAAATGCTGCAAATTCCAAAAACCAGAATCCTTCTTCTCCTCCAAATGATTGCAACTCCTCTCTGGCAAGGGCACAAAACCAGATAGAGAATGAGTTTGATGAACTGACAGAAGCAGGTTTCAGAAGGTGGGTAATAACAAACACCTCTGAGCTAAAAGAGCATATTCTACTCCAATGCAAGGAATCTAAGAACCTTGACAAAAGGTTACGGGAACTGCTAAGTAGAGTAACCAGTTTAGAGGAAAACATAAGTGACCTCATGGAGCTGAAAAACACAGCATGAGAACCTCATAAAGCATACACAAGTATCAAAAACCAAATCCATCAAGTGGAAGAAAGTATATCAGAGACTGAAGATCAACTCAATGAAATAAGGCATGAAGACAAGATTAGGGAAAAAAGAATGAAAAGGAATGAACAAAGCCTCCAAGAAATACGGGACTATGTGAAAAGACCAAACTTATGATTGACTGGGGCCCCTGAAAGTGACGGGGAGAATGGAACCAAGTTGGAAAACACACTTCAGAATATTATCCAGGAGAACTTCCCCCAACCTAGAAAAATAGGCCAACATTCAAATTCAGGAAATACAGAGAACACCAGAAAGATACTCCTCAAGGAGAAGAGCAACCCCAAGAAACATAATTGTCAGAATCTCCAAGGTTAAAATGAAGGAAAAAATGTTAAGGGCAGCCAGAGACAAAGTCAGGTTACCTACAAAGGGAAGCTCATCAGACTAACAGCGGATCCCTCTGCAGAAACCCTACAAGCCAGAAGAGAGTCAGGGGGCCAATATTTAACATTCTTAATGAAAAGAATTTTCAACCCAGAATTTCATAGCCAGCCAAACTATGTTTCATAAGTGAAGGAGAAATAAAATCCTTTAAAGACAAGCAAATGCTGAGGGATTTTGTCACCACCAGGCCTGCCTTACAAGAGCTCCTTAAGGAATCACTAAATATGGAAAGGAAAAACCAGTACCAGCCACTGCAAAACTACACCAAATATAAAGACCAATGACACTATGAAGAAACTGCATCAACTAATGTGCAAAATAACCAGCTAGCATCATAATGACAAGATCAAATTCACACATAACAATATTAATCTGAAAAGTAAATGGGCCAGATGCCTCAATTAAAAGACAAAGACTGGCAAGTTGGATAAAGAGTCAAAATGCAACAGTGTGCTGTGTTCAGGAGACCCATCTCACATGCAAAGACACACATAGGCTCAAAAGAAAGAGATGGCAGAATAGTTACCAAACAAATGGAAAGAAAAAAAAATCAGGGGTTACAATCCTCGTTTCTGATAAAACAGACTTTAAACCAAGAAAGGTCAAAAAAGACAAAGAAGGGCATTACATAATGGTACAGGGATTGATGCAACAAGAACTGCTAACTATCTTAAATATATAGGCGCCCAATATAGGAGCACCAAGATTCATAAAACAACTTCTTAGAGACCTACAAAGAGACTTAGACTCCCACACAATACTAGTGGGAGACTTTAACACCACACTGTCAATATTAGACAGATTGATGCGACAGAAAATTAACAAGAATATTCAGGACTTGAACTTAGCTCTGGACCAAGTGGACCTAATAGATATCTACAGAGCTCTCCACCTCAAATCAACAGAATATACATTCTCCTCAGCACCACATAGCACTTATTCTAAAATCAACCACATAATTGGAAGTAAAGCACTCTTCAGCAAATGCAAAAGAATGGAAATCATAACAAACAGCCTCTCAGACCACACTACAATCAAATTAGAACTCAGGAGTAAGAAACTCACATGGAAACTGAACAACCTGTTCCTGAATGACTACTGGGTAAATAATGAAATTAAGCCAGAAATAAATAAGTTCTTTGAATCCAATGAGAACAAAGACATAACGTACCAGGATCTCTGGGACACAGCTAAAGTAGTGTTTAGAGAGAAATTTATAGCACTAAATGCCCACATCAGAAAGTGGGAAAGATCTAAAATTGACACCCTAACATCACAACTAAAAGAACTAGAGAAGCAAGAGCACACAAATTCAAAAGCTAGCAGAATACAAGAAATGACTAAGATCAGAGCAGAACTGAAGGAGATAGAGACACAAAAAACCCTTCAAAAAATCAATGAATCCAGGAGCTGATTTTTTTAAAAGATTAACAAAACAGACCACTAGCCAGATTAATAAAGAAGAAAAGAGAGAAGAATCAAATAGACACAATAAAAAATGATAAAGGGGGTATCACCACTGATCCCACAGAAATACAAAGTACCGTGAGAGAATACTACAAATACCTGTATGCAAATAAACTAGAAAATCTAGAAGAAATGGATAAATTCCTGGATACATACACCCTCCCAAGACTAAACCAGGAAGAAATCTAATCCTTGAATAGACCAATAACAACTTCTGAAATTGAGGCAGTAACTAATAGCCTACCAACCAAAAAAAGCCCAGGACCAGAAGTATTCACAGCCACATTCTACCATAGGTACAGAGAGGAGCTGGTACATTCTGAAACCATTCCAAACAATAGAAAAAGAGGGACTCCTCCCTAACTCATTTTATGAGGCCAGCATCATCTTGATAACAAAACCTGGCAGAGATACAACAAAAAAAGAAAATGTCAGGCCAATATCCCTGCTGAACATCTATGCAAAAATCCTCAATAAAATACTGGCACACTGAATCCAGCAGCACATCAAAAAGCTTATCCACCAAGATCAAGTCGGCTTCATCCCTGGAATGCAAGGCTGGTTTAACATACACAAACCAATAAATGTAATCTGTCACATAAACATAACCAATGACAAAAACTACATGATTATCTCAATAGATGCAGAAAAGGTCTTCGATAAAACTCAATACCCCTTCATGCTAAAAACTCTCAGTAAACTAGGTATTGATGGAACATATCTAGAAACAATCAGAGCTATTTATTACAAACCCATAGCCAATATTATGGTGAATGGGCAAAATCTGGATGCATTCCCTTTGAAAATTGGCACAAGACAAGGATGCCCTCTCTCACTACTCCTATTCAAGACAGTATTGGAAGTTTTTGCCAGGGCAATCGGGCAAGATAAAGAAATAAAGGTATTCAAATAGAAAGACAGGAACTCATATTGTTGCTGTTTGCAGAGGATATGATTGTATATTTAGAAAACCCCATTGTCTCAGCCCCAAAACTCCTTTAGCTGATAAGCAACTTCAGCAAATTCTCAGGATAAAAAAATAATATGCAAAAACCACAAGCATGCCTATATACCAATAATAGACAAGCAGAGACCCAAATCATGGGTGAACTCCCATTCACAATCGCTACAAAGAGAATAAAATACCTAGGAATGCAATTTACAAGGCACGTGAAGGACTTCTTCAAGAAGAACTACAAACTACTGCTCAAGGAAATAAGAGAGGACACAAACAAATGGAAAAAAATTCCATGATAATCAATATCATGAAAATGGCCAAACTGACCAAAGTAATTTATAGATTCAATGCCATTCTCATCAAGCTGCCAGTGACTTTCTTCACAGAAGAAGAAAAAACTACTTTAAATTTCATATGGAACCAAAAAAGAGCCCATATAGGCAAGACAATCCTAAGCGAAAAGAACAAAGCTGGAGACATCACACTACCTGACTTCAAACTATACTACAAGGCTACAGTAACCAAAACAGCATGCTACCAAAACAGATATATAGACCACTGGAACAGAACAGAGGCCTCAGAAATAATACCACACATCTATAACCATCTGATCTTCAACAAACCTGACAAAAATAAGCAATGGGGAAAGGATTCCCCATTTAACAAATGACACTGGGGAAACTAGCTAGCCATATGCAGAAAACAGAAACTGGAACCCTTCCTTACACCTTGTACAAAATTTAACTGAAGATGGATTAAAGACTTAAAAGTAAAACCAAAAAACTATAATAAACCAAAGAAGAAAACCTAGGCAATACCATTCAGGACATAGGCGTGAGCAAAGACTTCATGACTAAAACACCAAAAGCAATTGCAACAAAAGCCAAAATTGACAAATAGGATCTAATTAAACTAACGAGCTTCTCCTCAGCAAAAGAAACTATCATCAGAGTGAACAGGCAACCTACAGAATGGGAGAAAAATTTTTCAATCTATCCATCTGGCAAAGCTGTAATATCCAGAATCTACAAGGAAATTACACAAATTTATGAAAAAAAAAAGAACCTCATCGAAAAGTGGGCAAAGGATATGAACAGACACTTCTCAAAAGAAGGCATTTATGCAGCCAACAAACATATGAAAAAAAGCTCATCATCACTGGTCATTAAAGAAACGCAAAACAAAACCACAAGGAGATACCACCTCATGCCAGTTAGAATGGCGATCATTAAAAAGTCTAGAAACAACAGATGTTGGCAAGGATGCGGAGAAACAGGAACACTTTTACACTGTTGGTAGGAATGTAAATTAGCTCAACCATTGTGGAAGACAGTGTGGCAATTCCTCAAGGATCGAGAACCACAAATACCATTTAACCCTGCAATTGGGTTAACCCATTACTGGCTATGTACCCAAAGGATTAAAAATCATTCTACTATAAAGACACATGCACACGTATGTTTACTGCAGCACTATTTACAATAGCAAAGACTTGGAACCAACCCAAATGCCCATCAATGATAGACTTGGATAAAGAAAATGTGGCACATATACACCATGGAATATTATGCAGCCATAAAAAAGAATTAGTTGCCAGGCGTGGTGGCTCACGCCTGTAATCCCAGCACTTTGGGAGGCCCAGGCAGGCGGATCACAAGGTCAGAAGATTGAGACCATCCTGGCTAACATGGTGAAACCCCGTCTCTACTAAAAATACAAAAAATTAGGCAGGCATGGTGGTGGGCACCTGTAGTCCCAAGCTACTCGGGAGGCTGAGGCAGGAGAATGGCGTGAACCTGGGAGGCGGAGATTGCAGTGAGCCAAGATGGCGCCACTGCACTCCAGCCTGGGCGACAGAGCAAGACTCCATCTCAATAAAAAAAAAAGAAGAATTAATGTCCTTTGCAGGGACATGGATGAAGCTGGAAACCATCATCCTCAGCAAACTAACACAGGAACAGAAAACCAAACACCTCATGTTCTCACTCATAAGTGGGAGCTGAACAATGAGGACATTTGGACACAGGGAGGGGAATACCACACACCGGGGCCTGTTGTGGGGGTTGGGGGAAAGGGAAGGGAGAGCATTAGGATAAATACCTAATGCATGCGAGGCTTCAAACCTAGATGATAGGTTGATAGGGTGCAGCAAACCACCATGGCACATGTATACCTATGTAACAAACCTGCACGTTCAGCACATGTATCTCAGAACTTAAGGTAAAATTTAAAAAAATCTATGAAAATCACAGAAAAAAAATCACATAAAGAGAGAGTCATCCAAAATATACTAACACAATTATGACCAATTTTTATGAAGTCACACTAGAAATGATGACATAATATTTAAAAATTATCTGGCCATTTTAGATTAGCACATGTTAAATAATCCCAATAAAATGCCCACTTCAGCATTTTAAATTTCAGGCAACAGTCTCCAAAAGAAAGCCCTAGAAATTTTATCACTAACAATTTTAATATAGACAAATAAATAATCAGGTTTTACATTATGAAAAACAATTCTAAAATTACAAAGAAAATATTTATAAGAGACAGTTTTAATGGAATTTCTTTAAGTTTCCCAAAAAGGCAGTTCTCTGTAAAAGTTGTGCTTTCAAAGTCAGTCAAGTATATCATGAGAAAAATAAACTCACCCTAAAAGGAATGACAATAGCACGCCGTTGTTAAGTTTTATTTCTTCTTGTCTGGTCATAGGAGAAGTTCTCTCTCATAGCCTACCCACTGAAGAGGCAGGGCTTGGGGAGGAGCATGTGATATGTGATTTGCTGGAAAGACCCATCTAAACTGGGTAGTACTTTGAGGAATTCATACAAGCGATTCTGCGACTTTCTCTCTGACAAGGGATTAGGGCAAAACTTTCTCTGTAACACTCAGAGGTAGTTTCTAATTATGCTGGACAACACGCTCTCGGAAATACATTGATAAATAAAGGTTATTTTTGCTTGTTTATAAATCTGGATTCTGCCAGGTTACAGGCAGTTGGTGACTGTATGTAGAAAATACATGAATTTATGAGCATTTATTTGTTTAATCTTTTAAAAAATCAAGCTCAAATTTCTATAGCACATCAGCTAGTTTATACTTAAACAGTGCAAAAAATTTATGAGTTTTTTTTTTGTTTTCAAACATTTATTTATCTAAAAAGAGTTACAGGAAGTAGAACCATCATTGTAATTTGAAATAGAATTCTGAAAGAAACCTAGAAAAAAGGCTAAGAAAATATTAAAGGGAACTTCAATGAGCAGCAGGACTAGAATGAACCTACATGAAGCTATATATATCTTTCACAGAGAACCCTAAAGAAACAGAAGAAACATTGGAAGCAGGAAGAGTAATCATAAAGAGTTACCAGATTTGAATACACCTCTAACTGTAATAAATGTAGAATAACATAAAGGACATACATTATTCAACTATGTGTCCGCAATCCAAGCATGAATCATGTCAATTACAGTATCTGTAATACTGATAAAAATTTTTTACAGTCATAAATGTTTTAAATAACTGTTTTTATTAGCTTTGGTTTTAATTCAATAGTATGAGAAAATTAATTTTTGGTGGTTTCTGATTATAAAAATTGAATTAACATTATAATGTTAGTTATTTAGGGTAATGGACTTCTTTCTATTTAATAAAATACCATCTTCTCCCACTGGATGGCAACAATGACTCAAAAATCAAAGGAGTTTTGCAAATTGCCTTAATGTGTTGCAGGTCTCAAGTAAAGGACAAGTGAAGCACCAAATATATGAACAGATAACTACAAAACCACAATAATATAGTTAGGTACCCCAAGACAGGAAGTGCACAAGTTCATGAAACTGTATAGTACGTAGAAATGAGCAATTTTTTAAAATCTTACTGTTTTTTGTCTTATGATCTATTGATAATATTGATTATAGTTGTTTAGAATAAGAAAACCATTGTAAATGGTATCATAATCTGAAATGGATTAAGTGCCATCAGACATACAAATGAGCTACATGGACACGTCTAGGCATCATTTTTCTCTAGACCAAATTTTAAAAGTAATAGTTTGTGTTGGACTACTTTTAAGTAGGACTAATGTCTTTTAATTATCCTAGATATATACTTCTATACCTAAAACATTGGCTGGTACCTACAGATATTTAATATATATTTATTGAACATAAACAAACCAAAGATATACTTGATCTTATAAGGATATAAGATTTTGTAAAATTCCCTTCCAGTCATATTTGCTTTCCATCTTTGCAATTATGGCAAAGGAATGTCAGCATTTATCTACCCATGCAACAGGAGTATTGGGGGCTTATCATTTATCAGTCACTTGCTAGGTGCTGAGAGTTTAAATTCAAATAATACCAGGTTCTTGACCTCAGAGAATTGACACTTTGATGGAGTAGAGACTTGTAAATAATTTTAGGAGATTCAGAAATATTTACAGATATATATCTATACATACTGCTGTTAGAGAAGAAAAAAAGGGGCAAGAAATTCCAATACGGGACAGATCTTAGTCTTCAAAAAGAAGTACCATTGAGGTGCTTTGCAAACTGTTCTCCTGCTAGTCAAAATAGATGAGTCTCTCCTCAGTCAGCAACATAAAATATCAGTACCATTGCACTCACAAGAAAAATAGTTGAATTAGAAGTCATGGAGCTCCTGTCAAAATTCAGGCAAATAAAACTGAGATTCAGTGAATAGATTCTAAGTGTGTGGAAGACATGATCTATTTACACATTTAGAAAATGGAACAGGTTTGGGCTGGGTGTTTCTGCCTCCCCACACCCCTCTAAATCTTGGTCAAGAGCTGCATGAGAAGAGTGCCCCTCATCCCACAGGGTCGTGAAGAAGAGCCCTCGCTGAAACTCTTCTCCTCAGCATCCCTCTGCTTGTTTGCTTTTTTGTTTTGTGTGTGTGTGTGTGTGTGTGTGTGTGTGTGTGTGTGTGTGTGTGTGTGTGTGTTTTTGAGACTGAGTCTCCCTCTGTTGCCAGGCTGGAGTACAGTGGCGCAACCTTTGTCCCCCGGGCTCAAGTGATTCTCCTGCCTCAGCCTTCCGAGTAGCTGGGACTACAGGCGTGCGCCACCAGCTAATTTTTGTATTTTCGGTAGAGGCGGGGTTTCATCATGTTGCCCAGGATGGTCTTGAGCTCTTGACCTCGTGATCCCCCCACCTCGGCCTCTCAAAGTGCTGGGATTACAGGTGTGAGCTACCGCACCGGGCCGTCCCTCTCCTTCTAATCCTCCTCCATTCCCTTCCTGAGTCGAGGCTTCTGCTGAAGAGCCCTTACTGGAGATCAGCATCCTGTGATCCTGAGCATCCATGAGACATATGCACCTCTAACCTCCCTTGGAAAGGGTTTACATAGGATTGAACGGAGGGAGAGTTACTATTGTTTTTACTTCTTCTCTAAGCCATGTTTTCTGTCGCACACACCAGATTTCAGTGGCTTGCCTTCTGTGAATAGAAATTTGTCAGACACTTATTTTGTTGATTTAGTTCTGTTGGTAAACACTGGAGCACAGTCTCGTAGTCATCTCTCGGAGTTAGAACTGTCAGCTACTAGGAGCTAAAAAAAAAGAGGGACTCCTAGGCATACTGCCATTCAACAGAATCTCTTTCTTTATTCTAAGAGTTCAAAAAATATGGTGCAGCCAGATTTTTTCTTTTTCACAGAGTTAAGTATAATCCAGCTAAAAATAGTGCCATGTTTTAATATCTGTAACCTAGAATTTTTATCCACGCAAAAATATTTTCACTTATAGCCGTTTGTGTAAACTTTGCTTAAGGAAATTAATTAATAGATATATGAGTACTTAATTTTAAATGTGAATCTCCATAAATAAAAACATATTTTCATTGGCTAATAAAATTCCCTCATCCCCTCAATTACTTTGCTCTCTCCAGTGTAAATCCTTTTTAGGAAAAATGGGATGACAGCTGGCATTATTTGGTCTCCGTTATGTGCATGGCTGACTGATAAGCAATTTACACACATTCTCCTCTTCAGGTCTTATAAGAAACTTATGTCTCTCTTAGAGAGACATATTATCTCCATTTTCCTAAGAAGAATACAGATTTGGGGGATTAAGTAACATTTCAAAGATCACATAGAAAAATGTCAATGCTGGAATTTGAGCTATGGTCGATCTAATTTTAAAAGTCTACTTCTAGATTTGTAAAATTTAATCTATCCTTGACACATGCATGGAACAGAAGACTCTTCCTCTAGCACTGGCAGAGGAAAGGATTAGAATAATGAGATAACTTTCTACAATATGTAAAACCATGTACACCTAACAACACATCAACAATCATACAATTGAAAATGTGGTTTAATCGTAGCTGTAGATATGTTTTGTCATAAGTGAGACCTACACTTCAATAGCAACAATAAAAATGAATTAATATTTAGAATATAAATTCTGGCACATACACCACATCTTCTTTAAAATTCATTGAATATATTGAAATAAAACCAGTCATGTAAAATGACTTAATGATGAACTTATGGAATATCCTATAGTTCTCAGTGTATGTTTAGAACTTTCTGGTGTTCCAATCTTACCATAGACCAGGGGCTTACAGCCTGTGCCTGGTCCCATCAGGACCCAACAGGTGGATGTTCGATATTATCTTCTCTTTTAGGTCACTTGCCAATCAGGAAGTTAAACAATGACCTATGTTCTTCATATAAGAAAGCAGAACATTCCGGGCCTTTAATGTTTCAAAAACTTCTCTGTATTGGCCTAGAGGCTTCTCTTACTTGGACTTTTACAGTGGCTTGAGGTCATAGTTTTGGGATGCAAACACATAACATTCACTTCCAACTTCTGACTCCATTTATATTTCTCATCTATTTATTTCTGCCCTGGTTCTTGTCTGACATCTTGATTTTGGCACCAAATTAGTTCTTCATAAGAATGAATCTAAAAGTAGGCCCTGCTGTTTATTCTAAGTTTTTCTTAAATCCTCTGATTTTCTTCCTAGGTATGTCTCCATATATTTAACTATAAGCAGTCCTTTTTCAGCACATTATATTGGTGCTTATAATATGTTATCAGAAGAATAGTTTTTGCTGCATGTCATAAAAACCTGGATTCCAACAGTCTTAAACTATCCATTATTCCACATAGCAGGAGATCCAGAGAAAATGCAGGCTTCAAGTTTGGTTGACCTGGTGATGTCATCAACGATCCAGGATCATTTCATCTCTTCTCAGCCATTCTCAGTTTAGGCTCCATTTTCAGGCTGGTGGAAATATAGCTGCAGCAGTTCAAGTTTTCTAATTCTGACACAATATCTAGAAGGGAAGAGACCATCCTTTTCTGGAGGTCTCTCTTTGAGCCAAGGAAATGTTTCTTGAAGGTCCCTGCAGACTTCCTCACACATCTCATTGGTCATATGCCCAGGCTTGAAACCACTCACTGGCAAGAGGAATGAATCTGCAATGATTCAGGTCAGTCACCTGGGTGGAGTGAATGTGGGGGAATCAGCCACAATATTCACATGTAGTGAATTTCTTCCAAATATGTTATAAATAGTGATGATGTTGGCATACTATTTGGTTGTGTGCATAGTGCCATGACACTGGTCTGTTGAAAACAAAGAAATATTTTACGTGGTGTAATATGTTGCAGGATCTTGGGGGCAAAACTACAAAGTATTTTTGATGCAATGTTCCTGTTATATTTACAGAACCTACTACATGCTGGAGTTCTCTGATACAATGCTAATAAATTTATCCAAAGCTAAAATTTGAATGAATTGTATTAGCTGCTTCATCCTTATAGAATAAGATTGCATCCTTTCAATAATGGGTGTAATACCATATTAAGTGATGCATTTCACTGTTGCTGGCTATGCAGGATATGCTAAGAGACTGTGATTCTGGTTTTCCCAGCATTGATAGATCATTCACCTCCATATCACCTAAAAGAAGAAAGTTAAAGGCAGCAGTATATTTATTTGTTGAGGGTTGTCACCGTGTTCCCTTTCCTTGCTGTGGGTGAGTGGAAGGAAGCTGCAAGAAGACCACTCACAGAGCTTGGCATATGCCCATTAGTATTCGGAGGAGGAAGCGACTGGTACCTGATGCCTACCTGAAAATGTCTAATGGGAAAGATCTGGCCAACCACTCTGAAGGCAGAGCAAGAGGAGTGTACTACATTCAGAGGAAGCCACTCTTCTACCAAAAGCAAGGACAAGGTATGTTTCCCATGATGACCAAAACCTGCAGAAGGAAGGTGTTCGTGAGTCCTCTTAACAGTGATCTCAGTAGGAAGAAAACTAGGAAAGCAGGGTGTGGTGGAAGCCAAAGAAAGAATGGGCAGCAATTACAAACATTCTTAGATATCAAGTGCCCATTGGATTTGGCATGAAGTTAGTTGGCACGTTTGGTGGTGAAGGAGTAAGCCCGGTTGCAGCACATTGCATTTTCACGGTCATCAGTTGTAGGTTTGATGGAAAGAAATTGAGGAACTTTCCATCTGTATTCATTATTTGTTGCTTCATAACAAGATCTCCCCCAACCCCCGAAACATAGCAGCTTAACACACCACACATTCATTATTTTACAGTATGTGTGGGTCAGTAATTTAGGCACAACTTATCTGGGTCCTCTTCTTTAGGGCTTCTCAGAAGGCAACAGTCAAGGTGCCAATCAAAAGTGGAGTCTCATCCAAACACTTGTCTGGGAAGGAGCTGCTTCCAGGGACAAGTGATCCTTGGCAGAATTTAGTCCCCACAGGACTGTTGGGCCGAGGGCCTCAGTTCCTAGCCAGCTGTTGGCAAGAGTTCCTTGCCACAGGGGCCTCTCAAATATGATGACATACTAGTTTTATATCACTGAATAACAAATTACCACAAATTGAGAAACTTGATGGAATCCAGGAACGCTTGACTAAGTTCTGTGAATCTCATAAGGCTGAAGTCAAGGTATCAGTCATGCTGGGTTCTTTTCTGGAAGATCTGGGAGGAAATCCACTTCCAAGCTCATAAAGGCTGTTGGAAGCATCCAATCCCTTGTGGTTGTAGACCCGAGGTCCCTGTTTCCTTGCTGGCTATCAGTTAGGGCCTGCTCTTTGCTCCTAGAAGCTGCCTGCATTCTTCATCATGTGGTCACTTCCATCTACAAAGCCAGCAATGGGGTGTTGAATCCTTTTCATGCTTTAAAACTTTTACTTCCCTTATTGCCACCTGTCAGGGAGAACTCTTTGTTTTGAAGGACTTGCATGATTAGATTAGGTACACCCAAATAGTCTCCTATCTTCAGGTTAACTGTGCCATATAACACAACATAACATGGCATAGCATAACATAACATAACATAACATAACATAACATAACATAACATAACATAACATAACATAACGAAACAGTGAAAGTGATATAAGTTTCATAGGTTCTGGGGATTAGAGTATAATATCTTGGTGTAGGGTAGGTTACCTTTTTATGTTTCTATTTTCTTCTAGGGGTAGGGGGCCTAGAGCGAGTAGGACTTGCTATGGGCAAAAGTTTAGAGTCAAGTGGGGAAGTATTCAAATAGAGTTAAGAACAAAGAAACAGACAAATTAGGGAAACAGAATTATTGCTGGGAAGCACAGGATGATGCCTTGAGGTAAGAGGTTAGGAATTTAGCTATTAAAGGACACAAAATGCTTATAATTTTCAAAATTCCCCGTCTTATTTGCGTAGCATATCTAGATACAAGACAGCATTTCTAGATTCATGAGTGGTCCAAGGGACTTTGATTAACTTAACTATAGCAAATATACCATTCTTTGTGAGACTATCTGATGGGCAGCCATGGACCCAAGGAGATTTTCTACCCAAAATCTCACAAATTGCCACTCACATATGTATTTATTTTAGGCAATCATAATCATAATCAAAATTTGGTCAATGTAATGGCATAATTAAAATGTGAAATTATTGTTGTTATGCAAAACGTAAGTGGATACATGTTTAGTGTTAAAAAAATTGAGCTAATATTGAGTTGGTAGTGTTTCATCTGATTTCAAAGTTTCTGCAAGATTTTCCAGCCTTGAGCAATTTGAACTGTGCAGTGAATGAAACTACTGAAAGAAACTAGCATACAATAAGCAAATGAAAAGTATGCAGTTGTATAACTCTTAGGCATATTGCTGGACAGCACAATATTATTCTGACCTTAAACAAGTTACTTAACTTCTCTGAGCCTTAGTTTCTTCATCTTCAAAAATTAGGAAAATAGTATGTCTCTTGCAGTGTATTAAATGAGACAGCACAAGTAATTAAAACAGAGTAAGGGATACATGTATTTATTTATCCTAAATGTATTTTTTCTATTTTGTTGTTCAATTTACACCAAGAAGAATTATTCGTCCAAATGTTGCCATTCAAACCTTAATTGTTATAAAATCAAGTAAATGTCTGAAGTCTATTCTAAGATGCTACAAAAACTTAAAACAACATTATATATATATTTTTTCCCTTTGGGAGGGGAGTCTAAAAACAATGCAATCCCCTTTTCAGTAATAGAAACTTTATCTTAATTTTATATTTATTCAAAAGACTAATTTACAATCACTGTGTTCTAATGTTGGCAAAGAACCTTATTATTTCTCTAATGGAATTGATCTATAAATTTTCATACTTCAAAAGCCTTAATAAATAAATATTAATCAGAGGATCTCACAAAAACTGTGACTGAAAAATATACATACGAGTTCAGCCAAGAAAAAAATGAGTGTAATCAGACTGCTACTCAATTTTAATATTGGAGAACAAAGAAGGTAAATAGCTAATCTATGACAAATGAGGATTTACTCATTGCCAAAATACAATGGATCATTTGTTGTATACTCAAAAAAGTCAGATCTTAATGGAACTTAATAATATTGGCTTTTCCAGTGGCCCTTTTTTTTTGTTCATATAAAACTTGATTTTTTTCAATTAAGTACAATTGCAATTGTACTTAATCAAACTGCAATTTGAAAATAGTAAAGTATATTTTAAGTTGTTATCTGCTGTTTTTGGTAAATTGATGCATCACTGACAATCAAAGAATATACACATATAGATATTACTGTCATTCTTATATTACAAGCCACATTTACTGACTCACTTAAATGACTTAATATGGTGCATATACCAAATTAAAGGCTGGAGTGATCATTTAAAATTTCTAATCACTTTTGACAGCTTGATTCTACTCTGCTTTGTAAGAGTTAGGCTTTGTAAGCCTACTCAGAAGATAGTGTGGGGTTAGAGTAGAGCCTAGACTGTTATTCAGGGCGAATTTATCATTTTATGACTACACAAAGGAAATTAACCTGCAAAGAACTCAGGAAGAACAGTCATAGAGATGAGGGCAGCCCAGGCATGGTTAGAATTAGCACCCAGTAATTCTGGCTCTTTATATGGTCCCTCTTCCATTATAATGCAATGGTCTTGCTTAGTCTTTGATCACTTCATATACTTTCTATAGTGGACATTCCAACTGTGAGAGTGTGTGTGTGTGTGTGTGTGTGTGTGTGTGTGTGTGTGAGAGAGAGAGAGAGAGAGAGAGACAGAGTTAGGCTTTTTGTTCCCAACCAAATCTCATCTTGAATTGTAATCTCCATAATTTGTCAAGGGAGAGACCAGGTGGAGGTAATTGGATCATGGGGGCAGTTTCCTGCACACTGGTCTCATGATAGTGAGTGAGATCTCATGAGATCTGATGGTTTTATAAGTGTCTGGTAGCTCCTCCTGCATTCATTTTCCATCCTGCCACCTTGTGAAGAAGGCGCCTTGCTTCCCCTTTACCTCTGTCATGATTGTAAGCTTCCTGAGGCCTCCCCAGCCATGTGGAACTGTGTCAATTAAACCTGTTTTCTTTATAAACTACCTAGTCTCAGGCAGTTCGTTATAGCAGTGTGAAAATGGACTAATACAGTAAATTGATACTGGGGAGAGTGGGGTACTGCCATAAAGATACCTGAAAATGTGAAAGTGACTTTGGAACTGGGTAACAGGCATTGGTGGGAACAGTTTGGAGGGTTCAGAAAACAAGAAGATGTGGAAAAGTGTGGACTTGTTGAATGACTTTGACCAAAATGCTGATAGTGATATGGACAATGAAGTCCAGGCTGAGATAGTCTCAGATGGAGATGAGGAACTTGGGAATTGGAATAAAGGTGCTTCTTACTATGCTTTAGCATAGGGACTATCAGCATGTTGCCCCTGCTCTAGAGATCTGTGAAACTTTGAACTAGAGAGAGATTGATTTAGAGTATCTGGCAGAAGAAATTTCGAAGCAGCAAAGCATTCAATAGGTGCCCTGCATGCTCTTAAAAGCATTCAGTTTTATGCATTCGCAGAGAGATGGCTTGGAATTGGAACCCATATTTAAAAGGGAAGCAGAGCATAAAAATTTGGAAAATTTGCAGCCTGATAATGTGACAGAAAAGAAGAATCTATTTTCTGTGGACAGACTCAAGCCAGCTGCAGAAATCTGCATAAGTAATGAGGAGCCAAGTGTTAATCCCAAAGACAATGGGGAAAATGTTTCCAGGGCATGTCAGAGGTCTTTATGGCAGCACCTCCAATCAGGCCCAGAAGCCTAGGAGGAAAATACAGTTTTGTGGGCTGGGCCCAGGGCCTTGCTGCTTTGTGCAGTCTTGGAACTTTGTACCTCATGACCCACCCATGGCTAAAAGGGGCCAAGGTACAGCTCAAACCTTTGGTTCCGAGGGTGCAAGCCCCAAGCCTTGGCAGTTTACATGTTGTGTTGGGCCTGAGAGTACAGAGAAGTCAAGAATTGAGGTTTGGGAACCTCCGTCTAGATTTCAGATGATGTACGGAAATGCCTGGATGTCCAGCCAGAAGTTTGCTGCAAAGGCGAAGCTCTCATGAAGAACCTCTGCTAGGGCAGTGTGGAAGGGAAATGTGGGCTAGGAGCCCCAACACCGAGTCCCCACTAGGGTACTGCATAGTGGAGCTGCGAGAAGAGGGCCAACATCCTCCAGACCCCAGAATGGTAGATCCACTGACAGCTTGCACCATGCACCTGGAAAAGCTGCAGACACTCAATGCCAGCCTGTGAAAGCAACTGGGAGGGGTGCTGTAACCTGTAAAGCCATAGGGATGGAGCTGCCCAAGGCTATGGGAGCCCACCTGTTGCATCAGTATGACCTAGATGTGAGACATTGAGTTGCATGGAACTTTAAGGTTTAATGACTGCCCAACCAGATTCCAGACTTGCATGGGACCTGTAGCCCCTCTGTTTTGGCTAATTTCTACCATTTAAAACAGGAATATTTACCCAATGCCTGTACTCCCATTGTATCTTGGAAATAACTAATTTGCTTTTGATTTTACAGGCCCCTAGGCAGAAGGACTTCCCTTGTCTCAGATGAAACTTTGGACTTGGACTTTTGGGTTAATGCTGGAATAAATTATGACTTTGGAGGACTGTTGGGAAGGCATGATTTGCTTCAAAATGTGAAAGATACATGAGATTTGACAGGGGCCAGGGCTGGAATGACATGGTTAGGGTTTGTGTTTCCACCTAAATCTCATCTTGAATTATAATCCCCATAATCCCCATAATGCCCACATGTCAAGGCAGAGACCAGGTGAAGATAATTGGATGATAGGGACAGTTTCCCTCATGCTGTTCTCATGATAGTGAGTGAATTCTCACAAGATCTAATGGTTTTATAAGTGTTTGGTAGTTCCTCTTGCATTCATTCTCCTTCCTGCTGCCTGTGAGAAGGTGCCTTGCTTCCCCTTTGCCTTCCACCATAATCGTAAGTTTCCTGAGGTCTCCCAAGCCATGTGCAACTGTGAGTCAATTAAACCTCTTTCCTTTATAAACTACTCAATCTCAGGCAGTTCTTTATATCAGTGTGAAAATGGATTAATACTGTGTGTGTGTGTGTAAATGTGTGTTCTTTATTGTATATTATAAACACTTAGCTGTACATACACACATATATATCTGCACACAAATGTAAGTGACATGTGACTAGGAAAAACAAATGAAGTATATCTTTGCTGTAATAAAAGATACTGAAAGGGTAAGGTTGGTCCCCCACCCATCTGCTCTCACAGGGACAGTGTGTATTTAACACAGATGCTATGGATGAGCCACCCAAAACATGAGGGCAAATTTCACCCTCTGTCACTTAGTCCTTTCACATCTTGAGTTAATCATATTCATTTTTTTTAAAGCACAGCTACTTTTTTCTCATAGGCAGAGACGGCTCAAAGTCTGTAAAATGACCCCCTTAGGAATAACACAAGGAATGGATGTCAAGCAGTGTCAGATTATTGATGTTATTTGTTACGTGTACTTACAAATAATGTCCCATCACATCTGGGTTTGTTGGGACATACGGCGGTGGATTTCCGATCCACTTTGCGTATGCAACAGCATGGCAGCTTCTATTCTAAGCTGGTATGGAGTTTCACCTAAAATGCATTTTGGATTTATTGACAGAACCATTAATTAGTATCTGAAATTCTTATATGGCACAGAGGCAATCATTAGTACAGCAAAATGAAAACTGATTCCTACTTCCTGACTTCTGGACAGCAGCTGGGCTGACCTCTCACTTTCATTTCAGAGGATTCTATGAGAGCATTAAATGACCCTGTAGGAAATGCATGCTACATATCCACTGCTGCTGTGGGCTCAGACATAGGTTTCAGAATGGATGCAGAGAGTTGCTTAAGAAACAACTCAGGGGAAGTAGGAGAACGGCTTCCTGGTTTTCTAGTCGATTCTGTTTTTGATCCGAAACAAGGCACAGATAACATGGGGGTACTAGGATTTGTGTTATTTACTTTCAGGGAGCAAAGTAAACAAAATATAGCATCGTACTTTTCAGCTCAACGCTACTGGCATTGTAGTTGAGTGAGCTTCCCCAAGATATTTTATTTGGTGCTACTGCTTGTATTATTATTTTTATTTATTCCCCAGTGTATTTTAAAGAGGTATTAGGGCATTTATGAGGTATTGCTGACATACCTGCCAAGAAGTTTATACATCCCCTCTCCATATAAACATACCTGGAGTCCTAAACCCCATCTTTGTGACACTAACAACCTGTCATTAGCTCTTCCTACCTCTGATCTTTCCCCACTAAACCAAGATAACAGCAGATCACATACGCACCATTTTCATTGTGGAAGAGCTAATAATAACTCTCCACTAACTTACAAAGTAACTTGAAGCACTTCATAATTTACTGCCCTTTTGCTAAGGTTTTTCTCTGCTAGTTTTGAATAAACCCCCCTGTCATCTGGAGCAATCTAGTCACCCACTAACATGAATGATCCTTCCAGGCAAGGGGGCCTTGGGCCAGTGCCTTGGCCATTTTCCCTGTTCTGATGTGGCCTTTGGCTCTTACTGGCCCCTCCTTTCGGGACGGTATCGATGTCCTGTTAAATCCCAACCATCTTTCAACACTGACTCATCTCACCCCCTCCATGTAGCATTCCCTTATTTTTGCATTTTTTTCTGTACCTGATAATCATTTAATTGTTTTTGTTCTCTAAATGTTCCAATCACTCTGTATCTCTGTAATAATATACAGCCATGTCATACAGGATAGAATTTAAGAATAGTTCTCAGTTGATTTTTGATATTTCATTCTATGAATGCCTAGCTGGTGTGCTAAGTAGACATAGTTCACTTAACAGTCAGGGATCACATCCCTCCGTTTCCTCTGGGCTCTCATGCTAAGCATCCCAGCATCTCCTGGGATGCTGCACTTTGTACACTCTATGTATTGAAACATTGTTTTTCAATAAATAAATGCTAATGTATGGCTGAAGGAATAACAGAGAAGAAAATTGTGACAAATAAGAGTGAAGAGGAGACAAGAGTGAATAGAAAGTTATAACATAACACGATTTTTCTATCTCTCAAACTGGCCAAAGTTTCTGAATGCGTATAGTAAACTGGTCAACAAATATCCTTGAAGCATCAAAAATGCCCACTTGAATTTGAAATTTAAAGACAATCCAGTCAAGAACAGGTAAATAACTTGGTGTTGTATTACAGAAAAGTAACTCACAATATTCAATAGCCAAGGACCTAGCCAAGAAACTTTGACACCACATTTTACATCAAATTGTCCATAAAAATAAGAGACATGTCACAAGAGAACAAAACCACATAGATTCAGTTAAAACTTCAATATAAATCTTGCTGTGGGGACCCTGTGATTCCCTGCACAAAATAGAAGCAGCTCCTTAAAACAGCGGGGCTAGGATGCCAGTGATGCTCTTGATCAAGCGGCTAGCTACCTGGGTGGCCACAGGTTAACATAACAAAAGATGCTCAGGCAATTTCTTAATTTCTCTACTAAAATTGTTCTAGGACATTTTTTTCATCATCTTTGATTACAGCAGGTATACCAGATAACATGCAAAAAGACACAGGATGTGACTCCTCAGGATTAAGAAAACATCCATTGCTAAATAACTGTGCTCTCAGAAAAGGAAGTAATTATAATTGTGTTAATTTCAGTAGGTTTAAATAGATGTAATGCAGACAATGCCTAATTTAGGATGGTTCAACTCATGTCTTTTTGACTTTATGATGGTGTGAAAGTGATACACATTCAGTAGAATCTAAACTTCAAATTTTAAACTTTGATCTGTTCTGGGCTAGCGGTATGTGGTACTCTCCTGGGATGCTGGACAGTGGCAGCGAGCCACAGAACCCAGTCAGCCACATGATCAGGAGGGAAAATAGCCCAACTTTACAGTGTAAGTGGTGTAAATTTATAACTGGCATATTCCTACAAAATGCCCATTTTTGACTTGTAATATTTTTAACTTATTGTGGGTTTACCAGAAGATAACACTGTCATAAGTGGGGAGGCACTGCACTTACCTGCATAGCTATCCTCTTCAATGATGCATGTTTCTGGACCTCAGCAATGTCACCAACTGCCAAACCAATCTGAAGTATGACACAAAATTAAATCACTACAGTTGAATGGTCCACCTAAAAATGCATGTAAGGTCTGTCTTAGTCCATTCAGACTGCTATGACAAAATATTTTAGTCTGGGTAATGTATAAATAGCATAAGTTAATTGCTTACAGTTCTGCAGGCTGGGAAGTCCAAAATCAAGACTCAGGCAGAACTGGTTTCCGGTGAGAGCCCATTCCTCGTAGGTGGCACCTTCTATGTGTTCCCGTATGGCAGAAGGGCAAAGAAGCTAATAAGCTCCCTCATAGCTCTTTTATAAGGGAACTAATTCCATTCATAAGGGCTCTCCCCTCATGGCCTAATCACCTCCCAAAGGCCCCACCTTCTAATGCCATCTTCTTGGTGATTAGGTTTCTATATATACATTTTGGATGGGACATAAAAATTCAAACCATAGCAAGGCCTCTGTGGCTAAAGTGGGAGAGTGGGCATATGATCTACTAGTAGTAGCTGCAGAATACTTTGGTAATACACCTTACAGAAAACTACAAAGCCTATATACCTCTGCAACAATGACGGACACATTCAGAGGTTCAGTACTCTTAAGTGTTAAGACACACACATTAATCTGAAATTCATTTCATTTAAGATAAAAATCTGTTTTGTTTTATTTGTTTTTTTTTTTGCAAGGACAAGGATGATGTGATATTACATGCAATTGGGTGTGGCCACACAACATGGCAGGAAACTCCAGGAGTTTAGTAACTAAGGTAGACAAGAGCGATTTAACAACATGGAAACAAATACTAAACTGAGAGAATGATACATTTTATATCTTGTATATGTTCAGAAGGAAAACATATATTATAGGGGCAGGAGAGGCTCTGGTAAGAAACCAGAAATTTATGGCTAGATAGGATTAGGTGGGGGGAAGGTGTTAGCTCAGTTCTACTCAATCTGATGAATTAGCTCATTTCACTCACTCATTTATTTTTCAGGCACTTAGTTCCTGTCTTTGCTGAGCCAGTGTCTTGCATGCTGCACCAGAAAGAAAAGTCAGTGACTGCTCTTGAGGAGCTCAAAGTCCAGTAAACCATATGTGAAAAGTGATCTGTCAAGGTCATCACTGTATGCCCAGTGCTTAGTATAGAGCAGGGCACATAATAGGTAAACAAAACAGTCACAGAATGAATGAAGACAGGGAGAATATATTCTAGGGCTTGCAAACTAGCATTGAGAACTGGATATAGTCAGGAAATAGGTTTTACTGGGCAGAATAACTTTTGTTTGGTTTTTCATTTGCAAGTCTTCAGCTGGGTATTCTCACCGATTTACAACAGTCGCCATCAAAACCAAACATCTCTGATTTTTGCCAGGCGTGGCAGCTCACATTTGTAATCTCAGCACTTTGGGAGGCTGAAGTGGGAGGATCACTTGAGCCCTGGACTTCCAGACCAGCCTGAGCAACACAGTGAAACCCTCTCTCTACAAAAATACAAAAATTACCTGGGCATGGTGGTGAGCACCTGTAGTTGCAGCTACTAGGTTGGCTGAGGTGGGAGGATCATCTGAGACTGGGAGGTAGAAGCTTCAGTGAGCCATGATCACTCCACTGCACTCCAGCCTGGGTCACAGACTGAAACCCTGTCTCAAAAAAAAAAAAAAAAAAATACCCAAAGCTAACCATCTCATACCTGCTGCTTCACATATTTTAGATACTTGCCTGGGGTCTGAAGACATTTGAACTTGTAAGCCATAGAAGAGATCAATTATTAACTTTTAATGGTCACTAACATTTATCAAATGCTTATCATGTGCCAAGTACTGTTTTAAGTCCCTTGTATTAGCTGATTTAATCTTTGCAATAATCTAGAAAGTAGGCTTCATTATTATTATCTGTTTGTATCCTCAAAGCTATGGTAACACAAGGAAAGAGCACCCAATAGAGTAAGGTAATTGGAAGTCTACCCCAAAGAAATGATACTTGTGCTGTTTTGAAAGCGTAGCGTTAACCCATGGTGGGAGGATTTCCAGGCAAAAGGAAGAGCCTCTACAGAGTGTAGGCAGCATGAAGGAAAGAGTGGCACACTCAGGGAATGTGCATTTCTGGGTAAATCCTGGGAACAGTAGGAATTGGGTAAGATATAGGTAAATCCAGCTCATAGGGACATTTGCCTGCTATGCTGATGGGTTTGGACTGAATTAAAGCTTTTGAAGAGGCATGGAAAAAATACTTAAAAGAGTCACTGATGGGTTCAGTTTTTAATTATCAGATGGTCACTCTGGTGACCATTTGTAGGAAGAATTAGACAAAGCAGTGTGATAAGGTAGAGATGCTCTTGAGGCTGCTGCATCAATTTGGATGAGGAACCGTAACAGTCCAAGCCAACTGGAAGCAGATGTGAAAGCCAAAGAATTACTGAAAGAACTGATGAAAAATGTGGGAGAGTGAAATAGAGACTATCTGCCAATGATCTTAGTAGGATGACTAGGAGATTCTACTGAGAGGCAGTGGAGATTCTGAAGGAAAGATAACATTAGTCTTGGCTCTGTTGGTTTTGATTTTCCACCAGGATATCCAGGTAGAGATGCACAGTGGGTGTTGGATGTTTGGATCTTCAGAATGGGGCCAACCTGTACTACTGCTAAGCCCAATTCTCTTCTGGATAATTATCTCCCAAAACATAAACAATTATCAGAGAACAATGTAGGCTTTGTGTCATTCTCCATTATTCCTATTGCCATCCTTTGTTTTTCTAGGTCACCAAAATAAAACTCTGGAGTTGTATCAAATAAGTGGACCAAAATACTTACGAGCCTGCATAATTTTTTTCTTTCCAGAAGCACTAACTAGCACATTCTCTGGTACATAGTCAGACTCAGAGAAAGTGTGTGGAATACGTACATGTGTGCATAAATGGATAAAGGAAAAACAGGCATGAAAATGCCAATAAGCAACCACCACAGACCTAGAGTGGGATGCACCTTTGCCTGCATCAGCCAGCATGCTCATGGCTTGGGCAGATTCTCTAGAGAATTCCATGTGGAAGGGCACTCTCATGTCTGCTGATAGGGTCTAGGCTTTGGCAGGGTTCAGGGTGGCATCTGAACGTTGCAGACGCCCTTTGCATGAGAGACTTCTCCACTTGGATGTCTGGTCAATGGTAAATTTGAGCATAGAGACAATATGTTCCGTAAAGGTCTCTGCCTAACCTCTGACCCCCTCTCCAACTCCAAAGCATCACACACCTTCATCTTTATTGCCTTTCCCTGCTTCTTATTTCTTCATAGCATTTATCACCCCCATGACATTATGCTACACAGTTATTTGTTTATTTAACTTCCTGACTATTTTGTAATCACACTAGGACTGAATATTGGTCTGCTTTCTTCAACACTGTTTCCCAGAACTTGCAACAGTTCATGGTATTTAGTAGATTCTCGGTATTTGCCAAGTGCATGCATCTGTGCACGCCCTGAGCCTCTTGATGTGCCTGGTGCTCCCCAGGCACCAAATGAGTGTTGAATGAATAGATTTTGTGGTAGATCCTTTCTCATCTCCCCAGTGGAGGGAGATTAAAGAAGTTAAAAATAATTATCATTATGAAATGTTTCAAATGATCAATGAACAGAAAATACATGAAAAAACTACTTACAAGTAAATTCATGAGGACAATTGGGGCAAATACTGTGAAGGAAATAAGCTGTGCAAAGGACAGAACTGGATGTGCCAATTTATTCTTCAGAAATGGTTCTAGGAAGGACTCTCAATAATTGATATTTCCTTGTATCATGCTGAAGGTCTGTATTATAGACAGCAATGGAGAACTAAAGGCATCCTGAAATGCGAGGTGTATACAATGAAAAAATGTTTCCTGGAGAGTAGAATTCTGAAAAAATGTTTCAGAATACTTTTTAAAATTCAGAGGTATGCAGTGATAAAATATTAATAAGCAGTGGCAAAGTCATCAAAAGTATATTTTCTGCATAAAGAATAAATCATCGTGCACTTTACATAAACTTTTTTTTTTTTTTTTGAGATGGAGTTTTGTTCTTTTTGCCCAGGCTGGAGTGCAATGGTGCGATCTTGGCTCACTGCAACTTCTGCCTCCCGGGTTCAAGCGATTCTTCTGCCTCAGCCTCCCAAGTAACTGGGATTACAGGCATGAGCCACTACGCCTGGCCTAAACTTTTTGACGATGGAAAAAGTTACTTAACAAGACCCTACTTTTTTGTAGAATTCAAAAAAGGAAAATGATTTTTCTAAAATCATTTGAAAGATATAGCAGATGAAAAAAACTAAAGTATTAAAATACTGTTGTTATGTAATTATAAATTTTCTAGACTATTTAGATTTACATATAAATGTATATTTCCATAATTCACAGTGATAAAATCAACTACTGATACAACTGCCTTACCTGTAAATTCAGGAGGACGTAAAAGCTGAGTCCAAAAGCCAAAAGAAGGAAGAAAAATACAACTGCAGACCTCAACAAAGTTTTAAAAATTACCTCCAATATAACAATGAAAATTCCACAATTCTCAAATCTAGGAAAATGAAAAAATAAAATATATACTCACTTTTGTGGTCAAAGTGTATCCATACAGCGAAACCATCGTGTATTAAATCAGGTATTAGATTTCATAGATGAGATCATTGAGGCCAATTATTTTGAAAAAGAAAACATTAATTGAATAATCATATCTCATTTTCAATGTGTTAATCAAATTTATTTTTTCTTACTATTAATGTTATCTAGTTTTGGATCCAAGATCTTGCTTTATCACCCAGGTTGGAGTGCAGAGGTGTGATCATGGCTCACTACAACTCTGACCTCCGAGGTTCAGGTGATCCTCCTGTCTTAGCTTCCCAAGTAGCTGGGACCACAAGTGTGTGCCATCAAACCTGGCTGATTATTGCATTTTTTTTGTAGAGAAAGGATTTTGCCATGTTGCCCATGCTGGTCTCAAACTCCTGGTCTCAAGCAATCAGCCGACCTCGGCCTTTCAAAGTGCTGGGATTACAAGGGTGAGCCACTGCGCCTGGCCCTAAGGTTATCTTAAATCATTTTACCGCTTGGCAACTGGACATTACTTCAACTGAAGTAGGCGAGAAAAATAACAGCTTCCCAATATCAAAGAAGATGCTACCAAATTGGTAATAAAGAAATTAGAGAGGTAAATGGTGTGCTACATCAAGCAGAGATTAACTGAGTTCATGAACTGGAAGACACCTAATGCAGGGTACACAACATATGATTTGTATTTGATCCTTTTATCTCCTTCAGTTTTCTTTTCTACCCACTGCATCCTATATTGGGAAATGTCTGGATAAATAATGGGTTTGTCATCTGGCCACTAACTTGTACTTTGCATTTGGCAAAGACAACTTGTTAAAAGAGGAAATCACAATACTATAAAGCTGAAAGGGACTTCAGCTAAGTTCACAGAGATGCCTAGTAACTCACTAAAGCCACTAATAATGACAGAGCCAAGGGTGTGACAGTGTCTGAACCTGCCTTAAATCCTCTTATTCCTTAGCCACTGCCTTTGTTACCATACCATGTCCTCTCCAAGAGGACACACTCAACTTTGTGCCACTGTGCTCCTGACACAGTAATGCAGACGATATGGTAGAAAAAGTACGCCCCCTGGAGTCAGAAAGACTTTGATTAAATACCTATGTAGTGAATGAATAGCTGAGATCTTCAGCAAGTTACTGAACTCAGTGCTTCAGCTTCTTTTAGACGATGCGAGTAACAACATTGGCCTCGAGTAACAACATTGGCCTCGTTATTGGAAAGATTATGTGAAATAACATGAAACTTTCAGAGGCTGGGGAACTCAACCTTTTTTCCTTCTCTAGAATTAAATTATTTAGGCTTATTTTTTCTTTTATACCACTTCGATTCCACATACTATCTATCAGTTCACTTTGACTGTTTTAATGCAAAGTAAATGCTTACATATAATATCAGGTAAAACAAGAATAGCCAACACTTTTCCCACTTACTTACCCCATTTAATCTAGATTTGTCTAAACCAATGTTCTTGACCTGGGCTCATTTGGTACCCAGGAGACATCTGGCATTGTCTGCATACATTTTTGGTTGTCACAACTGGAGTGGGATGGATGCTACTGGTATGTAGTGGGTAGAAGCCAGGAGCCAGGAATGCTGCTAAGCGTTTTAAATTATACAAGACAGTCCCCCTCTACAAAAAAAAAAGAATAAGAAGAAAGAGAAGGAGAAGGAGAAAGAAGAAGAAGAAGAAGAAGAAGAGGAAGAAGAAGAAGAAGAAGAGGAAGAGGAAGAAGAAGAAGAAGAAGAAGAAGAAGAAGAAGAAGAAGAAGAAGAAGAAGAAGAAGAAGAAGAAAAGAAAGAAAGAAAGAGAAAGGAGGGAAGGGGAGGGGAGGGAAGGGAAGGGAAGGGAGGAAAAAAATTATCTGGCCACAAAGAACAATAGTGCCGAGTTTGAGAAACCCTGGTCTACATTCTGAACTCTGGAATCATGCTCCAGCCTTTCCTTAATAGGGCATAAAAAATTCTTCACATTTTGAAACAACTGGAAAAGGAATAAGCCAGTTTCAAATGTACACCACTTACAATAGTTTTTCTTTTGATATTAAAAATGCTTAAAGATGGGGAAATCATTAAAGCTTTTTTACCTTCAAAGACACAATAAGAAATTAATCCAATAAAAATAAACCACGATTGCTCCACATTGCCACTGCAGATGGGCTGCTATTTCAGTGAACAAGGGCAGCACTAAAATGGGGCCCATCGTGTTGATAATCCATTCAGTACTACTGCTAATATCCATAAAGTAATTCCTTTTCTGGGATAGAAAAGAATAAAAAATTACCACATATAGAGACCTTGCATCTGTGGATGATTATATACATGTACCCAGTAATAAAATTTTTCTAGCTTTACAGCTATCTGGGGAGAAGTTTAGGACCAAGGAGTAACCTCATGCCATCCTGGATTGACTTCAGAGCCCTTGGGGTATAGATCGGTGTTGGAGATGGCCCAGAGTCCTCTGTTAACCTGGTGTTATGGGAGTCTGTTGCCTAAGGAAATCCTACAAATTGCTGGGCTTTCCTTGTGGAGACCACTCTGCAATGATAAAAATGCAAAGCATTATTATCATCAAATTTATAAATGCAAATATCTATGTGTTTACACGATGCAACAAAGAAAATTTTCACACAAAGTGAAGTGTTGTATAAAAGATGTATGATTTATAAAAATAATATTCATGAAAATATACAAAAAAATTATAAAAGACTTTCAACCTCCATACTGAGAAATGAAGGATCCATACCATTTATCAACCAAAGGAAGGACCTATACATAATTTATATACTTGGTTCTGATCTGAACTTGGCTCACTCATTAAAAAAATAGAAGATAAAGTAAAAATTATGCTATAAAAAGTTCCAAAATTGTATTAAAACTTGGAATTTTATTTAAAAGGAAAAATTTCTGTTAGAATTCAAAGACAGACCCATTTGAAATGGAGTCTTGGGCTAGATAACTTCTTTATAAACTTTTACATTAAAAATTATCAAGTTCAAAATCTAACCATTATGTTAGCAAAATCTTTAAAAACTATGTAAGAGGAAAGACAGAAAAGTCACTCATAATAACCAAAAGGTCACCCATAATAACCATGTGTAGCTAGACAGATCTTTATGGACCAGTAAAAGTGGAACATCTCTTTTATAGATATATATAGATATATCAAACAGGCAGTGACCTTACCCAAAATCATGTGATTTCTACATTTTGAAACATTTATGCTTGGTATTTCTAATCTATATGTTAGTCAAGCTATGTGAATTTATTATGACACAGTATTATCTCAAGTAACAGCTTATCAATTAATTTATGTTCTGAATATTAAAATATTTGCAACTTTAGACATACAAAATGTATTTCATACCTGTTGGAAAATTTGAACCACTTCTTTGACATACCCTAATATACTTGAGCAAAAAACTAAAATCATACAAATTGTTATTAGACTTGAATTCTAAAACAAAAAAGGGTAAGATACATAGTTATGAGGATATAAAACACTTCAACATTTCCAAAATTTTCACTATTAAATTTTTTACTTATTTTGCTTAATTTATACTGTCTACATTTGCGTTAAACAGAAAATTTAAATGATGCAAATACTCATATAATTTACTAGAGATGAACACACCCACATTTCATAATGTCCTTATTAAGAGAAGTTCAAAAATTGCCAATGGAACTATAAAAGAATATGAATCTGTAGACCTACATAAAATTTTTATTGTGGTAAAATACATATATAAAATTTACCATTTTAAAATTGTTACATTTTACATGTATATTTACATTTTAAAATATAAAATTCAGTGGCAATAAGTGTATTCACAATGTTATACCACCATCACCATTATCTGGTTCCATAACTTTTTCATCTTTTCAAATGGAAATCACATACCTACAAAGCATCTCTCCCCATTCCCATGCCCCACTTTCCCTGACAACTACGAATGTGATTTCTTGTAGACCTATTTTAAAGTTATACACTTCAGCATTTAAGCTAGCATCTAAAAATGCCAATTCCTTTTAAATTAGTTTATAAAATCATTTATTGACCTGTTTGTTTATATTCTCTCTTATTCTACAAAGGATTTTAGAAGAAATTCATACCATATACAAATTTTTACAGGCTATCTATAGTAATCAAAGTTTTGATATTTCAGATTTATTATGGTTTAGTATTCTTAAGAAAAAATACACTTTTTATAATCCTGTATTTTAAAAAGTCAAAATTTGAAATTACCATGTTATCTAGTATTTCTGAATGATCACTAGTTTTATTGATGATTCCAGCAGAGTTGAAAGCCATTCCTGGTTTTATTCTGACAACAAGAAAGGTCATTGGTATGAGACCAAGACAGTAAAATCCTAGATTTATCATATGGGCTATAAATCCGTAAGCCAACCTACAAAAAAAATAAGCAAACCAGAATTGAGTTGTTTTAAACAAAAATATTTACTTCAGATACCTGTGGGAAAAGTGGTAGTAATCTCTTTCAGAAACCTAGTTTGGAAATTCACTGAAGTTTAAAATCAAGTAAATCTTCTAATTCACCTTTTTCATTTTCAGAGAAGGAATCTCAAGTTCTGAGGAAATTATGACTTCACAAATTAATGAAAGAGTAGGATCTTTAGCCCACATAATCCGAAACCAAGATGAACGCTCTTCCCAGAACACACCTCTCACTTCTATGTCCACTACACTGTAGGCTTCAGAGTGCCTCTCCATGTTTGACATAATAATTCCTTCCCATTCCCCAAATATTCAATTTAATGTTAAAGATAAACAAATTGTAGGCTCTAGGAAGTTTCTTCATGTCTTACATAGTAATTTTCTCCCACCTCCTAAATAATTCATTTAATGATAAAGGTAAACAATGCCAGTATTTCAATACCAATATTTGCCTTTGATGCTTATTCTTTTTAAAGTGTAAAACATTAAAATAACAAAATCAAAAACATTAAAATACCACTAAAACATAATTGTTTTGAAGATTTTTAAATAGATTCAATAGGCACAGCATTAAACAATAAATACTACTTAATATCCAGCATTTCATGAGTAAATACTCTTTACACACAGGATGATGGAGAAGCTCTGTGCAGTTATATTGTAACACTGCCTCAGAAATAAAGAGTAATAAAAATACAATAATAATAAATTACTGAGTATAAACTAATATTTTTATTGTCTGGCTTTATAACTTTATTTTGATATTGTAAAAGTGACACTTATTTTTGAAAATTGGAAAAATTAAAAATTACATCAAGATAAAAAAACAGAGAACCATTTCACGCAAGTACAATTATTTGACACAGTTTGTCACTTTAGATGCCTGACTGCTAGAGGTAACATAAGGTTTTTAATCTTATATAGGGTTACAACAGGAAATGACATTAAAGGTAAATTATCAAGAGTTATATCCTCATTCTGTCCATGAAGGAATTCAGGCTTATCCTTCCAGAAAGTTTTTATATAGTAGAATACACATAAATATTTGTTAAGTTAAATCTAGACTATAAATTTTCATTAGAATTATTTGTAACTACTAGTATTTATTTAAAAATTGGTTTTTAATTATTCAAGAAATACATAGAGGGATGAATGTCAATAAGGTAGCAAAACAGGAAGTCCTCCTCCACAGAGATATGTAATTAAAAACAATACACAGACCATTACCTTTGTGAGCAATGCAGAACCTAGTTAAGAGATGCCTAAACCCTAGGTGAGCATGTAACCAAAAAGAACCATATCAAAGACAGTAGAAAAATTCATGGCCTTTACTCACCACAGCTCTTCCCTCTGGCACAGCACAGTGTCATTGGGAAAAAAAAACTTTCAACTCCTGGTTTCTCCCTGGAATAAGAGAAAAAAAAGAGTGGAAGATACATCCAATGTTCTGATTTCTGAGAGGCTACCCAAGAAAATGTTTTTTATCTTGCCTGAATCTAAGCTCTGAAAGGAATAAGTGCCAGGAGAGGATCACTGATAACAAAGTTGGTCACTGGGACTTAGTCTAATGCCAGAGAAGATACAGTGTCACAGACAGACACTAGGCAGTGTCCCAGTATCATGACTTGCTACAGCACCAGAGAGGCTGTAGTACCACAGACATATACTGAGGGGAGGTACTGAGTAAAGAGAGGTAAGCCTCTTCAACTGGTAGATAACAAGCACAAGCCCAGAGAAGATGAATCCCTAGAAAAGGCTTGAGAGGTCTCCAGCCTTTTCTAAAGAGAGGTAAGCCTCTTTAACTGGTAGATAACAAGCACAAGCCCAGAGAAGATGAATGCCTAGAAAAGGCTTGAGAGGCCTCCAGCATTTGTAGCCAGGCAGAAGAAACAATGAGTGAATTCAATGACAGGATATTCAAAATTATCAAGTCTGAAGAGCAAAAAGAAAAAAGAAAAGAAAAGAAGAAAAGTGAAGAGAGCCTAAGGGATTTAAAGAAAACAAGCAGAACAGCATGCACATTATGAAAAGTTCCAAAGGAGAAAAAGAAGATGGAGGATTAGAAAGCCTATTTGAATAAATAGTGACTGAAAATCTCCCTAATCTGAGAAAAGAAATGAACACACACATTCAAGAAGCTCAAAGAACTTCAACTAGCATAAATTTAAAGTGAGCTATCCTGAGACACATTATAATCAAACTGTCAAAATTCAGACAGAGACAATTTTGAAATCAGCAAGAGAAAAGCAAGCTATCACATACCCAGTAGCTCCAATATGATTATCAGCAAATTTCTAGGCAGAAACATTGCAGGCTAGAAGAGAGTGGAATGATATATTCAAACTACTGACAGAAAATAAACTGACAACCAAGAATATTATAACTGGTAAAAACGGTCCTTTAAAAATAAAGGAGAAATAAGATTTTCCCAGGTAAACATAGGGCGAGAAAGTGCATCACCACTAGACTGGCCCTATAAGAAATGCTGAAGAGAGTTCTTCAAATTGAAATGAAAAAAATGTTAAACAGCAACACAAAATGATACAAAAGTATAAAACTCTCTGGTAAAGGTCAACATATAGACAATTATAGAATTCTGTCATATTATAAGCAAAAAAATTACTTTTAAATCTGGCATAAAAGTATTTAAACAATAGCACAGAAAGTAACTCTAAATCTATGTTAATGGATATGCAATTAAGAAGCAGTATTATGCATCATCAAGAACGTAAAAGTGGATGTGGATGAAGTAATACAAAGTAGAGTTTTTCTATGCAGTTGAAGTTAAATTGTTATCAGTTTAAAATAGATTCTTATACATTTAAGATATTTGATGTAATTGCAATGTTAACTGATAAGAAAATATGTATATAATATACACAAAAGGAAACAGTAAGGGAATCAAAACATATCACTACAAGAAAAATATCAATGAAACACAAAAGAAGACAGCAAGATAGGAGAAAAGAGATGAAAGAGCTACCACATACTGAAAACAATTAATGAAGTGGCAATAGTAAGTGATTTCCTGTCAGTAATTACTTTAAAGGTAAATTGGTTAAACTCTCCTATTAAAATACAAAGATTGACTGAATGGATAAAACACAGGATTCAACTATATGCTGTCTACAAGAGACTCAGTTTAGATATAAGAACAACACACCGAAAGTGAAAAGATGGAAAAATATTCCATCCTTTCACATATTCCATTCAAATAAGTAATATGTAGTATTTCTTTTAAAAGATAAGGAATATGTGGTATGTACATACAATGGAATATTATTCAGCCTTAAAAAAGAAGAAAGTCACGTCACATGCTCTAATATGGATGAACCTTGAGGAGATTATGGTAAATGAAATAAGCGAGTCACAGAAATACAAATACTTTAAGATTCCACTTATATGAAGTACTTAAATTAGTGAAAATCATAGAAACAGAAAATAGAAAGTGGTTTCCAAGGGCTGGGGGAAGGTTGAGGGGAAATTAGTGTTTAATAAGTACAGGGTTTCAGTTTTGCAACATGAAAGAATTCTAGACATTTCTTGAGTAACAATATGAAAATAATTAACACTACTGAACTGTACATTTGAAAACAGTTAAGACAGTAAATTTAACTTTATGTTTTTTGCCACAAGCAAAAAAGAAAAGAAATATATAAACAAATTCTTTTTTAAAATACTGAAACATTAGGTAAGGCCCTACTTCTCACCACACCTATGCCCCAATTCTGGGCATGATGTCATTTCCCCAGTAGTATCATCATTACTAACTTGTTCATCCTCCCAAATCCTTTTCTATATTTCTAAACACAAACATGCATGTACAAAAACTTACATGTAGTTATAGAAAATATGATTATTTTGTATTTACGTTTTTACTCAACTTATGTCTTCCACTTGCTTATTTATTCAACAACATAGCCTACAAATATATCAAAGTTATTTAAAGATTATCAGTAACATTGTTTTTAAATACTGCTTAATATTCTATTGTATGGATTTAGCAGTTTATTTAGACTGTCCCTTGTTGATTAACACCACTACTGTTTAACATTTTGCAAGTAAAAATGATGCAGCCAGGATCGTCTGCTTAGCCCCTGGAGAAGATTTTTTTTTAATTTGGTAAGTTATATCTTTTATTTCTGGAAAATTCTCAGACATTATTCTGCTTAATTTTTCTCTCCATCATTCTCTCTAAAAATAAAAAAAAATCCATCTTTCTGGAACTACTTTTAGATAGAAGTTAGGGTTTCTTGTTTTAGCCTCCTTGTATTAACTTTGATTTGTTTGTAGTTTCCAAAATTATTCCACCAAACAACTTCTACATTTTTGGACTGAACACCCACCTACATTTTGGAAAACCTTCTGCTATAATTCTCATCAGCACTGTATTAGACTTTTTCTATCCTGGTGTTCATAAAAATCCTCTGAGAGGCTTATTTAAAAAGTAGATTCCTAGGTCTACTCCCAAATATTCTGGGTTAGTAGGTCTAAGATGGGCCTTATGAACCTTCATTTTAATAAACGAACCACAGTAATTATGATTCAAGCAGCCAGAGATTCCAGTTTAAAAACTACTACTGTGTCATCAACAACTGAGTATTTCTAGGTTCACTGTTTTTATTTTCAACTTATTTTTACCCTAACCATTTGAAAAGTAATTGAGATATACTGGTAGACAGTATTCTTGGGGAATTAAAGAACCCCTTGTTGCAAATATTTGTTGTCAGTTGGATGCTCAGTGGAACCCATAAAACTACATATCTAGCTATTCTTGGGGGAAAAAAACCTTACAGGATCTAACTATTGTTTTTTGAGATCTGAACTAAATTTCCATGTAGATGTGACTTTTTTTCCGTTTAAAATTAATGTTTTTCTCAAGCTAAAATGAAAAATATGGAAACATATTTGTAAGAGGAACTCACTTAAAATGTTACTAATATTCAAAAACCATACTAGAGACACATACAGATAGTTGTTTTCCATGTGCTTTCATTAAAACAATCCTCTTATTATGTTTTGAAATCTTGTAACTCTGCTTTTAAACTAATAACAAATATGGCAAACCTACCCCTTAGGGTATATAAGTACAATGTAAGTTTAAATATCACCCAAATGAAGAGTAAATAAGAGTTAAAGTATCCAACGTGTTTGTAGCTGTGCTAATAGAGCTTCTAAGGAAGCTCTACTCTTGCATGAACCATTAATGAAATAGCCTCTCACTGGATCCAGTTTGTCTTAATCTCAGTATCTGATTTCTTATGTTCTCCTATTTGGTCCATCTGACTTTCAAACTTTCTGTGCAAAATAATTTCCCATCAGGCCAGCTGCCTTCCTGAAAAGCCCCACTCAGCTCACTTATATCTAAGGCAAGGTTTGCTAAGCTATTAAGACGTCATAAACTCTTGTGCTGGTTTGACACTGAGTGCACTGTATTTATCCAAGTGAGCCTATTTCATTTAAATTATACATTGCCCATTGTTATATATTGCCTATTTCTTTTTAGATGCCACATAGATCTTATTTCCTCCTATTCTTATTCTGATGGTGGAGACCAAAAAAAAAGATACATTTTCTTTCTGATAGAAGTATTGCCTATTTTAAAAATTAAAATTAAGAAACACATACATATGCAACAATTGTTCTAAGTATAACTGTAATGTAGTTACTATTGGATCACTGGATATCGATTATGAACTATACTAATAGCAAAACATAACATACTCCAGGAGAGCTAAAGTTCTTACAGCAAAGGTGAGTCAGTTGCCATCACCAGTGTTGAGGGCATAAAATCCCCATGAGTCTGCATCCTTCACACTCCAAGTGCTCGGTAAGTCTTAAAGGTTTAACTTTGGGTGATGACTACTGCCATGGTCTGTACGAAAGGCTTCAGGGTAGGGAAATGAACTCATTGAAGGTGAATGAAAATTCCTTATTGGCCTAGAGCAGTGTTGCCCAGTAGAACTTTCTGCAGTGACAAAAATGTCTTCTACCTGTGGTGTTCAATATAAGAGCTGCAAGTCAAATGGCCTACTGAGCACTTGAAATGTATCCAGTGTGACTGAAAAAATTATAAACTTCATTTAATTTTAACTAGTTTTAATTCAGGTAGCCACATGTGACTAATGGCTCCCATATTAGATAGCACGAGTCTAGACAAAAATTTGAAAATCCAGTCCTCAAATCTGTTTTGTTCTGTTTTGTTTTGCATGCACACAATTTTAATTTGTTGTCAATATTTACACAAGTATGGGCTGCTATTGCCACATGGCAATGATTTGTTGAACCTAGTAGCCACTGTCCTTTTAACCAGGAGCTTAAGTTACTCGTCTATTATTGTTTTCTCTGTAGTTATTTCAGTTTGAGACCTTTGATTTAGACTGAAGGGGATCATATGCCTGGTTTTGATTGCTTCATTGGCTAGAAATGTAAAAGTATCTTTGAAATAAGAGCTGCTTTGGAACAAGTTACTTGGGAAGTTCAAGTCCATGGTGTGTGTTCAAAGCCTACTTTAGATTGGGTTCATCCCTCTGGAAGGCACCTCTCCATGGTCAGTTTGTCTTGGAGCCCAGCGGCTCACCGAACTTGAAAGCTGTGACTGTAAAATATCACCCTTTGCATTTTCCTGGGGTTTATACTGGAGGAAACTCTTGAATATGCAGGTGGATAGAGGTGGCAAGCGTTACCTGTGTTCTCCATGGTTTATTTGATTCTGGTTTGGAGCAGGTCTTACGTGAACATTAGAAAAGAAGGGTAGAACTTTCTAGCAATTGAAAAAAATGATTGCTTTCTTTATTAAAAAATAAACAGTTGAGTCACATGGCAGACATGGACATAGAATTATAAAACTGGAATTCTCCCCATCCACCTAATGTGGGACTATTGTATTAAAACATTTTAGAACCCGGCTAGAAACTACCTAGATAATGAAAACACCGAACTTACATTGAGGGCTGCAAAAGGTTTATATGTGATATTCTTTGTAGGTGTTATATTTTCTGTTAATTCTAATGGGCATTGAAGATATCTGAAATTATACTTGATCTGTAGAAAATTTTTACAAAGTAGTTAGTCAGGTACAGAATCCCCAAAATAATTCCTGAAAAATCAAATATACAAGTATACAATTTTGCTAAAAATTAAGTGATTTGAACAAAGTTGAAACATTTCGAGTCGAAAAAAGATATATATTATTGCATATTAATTATAAAAATAAACATCCTGGAAGGCTGTTATTCAATTGCTTCATATCTCACAGTCATGGAAAAAGAGTAATTCTCAAAAGATCATTTAGATATTTTAGATCTTCATTATTAAGGCAAAACTACCCAAGGAAATATAAAGACTAGACATAACACTAAATGATGCTATTAGGAACTGTTAAAATATGAGAGGAAAACTGAGGAGGTAAGGGAAAAATTATTTCACAAGTAGATAATACTATAATATGAAAAAAACGAGACCAGTATTTGCCATCTCCAGTAGATTACACATCGATAGTAACAACATTTTTAATATTTTTCAAAGAACATAAAGAAAGCAAATTTCAAATTATTATGATAAAATAGACTTATGTGGTAGTCTTTGCAGGACTTATACTCTGGGGAAGGCAACATGCAGAAGTCTAAAAGTATCTTTCAAACAGAAAAACCACCTAAGATATTGGGCAGGCCACTATATATTAGAAAGAATTTTATCCCATTTCTAGAATAACACACAAGATATTTCCCTCCCTTTTCTTGGCTTCTTGCATCTCAAGGATAAATTATAATCTATCTCATCCAGGAACAAAGTTTACAATACAAAGTGTTACAAATACATCTGCATGTTTCAGAAATAACCAGGTGATTCAGAAAAATACCATGTGCTTGAGAGTAAAATTGCATGTACTAATATTTGGGTAAGAGATATTCCACTAGTTTTGCCTAAGATTTGATGTCTTTCTGGGCTTCTAAAGGGTATACAGATTACAGGTTGAGCAACCCTAATCTGAAAGTCTAAAATTCTAAGTGCTCCAAAATCCAATACTTTTTGAGCACCCACATGATGCCACAAGTGGAAAATTCCACACATAAGTACTTAACACAAACTTTGTTTCATGCACAAAATTATTAAAAATATTGTATAAAATTAACTGTAGGCTATGCTTTTAAGGATTATATGAAATACAAATGAATTTTGTATCTACACTTTGATCTCATCCTTATGATACCCCATTATATATAGGCCAATATCTTGAAATCCAAAACACGACTGGTCCCAAGCAGTTTGGATAAGGGATAGTCAATCTGTCTGATTCCTTTACTCAGTTTCTTACAGTAACAACTTATTGTCCCTAATTGAGATTTTTCATCCCAGGTCTACAGTCTTTCCATGATTTAGGTTCAGTCTTCTGAATTGCCCCAGTCTGGAGTAATGTGTTTGTTTCTATACCTCATATGCCAAGCAACACAGAGAATGTGTTTAGAGGGGAGCGGACAGGATAGTGGGGGATAGATGCTGTAACAAGAAATAGATGAAGACCCTCTAGATAGTTAACTCAGGGAAAGAACACTTATAGGGTCACACTAGAGCCACCCCTATGGTGTGTGGAAAGGAACTATTTTTGTGGGGCTGCATAAACAATTTGAGACACCTCAAATCTAGTGGCCCATATTTATGACCCTGAGAAAGAAATACCACTTGGCCAGGCTGCCCTCTTAGAACCAGGACTGGACACAATACCCCATATGTTGCCATCAATGCATCCAGGAGCTCCTGGGGCTTCTGGTGAATGTCACCTGCAGAACTTGAGGGTAGATGGTCAGACTATATCCAAAAGGGAAGAAACAGGACCCTGGGTGGTGTCAGGTACCAACGGGACTAAGAAAACTTCAAGGAAGATTCTATTGGTGACTGGATGTCAGTACTGGGGATCACAACAAACATTATGAAAAATAAAGACAAGACTAGTCAGTAGTGCTGTTCAAGGCAGAAACAGGCAAGTCTGGTTATTTATTATAGCTTGTAAACTTGTTAATAATCAACATGGGCAAAATAAAGGATGGGCTGCCTTGGCTGGGGGCTGGGCAGATTGCAGGAGCAACTTTTCAGAAATGTTGTGTAAGTAATTCAAATGTGTTATGTTGAGCTAAATTAAGACATTTAAGTTCATTAATTTTGTTAAAAAGTATTCAAAATACCAAAATAATACAAGTCATCATAGAAAATTATCTAGAAAATATAGTAGCTTAAGGAAGAAATTAAAAACTATTCATAATCGCATAACAGACCATTTTTATTAACATTGTGGTATAATTTCAATTCTTTACTATGTTTTCACATGTGAATATTTCACCTTTTTTATAATTATAAATGATGCTGCAGGAAACATTCTATATAAATCTGTCTGTATCTCTGATTATTCATTAAGACAGATTTCAACAACTATAATCACTGAATAAGAAAGTTTGAGATTGTTTCAACCTTGAGTATTTATGTGTCCTTCGATGAGATTCAGCCACCTAACAAGATAATCTGTACACTATTTGTACTAGTACATATGTACTAGACTGGCTCCAGTTTTTATTAGGCATTATAAAGAAAAAAATGCACACAATGTTTAGCACATAGTAAGTCCTTATTCAATAAATAAAAACAAAATACTAGTACTACAAATAACCACATAAGCAGTATAAAACAGTAGGAGGTAAATTTTATGTACTGACCATTGCCCTTAGCATTTTATATATTTTACCCCTACTTTTGTAATCACTTTGTAAACTCAGCATCAGCATCATTGTTTTAGACATAAATAAAACAGAAAATAAATTCTGAGGTGAAATGACTTATCTAAAGCAGTATAGCAAGAGACAGCACCAGAATTAGATCCCATGGCCTCCAGAAGGCTCCAAATCTGGGCTTTTATTCCCTCTGTCACTATATCTTACTGCCTCCCCCAGCATTTGAATATATTTTTCCCTTTGCATGAAATCTGAAGTGATTCTGATTTTCTGTCTGTCCCAACCCTCAAATCCCAACTTTCCTAGATCTTTTATTTGCATCCTTTAATACTCATCTGCTCAACAGTTTGTGCATATTTGTCTTGTATGGAGTGTCAGGTCATATGCGGGGTGTGTATTTAATGTAGCATAGAGAGTTACATGCTTAAAAACCCACAGAGGCCAGGCACGTCATGCAAATAAAGGAACAATGCCAAATGTAAGAGCTTTTTCCCATTGTTCTTGAGATATTGGCTATCCTAGGGCAAGCTTTCATCTTTACAGTTAGGATAGAGCCATAATTCAATACTTCTGTACTCTAAGGAAAGCAATTGCACAAAAACGGCTATATGTGACAACTAACACCGGGCACTAGGCCCAATGTACAAAAGGGAGAACTGGGGTGTTTCAAATAGGAGAGTGATTGCCACATCCATGGGAAGCATCTGGTGCTGAACCCAGTAATTCCTGCCTTGTGAGAAGGCAGGCTTAGGTGCCAAATTTCATTCTTATGAGAAGCCAGATAACTGGAACCTTAAGGAAAGCATCCTGGTTTCAAATGTTAGCAATTCATGTAAATTTGAAAGAGCAATAACATGCATGCCAAACAAAACACATATTAAGGTTTTATTCAGCCAGCAAACACCAGTTTATAGTCTCTGTTACAGGTGTGGATTGTTTGAATAAAAAAATCTGTTTACCATATTATCCTGTATTACACAAAATAATTAATAGGATTCTTTAATTCAAGAAGGTCCTCATTAAATACTTATTGTCTAAATTCCCTTATAGCCTATGGGAAACTACAAGCTTTATTTCATGATGGAAATTATTATTACTAGATTGTGATGACAACAATAAATCCTCACATCATATATGCCAAACATAAACCCAGGAAGAGTTTTGTTTTAGAGAGCTTACCTTCATGCATTCAGGGAGGTATTCGATCATTTCCAAAATTGGACATTTATTGTTTGGAGAATAATGACTAAAAACCTTAAGACATTCATCCCATCTGTAAAAAATGAATACATAAGACAAGCACAGGTCTTCAACCTTCTGTTCTGCACAACAGTTGAAACTCAAGATTATATCTTTAGGAGAAATCTAAACTTAAGCTTATTCATGAAATGCAATGCTTGCCCTTAGTTCTGATGGAAGCAATATGTAAACCGAGATCAACCCAGTAATAGGATCCTTGTCTGTTAATAGGCATTAGGAATATGGGCAAATTTTGGGATAGCTGTTACAATTATTGTTCTGTCTCTTCTTCTAAATGTCTTTCAAAGAAGCTGGGACTATATCTTCTTTCTCTCCTGAAGTCATAAAATAGGAAGTACTTACAGTCCTAATCATGTTCGGTACAGATTCCACATTCACATACCTACACCATCAAAGCAGTACTGGACCAATATTTAATAGCTAATTCATGAATTAAACTACAAATTAACACATGTAAAGTGCATTGATAAGCACAGCCTCTGCAAAGAAAAATTTGCCCCTTTTCTTCATTATCATCCAATTGAACAGGGTAAGAAGGTGCTTACCATACCAAGGAGGAACTAAATCTACAGCAGGATGCAAAGAGGAGCTCTTTTATCTCCAATATCCTATCTAATTTTCTATTAACTCTATCAGTAAAACCCATCTAGTATATCTGTATTATCGACAGAAAAGTTCTGGTTGAACACTTTCATTAAAAAGTGCTTTAAAAAGGAACTATCAGCAGGAGATTTTTGAGGCTGTCCATGCTCAAAAACAAGGGCTTGATCTGCCTTGAATATGGAATTGTTCATTCTGTGTCTACTATTGGGTGACACTGGTCCCTAATGCATGTCTATCTGTGATTATACAGAAAGTGATATTATGAGATATTATGAGAAATTAGACAAAGTACCCTCTAACTTCATAATTAAAACTCTTAGAACATGGATTAGAAACCCACAACCACAAAAGATTATTTGCTAAAAGATATCCCATTAAAGGGCATGGATAACAATCTGAATTTACCTTGGGTAATATTTTTGCCAGCATCCACTTTCAGGGTTTCTACTGGCACATGTCAGGCAAGTTCAGGGAGGGCAGTGTGAAGTTTGCTTGACAGTGACATGGTGCCAGACAATACACATGCCTGAATCCCTGGAATCTCGTAAGAGTGCTGCGAAGCTTGGTCTTAATGTGCCCATATTTTATTTTGTTAAGAAATATAAACTGAAGATCGGCGAGGTAAAGTAATGTGCCTGTTGTCACTAAGAAAAATCATTTAAAAATTCTGTAAACATTTAAAAATAACTAAAGGAGTATAATGGGATTGCTTGTAACACAAAGAATAAATGCTTGAGAGTATGGATACCCCATTCTCCTTGAAATGATTATTATGCATTGCACACCTGTATCAAAACATCTCATGTACCTGATAAACATATACACTTACTATGTACCCACACAAATTAAAAATAAAAGACTTCTTAAAAATTTAGGTAAACAACTGATATTTTAAAATTGTGATTAATGGCTGAAACTCATTTCTTTTCTCTCAGACTTCGAATCATCCCTGACACCAGAGAACACTAAATGACAGTGGACAGGCAGACAGTGTACCTTTTGCTCCTGATGGTCATAAGAACCACCTCCTTCTTCTTATTGTGAAGTGCAAGGTGCAAAAAGGAGGCCTGCCTGCTCCTTGTTCAGGACTATGTCAGCATTGTGGCTCAGAAGTGCAAAGGCTTTGGCATGGCCTTCCCTTGCAGCAAAGTGAAGTGCAGTGTTCTTTTGAAGAAACGGACACAGAAAATGTGGTGACAATGCCTAATCTGCTTTGTTTCATGGCTGAACTGCCTAAAAGACATTTGCAACACTAATGATTTAATACCAAAATACATAGCATTTAAAACTGGTGTTCAAGCTTCAAACTAATGAGTTTATAGTTCAAACATGGTGTGAGTGTGCATGTGTGGGAAGTGGGTCTGTTTGTGTATGTGTGGGAAGTGGATCTGTGTGTGTGTGTGTGTGTGTGTGTGTGTGTGAGAGAGAGAGAAACAGAGAGAGAGAGAAAAAAAAACAGAGAGAATGAATTCCAAGGGGGTTGTTTTGTGCTGCTTTTGCAATGGGATGATTCCACAAGGACAGAGGACCAGCTATCAGGGTACGGATGTTGGGTTGAACACAGAAGAAAATACTCCTGAGATTTATCATCTTGTAGAGCAGTGGCTTACAAATTTGGGGTTTCCCAAGCTTGTAAACTTTTTTAAAATTCAGAGACTGTTATAAGGTTGCCAGTTTTTAGTTTCCCCACATGAAGACTATTTTTTTGAAAAAGGCAACAATTGTCCATCTCCATCATTTTATGAACAAATGTACATTTCAATAGTTACTCTCCCCAAAAGAAGGAATGACATAATAGCACAATAAAGGGCAGTCCTTCAAGTCAATATACTTCAAAATAAAGCACTTATTTTAGTGAAAACTTACACCTTCCTTTATTTTTCTGAGTCTACCAGGGAGTAAAAGCTTTATCATCAACTCACAATGGCCTGTGGACCAACCTCTGTGAGTCTAGTGGTTTCCTAAACATTCATCCACCCCTTGGTATTCTCCCATTTCTGTTGCCTTTTGACTCATACTTCACCTCAAGAGTCTGCTTGCTAAACACCCAAAAAGGCTGGGAAAGGAGCAAGGAAGGGAAGAAGGTATCTAGGAGGGTTTTCTGGCAATGCTGGAAGTTTCTGGTATGTCGAGATTTTGGGTAAGTGTGAGGACCATGGTACATACCCCGTCTTCATCTATGTGATCTGTGCACTTCAAATTACTATCAAGAATGACCTTCATGGTCTGAGTGTACCCTTATGGATGCATGATGCAAAACCATCTAGCCATTGTGGTCACTGATAAAGAGTTAAGAAAAGATGTGTGCATACACTTAACAGATGAAATTTGGGATGGGATGCCACTTGGCTCTTTCTAGGTAAATCTGATGACAACAAAAAGTATAATGAGGTCTGGCAACTAAATATTTATGAAATATTTATAATGAATGAGTGAATTTCAAGCTCAATGATCGTAAATAATCTATTTGTAATGTGATTCACTCATATTTTTTATTTAGTGGATTAAGATATGAAAGTATATAAACACATTACCAAACACTTCGGGGTAGGAGAAGTACACTTAGTGTGTGTGTATCATGCATAATTTTTTCAAAGCTATAATGAACTTATACACATTAACTTAAATCATGTTTTATTTTTTCATTGAACATTGCATCCAAAAAAATTTTTTGAAGTGGTGTTAGTCTTTGTGATCAATAGTTATTAGTAATACTACTAATAATATAGTACATGGCTATAAGATATTTAGCTTAGCGTCACTTATTATTCTAAGAGTTCAAGTCTGAAACACTTTCCTCTTGTGCTCTCAAAGATGCTTACCCAATCACTTTGAAAACTGCTAATTCTTTTTCACAGAAATTTGAGGTGTAAATATAATGAAGCCTTGTCATATTGCTAATACTTTTTGAAACTAAACATAGAAAATATTTCCTGACACAATTTAATTTCAGTGCTAGTGAACAGATGTTTTAGGGTATAACAGCCATTCCAGTTATGATGTAATTAAGCAACAACTGTCTGGTCTGGTTCTACTTGGGTCCCCTTTGTAAGTCAGTTGCTTGGCATTTCCTTGTAAACCAGAAGAAACTGAGCAAAGCATTCATTTTTGCAGCTATATCACTTAATTTGCTGGCATCAATATTCTGTTAAGAAAATGTGTTTCTAAACAGCCTAATAAGCTCTTTGCTACTGCTTTGATGAAATACCAAATGAAATACCTCTGTAAAATATTCCTAGGTTTTTTTCTTTTTTTTTTAACAACAATATCATTTACCTATGCCACATATTTTATTATGCTTACATATTTTAACTTGGTTTTGTTTCTTGTGCTTGAGTTCCTTTAGGTATAATGAAGTTCAGAAATTTTTACTGTCTCCCGTTGTCACTCAAGGGGAGCTTTTTATGTCTACCATTCATCAGACTGAAGAAAAAGTAGCATATTTGAACTTGTATGTTTGTGTGTGCGTGTGTACATGCACACATACACATACACAACCATGGTTTTGTATCTACATAGGAAAATGGCAGCATGATGAGCTAAAATATGAGAAACTGTATTTCAAAGATTCTGAAAAAGACTCTGCACAAAGCCACTTATTCTGTGACCTTGAACAAGGTTCTTCAAGTCTATAAACTTCAAAATCTTTGTCAGTTGGAAATATACTGACTTCCCTTCCAGCATTTTTTTTTTTTTTTTTTTGAGACGGATTCAAACGATTCTCCTTCCTCAGCCTCCTGAGTAGCTGGGATTACAGGCATGCACCACCAAGCTCAGCTAATTTTGTTTTTGTATTTTTAGTAGAGATGGGGTTTCTCCATGTTGGTCAGGCTAGTCTCGAACTCCCGACCTCAGGTGATCCACCCGCCTCGGCCTCCCAAAGTGCTGGGATTATAGGCTTGAGCCACCGCGCCCGGCCCCCTTCCAGTATTTAAGAAGTTACGTGTTGATGATAAAATAAAATGTATAAAACTACTTAGTGAAATATAAAGTTAGACAACATAATTAAAAATATAATGAAAAGATAGCCTGAAAATGGCTAATTAAAGAAACTATATAAACACCCCAATCATATATCCTCACCTGAGAAACAATGCACCTTTTTTCAGAAGAAGCTGAACTACTTTATCATGTCCATTCTTTGCTGCCAGATGGAGAGGAGTCATTCCATGAAGGTCCCCTTCATTCAGAAGCCTCGTATCACTTATGTCTTGTAGGAGCCTCTGACAGGTATTGATACGCCCATAACTTGGAAAAAATTAGGTTTCATATTTTCAAGGCAAATATTAAACAGAAAGAAGACAGGTTCATACAATGCTAGACTGACCCTTACCTGGCTGCAAAATGCAGAGGTGATTTCTTATCTTTGCTTTTGGAATGAATGGACACATTAAAGCCAAGTAGGTTATTTACAGAACCAGGGCCCCCCTGTCTACATGCATAATGTAGAGGAGTACACCCATCGTTGTCTTCATCCATTACCAGCTCTTTGATCTGTTGCATCTACAGGAAAAAATTAATATCATACAAATAACTCTGCTGTTATGCTAAAATGATGGTTTCCAAACTATTCTGTAGGAAAATATTTTCCAACAAGGGTCAATATGTATTCCTTGGGGCCAAAATTGTAAATAACCTAAAGGATTTGAGAGTAAAATAAATATGAATGAAGTTGAATGCTCTGTCTTCATGTAATGTACATTACCATATTAAAGGCTCTGAGAGATCCTGCAAGTGGGAAAATATTAAATAATAAATTTAATATTATTTAATATAAATAATAATAAAAACTTAACATTTTTAACTCAGTATTTTTCAAATATATTTGATCACAGCCCTTCCTTCTGCTCCTCCTCTCACTTCCTCCCGCTCCTAAGTAACACCTAACAGCTTTATGTTAATAAGTTCTGTTAGGTAAAATGGAAGGGATGTTAAAATTAGGTTTACTTTATCTTTTATATGTATAGTAAATTAAAAATGAATGACAAATGAGTAGCTTAGTCCAATCAATTATCATTTTGCTATTTTTGCTGAAATTTTTCAAATACATATATATTCTTGATTCTTTATTAAAGACAGTGACAATATTGAATTCTATTTACTAAAAAATATGTTGTATTTCACATGCACTTGATAGTCACTCAGTATTAGCTGGTGAATATAAATATGAAAATAATGCTTTTAACTTGTCCTCAGCAAGTCAAGTGTGCTGAGTAGTTTTTCTTAATTGATGGTGGAGTATTGATAATTCATACCCATAGTTGGCTTTTCCACTGATATACAAATCCTAATGATCAAAGAATGAAGAAAATGAAACTAATTAAGGATGTATACTTATCATACATGATAGCATATGAAATCCTTCTGTAACTTAAAAAACTCAATCTCAATACAATTAATTATCATCATCATCATCATCACTACCACCATCACCCTGTTATAACTATTCAAACATGTCATCTTTATTTTAAAACACTGTTAAAATTCCAGAATCAGCTTTGATAATAATAAAAATTATAATAAACAAAATTAGTTTATCCTCTGTTGAACCGAACTTAGTTAATGGAAATCCATAGATATATATGACCTGCAAAAACTCAGGTTGCAGATTTTTTAATCCATAAAGTTGCTGTACAGTTAAATGCAGAAAATTACGTCCAAAATTACCTTTAATGTCTACTTGGGCACCTAAAAAAAGCACAATGTAAATATAAATTCTATTCACTTATTTAATGCATCCTTTATGTGGATTTTCAACTTGCAAAAAAATTTTGACTTAAAATTTTGCTGACTTTTAGTTTACAGGAAATGTTTAGATGAGAAAACTAAGCATAATTAAAAATGGGCTTACTACCTGTGTGTGTGTGTGTGTGTGTGTGTGTGTGTCTGTGTGTGTCTGTATGTGTAAGTGGGGTAGAAAATATGTGATGCATTACATAAATACATGAGGCCTTACCTTTCAGAGCATAAAATATAAAAATATAAATATAGACACATTAGAGATCAAGAAAGAAGAGGATAGCAGAGAAGGACACCTCACTTCTTTCTTTTCAGAGGCCCAGGTTAGAATCGAAAACAGGGATAGTTATAGTACCTACACCACATGGGACCGATACATTGAAAGACAGTTGATTAATTGTTCAATAAATGCCTGGGGTATAACAATTGCTTTATAAATGTTATCTACTATTGTTCTGAAATTATCTTTTTAAGCATTGCTCCCTTACTGGACTGAAAATTATTCTAGACATGAAAAGTGTTCTGTTTATCTTTGTATTCACAGCACCTGGCCCAGGGCCTGGCACACAATAGATGGTTAATAAATGTTCATCTAACCAAATTGAGTAATACTTCCCAAGACTTGGCTTGGTCCCTCTTGGTAGCTTTAGAGAGTAGCAAATTTACAATATTCTAAGATGCAGAAGCAGTTGCTAAGTGGAGAGCATCCTACAGAATCAATGCTATTAATATCTGCTCCCTAAAAATCAAGCCATTCAACAAGGAGCTTACAAACAGATAAATCAGCATACATTGCAATCTCTAAATAAGGTTAATTTATTGATACAGAGTGTCTATATTATGGCTAGCACTAAAGTATATGACTAATTATAGAACCATTTGAAATTTCTCCATAATTCATATGTTGTATCATCAGAAATCAAGGCATTCTTTAATAATTTCAGTAAGAAATTATTCTCACATGTTAGGCTTTATACTGACACCCGGCAATAGCTCTAGTTGCTACATAAACCATAAAAATGATATCCTTTTACCTAGACCAATAGTTTAGTATCCACTGTAAGAAATAATTTTTAAATGACTATAATTATAATTTTTAAATGACTATAATTATAATTTTTAAATGACTATAAGTCTTCCAAATTTATTACATCTATGACTTAAGAAAAATTCATAAAAAAATTCCCTTTATAAAAAATCCTATTTTATCTGAAATAGATGAACTGAAATAATTAAATTTACATCACTCAAATCCTAAAATAAAATTTTAGTCAAACATTTATTTGAGAAAATTTATGTTTAAAAATCACATTAAACCTATATTGTTAAAATGAATGTCAATGTTAACCATTATGTATTATAATATTTGATATGACAAGAAATCAAAGCCCTTTTAAAATTCCATGGAAAGAATTCTATACCTTACACAGAGTAATAAAAAATATTAATAGCTTAAACTCCAAATGTGGATATTTTCATGTTCTTTTGAGACCCACTGAATATAAATGACAATGGGGGCAGCATCCCCTTGGCAAGCTCCATGGTGGTCAGTGAGGCCACATTTCTCTTGCCTGGCGAAGAGATGGCAGCCTTTGCAGGAAACCGTGTGACAATTTCAATAGTTGTTATTGACAACACAAAATGTTCAATACTACCAACGGAAATCCGTCATTGCTGATATGGTGCCACTTAAATAAATTCACCACACTTTGATCTCTATAACGGGCTTATTAAAGTTCAACTCAAAAGCTGACTGATTCCACTTCTTAGAGTGAAAAAGATCTCAGGCTTCATGCTTTCTCTTGTAGTAAACCTTTGACAATATTTTTTGGCTCCTCAGTTTTTCATTGTTTGTAAAGGTGGCACTGAGGCAGCTGGGGTAGGAGCTTCCCCCAGTGCTGCCTGTCCTGCTTCCACCTCAAAGCAATCAGGGCTGAAGAAGGATCACCACCCAAGATCACACTCCCCTAGGACCCTCTAACATGCCATGGGAACAGCTTTCCTTGCAATGTACCTGCCAACTTCCTGCACTAAAAACACTGACATGGATATCCAAAAGCACGCTTTGACACTTCTAAGTTCACAGTAATGTTTGGCCATTACATATTCATGTACAATATACTCTGCTTCCAAGTGTGTCGATCATCCTTTTGTACACATCACATTTTTTGCTGATAAGCAATAAATTAAAATTTGATTTATTTTTGAAAATCCCTATTATGTAATCATATGATTTTTTCAACTATAAATAGTAACAAAAATAAACCAGTAAATGGAATACTTACCACTGAAATTAAACAGTCTGCCAGGTCACAGTGATCAAATAATGAAGCTCTGAAAAAACAGAATTATAAACATTATAATTAAAGTACTACTTATGTAAATACAAATGTATTTAATAAAGCTACTATATTCAGAAAGTGAATTTAGCTAATCATAGAATAACATGATAGAATGTTAAAGAATTAGTAAGCTTTCAAAATTTATAATTTGATTCTGATAAGGGTAGCATTTTCAAAGTAATAATAATAGGAAAACACCAAATACATCACAATATTTTCTTCCTTATCCTTTAGGAAACTGTTTTCTCCTGTAAAATCACCATGAAGATATTCTGAAGTGAGTAGTAACATCTGTCCCAAGATAGAAGAGACAAAGAAATCGCTGGTACTGCTGTGATCATGGGGAATAACAATAGCTACACGCAAAGTATGTCTCAAATTCACCTGCGGGGTTCAAAAAGTCCCTCTTTGGGAGACTCCTCTTTGGCAAAAGTTAAATGGCAGTGTTAACTTGAGTTTTTTATGAAGCCAAAAATAATTATGGAGAGGATAGAAAACATTTTGGTATCATCTCACAGCCAGTCATAAGGATAATGTTAATTTAAAAAGCAAGTAAAAGTTTTCAATCTATATTAAAGCGCCTCCTTAAGACATGTTAACAATTTCTTTTTTTTTTTTTTTTGAGACGGAGTCTCATTCTGTCGCCACTTGAGACGGAGTCTCGCTCTGTCGCCCAGGTGGAGTGCAGTGAGTGGCGCGATCTGGGCTCAATGCAAGCTCCGCCTCCCGGGTTCACGCCATTCTCCTGCCTCAGCCTCCAGAGTAGCTGGGACTACAGGCACCCGCCACCATGCCTTGCTAACTTTTTTTTTTTTTTTTTTTTGTATCTTTAGCAGAGACGGGGTTTCACAGTGTTAGCCAGGATGGTCTTGATCTCCTGACCTCGTGATCCACCCGCCTTGGCCTCCCAAAGTGCTGAGATTAGCAAATCTCATTTCTTTCTTTCAAGATTGTCTCAAGTATTCTTGGCCTTTTATATATAAATTTCAGAATCAGTTTGCTAATTTTCACCCAAAATATGACAAGATGTTGCATTATATTTAAAACATATTAGTTATATTTAGTAATTTTAGGGAATAAATTATAACATTAAGTACCCATCTACCTAAGATAATTTCATCTCATGCATATTAATATATTAAGGCTGTTTTCTAAAGATACACTTCAACGGTAACCAAATCATTGGGTTTCTAAATTAGCGACACATTCAAATCAAAGAGTTTTTTTTTTTTAAATTCCTGCCACTCATCCCAGAGATTTTATATATTAAAGGGTATTAATTGGTACTGGGATTTTAGGAGCTACCCACATGATTCCAATCTGCAACAGTTTGAGAATCTCTGGTCTAGAGGTTAGTCTATTGAGTTTTAATTTTATTTCAATGGCTCCTTTTTAACTTTTTTATTTTACTGTATCATTTTCATATCACCAATCCTAGATTCATATATGACAACCTGTTTTTACAATTCTATGTTGTCTTCATATACTTACTTTTACATAACTTATTACCCTTCCTTTAAATTTTTTAAGGTCTCAAATATCTTTATTTCAAAATTATTTTCAGATTCCCCTGTTATATTTTCTTGGAAATAAATTGGCTTTTTGTTGACTTTTTTTTAAAATAAGTTTTCTTTTATGCTATACAATTTTAGTTTGCAAATTCATCCGAAGTGGGAGTTCCTTTCTCTTCACACATATCCTATCATGGCTGGTGGTTTTGCAAATGTGTACATTCATTAGAAACAGATCTTATATTGGTAGCTAGAGATTCTTTTTTTCTTTTTTCTTTTTTTTTTTTTTTGAGGCGGAGTCTTGCTCTGTCGCCCAGGCTGGAGTGCAGTGGCACCATCTTGGCTCACTGCAAGCCCCGCCTCCTGGGTTCACGCCATTCTCCTGCCTCAGCCTCCGGAGTAGTTAGGACTATAGGCGCCCGCCATCATGCCCAGCTAATTTTTTGTATTTTTAGTAGAGACAGGGTTTCACCGTGTTGGCCAGGATGGTCTCGATCTCCTGACCTCGTGATCTGCTTTTTTTCTAAGAGATATTTAGATAGATAGATTTCCAGGTCTGGTTACCTATTGAAAATATATCGGCTACTCTGACTCTGTGTGTGTGTGTGTGTGTGTGTGTGTGTGTGTGTCTGTGTGTGTGTCTGTGTGTCTGTGTGTGTGTGTAAGAGACTGAGAGACTGAAGGCTCAACTCAGACAACTCTTTCACTCACATGGGGAGCATTTGGTACTTGTCTTTCCACAAGAATTGAATTTCCGATATACACTGCTTGTTTCCTATCCTAGCACCTAGTAAGCCTACAGTTTAATACATTTTCCCTGATGTGTATTTCTGTCAAACTTCATAGAAATTTTTTAGCGTTTTTGGCAACTTGGTTATAATTTCCTAAAACTTTATCTTTTGAAACCATTTATGTATAATTGGGGGATTAGCAAAAGGGATTATGGTGGGAAAAGTAAAATATCCATACGTATCTGCTCCATTATTGTCATTAAAAATGGGGATAAAATAAATATGAGAAATTGGAACAAATTAGAAAAGGCTTGGAAGACCTTGTATGTAGACTTCTTTAGCATATAGAAAATTAATCTTGATCCTATATCCACTGGACTTGATTCAGAATATGCCACAGGAGATTTTATTCTGTGAAATTTCTTTAACATTATACTCCCATTCCCCAGGAACACAAGCAATTCCAGTTGATACACAGGGTCTTTGCTATTTTGTTCTTTTCTTTTAAACTACATAATCTTTGCTTCCATTAGTACTAACTGCTCTTTGCAATTTCTAATTTAACATGTGAAGACTAAAAGTCTGTATACAGAATGATAGGTAGAAAACTTGCCTGTGAAGCACAGTCTGATGACTTCATCAGCTGCATTAACAATATCTATGCCACCAGAATAGGACGATATCGATAATTTAATAATCTCAGTCTCTCCATGCAGCAAAGTGAAGGGCTGTGCACTTTGCCTTCTGTAAAGGGTTTTAATACTAGAATCAATATTTAAATCCAAATTTAAGAATGTAACTTATATTCATCTGTGAGTTTTTTTGTCCCAGGTCAATAAAATCAAGGAATATCAATTACATTTCAGATGATTAATGGTGATCAGATGAAACTGATCACCATTAATCATCTGAAATGCAATAGATATTCCTTGATTTTACGGACCTACAAAGAAGAGCATCCATACAAAATTTGTAGCTGACAAGTGTGCTTCTTTCTAATAAAACAACTCCTGGCATATACTTCCACCATCATCGTCTGGGTAACATTCTTTCCCCCAGGAACATGAGAACGACGTCTCATTCATTGCTGTAAGCACTCAGCGTAGGAAGTGACTTCAGAATCCGTACCAAGAGTGGCAGCTCTTATTTCTATATTGAAGGGACTTAGGATTAGTGTCCAGAAGACACATGAAATTAATAACCAATCTTCTCTTCCTCCAGAAAGCACAGGCCTTTGCAGTACCTTGGAGGGGAGCTTGTTGCCACCCAAAACCCAGATGTTGAAGGGAAAAGGGCCCAAACTCTACACTTTTGGTCAGAGATGCCTGCCATAAGGTCAGATCCCAAACACAGTCAGCATTTTCACAAACATATTTTTAGAAATTAGTTAAGTGGTCCTTAGTTTTAAAAATGATAACTCTTCCGAATAGAACTAAAGCCAAAGACATTCATGATTGGGCTTTAATGTTCCTAGCTGAACATTATCATCTTCTGAGGGTAGGCCTTAACTGTGTAACGGCAATTGAACTAGATATCGTCTTTGTTCTGTCTGTATTTGTGTCTGCAATTGTTTTAGGGAGGTCTCAAAATTCTTTACATAGACTGAAACTTGGGGTATCCCCTTGTTCTGCTTCTGCAGAAGCAGAAGGAAATAATATCTATTTCTTGTGTGTATTTCAATGTAAATTAACCATAAAAGAGCTATAAAGCATTTTATATGCTTTTGACAACTCTAAGATGAAAGTGTCATATAAAATACGAAGAGTTACCTCCACTAGGTCTATTTGTACACCATTGTCCAGGCACATTTTCATCATTTCCAAGTCACCATTTTGCACAGCCAGATGGAGAGGGCTGGCTTTCCCGTTATCCACAAAGTTGATGTGACACTGTCTGCTGTACCCGTGCTCTTCACCTTTAGAAGAAAATAGCATTCAACTTAACAAATATATAAAATGAATAATAGGGAGGGTTTTTTATTTTTTTAAAAAAGGAAGGGCACTGAGACACATACAAGCCTGTGGTAAATTTGGTTAAACATTTTTCAAAGTAATAGCACCCACCAGAGTAGACTTATTTATAGTGTATATATGGAAAAACCTCTACTCACCAAACTTCAATATTATTTCCATGCATTCTTTGGAACCTGAAAGTACAGCCTGATGAATAGGAAAACATCCAAATGTATTTGATTTGCATGGCTTAGCTCCTTTGTGAAGCTGGAAGAAAAGACAAAACTAAAAATGACACCAGTTAAACGTCAAATCACAAATTACATTGTATGTCTATGTAAAAGTACATAGAGAGCTTCATATATTATAAAATCTAAGCATGAAAGTAATTTTGAGCTAAGCAAAGATTCTGAAATAGGGACATTTTATATCTTCCAAAGAAGTAACAATGTAGACACAAAAATATAAATTTTGATACCCCAGCAAACTAAAGTCAACATATTTTTCAATGGAATTAATAAAATTTTTAAAGACACTATCATGACTTCTATACCCATTTTCAATTTCTTATGCGAATAAAATGACAATATTTCCCAGATGATTTTCCTTCTGTTTATGTAAAATTAATAAATGAATATGCCAGCACTCTTGTTAAGCCATGAAAATCAAGTATTTTCACTAATGATAGTTCTTCACTAAAAAGGTGTTAGAAGAACTAAGTGTTATATTACGTTGATAATCTGAGCCAATCATTTTAAACTGCCATTTTCTATAGATCATTAACCTTCAGTTTTGTTTTAAGTACTTTTAATTATCTCAAAAGAAAATATTTTGAGTAAACAGAAATGTGTGTAGAACCAAATACCACCTGTAATCTCAGCTTTTAGAGATAGTATTAGTTTAGTTTCTATAATATATATAATAGCCCAGAAATATATATGTATAATATAGTCCAGAAATGAAAGATGTACTTTATAAAATCATATTATTAAAGAATATTGTTGGCCGGGCACGTTGGCTCCTGCCTGTAATCCCAGCACTTTGGGGGGCTGAGGCGAGTGGATCACCTGAGGTCAGGAGTTCGAGACCAGCCTGGCCAACATGGCGAAACCCCATCTCTACTAAAAATACAAAAATTTGTGGTGGTATGCTCCTGTAGTCCCAGCTACTCGGGAGGCTAAAGCAGGAGAATCGCTTGAACCCGGGAGGTGGAGGTTGCAGTGAGCCGAGATGTGCCACTGCATTCCAGCCTGGGTGACAAGAGTGAGACTCCATCTCAGAAAAAAACAATAATAATAATAACAAGAAGAATATTGTTAAGTAAAATTTTTTTGAACAATATTGTCATACAGTATACACATAAAAATTAAATTGGCAAGGAAATCAGACTTTAAAAATACGTTGTTTTCTGTAGGACTTTTAACTTTACTATTTCTTTATACCGATTTTCCTTTGGTTAATTTAAGGTTCTTTTCCTAAATTCTTGGTTTGAGTGTTAGTTAATTTATTTTTATTCTCTTTATCATTTATTCTCTTTTCGGTCCAATCATGAGAGCTTAGAGTATTTACCTGTCTCTAAGTACATCTAGTAAAGGTGCTAAAACATACATGTATGGTACATTTAAACATTAGGCAAATATTTTTAAATTGTTTTATTTCATTTTCTTACTCTCTGGGATGGTAAAGAGGCAAAATCTTGTGGTAAAAATAAAGATCCTGGTCTGGATAACATGCAAGTGATTAAGGAATATTTGAAACAAGGCTATTTGCTGGGACTGTAACAGCACACTCAGATGGATCACTGCCAGAATCAGGAGGAAGTCATGTAGACAAGCATCTCCATCCCCTCACTGGACCACGTCAGGAAGCCTCGCCAGAGACAAAGCTGGCTCTGCTCTCAGGCATGTGGCTAACAACCTTTGTCATTTCATCACTCAGGGCACTGTTTTTGGGAACACGTGGCAATAATTTCTTCAGGTTTTCAGGAGTGGCTATGCTTCTTTTGGCTTTTATTTTATGGGCCCGATAAGTCTGGAACTGATTATATTCATCTTTCCTTTGACAATTCAGAAGCTCAGAATCGAACGTGCAAACCATCTTTATAAGATACAGGCCATTATACTTTGTATTTCGCATTCTAGCCTGACCACCAGCTTCATCTCAATTTTTCCTGCCTATATTTTCTTTTCACTTTGAATTTCTCATAGTTTTCATTACCGCTTTACTATTCGTCCTCTAAAAGCAATCTCAGATCCACTTAAGACAGGGAGTGTGTACACAAAAACACATAGAACAACTTTTTTTCTGACATAGTTTCTGTATTTTATGTTTTTCTAAGGAGAAAAACTCAACAGCTTTTGTAAATAATAATAATCCATGTTGTATTCATGAAAAGATAAAGAAAGCAGAAAGATATGACAAATATGCAAACCAAAATCTGCAGTGCTTCACTATTATTTTTGGTGCATGCGATCATCACAGCTGTGTTTCCATTTTCTCCTTCCAAATTAACATCAGTACTTCTATGCTCAAGCAAGACCTACACAAAAGTGGAGAATAATTGTCAAAATTTTACAGATTTCCAAATAAAATACTTGTCTTCCACTAGATTTTAAGTTCTCAGATGCCAAGGACCATGTCTATTTATCTTTTTTCATACTTCTCCCACACAATCTGGCACAAAATTCTGCATACTGTGGGTACTAAATAAATTTCTCAAATAGATGAAATAATCATGATTTCAATGTCACAACAATTAAGGTGATAATGAGTTGTAGCATTGTAAATACTAATTGTAGATACTAGTTATCATAGCTTCACTTAATACTTCTGACTAGTATTAGGTGAAGCTATATTAACTAATATTTTCAGAAAAATAAATTTGTGGAGCCATTTAGAATGTGTTCGCAGTGAAGGAGGAAGTCAGGAAGGGAAGAAGGAAGAAAGTAAGAGCAAGAGAGAGAAGGAGGGAGGGAGGGAGACAGGAAGGGAATAGTTTTTCTCCCCCTGCCAGTCATTTTTCTTTTACTTAGATTGCAAGCATCCTAGGAAATGTCAATGGAAACTCTTTTCAGTAAACAAAACAGAGTTTTGCATAACACTTTGGTAAGACTTAACTCAATTAATTCAAACTTGGTCTGCAATGGAAACTTTTTCTACAATGTAAGAAATTAGCGTCCTGGCCGAGCACGGTGTCTCATGCCTGTAATCTCAGCACTTTCGGAGGTTGAGGCAGGTGGATCACTTGGGGTCAGGAGTTTGAGACCGGCCTGGCCAACATGATGAAACCCCAACTCTACTAAAAATACAAAAATTAGCTGGGCTTGATGGTGCAAGCCTGTAGTCCCAGGTACTTGGGAGGCTGAGGCAGGAGAATTGCTTGAACCCGGGAGGCAGAGGTTGCAGTGAGCTGAGATCATGCCACCACACTCCACCCTGGGAGACAGTGCAAGAAAAAAAAAGAAGAAAGAAAGAAAGAGAGAAAGAGAGAAAAAGAGAAAGAGAGAGAGAGAGGGAGAGAAAGAGGAAGGGAGGGAGGGAGGGAGGAAGGAAGGAAGGAGGGAAGGAAGGAAGGAAGGAAGGAAGGAAGGAAGGAAGGAAGGAAGGAAGGAAGGAAGGAAGGGAAAAGACAGAGAAAGAGAGATAAGAAATTAGCATCCTGATAAAATGGTCAAGTAATTTTTCTGATAGAATTTCATTGAAGACCTGTTACTGCCTCACCTGGTTGACGGCCAGCTGATTATTGCCCAAGTGTCTATAGATCTTTGACCAGTCTTTTTTTTATATTCAATGTAACAAAATTATCTCATCTAAATATCTTATCAAATCTTGAAATTGGCCTACTAGAGGCTTTTTCTCTTGCAGAAAGACTATGATAAACAATGGCATGTCCTTATAATTAAATAATGTTAAAAGAATTTATTAAATAAGCTGTTTCTCAAAAACATTGACTTCTTTAAAAAAGTATACAACCTTTTACCAGAGCCTCTTGTTAACAGAACATGCCCCATGTGAGTGTCAGTAAATGAATTAGGTTTACTAATTAATTCTGCTCATAAATGAAAATTAAACTGAGATTTTAGTACATAAAAATACGTGGGAAAATGATTGATGAATTAAGGGAAATGAGAACACAAGATTCCTTCCATGGACTTTAGGCACCTTTGCATTCTCTTCTTAAGAAGCTGTAGATTCATATGGAAAATAACCTATCATAGAAGAGGCTTTTCTCTCTTTGCCCTCTTAGAAACATAGGCCACAAAAGTGTAGCATTAGGCTGTTATTACTGTACCACCAAAAGCACAATCTTTCAAAAAGCTGTGTTCAGTTATATGTGGCAGAGATACCAGAGAGAGCAACTAAACTGTGCACCTACTCCAAATTCAGTCATGACCAAGCAAGTCTGGAAAGTTCGGAGATGAGCCCTCCATAGGTCCCTTTGATGAGAATCTGGAAAGCCTCATGGAAGGGTCAAACAACTGGATACTTTGAAGTAAAGCCCCAAGGACTAAGGCCTATAGGCCACTGAGAGAAAAAACCACCCCCTAATCCCCAGGCCAATGTGTCCCAGGGAATATTATGCATACCATAAATCATTTGTTGAAGAACTTGAAGTGATGCGTGGATGACAGCTTTTTACTTTACAACCATTATAGGCAGCAGAGGAAGGTTTGAGGGAAGGTTAGTGGAGCAGCTTCTAAACTGGCAGGGGCTGGGTGGGTACAGGCTGGACCATGGGTATAACAGGGAGAGGCAGGTAGAGAGGACTGCTGTTTGCAAGCATGAGGGGAGACATTCCAAAACACGTTCTCCTCCTTCTATTCCTGTCATCTCTGGTGAACCAGAGGAGTCTGAAAATATTTTTACACATAGTTGTGATTGGTAAGAGCAAGTAGGGGAGAGTCAATTTTACTTAGAACTCTATTTTTCTGCTTGTTCTGGTGTCATCAGGAAAATTTGTTTTATGTTCATCACTGAATTTATGAATCAGTTAGGAGCTTTATTTTCTATTTCTATGTGATACCTATCTTTCTGAATGTGTTGGTCTGGAGGTTTCTGCTTTCTAATAACAATAGTCTTTCAACAGTTGTCTGTCTTCATATTCCCAAACCACACTTTCAGAGCCAATATTAATTGAGTTAATAGGTATTTGTTCTTAAAAAGAGCCTTCAGAGGGAGCACAGAGCTCCATGAGGAAATACGTGACATCTCTGTGGGAGTCCCTGCAGTCATTAGTGGCCCAACCTGGATGATATGGAAACAACAGTTGGCTCATGAATAATGCAGATATTTAATAAAACAACAAGAACAACAATAAAAACCAGCTTGTTTCCAGAGGACTTTCTAGTAACCTCTTCAGGGAGCCACTCTGACCTATCTCATAGGTACTGAGACTTCAGCTCGCCCCTTCTGAGTCAGCCAGAACTCGAATTTAGTCATTCATTCATCATTTGCCACCACAGTGCTGAGGAACAAGAGATATTTGGATTAGCAAGACACAGCCCTCTTTCAAGGATAATTACCCAGTGCGCAAAAAAAGCACCTGAATGTTTGATTCCAATATCATGTGTTAAGAATTTTGATAAAGCCATATACAAGGAACAGTAGGAAAGCAGAAAGTGGCTCCTCTAATACCCTTCATGCCAAATGTAAAGGAGCCAAGGTCTCAGAAGGCTGAGAGAAAAGGTTTTTGGGCTAAAGAGAGCCAGAAACTCATGCATCTCTTTGGCGATTTATAGAGAAGTTGGTTTTCTTGTGGCTTACCACAAATAGCCAAATCATCATTTGCAATAATATTTCTACAAGAAAATTTATTGTAAGTTCCAAATAAGCCTACCTTAGAAATGAACTTCTGGAACATGATCCATTTGTAAACTCCATTCTTCATCAGTTAAACATGTTTGTATTCTAGTGTGTCTGACAGACTTTGAGAGGTAGTTTAAAAGCCATGGCCTAATTTTTACCCTTTAGCAATTTTCCAGGATTTCCTCTACTTGATCAAACTTATTGTTACACCTTGAAAACCAATAAGATGTCTCCCAATGGTATTGTCATGTCTTCAGCGAACTAATCTAACAGGCCATACACTCTAACTAAAACAGCAAGTCATACTTATGTTTTCTGCTTTCACTGAGGCTCTCAATACCTTCTTCCTTTGTCATTACATCAGTCAGGTAAAAGAGATAAAGCCTAAACTTGAAAACATAAAGATGAAAACAAAATTCCTTAGTCTTGCTGTTTTACTTGTGATGTGCCATTAGGCAAGCTATTCAAATTCTTTTGGCACCTCAGCATACTCAGCTATGAAATGGGAATACTAGTATTTTATTAGATCTTACTTCATAGAGGGCTTATTTAGATGAGAATTCAATAAACGAACATGCACAAAGCTCTTTAAAGGTGCTTGGTAAATAAGAACTGTTCAATAAAGTTAGAACTAATCATCATTATCAACATTAGTTGGTGAGAAGTAGAGCAAATGTAATTATTACATATCATTTGACCTGGAAGCTCAGAAGGTGCTCATCCTGGTGCAGGCAGAGAGAGCTGGATCTGGGTACCAGCACCTGCGCCGCTGGTCAGGCCCTTTGGAGCCAGCCAGTAGCCTTACCTTCATCACCTCATTGTTCATGCCCAGCACAGCTACGTGGAGGGGCGCAATCATGTTGAAGTTTTGGAGGTTTGGGTTTGCTCCTCTGCTGAGTAGAAACTTAACGCTTTCAATTTGGTTTTCATCTACAGCACAGTGCAGAGGGCTATTCCATAATCATCCATAATCATTGCATTCAGCACTAGAAAAAGAAACCAAAATATGGGTTAGATTTTGCTCAACACCTCTTGAGTGCCTATCCACTGCAAAACTCAGTGCCAAGTGCAACTGAAATCAGCTGCATCTTTTCTATGGAAACTAAAAACACAGCTTCAATTCTCATGAAACATTTAATGGGCACCTAATGGGAATATATAGAAGCATGGCACTGACTTTATCAATTGAGTTAAATTTCTATCCATAGCAGTCATAAGAAAAAGATCCTCCAATTGCTACATATTTTTATCTATATGAGTTGGGGTATTGTGATAAAATATTGAGATTACATAAAACAAAGAACTATATACTGGGCACTCTACTAAGTTCACGTGACCATTATTTCTTTCAAGCCCCAACAGCCTGCTAGGCATCACCATGACAAATGTTCAGGAGGAAGATGCTGAGGTCCAGAGAGGTTAAAAGTCTTGCCAACATCACAGAGCCAGTAAGGAGGTATGGTTACCATGCCTCTCTGAACCTCAGCTTTCTCGTATTCAAAATTTGTAAAAAAAAAAAAATACAAAACATATATTCATATGCCTACACACACAGAGAGAGAGAGACACCTTGCAATGTTGCAGTGTTATTGGGACAATAATATTAAATCGTGTCTTCAAAGATCACAGTGGAGTGCCTGGCCTGTAGGAATGGCTCAGAAAATGTTAATAAGAAAAAAGACACACCACTAATAAACCACAAGACTAGAATTCGAGCTTGAGTCCCTGATGCCACACCGGCTTTCCATATATTTCTACAATACGATATATGGCACTATTTATCCTGTGAGCTCAGCATACAAGTAATAGGTCCTTTCATCCTGCAAAGTCCTATAGCTATTCTAAAATGGACATATCAACCTTGTAAATTAGTGGCAGTGTTATCTTTATGTCCACAAAAGGAGAAAAAGTATTGTCTCATAAACATGATTTGGGGACCATCTATGGTACTTGGAACCATGTAGCCACATTTTCTGTTTCTCTCCTTTTTAAAATATATCTCTCCACTATTTCCTTTTATTCATCTAAGTGCTTCATTCTAAACAACACACATACATGCATGGACACACACACACATCTCTTGACTGTTCCGTCTGATCAAGAAGAATCACTCCATTCATCATTCCATTTGGCACCAAACTTAAACAGGGATCTATATTTACAAACTCCCATTCACTAATTAAATAACTTGAATTTCACTTTTATCCTCATCACTTTTCAGAAATCATTTTTACAGAAGTCACTGGGGCCTTCTAATGTAGGGGCTTTATCGTGATCTCCTTCCTACTGATCTCTTTGTGGCAAGAGCTCCTTCTAACTCTTCTGTCCCAGTAACTTCTCCCATGGTTTGAGTATCATCAATTTTTATCCATCACTATCTTCATCTTTTTCTGGCTTTTCCTCTGCTATCTCTCTCTTGGTGTTTGTACTCTACTCTTAGCTACCTTAACTAGCAATTTTGTGATCCCCTAAAGTATTTTCATGCATTTCCACTGTCTCATCGACTTCCTATGCAATCATGCTCCTGTAGGGCAGACCCTTTCATTCTACATTTCTGGATATTTCCAGATATTATTGAAGATTATAGATATTGCCCGCTGGATATTTCCAAGTGGATGTCCCCTGGGCCTTTCAAACTCACAGTGACCAAATCTCACACCTTCGCACTCACTTACTTTTTGTTTTCTCATATTCCTCCTTTTGGGGGATGTTTATATTATTAGCCTAATCTCCTAAATTTAAGAATTTCAAAGTCAGTTCCAACTCCCTGCCCCTTTCTCTTCCCATTTACTCTGCTGTTAAGCACTGTTGACTTTACATGCCAATATCTCTTGAACCTCTCCCTGTCTCCTTATTGTAGCCTCACAAACCTGGTGAACTTTTATCCTCTGTTTACTACCAAAATAGCTTTTTAGCTTGGCTTCCACTTCTAATCCATCTTCCACAATATTGATGGAATTATCTTATATAGTGAAGGTCTTATCACACCATCTCACTGCCTCCATCTCTGTGGCATCCACCTCCCTCATTGCCTGCAGTTGAACTGCTTAAACAAGGCAGAGTGTACAAGGCTGGCATCTGGAAAATATCACTGGTCGGGGGATGTTACACCTTCTTGAAGTGTCCATTTTCTTCAATGATAATAATTTAGGTGTAGAATAACCTCAATGGAAATAGTGTAGAAGAGTACATAAATATATATGCATTTTTACAATCTACCTAAAAATTCAAATAAAGTCTGTGCTTATTGTGGGGTGTCCTAGATCTCTGCACTATGTTTTGCAATATTTCAGTAGAAGAAGTTGAGGAGTGCTGGTGTGTAGGAAAACCCACATTTCTAAGTGAAATATACAGGCTCTTTATAATTGAAACTAATTACCCTTAAGAATCACTTTATTCCACTCTTCCCAGTGAATTGAATGGGATAAAAGATTTCTAGAAGATGCATTGTAATGTTTTGTTACCTCCAGGAAGGAAATCTTCAGAGAACATCTCCATCTAGTCGAATTGACCTTTTCCTACAGCATATTGTGAAGAGAAGGCGTTCATGTCATCACAATTGTTTAATATCTTTTGTTTCTTAAAGTTTTGTAATCCATATGCACTTCCTTCAAAATCCTCCTAGAGGTATTTAAACACCATTACAACAAACAAGCATATGCAAAACTTATGACTATAAAGTTAATCATTTTATAGTCTTAAATAATTTATTATCCAAAACTCTTTATCATGCTTATAATAAAGTAAAAGTTTTTCTTGAAATACACAAAATATTTACAGATACAAAGAAGGTATGAAAAAATGCCCCCAAATTGTTCAGTATATGAAATAAATGTTTTTATTTTTTGACCATAAACTCATATATGCTTAGAAATAAAGGCCTTCTTCTTTGTTGCCAAGGAAATGAAGAAATCTTCCCCAAACAAATGAATCAGATACTTGCTTAAATTCTACCATTGACCATAACTAGTCACATATGCCACATGATAATATATGTGTTCAAATTCTAGTTTGTTATTTTAAGGATAACTAGAGCATTTCTCACTACTGAAAAGAAAAGCTATCAATTAAAATGATGTATTAAAGTATTTAATGTATCTTAATATAGCTAAGAAATGATTTAAGATATGAGGATTTATTCAGTAAATGTCAAATTGGAATAAATAAAACTTAATTTCTTAAATTTTTGAACTTTGGATTTTGCTTCTAGAATCACAAAACAGTACTTAACAAATCACTGTTCTATAGTAGTCTCTTAAACTGATATATGTTACTTTTTAACCAAAAAAAAAAAAAAGAATTCTATATAAGCTACATATGGCTTTAGTGACTATAGGATATGACAATGAGCATCCAACCACTTCCAAATTTACACATATTCAGTAATAAATTTAAAATGGGATTATTGTAGAAATAGGGTATTCTCATGTCTCATGCTATCAAAGAAAATGTTGATCTAAATCTATTTAGAAGCATTCTGGCACTTGAATTTGATACGCTATTTGGGTAATAAAGAGATTGTGCTGCCTACTCCCTAGTGCCAGAATGAGCAGTTTGGGATGTCTGTTCAGCGATGTGCTGTCAACACAAACCCAATTCCACACTCTTTAGAGGGAGTACTAGGTTCAGATGCTCACAAGGCACTATTGAATTCACAATAACAAAACAGCATCTAAATACTTTACACGAGCATATCAGATGTACTAGATCTTCTCAATCAGTAGCTAAGGTATTGTCAGGCTTTGAAAAGATTTTTTAAAGTTCTGAAAGTAAGCCAAGGATGTCATTTAGACAAGTTATATATTCATTTAATGTAGTTTCATGTTGTCACAGAGTCACTTCAGATTCCTTATGATTCAGACCTATGTGATTAGATTCAGAACATAATAGACTAGATCACTTTTAGATAAGCTAATTCTAACTAAACCCCTTAAAACAGAAATATCAAACGCATCTGTTTTAGGTTGCTTTAATGAAATACATAAAAGTAGCAATGTGGCCAAAAGGTTGGAAACTAAGGTGAGAGATAACAATTGGAAGATCAAATGCTGAAGTATTCACTATCTTGAAAGAAAATAATTGGAAAAGGCTAAAAGCATCAGTCCAATTGTTCTTTTTCCACATTTCTCATCTTGTAAGTTTTCTGTGATCCTTCAGTTTTGTTAGTGTTCCTGAGATACTGTGTATGTGCTGGAGAAAATATGTTATACAGCTTTTCTTTTAATTTAGGAAACCACCAAAAACCCTCTAGAGTTCAAAAAACCCTTCATGGTATTATATATGTTTCTTTGTAATGAGTACAACCACTGAGATTTTTACAAGATGATCTGAAAGTACCACAGTTAATGAAATAAAATATATAAATCCCTCAATCTACAAACTCAAATAAAAAAATAAAAATAAAAAGCCTTAAATAACGTAAGTGGTTCTACTTAGGCAATAAATCTAAATAAGGACAATTAGAAACATGAAGAAAAATAATTTTGAGACTTGGTGCTGAGAAATCCCTCAGTAAATATCTCTAGAAAATGAAACCACAGGCCAGGCATGGTGGCTCATGCCTGTGATCCCAGCACTTTGGGAGGCTGAGGCGGGTGGATCATGAGGTCAAGAGATTGAGACCATCCTGGCCAACATGATGAAACCCCTTCTCTACTAAAAATACAAAAATTAGCCAGGCATGGTGGCGTGCACCTGTAGTCCCAGCTACTCAGGAGGCTGAGGCAAGAGAATTGCTTGAACCCGGGACGTGGAGGTTGCAGTGAGCCGAGATCATGCCACTGCAGTCCAGCTTGGCAACAGAGCTAGACTCTGTCTCAAAAAATAATAATAATAATAATAATAATAATAATAATAATAATAAAGAAAAATAAATAAATAAATAAAACCACATGGGTGATATTAGAAATTTAAAATTTCTTCCAGTCCCATATTAATTGTAAAGATACTATCCTGGAGGGTGAAATCCATTCATGACTCTGTTCTCTGCAATAAGCCAAAAGGCCACAGTTACCTTGCTAATATTAAGAAGGACAAAAAATGTCTGTGGTCAAGGTGGATATGCCAACAGACTCACCTTGGGAGGCCTGGCTACTTGGTGTGTGTGATTTACTATACATGCCTGATTCACACACACAGCTGGCAACAGTGCCAATTTGTGCAACCTATTTAGAGAGCAATTTGGCAATTGCTACCAAACTTAAGGCTGTATGTACCTCTTGACCCTGCTAGGACTTTAACATACAGACAGTCCCGCAAAAGTAACAATGGACAGACAGAGAAGTCACGTCTACGCTCACAGACACACTCAGTCAGGTGTATAATAGCAAAACAAAGCAAACATAAAACAGCCTGAGTGTCCATCAGTGCAAGACTGGTTAAATAAATCATGATCTATTCATACAGTGGGATGTTATGAAGCTGGTAAAAACAGGTAAATTTCCAAGTGCCGATTTAAAATGTATTCCAAAATATATTTTGTGAGTAAATCAAAGTGGAAATCTGCGAGTTCATACTTTTGCAAATAAAAAAAGATCCATTAACATATGCGTTTTTGTGTAAGCATTTTTTTTAACCTGGAAAATACATAAGAAACTGTTAACATGATTCCACTGTTGAAAGAGATTTGTGATGAGGGTTTGGAGAGTCTCTTTAATGTTGTCTCAACATTTTAAAAGAGCCCCTTTCTCCTGTTGACAATCTGATGAAATCCAGTGGTGGGCTCTGAGCACCCAACAGCCTCTATCCCTTAGACTAAGCCATCAGGTAGTAGCTAGTGCTGCCTTTAGGTCCCGAGAACTGCATAACAAACAAGTACCTATCCTAGAGCCTTAGGCCACTCATCCAACTTCAAAAGGTCACCTCCTCCACAGCATTTCCTGACGTCTCCATCCCCTGAAGAAGGAATTCGCCAGTTCTGTCTCCGTTTTACAGGGGACATTTTCTCTGGTTTCTCTGTTTCACTCTGTTAGACCAGAAGCCTTCTCAACCCCCAAAACTCTTAAATAGTTATCCGACGACAATCAGACACAGCCTTTCGGCTATTTGATTCTAAACAAAATCTACAAAAAAGTTCAAGTGAAACGACACACATTCCAAATTGCCCTGATTTTAGGCAGCTGCCCGATCTTGTGCCAAATGATACAGATACTTTTGGAGTAGGTTTCCCTGGACTACAGTTGTCCAGGAGCAAGAATAGATTGGGCAAACAAGCAAACAAAATAGATAAAGCAGGCGCTGTGTGGGCGCGTCATTAGCGGGGTCTCCTCTTGGACTGTGAACACACCCCAAAGCTTGCAACCCCCTGGCCACTCCACGCTTTCTCCAAACCAAGGGCTGCCCGCAAGGAAACCTCGAGCCGAACCGCGGCCGGACTTCAGAACCCGTCCCGACCCGCGAACCCCCAGGGTACCTTAAGCGGTTCCTTGCAGTCCTCCGTGTCGTCCCGCACATCCTCATAGACAACGCCCTGGGGCTCCTTCTTTTCTCCAGGGCGCCACATCTTCCTCGGGCTGCGCTTCATTGACCCCACCCCGGACGCCATCTGGTGCATCTGCTCCCCACGAGCGCGGGCACCTGGGGCGAGAGAGCGCTGTCAGCCGGCCAGGCGCTGGGGTCCGCGCGAGCCCGAGCTCTCCCTCGCTGCAGCTCACAGGCAGCGAAAATCTCGCTCCGCGAGAGCCCTGGAGAACTTCTGGAAGGAGTTCTCAGGCCCGCGCTACTTACAGTGCAGGAAGCAAGCGGGGCGTGAAGAGGAGGTAGAAACACAGACCTCCCTAGCAAAGAGGGAGGCGGCGCAGCGTCTGCCGAGGACTCGCCCCTTCAGGAACAAAGTGACTCCCCCGTCCCGCTGTCCTGCAGCTGCAGCAGCGCACTCCCAGAGTCAAGCGTGTCAGGTCGGTGTGGATGCAGCGAATTTGTTGTAATCTACACATTAAGAGCCCCCTTGCCTCGCCCTGCCCCCTCCAACCGTGTGTGTGTGTGTGTGTGTGTGTGTGTGTGTGTGTGTGTGTGTGTGTGTGTAAAGAGACAGGACGAGAGAATGACAAGGTACATTGGAAAGTTTTTTAGTTTTCAGGATTTTTTTCCAACTAAAATTCTATGGACCTGTGTTTCCCTCCATGTGCACCTCCTTCTGGGGGCCTCTTTGGTATGGAAATAAGGTTTTTAGCAAAACTTCTCATTCCAAACATTTGGGAGAATAGCTAAACCCTAGCACTGGTTTGAGGGACCAGATTAAGTCCTCATGAATCTCAGGTCCCATTTCCTGCGGATAATAATATTGATCCCCGTCATGCCTTGGTGTTTAAGGGTGGTTAATAAAAAGGTTAGGTTAAAGGTAAGCCACTGCTGACTGGTGTGTTTGTTTGCCCCCAGCTTTGTTTGAAAGACTTATCTTCATAGGTCTGCTGTGCATAGGTGTCAATTGTGTAGAATAAAACGTGTTCCCTCTCAATCGAAGAGGCTGGTTCTATGTTTATGTACAGACAAGGGAGCCTCTGAAACTGTTGACGGTAAGTTCAAGTTTACAAGGCTAGAAAGCAAAAAACCTTCTTTCCAAGGCTGATTATACTTTGCACAGGACAGACGGTAGCTTTGACAGTCTTTTGCTTTGACAGACTGTGCTTCCTGAAGGCCCTGGATTGTCGTATTCACCTGCTCATCTCCAGCACTTAACTCAAGACCCCTGTGGATCCAGGACCTGGCATAGGTGCACTCAATAACCGTTTGTGGACTGTCTGACCTAGGGGCTATGGTGGGCTGAGCTTAGGGCTAGGCAGAGTGGACATGATGATGTTGAGGAACCATGAAATGTCCCCCCAAATCTTCCAATGGATATGGCAGGTTGCCATCAATTCCACCCCTGGAGTGGAATTCCTTGGAAGGATAATATTGAACTTAACCACATCATGAGTCCATGAGTATGGCTTGCTGGAAGATACAGGTGTTCAGCTTCACCCTCGCACACTTTTCCCACCAGCATCTTTGTTCAGGGTGTACAGAATAGGAATCAGTTGCACAGCTTGCTCTGATTTAGTTGAAGGAGGTAACGCATTTGGAGAAACCAATAAAGAAAAGAATCAGAGGGATGGGTAAAGAGAATAACTCTCATTGAGTCACTGCTGTCTACCTGACATTTTCCATACACCAGGTTCATGTTTTAAAATGGAAATACCTCATAGGAATATGATGACTTTTTATTCTTTATCATTGATTACTTTGATCAATTGCTTTTCTCACAACACTTAGCTGAAAAGGATCACTAAGGCAAAAAGGGAATAAAGAGGATGTTCAAAGCAGTCATTTTGGAAGCTGGGGCAGAAGGCATGTCATCAGATGGCTCTGTTGGCCCTTACAGACAGGGGAGGGAGGCGGTGCAGGGAACTCCAGCAATGGAGGGTGGAGGGGAATGCTGGGAGAAAAGTGGCTCCAGGTCAACAGCACCCCTTTTTTGTGACATCCCCTGGGGTCAGCTGCCAGCACAGAATGATGCTTTCTGCATTCTTGCTTCTGTACCCCATTGACATCCCCAAAGCACGTATTCTTTTAAATTTGTCTTCTCCAGCTTTAACACTGAAAAATATAGATGGTTAGTATTATAGAACTGAATGTTTTCCTGATTTCTCTTATAAAAGCAGAGATTAAATGTTAGTTTAATTTTTTAAAAATATTTTGGGGCACTTGTTCATTTTAGGCACTTTTCAGGCAGTGTCTTTCTAAGACCTCTCAGGAATTCTCATGACTGTTTCTTCTTAATTATTAAATTATTTCCTACCCATCAAAAATACCTATTTCATAGGCAGGCAGGGAAGCTTCCTTTTTAAATTAACTGCTAATCTTGGTCTTAGAATGCATAATGTAGACAGGAACAACACGGTATCTAGCTGTTTACAATCAGGATCTTATTTCTTTTGAAATTTAATTATTAATGAATAGCAATAAAGTACAATCTTTTTATATCAATTATACTTTTAAAATAATGATAATGATAAGAGGAAAGGACCCTTCATAGAAATTTCCTGAAGATAATTTTTATTATCAAACTACAATTTGATATTACACAAGACCTTATTCAAGAAAATAAAAAGTAATAATAATAAATGATTTTATTTAAATTCTCAGGGAAAATATATGCATATATTGTTTGGTAATTTTTATGGAAAAAATCTAAATTACCAAAAATTCTCCTTAATTATTTTGTTCCTTAAATTAAAAAATGTTTTTGTTTTTAAATTAATTACATAAATATTTATTTTTAACGTCACTAATCCAGATATGTTTTTAATACCTGGAACTGAAGGTAAAACCTCTTGGTTCCCTTAAGTGCCTTAACCAATAAAATAATGAAAAGGGGCCCAATAAACATACCAAGGAAGAGAAAATAGCATCTTGAAAAAAAACATAAAATGCACCCATGGAAAGTGTAAAGTTTGATGGTTTTTAATAAATGTATACAATTATCTCCACAATCCAGCTTTATAGTATTTCCAACAATCCAAAAAGTTGCCTTAAACCCAAATGCAGTCATTCCCTCCCTGACCCAGACCCCTAGGCACCCTTCAATCTGTCTTTTTAGCATAGTTTCTGTCTGTATAGTTTAGCCTTTTCCTAGAAATTTCAGATACGTGGAATCATACACTATTTAATCTTTAGTATCTGGCTTCTTTTGCTTAGCATAATGCACTTGAAATTAACCCATATTGTACAGTGTGTCAGTAGTTTCTTCTTTTTCATTGCTCAGTAGTATTTTATTGTGTGGATATACTATATTTTCTTTATCCATTTACCAGTTATTGGACATTTAAAATATTTCCAGTTTGGGTCTAGTATAAATAATGCTGCTATGAACATTTTCATACAAATCTGTGGACATACATTTTTATTTCTCTTGTTTAAATAGATACCCAGTAGTGGACTTGCTGAGTCATGGGTAAGTATGTTTTTAGCTTTGTATAAAATTTCCAAATTGCCTTCCAAAGTGGATGTACCTTTTTATATGGCCTCCAGCAGTGTATGAGGATTCTACTTCTCCACAGCCTCACAAAACTTACTATTATTAATCTTTTTTATTATACTCATTTTAGTGGTATATACCATTGAGGCTTTAATTAGCATTTCTGTAGCAGCTGATGATACTGTCCATGTTATCATGTTCTTATTAACCATTTGTGTATTTTCTTGATGAAATGTTTATTAAATTATTTTGCCTCTTTTTAAATTGGATTGTCTTCTTACTATTGAGTTGTAAGAGTTCTTTATTCTAAATACAACTCTTTAATCAGATGAATAATTTGCAAATATTATTTCAGAATCTGTTACTTTTCTTTATTTTCTTAATAGTACCTTTTGAAAAGCAGAACTTTTAATTTTGATAAAACTCTAATTTGTTAATTTTCTATATTGTGTTTTAGGTGCCATATATAGAAACTTTTGCCTATGCAGGATTAAAAAGCTTCTCTTCAATGTTTTCTTCTAGAAGTGTTAGCTCCTAACTAGATCAATTTTCAGTTAATTTTTGTGTAGGGTGTGGGGTAGAGGTCTAAGTTCATTTTTATTACATATAGATATACAATTATTAATAGTTGTTTTAAAAAACTACACATCCCTCATAGAATTGCCTTGGAAACACTGTCAAAAATCAATTGGAGATGTGTGTGTGTGTGCATATATATATATATATGTTTGTTTGTTTCTAGACCCCTATCTTCTTCTATTGATCAATATCCCTATATTTAAGCCAATACCATATGGTCTTGACTTATATATTCAAATTATTAATCCCTTGTCAGATGGGTAGTATGATGGTTAATATTAGGTGTCAACTTGACTAGATTGAAGGATGCCTTGATGGCTGATGAAGCATTATTTCTGGGTATGTCTGTTGCATTGAGTCTATAGGTCCTTTTGGTGAGAAGGGTCATTTTTAAAATATTAAGTCTTCTGATCCATATACGGCATATTTTCGATTTATATAGATCTATCTTGATTCTCTTGGTAGTGTTTTGTACTTTTCCGTGTACAGTTCATGCATATTTTTGTTAAATGTATTCCTAAGTATTTTATTAGTTTTAAGCTATTTTAAATGGAATTGTTTTTTGTTTGTTTTTGTTTTGTTTTGTTTTGTTTTGTTTTGTTTTGTTTTGAGATGGAGTCTTGTTCTGTCACTCAGGCTGGAGTGCAGTGGCACAATCTTGGCTCACTGCAACCTCCGCCTCCCGGGTTCAAGTGATTCTTCTGCCTCAGCCTCCCAAGTAGCTGGGACTACAGGCACGCACCACCATGCTCGGCTAATTTTTGTAATTTTAGTAGAGACGGGGTTTCACCATATTGGTCAGGCTGGTCTTGAACTCCTGACCTCATGATCCACCCACCTTGGCCTCCCAAAGTGCTGGGATATAGGCGTGAGTGACAGCACCCAGCCGGAATGGTTTTCTTAATTTTACTATCAGATGATTTGTTGTTTATAGAAATACAATTGAATTTTCATATTGATCTTGTTTCCTACAATGTTGCTAATCTTCCTCATTAATTCTACTAGTTTTTTAGGAGATTTTTTAGAAACTTAAACATAGGGGCAGGGCCAAGATGGCCAATTAGAGCGGTGGTGGCTGGAGGCTCCCACTGAGAACAAAAACAGTGTGCAAATCCTGCACCAGCAGGAGAGTCCAGTATCCAGGACTCTCATCAGGACTAACTAAGTGGTTGGCATGGCTTATGGAGAGCAAGGAAAAGTAGGGTGGTGCATAGGCCCACCTGAGAGCCACACAGGGTAAAAGGAGCCCCCAGCCCCACCCAAGGCAGATGATGAGTGAGCGTACTGCCCAGCCTGGGAAACCGTATTTTTCCACAGATCTGTGCAACCTACAGATAAGAAGATCTCACTTGTGAGCCCACACCACCAGGGCCTTGAGTCCCAATCACAGAGCCACACAGATTCTCAACAGCCACTTGGCTGGAATCTGCCTGAGACTACTGAGTTCCTGGGGAGAGGGGTGGCCATCATCACTATGGCTGCCTGCTGTCTAAGCCATCTGAGCTCCCATGGGGAGGGGTGGCAGCCATCACTGTGGCTTTAGGCTGCCGTTTTTTCCCTGGTGGTGCCAGGGAGATTGGGTGGCTTGGTCCAAAGAGGTATTCCCCACCATGCAGCATGCAGGCTGTGACAGACCATAACCAGACTGCCTCTTTAGGCCAGACCCTGACCCATCCCTCCTCACTGGGCAGGGCCTCCCTGTGGGAACTCCAGCAACTCCAGCCAGGGGCTTAGGGACAGAACTCTGATCTCCCTGGGCCTGAGCTCCTAGGGAGAGGGGTGGCTGTGGTCTCCACAGACGAGAGGACTTAGTTTTTCTCCTTGAGAGCTCTGAGGAATCCAAGCAGCCCAGATGAGTGGGTTTCCCCTTAACACAGCACACCCTCTTCACCAAGGGACAGTCAAAATGCTTTGCTAAATAGGTCCTAGATCCTGGCCCCCCTAACTTGGTGAGACCCTCAACAGGGGTCACCAGACACCTTATACAATAGTGTTGCTACTGGCATCGGCTTGGTGACCCTTGAGGTCAGAGATTCCAGAGGAAGGAGCAGGCACCCATCTTTGCTGTTATCCAGCCTCCTCGGGTGACATCTCCAGGTGCAGGGGATATCCAGATAAATAGGGCCTGAAGAGAGTGCCCAGCAAACCACAGCAGCCCTACTGAAGAGGGACCTGACTACTGAAAGAAAAACAAACAAACAGAAAGCAACAACACCAGCATCAACAAAAAAGTCACCACCCAAACCTCATCAAAAGGTCATCAGCCTCAAAGATCAAAACTGGACAAACTCATGAAGATGAGAAAGAAACAATGAAAAAAATGCTGAAAACTCAAAAGGCTGGAGTGCCTCTTCTCCTCCAAATGATTGCAACACCTCTCCAGCAAGGGCACAGAACTGGACAGAGGATGAGATGGTTGAACTGACAGAAGTAGGCTTCAGAAGGTGAGTAATAAAAAAAACTTCACCAAGTTAAAAAAAATGTGTTCTAACCTAATGCAAAGAAGCTAAGAACCATGATAAAAGCCTACAGGAGCTTCTAACTAGAATAACTAGTTTAGAGAAGAACATAAATTACCTGATGGAACTGAAAAACACAGCAGGAGAACTTAGTGATGCAAACACAAGTATTAATAGCTGAATTGATCAAGTGGAAGAAAGAATATCAGAGCTTGAAAACTATCTTGCTGAAATCAGGCAGACAGACAAGATTAGAAAAACAAAGAGTGAAAAAGAATAAGCAAAATTTCTAACTCTGGGACTATATAAAAAGACCAAACCTACAAATGATTGGGGTACCTGAAAGAGACAGGGAGAATGGAACCAAGTTGGAAAACACCTTTGAGGATATCATCCAGGCAAATTATCCCAACCTAGCAAGACAGGACAACATTCAAATTCAGGAAATACAGATAACCCTAGTAAGATACTCCATGAGATGATCAACTTTAAGAAACATAATTATCAGATTCTCCAAGGATGAAATGAAAAAAAAAAGTTAAGAATAGTCAGAGAATACCCAGGTCACCTACAACAGGAAGCACATCAGACTAACAGTGCACCTCTCAGCAGAAACCGTACAAGCCAGAAGAGAGTGGAGGAAAATATCCAACGTTCTTAAAGAAAAGAATTTTCATCCCAGAATTTCATATCTGGCCAAACTAAGCATCATAAGTGAAGAAGAAATAGAAATAAAATCCTTTTCAGACAAGCGAATGCTGAGGAAATCCATCACCATTAGGCCTGCCATGGAAGAGCTCCTAAATGAACCACTAAATATGGAAGAAAAAAAAGAAAAAACATTATCAGCCACTGCAAAAACACACTGAAGCACAAAGACCAATGACACTATGAAGAAACTGCAACAACTATTCTGCAAAATAACCAGCTAGCATCGTAATGACAGGATCAAATTCACACATAACAATATTAACCTTAAATGTAAATGGGCTAAATGCCCCAACTAAAAGACATAGACTGGCAAATTGGATAAACAGTCAAGATCCATCAGTGTGCTGTATGCAAGAGACCCATCTCACATGCAAAGACAAACATAGGCTCAAAATAAATGAATGGAGGAATATTTACCAAGCAAATGGAAAGCAGAAAAAAGCAGAGGTTGCAATCTTAGTTTCTGACGAAACAGACTTTAAACCAACTTAGATCAAAAAGACAAAGAAGGACACGATATAATGGTAAAGGGATTAATGCAACAAGAAGAGCTAACTAGCCTAAATATATATGCACCCAATACAGGAGCACCCAGATTCATAAAACAAGTTCTTAGAGACCTACAAAGAGACTTAGACTCCCACACTATAATAGTGGGAGACTTTAACACCCCACTGTCTATATTAGACAGATCAATGAGACAGAAAATTAACAAGGATATTCAGGACTTGAACTCAGCTGTGAATCAAGTGGATCTGATAGACATCTACAGAACCCTCCACTCCAAATCAACAGAATAGACATTCTTCTAATTGCCACATGGCACTTACTCTAAAATTGATCACATAATTGAAAGTAATTTTTTTACTCCTCAGCAAATGCAAAAGAACTGAAATCATAACAAACATTCTCTCAGACCACAGTGCCAATTAGAAGTCAGGATTAAGAAACTCACTCAAAACCATGAAACTACATGGAAATTGAATGACCTGCTCCTGAATGACTCCTGGATAAATAATGAAATTAAGGCAGAAATCAAGAAGTTCTTTGAAAACATTGAGAACAAAGAGACAACATAGCAGAATCTCTGGGACACAGCTAAAGCAATGTTAAGAGGGAATTTTATAGCTCTAAATGCCCACATCAGAAAGCTAGAAAGATCTCAAATTGATACCCTAACATCACAACTAAAAGAACTAGAGAAGCAAGAGCAAACAAATCCAAAAGCTAGCAGAAGACAAGAAATAACTAAGATCAGAGTGGAACTGAAGGAGATAGAGACATGAAAAACACTTCAAAAAATCAATGAATCCAGGAGCTGGGTTTTTTTAAAAAAAAATTAATAAAATAGATAGACTGCTAGCTATACTAATAAAGAAGAAAATAAGAAGATTGAAATAATCACAGTCAAAAATGATAAAGGGGATATCACCACTGATCCTGCGGAAATGCAACCATCAGGGAACACTATAAACACCTATACACGAATAAACTAAAAAATTGAAAAGAAATGGCTAAATTCCTGGGCATACACACCCTCCCAAGGCTAAACAAGGAAGAAGTCGAATAACTGAATACACTGATAACAGGTTCTGAAATTGAGCAGTAATAAATAATGTACCAACTAAAAAAAAAAAAAAAAAAAAGCCCAGGACAAGCCAAATTCTAACAGTGGTACAAAGAGGAGCTGGTTTCATTCCTTCTGAAACTATTCCAAACAATTGAAAAGGAGGGACTTCTCCCTAACTAATTTATGAGGCCAGCATTATCCTAAAACCAAAACATGGCAGAGACACAACAATAAAAGGAAGCTTCAGGCCAATATCCCTGATGAACATTGATGTGAAAATCCTCAATAAAATCCTGTCAAACTGAATCCAGCAGCACATCAAAAAGCTTATCCATTACAATCAAGTTGGCTTCATCTCTGGGATGTAAGGCTGGCTCAACATACACAAATCAATAAATGTAGCTCATCACATAAGCAGAACTAATGACAAAAACCACATGATTATGTCAATAGATGCAGAAAAGGCCTTTGATAAAATTCAACACCCCTACATGTTAAAAACTTTCAATAAACTAGTATTGAAGGAACATATCTCAAAACAATAAAAGCCATTTATGATAACCCTGCAGCCAATATCACACTGAATGGGCAAAATCTGGAAGCATTCTCTTTGAAAACTGACACAAGACATGGATGCTCTCTCTCACTATTCCTATTCAAAATAGTATTGGAAGTTCTGGCCAGGGCAATCAGGCAAGAGAAAGAAATAAAGGGTATTCAAATAGAAGAGAGGGAGTCAAATTGTCTCTGCAGACCACATGATTCTATGTGTAGAAAACCCCATTGTCTCAGCCCAAAAGCTCCTTAAGCTGATAAGAAATTTCAGAAAAGTTGGAGGATACAAAATCAATATGCAAAAAATCAAGCATTCCTGTACACCAACAATAGACAAGCAGAGAGCCAAATCATGAATGAACACACATATACAATTGCTACAAAGAGAATAAAATACCTAAGAATACAGTTAACAAAGATGTGAATGACCTCTTCAGGGAGAACTACAAACCACTGCTCAAGGAAATAGGAGAGGACACAAACAAATGGAAAAACATTCCATCCTCATGGATAGGAAGAATCAATATCATGAAAATGGCCATACTGCTCAAGGTAATTTATAGATTCAATGCTATTCCCATCAAACTACCATTGACATTCTTCACAGAATTAGAAAAAACTACTTTAAAATTCATATGAAACCAAAAAAGAGCTCATATAGCCAAGACAATCCTAAGCAAAAGAACAAAGCTAAATACATCACATTACCTGACTTCAAACTATACTACAAGGCTACAATAACCAAAACAGCATGGTACTGGTACAAAAACAGACACATAGAGCAATGGAACAGAATAGAGATCTCAGAAATAAGACCACAAGTCTACAACCATCCGATCTTTGACATACCTGACAAAAACAAGCAATGGGGAACCATATTTAATAATTGGTGCTGGGAAAACTGGCTAGCCATATGCAGAAAACTGAAAATTGTGATGGGCTGATAGGTGCAGCAAACCACCGTGGCACACAATTACCTATGTAACAGACCTGCACATTCTCCACCTGTATCCCAGAACTTAAAATAAATTTTTTTAAAAAGAAACAAACATATAAGACAATGCTAATAAATACAGTTTGTTTCTTCCTTTCCCTAATTTATGCCTTTAATATTTTTCCACCTCAATCACTGATTAGAAGCTTCTGGACATTGTTGAATAGAAGTGGAGAGAGTGGATATCCTTACCTTTTTCCCAGTCTTAGAGGGAAAGCAGTACCTTTCACCATTAAATATGACATTAAAATGTGATTTTCACAGAAGCCTATTATGAGGTTGAGAATATATTTTTATTCTTACTTTATTTTTATCGAGAGTGGGTGTTGAATTTTATCTGATGCTTTCTCTACAACTATTGAGATGATCATATGTTTTTCTCCCTTATTCTATTATTCTATGTTTATAAATTTTCTAATATTAAATCAACTTTTTCATATATTACTAGATTCAGGTTGCTAATATTTTGTCAAAGATTTTTGTGTTTAGGCTCGTGAATAATATTGGTCTGTAGTTGCCTCTTTTGTGGCATTTTTGTATAGCTTTGGTATTAGTATAAAAGTGGACTCTCTGAATAAGTTGAAAAATGTTGTCTTCTATTTTGTAAAGTAGTTTGTATAATATTGGTATTTTTTTAAAGGTTTAATAAAATTCACCAGTGCAGGCCTTTGGGAAGATATTTAATTACTAATTCAATTTTTTATCTTTTATAGAACTATTCTGATTTAATATTTCTGCTTGAGTAAATTTTGATAATTTATTGAGAAATTTGTCTATTTCATATTAGTTTTCTATGTATTTTTTGTCGTAAAGTTATTCATAGAATCCCTTTACAATCAATTTAATCAGTTGATTTCTTGTAGGGTCTGTAATAACACCCTTTCTTTCATTCTTGTTTTCTGTAATTTATGTCATCTTTCCTAGTTAATAGTTTATAAGTTTTGTCCATTGTTTTTCAAAGAACCAACTTTTGTTTTTACTGATTTCTTCTATTGGTTTTTCTACTTTTGGTTTCATGTTTTCTCTTTCTCTGATTTTTCTTTGTAATTATTTGGGTTTGGTTGGCTGTTTCCTCTACCTCCTTGAGGTAGAATGCTCAGTTGTTGATTTTGAATCTTTCTTTCTTCTAATATAATTATTTGAGGATACAAAATACTTGCTAAGCTTTACATTAGGTGCATCTCATAAATTTTGATTTGGTGTGTTTTCATTTATGTTTTTTTCTTCAACTCACAAATTACTTTTGGAACTGCATTTCTTAATTTTCAAATATTTGAGAATTTCCCAAATCTCTTCCTGTTGTTAATACTCAGTTCAATCTGTTATGGTCAGGGAACATACTTTCTATGATTTCAATTTATGTAAATTTAATTGTAGAATTGTTTAAACATGTTTTGTTGTTAACATATGGTCTGTCTTGTAGATTAATCTACATGCACTTAAAAATAATGTGTATTCTGCTATCATTCAGTTAAGATTCGGAGTATGTTATTGGGTATACTTGGATGACAGTGTTGCTCAACTTTTCTACATCCCTAGTGATTTTCTATCTATTACGTTATCAGTTACTGAGAGTATTAAAATCTCAAATTCTATTTGTTAAATTGTCTATTTCTTCCTGCAATTCTGTCAGGTTTTATACTCCATTGAGAGGGTGTCTCTGTTCTTAGATGCATGGATACTTATAATCGTTGTCTTCCCACTATATTTTCCTTTTTAGCGTTATGAAATTTCTTTTATGGTGTTTAATAATATTTCTTGTTTTAAAGTCTATTTTGTCTTATATTATTATTCCAGATTACGTATGCTTATTGTTCACAAGGCAGATTTTTTTCCATCCTTTGACTGTTAATCTAGTTGTCTTTAAAGTGTTTTTGTTTGTCTGTTTTCTGGTTTTGTTGGCTTTTTATTTTTGAGATAGTGTTTTGCTCTGTCTCCCAGCCTGGAGTGCAGTGGCACAATGTCAGCTCACTGCAACCTCTGCCTCCCAGATTCAAGCAATTGTCCTGCCTCAGCCTCCTGAGTAGCTGGGACTACAGGTGCATGCAAACATGTCTGGTTTATTTTTGTATTTTTAGTAGAGAAGGGGTTTCACTATGTTGGCCAGGCTGGTCTCAAACTCCTGACCACAGGTGATTCACCCACCTTGGCCTCCCAAAGTGCTGAGATTACAGGTGTGAGCCACTGCACCTGGCTTTTAAAGTGTTTCTTATAAATAGAATACAGTTGAATTTTTCTCCTTTATACAAGTTGACAGTCTCTCTCCCTTTTGATTACAATATTTACTCATTATCTCATTGACATTTAGTGTAATTGTTGATATGCTACTGCCATTTTAATATTTGTTTTTTGTGTCTCACCTTTTTCTCTCTGTTTTTTCTCTACTGCCATCTTTTGTATTCAACAATTCTTTTAACATACATTTTAATTCATTGGCAGAATTTTTAAATGTTTTAAAGTTATTGTCATAGTGTAGTGATTTTTATACAATGTTCATCTTTAACTTGTTAAAATCTACTTTAGGTTAATACTTATTTAATTTAGTAGACTACAGCAACTTTGCTCTAATGTATCACTGTTTCCTCCCCCATTTTATGTTATTATTGTCATATTGAAGTGGAATCATTCATCTGGGCTAAATATCTGAGATTCATTGTCTCACAGCCATGGAAAACAAGGACACAGACACACCAGAGTGAAGTTAAGAGTGGAAATTTAATAAGTGAAAGAAAAAGAAGAGCTCTCTGTGGCAGAGAGGGGTCCTGGAGAAAATGGTTGCCACTTCTGTGGTGAAGTGCAGGAAGTTTTATAGATGATCTTAAGGATGTTGTGTCTGATTTACATAGGACATGAATGATTGGTTGGCCCAGGTGTGCCATTTGCACAGAGCATGAAAAGCCGTCTGTTTCCATCTGAATCTTTTATTATGAAGATGGGTTCTTTGCCTGGCTGGTATCGTGTTGCCTGCTTCTTTACTGTACACATGGTGAAAAAGAAAAGGGAGGTTGGAGCCTCCATGTTGAACATACCTAGCCCCCAGGTAGCCTTTTCATATTGGCACAGCTATCAACACTCACCTGTGCAAGCTTTTAGCTTGCTTATCTATGTTTGCTGTTTGATTTTTCAGGCTGTTATTTCATAGAAAAAAAAATGACTTTGAGGGTTGATAAAAGTCAAAGAGAACTTTTTGTTAAAAGAGAAGGTCTGCTGAGAACTCTCTTACCCTCACTATCTGCCTACATAATTTCTTTCTATCTACTGTATTATATTTCCCCCCTTAGGAGTGGTAACCCTAACTGCTGTTATGGAGTGTTGGATGATGACCTTTTCTGGCTACTTCCTACTGGAGAGGGGTGTTGTGTGGGAGACAGCAGCTAGGGTTCCTCATGGGGTTGATTTAAGGGATCTCAGAAGAAAGTTGTGTCCATGCATTGTTCCATCTGCAGCACCATATGGAATTTGATAGCTTCTAGGTGAGAAGAGAGAAATTTTACAAGAAGTTTATAAATTCCAAATATGAGTATTAAGATTCCTACTATTGGTGGGAGTGTCATTAGTGTCATAGGCCACAACCATGACACTAGAATTTAAAACCTGTTAGCCATTCTGATGGTTTGTAATACTGATTTGTCGCCCCACCAGATGTTACTGTACTTTACCGAAATGCTAATGTAAAAGTAACATTTTTCTTAGGATAAGTGGCATTGGATTGGGTGGCTAGATTAACTTTAGTGTTAACCTTGGCTAAGTCCCTCCTGCAATTATTAATCCTTTCATGACTTACACAGACCATCTATGACAGGCTTAAACTTTCTGATTTGTCCTAAACATCCCTCCATCTCTTTAAACGACCAGTTATTTCCTTGAGGACAAGAATTTACCATACAAGATTCTTTCCTATATAAAATCCCTTTTCTTTTTCTACCTTCTTTCCATAGGTAGGGTTGATATCATAGGAGCTAAAGGGTGACATATTACCAAAGCCAATAAAAAGTCCTAGCAGACTTAGTGATTGTAAAACTTTCATGTTTACTTCTTGTCAGTAACTATTGTCCAGCTATAAGGATAATAATTAAGGAAAATACTACAGCAATTGAGATAATTTTGTCCAATATTCCACTTTGGAGGTGCTACATTATATAGTCCTACTTCAAACAGTAGAGTGAGTATAACAATTCATGCAAGGGTGGTGTAGTATTTAATTTTCATCTAAAATTTTACTCACCAAGATATAGAATTTCCCTCTGGGGGTCTATGAAGTTACAAATGTAATCCCATGGATAATCAAAATCTTCCTCCAAGTATGTATCAAGAAGCTCTAATATCTGATAGTGAATCTCAAGAGGAATGGTAGAAAAGACTGAAAGTATCTGATAAGGTAGGGGTGGAACTGCATAGGATGAGTAGCCCTCACTCATTTAATTTTCTTTTATGGTTTTTAAAGTAAGATCTCTTTTTTCTTTGCATTGATATCCAGGATGTTCCTCTAGGCTGTCTGGGGTTGCTCCCTTAGCTTTCCAGGCTTTGATTTGACTGTGATGTACCTAGGAGTTCATTCCTGTACTTTAATCACTGAGTGGATGGAAAGGAGAACAGTGTAGGGTCCTTCCATGTTTGGGCATGGGGAAGGAGAGAGAGAGGGCAGAAATTTTACCAATACCAAATCCCTTCAGTTAAATAAAGATGGTCCTATTTCTTGGGGTTGGGCTTCTACCAGTTGCATTAACTCCTATTGAAAATGAGCCAGAGTGATTACAGGCTTAACCAATTCACAGTTGTTTTGTATAATAGAAAATCATTGGTAAGGAAAGGCCATCCACACAGCATTTCTAAAGGGCTCAGACCTAACTTTCAAGGGGTATTTCTTACCCACAGTAAAGCAATGGAAAGAACAGTGATCCAAGGAAGGTGAGCTTCTCGGGACAGTTTTCTGAGGTGTCTTTTGATACTATCATTTGTTTTCTCTACCTTTTCTGAGGACTGGGGTCTCCAAGAACAATGGAGATGACACTGTATGCCTAGTGACTTTGAGACCCCTCGTGTGACAGCTGCCTTTAATGAGGGGCCATTGTCACTTTGTAGGTACTTAGGTAGGCTAAAGCAGGGAATTATTTCATTAACTAACACTTTTATTACCTTAGAAGCCTTTTCTGTACAGCATGGAAATGCTTCTACCTAGCTAGTGATAGTATCTACCCATACCAGGAGATATTGGATGCCCTTCATCTTTGGCATATAGGTGAAGTCTATCTGCCAGTCCTCCCTGGATAGCTTCTCATTCTTTGTGTTTGAGGAGGAAGGAGCCACCTGTTGAGGGGATTATTTTTAAGACAGACTTCACCAGCATTAACATCCTTTTTTAGTGTTTGTAATAAATTCTCTCCTGAAAACAGTCTCTGGGCACACTGATAAGTTTTATCCTTTCCCAAGTGAAAAGCTTGGTTTAGGATCTTAAGGAATTTCCACTGCTTGGAGGCAGGCAAGTGGAGCTTGCCATCCTATGACTGTAGACATCCAGAGGGCTAGAAATTTGTACCCCCAACAGATAGTGAATTCTATCTCTGCAGGGGAGTACTGGGGCTTAATTTCTTTTATGAAGCCTTCACAAATTAGAGGGGCTTCAAGTGTGTTGAGGCCCTGAGGCTTTCTTGCTGCTGACTTTGCTGCTTGATTAGCTAACTTGTTTCCTTTGGCTATTTCAGGGTTGTCAAGAGGTACTGCCTCTTTTCCTACTGAGAAGGAAATTCCTATTTCTTCTCCTTCCCTATATTCTCTTTTCCTTTTTGGCCTGCTATGTGAGACATATTGCTTTCTTCAAACTTCTCTCCTGTCTGTAGAACTGCCTATCTCTCAGCTGTGATTAATGTTTGGCTTATGAGCAGCACAACATCCCTCCATGAGAGGTCAAACACCTGAGTTAAAGTTTGGAAAGCTTCTATATACTTTAACTCAGCCTCCATGAGGGTCAGAAAATCAGCCTAAGTCTCCCTTTATTTGCCTAAAGTCCTGAAATGAGAATGGAACTTGAACACTAGTGGCATCACCTCCATTGGGCATTTCCTACAGGGATAAGAGTGAAGCTGGGTTGACTGTGCAACTCTTGCAAAGGTTTAGTAAGAAGGCCATACCCTTGTACAAAAGAAAATGAGCCACTTTTCAAAGTCTTGGTGTTTAAGGTGTTCCAGTGCCTCAGAATGCACTGCAGAGGGGTGCAGACAAAGACGGTTTGTTACCCATCTAGAAAGGGAAGCGAGAAAAAGGAGTTCCTTTAATATCCCTTCTTTCCTTAGAAATGGCCCAGGATGGAGGGGAAGACAGTAGGGGCATACCCCCAACTGTTTCCCCTCCTTGGTTTCCTGAGCTCAGCATCCATTAAAGGTGCTCCCCATGGATGCAGACATGACCCTCAGCCATAGAACCTGAAGAGCAAAGCAATTGGGATTAGTCACCTTCACCCACGTGACTCTAGTCCTCTGCTAGTAATTTGACTCCCTAGGCTTGTGTAATCTGTGTGGCTGTCTGATAGATGGATCTTGAAAGAGACTATGTAGCAGTTGTATTGGGGCAAGGCCCCTTAATAGAGGGAGTGTACTGGGTTGACCTCTATATTCTGCTATTATGGCCTGGACTAAAGTATTTACTCTTAGGCAGTGGCTCTGGTTAGCTTTCAAAAGTAAAATATCCTTACTATTTAAGTAGTGTTTTAATTAGAGGCAGAATAGGTGCCTTAAAATAATGTAGGGACTAAATGCAGGTTTTCCTGCTGATGGGACAGCACTAAGACTAAAATTTGGCTTTGGAGGACATTTTCCTCCTCATTATTGAATTTTTCCATTCAAAGAAGGAGCATAAATCCTGGTCTGTAGTAGTAGGGTGCAAAAAGGGAGGAGAATTAGGAAGACAGAATGTTTCAGCACTGTTAACAGGGTCACCAGGGCGTGTGAACTTTGTACTTGTAATGACCCAAGAAGCCACTGCATTCCTTACCCCTACTCAAACCTATACAACACTGAGGAACACAACCTGGGGAAGACTGGGAAATAGATTTCACTCAGATGCCACCATACAGGGGACAAAAATATCTGCTAGTATTTATAGACACTTTCACCAGGTGGATAGAGGCTTTCCCAGCAAGGACAGAAAAGGAATTAGAAGTGTCCACATTCTTATGTAAAGGGATAATCTCAAGGTTTGGATTACCAAAAAGTCCACCCAGAAATAATATACCCTCTTTCACAGCTAAAGTGATCTAGCAGATTTCCTCAGCCTTGGACATTACACATTATCTTCACTTCTCCTGAACACCTCAATCCTTGGTTAAGCTAGAAAAAGCTAACCATGTTTCTGAAAGGACATCAGAGAAACTCTGTCAAGAGACTTCAAAGGCCTGGATTTCTCTCCCACCCATAAACCTTTTACATGTGAAAATGGCTCCGAAGGGAACTCTAAAATTTAGTCCATTTGAAATGACTTATGGGAGACCCTTTTTAACTTTAAACCTCCTGTTTTATGAAGACACACATACAGTGCTCACCCATATTATCAACCTAGGCCAGGTTCAAAAAGCCCTACAATCACATGGAAATAAAATATTGCTCCCTCCACAAAGGAAAGAATTAACCCCCCTATTCCACCAGGAGAATAATAATAAAAATTTGGAAAGAAGAATCCTCTGATGATCAATAACAACTGACAGGCAAGGGCCCCTATCAGGTGCTTTTGTGTAACCCCACTGCTGTTAAACTTCAGGGTGTAACTAATTGAGTACACCTATCCAGGATTAAACCTGTTTCTTATGAGTTGCAGGCATGAAAGCAGTACATCATGACCTACATCTGTGAACCTTTGGAATTCCTCCACTACCTATTTAAAAGAATCAACACTCAGCCAGAAGTGATAAGCATGATGCTCTGGGTCAGGAATAGGAACATTAACTTTTCTCTTCTTCCTGATTATAATACTTCTTTTCTATTGCTTTAGCCAAATACCTCCTTCTAGGAAACACCTCTTTTGTCTTTGTTGTGTGTGGAGACCACTCTAAGGCCCAACCAGGCACCAAGCTGTCACTGTTAATCCAGCTTGCTCTCCCAATTACCCTGATCCAATGAGGGTGGGAACAAAACCATATAGTAAATATTTCAAAAATTATAGCATCAGGGAATCATCTTCATGGTGATGGATTTGTCATTAACATCTCTAGGATAGAAACTTCCATCTTCTATCCAGAGAATCTCATGGCCGTCTCCCTAGAATACCTAACTAACTGTAACGATCCCAGGGTACTCAGACTCCTACTTGTGAGGTGGGACTCTCTCCCACTCACAGATTCCACATGAATCCCCCAAAGCCCCCTGCTCACATGGACCTGGGAATTTGGGTATCTATGTCTCCAGCACACTAATGATTCTATATTTTAAAATCACTGTTGCATTAATGACACAAAAGCAGAAGTTTCCCTGTGATGCTCTGATCCAACTCTAGTTGCCAAGTTCCCAAGGCTGCAACTTGGTAGATGTGATTTCACTTGTAAGCAAGAGACCATATATGGTGCCTTCTACTGGATCAGAAGATACTGGAGAAAAATTAGTGCCTAATCTGAGAAGGTAACAGTACTGCCACTTTCTGGAAAATAAGCATTGTTTGCCAATCCCATTGGAGCAGAGGAAAAATATCTCTATACATCCAACTTGGAAGCAAAAGATAGACATCACACCCTGTGGCCCAGCTGGACTCATTTCTGTTTTTGGCTATGAATGGGAAGACATTACACCCATAATCACTTCCAGCTTTCCAAGGAGCCACCTGTTTCTTTAGGAATAGTTTTCCCTTGCATATCAAAAGCTTGGAACGGAGGTTAATGTACATTGGCAACCCTTGATCCTCCAGGGGTCACAGTCTATAATCCCATAAGACCCCAGGAACACCAGAAATCAGTGAGTAATAGAATTAATTCTGGCAGGAATCGGGATGGCAATAGGACTAGCAGCACAATGAGGCTTTGCCTATCACTAGTCAACACTAAAATACTTTAATCAAACCCTAGAAATTTTAATCACCAACACACGTCAGACGCTAAAGTTAATTCAGGAGCTCCCAAACTCTTGGGCAAATGTAGTTCTAAATAACAGACTCATGTTGGATTATTTATTGGCTGAACAAGGTGGAGTCTGTGTTAACTATTAATAAAACCTGCTGCACATATATTAACAACTCTGGACAGATTGAGGTTAACATTCAAATCTATAAGCAAGCTACCTGGTTACATAGACCTAACCAGGGCACTGACCTCAACAATATCTGGTCAGCTGTGAATAGTGCCTTTCCCAAGTCTCACCTGCTTTTTACCTCTCCTAGGATTTTTAATAGCCGTCCTGTTATTATTGAACTTTGGCCCTTGCTTGTTTCGTAGAATGTGTGTCTTCTAGATGACAGCAGTTCCAGGTAAAGACTATGCTGGCACAAGGCTTTCAACCTATCCCATCTACTGACCCAGAGATTAAAAGCATCCTGCCTTTGGGCCCCTTGGATCAAGTACCCAGAGAATTTTACACCTCTGGTGCTAGGCAGGGCCTATGTCCAAAAAAAATCCACAGAAAACAGTTACAGAAGATAGATATCCACCCTTCTGCAACCCCCTAAGATTAGGAGGAATATCTAATCTCTGAGAAGGCAATGAGGTAGGAGGTAAGATTCAACTCTGGACCAGATCGAAGAATGGCTGAAACAGGGAAGAGGCACCTCTCTGAAAGACATACTCAGTAGTGCCTGTCAGTTCACTATTGCGAAGGCAACACCTGGAAGTTACCACTACTTGCCATGGAAACAACATAAAAGTTATCAGTCCTTTTCTAGAAGTTTCAGAATACCCTGCCCCCTAATTTGCATGTAATTAAAAGTGAGTATAAATATGACTTCAGAACTGTCCCTGAGCTGCTACTCTCCACACTGCTGATGCAGTAGCCCTGCCCTGCAGGAGCAGTCATGGAACGGTAACACTACCATCTCAATAAAGCTGTTTTTTTTTTCTATCACCAGCTCAATCTTGAATCTTTTCCTGAGCACAGTAAGGAAACTTCCTAGTTTAAGCCCCAATTTTAGGGCTCACCTGTCCTACATCAAAGCTAAAAAAGTTATCTGCTTCCAAAGCACAATTATGGAACATTCTGTTTATGATGACATGTATTTTCTAAGTATAAGAAGCTTTCTCTACCATGCTCCTTAACTCTTTCTGCACCCTCACCAGAAGCGCCTTCAACTTCCATTATGGAAGTCTGTGTCCTATAGAAGGGGGCTCAGGTAGGAAGAGCTTCAAACCACAGAGCAGCTCTGAGAAAGTCTTCTATGGGCCAATGTGGAGGCAGTGATGATTGACCATTACAGGAGTCCCTCATTGGGCAGAAAGAGCTCAGCTCTAGTACCCTGCCGTGCTGAGTGCAGCAACAAGTAGCCAGGGAGATCACAGCCTTGGTGTTAATACTGCCAAGGACCCCAAAGCTGTGGCAGATGGAAGCAGGCAGCTAACTGCACTCTTCATGGCAGGGGTTCTCTGGAAAGAAGCTTTGAGTGGTGCACTCTCAAGGCTGCAGTGCCCCATATTTTCTTGAGGAATCTTCCAGTGGTGGTAGATGTAACTGAGAAGCTTAAAAGAACGTCCAGCAGAATCCTGAGACTAAGAGGATGCAAAGGAAACTTAGGGCCTGACAAAGGTCTATTACAAAGAATGAGGGCTTTGGGTAGTAACTTCTAGGGGTCACAACCTAAGAATAAGGGCTTAGCATCTACTCAGCTCAGCCCCTGATGAGACTTAGTAGATCTGGAATTGCAAGGGCCACAGCATGTGTGCTGGCTAAAAGCAGATACAAATTCCTTATGGAAGGAAAATAATACGACCCAGAGCCTCAAATTATCTATAGCTTTTTATATTCAAAAATAATTCAAAAACACACTAAGTTGAAATTTCATGTAACCATTAATAAAGCCAGGCTCATATCATTTGTATGATGCTTAAATTGAATTGGCACCCAGTAGGTTACACCTCCCTAAAGTGAATATTATGCATTATTTTCATCATCGTTGGTGATTACCAAGAGAAAACTAAACAGCAACTGTTTGGGATTTTATATACTTCCCATGAAAAATGTCTAGAGTTTGAAAGCTAAATTTTTTTCAGACTTCATCAAAATTGTCCTTAGACAAAGGCCTAATATTTCTCATTAGGAGTTTTAGCTATTAAGAGTCTTTGATTTTAATAAACATTTTATACAAATTAGTGCAGATGTTTTAACATATTTTCGAATTATAACCCTTCAACAGTTGTATTTTGGGGATATCATAGTGTGGAAAAATGGAATTAAACTGACTGAACTTCAGTAGAGTTTTCAGGGTAAGTGTTGAGTTGATAATGGGGCTGGGTCATTCCCTGAGGATCTGGGGTATCAACCTTGACCTCCTGCAGTGGAAACTGGGTGGAACCTGGAACTGAGTGGGAGGGATCTGTGGAAATCTTAGAAGTTTCATCTAGAGGAGTTTGGTTCTTTTTTATTATTTTATCAGATTTAAGTTCTAAATTAAGGTGGAAGTCCCATTTTCTCAAAAAAGACAACATGGAAAGACATGCAAACTTCAAAAAAAAAATGTGGCAAAATTATGATACCCAAACAGAGGATACTCAGGAAATCAGGAATCTAAGTGAAGATTCTGTACTGGTCATTGCCTGCTTTGGACTTGTATAGAAATATCACACCTAATGATATATGCTGTTAAACATGCTCTTTCCAGCCTCTTTTTAGTATTATTGTTTGTGAAAATCTTAAATTGCCTCCAATAGGCTTTGAGGAAACAAGAAAAATAATGCCCTTGGGTTGATGTTGATGTCCTTGGGTTAGTTATTTCCAGTAAGAACAGTGAATTAGGAGAGCCAGGACTAGAAGCCACCCTTGGAGTCATCATGAGAAAATCCTGGGGTGGGTATAAATGAGCACAGAGCAGGAAGCTGGGTCTGTACCTAAGACTGCCCCATTCCATCCAGTGATTCCCTTGAGCTCTGTCTGGTTTAAACTAAGAGTTACTGAAATTCACCTGGATAAGGAATGTCCTTACCTTAAACCAGCATGTAATACTTACTGAGAGTGGTTTTTATGAAAGTAAATATTATATTATTTCTTTTGAAGCATTTGAATATTATTTAACATTTTGAGAAGGGACTATTTTGTTGTTGTTTCTTGGAACACCTGGTTTGCTTCAAATGATGAAATGTTATACCAGTAGTACATCACAATTGCACAACTGCCACTATTAATTGGCATTCCTTCAACAACTTAGGGGGATCTCATCCTAGCCACAACAAACTAGAAAAATCTCTCTTCCCACCATTATTATTGCTGCTGAACACTTGTCGGAACACTGCTTTTCTATTTCACTGATGTATCCCCTTCCAATTACTGTGGCTATTTTGTTGTTGTTTTCCCAGGGTTTCTACATTATTACTACTCAACAGGCCTGAGGTTTTCCTCAGCACTTTTCGGAACAAGAAATTTCAGTTCACTGTGAGAAGCTTAATAGTAATAAAACTGTGCTCTCAGAACTATTCATCTTTCTTATGCTTAATGTTTCCCGTTAGGGTTCTCACTAGATGAATATGATGTGGCTTTTAAAATCCATTAGCTTTCCAACAGCATTCCCTTTTCTTTCTTGTATTCAAATCATTTCCACACCATTATCTTCTGGGAGTGGCACCAGTAACAAGGGAATTAGCTCTTAACTGAGTTTCTGAAATTAAGTTCATTAGAAAGAGTCTTCTCTCAGTAAACCTTGATCTCATATCTCTTTACAGAAATTATAACTTCAACTTTTCTCAGATACAATTTTTATCAAAATCTGGATAACCCTTCATCTAGACTTTCAGTCACATAACTTAGGTTATATCCAAAAGAATTGAGAGTAAAAGTGCTTTTCTCTTTTTTGTGAAAATGTTCCAACTATATTTTGAGAACACTAAGTTTAAGAATATTATAATAAAATAGAATTTTTTTAAAAGTATGACTAAAGATCTTTGCTAAATATAAATGGAATATTTTCTTCTGGCTTTCAGTGTCTTTCACGTTCATATATTAGGCTATTAATTATGTTGGAGTGCCATATTGTCATGATAAATAACTGAGGGACAGTATGTTCTAACACTTAACAGACCAGGGAAGTGTTCTATTCCCCTTGGAAAACTAACGTACACTACATGTGCTATGGTGATCTTATCATGTGTACAGTTTAAGATTGCTTTTGAAACACATATTTTTGGAGTATTAGTTACATGAAGTCAAAAGTTAAATGCAAAATTTTTATGAAGTGGCTTCCTCTCCATTCTGTAATGGAGAGACTTCTCTCCTCTGTTACCTAGAATTTTCTAGTCTTTCTGGTACATTCTGCTTGTATACTATAGTAGTAAAAGCATTGATTTTGTTTGGCTGTGTCCCCACCCAAATTTCATCTTGAATTCCCATGTGTCATGGGAGGGACCCAGTGTAAGGTAATTGAATAATGGGGGCAAGTCTTTCCTGCTGTTCTCATGATAGTGAATATGTCTCACAAGATCTTATGGTTTTATAAAAGGGAGTTTCTGTGCACGACTTCTCTTCTCTTGTCTGCCTCCATGTGAGATGTGCCTTTCACTTTCCCCCATGATTGTGAGGCCTCCCCAGCCATGTGGAACTGTGAATCCATTAAATCTCTTTTGCCTTATAAATTACCCAGTCTCAGGTATCTTTGTTAGCAATGTGAAAATGGACTAATACAGTAAGTTGGTACCAGGTGTGGGGTGCTGCTGAAGATACTAAAAAACATGGAAGCAGCTTTGGAATTGGGTAACAGGTAGGGGTTGGAACAGTTTGGAGGGCTCAGAAGAAGACAGAAAATGTGGGAAAGCTAAGAATTTCTTAGAGACTTGTTGAAGGGCTTTGCCCAAAATGCTGATAGCGATATGGACAATAATATCCAGGTGGTCTCAGATTGAAATGAGAAACTTGTTGGGAACTGGAGCAAAGGTGACTCTTGTTTTAGCAAAAAGACTGGCAGCATTTTTCCCCTGTCCTAGAGATTTCTGGAACTTTGAACTTGAGAAGGATAATTTAGGTTATCTGGCAGAAGAAATTTCTAAGCAGCAAAGCATTCAAGAGGTGACTTGGATGCTGTTAAAGGCATTGAGTTTTATAAGGGAAGTAGAGTATAAAAGTTCAGAAAATTTGCAACCTGACAATGTGATATAAAAGAAAATCCCATTTTCTGAGGAGAAATTCAAGCTGGCTGCAGAAATTTGCATAAGAACAGGGAGTTGAATGTTAATAAAAATGCCTCCAGGGCATGTCACAAGTCTTCATGGCAGCCCCTCCCATCAATGACCCAAAGGCCTAGGAGGAAAAAATAGTTTTGTGGGCTGTGTCCAGGGTCCCTGTGCTGTGTGCAGCCTAGGGACATGGTGCCCTGTGTCCCAGCCACTCCAGCTATGGCTGAAAGAGGCCAATGTAGAGCTCATACCATGGCTTCAGAGGGTGTAGGCCCCAGCCCTGGCAGCTTCCACTTGGTATTGAGCCTGCAAGTGCACAGAAGTCAATAATTGGGGTTTGGGAACCTCCACCTAGATTTCAGAGACTGTACGCCAATGCCTGGATATCCAGGCAGAAGTTTGCTGCATGGGTGGGGCCCTCAGGGAACACCTCTGTTAGGGCAGTGAAGAGGGAAATGTGGAGTCAGAGCCCCCACACAGATTCCCTACTGGGGCACCACCTAGTGGAGCTGTGAGAAGAGGACCAGTGTCCTCCAGAACCCAGGTTGGTAGATCCACTGACAGCTTACACCATACACCTGGAAAACCTGCAGAAAATCAATGCCAGCCCATGAAAGAAGTCAGGAGGGAGGCTGTACTCTGCAAAGCCATAGGAGTGGAGCTGCCCAAAACTATCAAAACCCAACTTTTGCATCAGTGTGACCTGGATGTGAGACATGGAGTCAAAGGAGATCATTTTGGAGCTTTAAGATTTAACTGCCCCACTGGATTTTGGACTTGTATGGCACCTGTTTTGGCCAATTTCTCCCTTTTGGAATAGATGGATTTACACAATGCCTATAACCCATTGTATTTAGGAAGTAACTAATTGGCTTTTGATGTTAAAGGTTCATAGGCAAAAAGGGCTTGCCTTGTGTCAGATGAGACTTTAGACTGCAGACTTTTGAGTTAATGCTGAAATGAGTTAAGACTTTGGGAGACTGTTGGGAAGGCATGATTGCTTTTGAAATGTGAGGACATGAGATGTGGGAGGAGCCAGAAACAGAATATGATTTGGCTGTGTCCCCACCCAAATCTCATCTTACATTTCCACATGCTGTGGGAGGGACCCAGTGGAAAGTAATTGAATCATGGGGGGCAGGTCTTTCCCATGCTGTTCTCACAATAGTGAATAAGTCTCATGAGATCTGATGATTTTACAAAGTGTTGTTTCCCTGAACAAGTTCTCTTCTCTTGTCTGCCGCCTTGTGAGATGTGTCTTTCACCTTCCACCATGATTGTGAGGCATCCCCAGCTATGTGGAATTGAGTCCATTAAACCTCTTTTTCCTTATAAATTACCTAGGTATGTCTTTATTAGCAGTGTGAAAACAGACTAATACAAGCACCCACATGAGAATTACACAATTGTGATTCTTATATGAACCATCTGCATAGGTTATTTTCATACAGATCATATGGTAGGTTATGTAATCTCTGTCAGTCTCAATCTCCCCATAAGGGGAATTGGGATGATAATTTTCACCTCACAATTTTATTATACAGATACATGGCAGAATATTTTAAGCATGTATTAATATGTACCCAATCTTATATTCAGTGCCTAAAATATTGTAGTTGCTGAAATATATTTATGGACTTGAATATCATAAGCAGCACACAACTTCATGTCCATATTATTTTGTTACAATATAGCTAAATTTATTTCTAAAGTTTTATTTCAAGTATCTATAATTTACAGATTACCTAGAGGTGGCATTCTGAACATGTAGATTAATACAGTTTACATCCTAAAAATTTATTCAGTATTTATTCCCACAGAAATTTGATACAAACCATGGTTAAGTTTCTAGGCTGCATCACAGAAAACTATAACATCCATAAAATAGCTGACATCATATTGTTACAGAAGGTCCCTATTCAGATATAAGCAAGGCAGGAGAGGGCCACCCCCTGCCCCACCAAGAATATCAGGTAACCATCAGATGATAATCAGACAGCTGTTAAGCTGTTTCTCTAAAATAATAATTGGTTGTAGCTGGCACCAGGGAAAAGCAGTCTCCCAGTAAAGAGAGAAAACCTGAAGCTGGTGAGCAGAAGCTTCTCAATAAGATCTCAGGAGTTGGGCCAAGGGGCTCAAGCATGCACGCAAAGAGGCAAAATTGTGGAGTGTAAGCACTAGACTAGCAAAGGTCTTGATTGAACATGCATACAACTCCAATAAACACACTGTGAATGTGGCCCTTTCAAGTGCTGACAGGCCACTGTGCATGTGGACAACCCACCCCATTGAAAAATCAGAGGAGAAGAAACAGAAGATCCTGGAAGCATGCCAATGTATAAAACCCCAAGTTAAAGTTTATAAAGAGCACTTGAATCTCTCAAGTCACCCACTTGGTCCTCTTCCAAGTGTACTTTACTTCTTTTCATTTCTGCTCGAAAGCTTTTTAATAAACTTTCACTTCTGCTCTAAAACTTGCCTCAGTCTCTCACTCTGCCTCATGCCCCTCAGGCAATTTTTTTCTTCTGAGGAGGCAAGAATTGAGGTTGCTGCAGACCCATATGGATTTGCTATCATGAACACTATTAGTTTACCTTATGCACCAAACACATTAATCTTGAGAGCTCAAGTTTACTGTGAGTCATGTGCCTTGAAAGCTTAGCTAACCCTGCTGACCACTGCGCCTTCATGGATATTGCTTTCTTCCTTGAGACTGTGAGTGCAGAAAAGAGCTATGGAGAAATTGGGTGGAGAGAAGAAAGAAGAAAAAAATTTCAACAGAAAACCTACTGGAAGAAATTTGAGACCTTGGAGAAAGGGTTTGAGTTAAGGTAGAACTAATTTAAAAGAATTAAATTGTACACCCATGTTCACAGCAACACTATTTAAAATAGCCAAGAAATGGAAGCAACTCAAGTTTTATTTCAAGATGAATAAAAAGAGTGTGTGTGTGTGTGTGTGTGTGTGTGTGTGTGTGTGTGTGTGTGTATGCAATGGAATATTATTCAACTTCAGAAAACAAAAATATTCTGGCACATGCTACAACATGGATGAAATTTGAAGACACTATGCTAAGTAAAATGAGCCAATTACAAAAAAAAGCTGTATGATTGCACTTATATGATGTATGAAGAGTAGTCAAATTGATAAAGACAGAAAGTAAAATGGCAGTTTTCAGGGGCTGAAAGAAGAGAAGTTTGGATAATTTCTGCTTAATGGAAATGAAATTTCAGTTTTGCAAGATGAAAAGAGTTCTGCAGATTGGTAGCATAAAAATGTGAATTTACTTAACGCTACTGTATATTTAAAAATAGTTCAAATGATAAAATTGTACGTGTATTTTATCAATTTTTTTTAAAACTAGAAAAGTGGATCATAGTACTAAGAAAATAGGTCATTTATCTTGATTGTCAACATGCTTTGAGACGTCTGACTATTATTTAAGGTTCAGCTTTGGAACAATTTGATGGGTGAAAGAGAGGGGAAAGGGTTAAAAAACTACCTATTGGTGTTCCAGCAGGTAGCTAATCAGGCATAATCAGGTCAGGGGAGGGCTCCCCCACCCACTCAGGAATGTAAGGCAGTCATCAGGCAATGGTCATGTGGTCATTAAGCTATCTCTGTAAAATGGCTAGCTGCAGCCAGCACCAGGGAAAGGCAGTCTCTCAATAGATAGAAAACACCTAAAATTGGTGATCAGAAGCTTCCCAATAAGATCTCAGGAGTTGGGCAAATGGGATCATGCATGCACACTAAGAGGCAAAACATTGGAGTTTCAATGAAATATGACCCTTCTCTGTGAACATTCAATTGGTAAGGGAAGAACACCTCAAGTGAGAATGTGTACAAGTCCAGTAAACACATTGTGCATGTGTCTCCTCCTAGGTGCTTGCAGGCCACTGTACATGCAAGGCAGCCCACTCAAAGGGAAGAATCAGGGAAGAGGGGATGCAAGACCCCAGAAGCATGTCATGTACCTTGGTTTAAGACCATTTCCTCCTTCCTCCTCCCTAAAACCTTCATGTAACTAAGAGAATTTGGGGGCATTACAGGATTTTGCAGACTACGTATACCTGAGTATCGTAAGATAGCTCGTCACTTATAACACCTCATGAAATAAACTCAAGTGGCTAAAACTCGTTTCCTCACCTGGGAAACTGAAGCACAAAAGGCCTTTAACCGGTTAAAACAAGTCTCACTTAAGGTACCAGCTCTCACACTTCCAGTAGGGAAGGCCATCAATCTTTTTTTTATCAGCAAAAACGGGAATGGCCCTGGGAGATTTAACTCAAGCTCAAGGACAAGCTCAAAATCCAGGGGGCTACCTGAGCAAGGAATTTGATTTGGCGGCTAAAGGATGGCCAGCATGACTCCAAGCAATTGCTGTGGTGGTCCTGCTTGTACCAGAAGCCAGCAAATTAACTTTGGGAAATGGCTTAACTGTTTATACCCCGCATAATGTAGCAGACTGCTGTCCCCTATAGGTAACCTTTGGCTAACAGACAGATGACTCCTTAAATACCAGGCTGTACTTTTAGTGAGGTCTACAATTCATTTAAGATTGTGTTCCCCCCTCAACCCAGCCACTTTCCTCCCTGAGGAAATTGGGGCGCCTCAACATGACTTTGAACAAATTGTGGTACAGACCTCTGCAGCCAGGTAGAATCTCAGGAAAACTCCCTTAGAAAATCCAGACTGGACCCTCTTCACAGATGGAAGTTCGTTTGTGGAGCAAGGTCTCCATAAGGCAGGATATGCAATAGCCACTCTGAATGATGTTATTGAAAGTGCTCTCCTGTCTCCAGGAACAAGTGCTCAATTTGCAGAACTGATAGCTCTTACAAGAGCACTTCAAAGAAGTAAGGGAAAGGTAGGTAACATTTACATGGACTCCTTGTATGCTTTCTTAGTTCTTCATGCTCAAACTGCCATTTGAAAGAAAAGACACTATCTTATCACTAATGGATCCCCTATAAAATATCATCAGGAAATTAACAGGTTATTATCCTCAATTTTCCTTCCAGGAGAATTAGCAGTGATGCATTCTCAGAAACATCAGAAGGAAACAGATGAAATCACAAAGGAAAACAAGTTAGCTGATGAGACAACCAAGTCTTTGGCAAGAAAGCCTAAGGGCCTCGACACTCTTAAAGCCCTTCTAATCTGGATAGAATCTCCAAGAGAAATTAAGACTCAGTACACCCCTACAGGGATAGAATGGGCCACTTCTCAGGGGTACATTTTTTACCCCTTTAGGATGGCTACAGTCAGAGGATGGCAAACTCCACTTGCCAGCCTCCAGGAAGTAGAAAGTCCTTAAGATCCTTCACCAAGTTTTTCACTTGAGTAAGGATAAAACTTACTGTGTCCAGAAACTGTTTTCAGGAGAGAACTTATTAAAAAGAGTCCAACAGGTTGTTAATGCTTGTCAAGACTGTCTTAAAAATAATCCCCTCAACAGGCAGCTCCTTCCTTGTCAAATACAAAGGATAGGATTCTATCCAGCAGAGGACTGGTAGATAGACTTTGCCCACATGCCAAGGATGAAGGGCATCCCATACCTCCTTGTGTGGGTAGATACTTTCACCAACTGGATAGAAGCATTTCCATGCTGTACAGAAAAGGCTTCTAAGGTAATTAAAGTGTTAGTTAATGAAATAACTCCCCACTGTAGTCTACCTAAGTACCTCCAAAGTGACAACAGCCCCATTGTTTAAGGCAGCCATCATACACGGGGTCTCAAAGGCACTAGCCAAACAGTACCATCTCTATTGTGCTGGGAGATCTCAGTCCTCAGGAAAGGTAAAGAAGACAAATGATATTATCAAAGACATCTCAGAAAACTGTCCCAAGAAACTCACCATCCTTGGGTCAATCTTCTTCCCATGGTTTTACTGCAGGTAAGAAATACCCCTTCAAAGTTAGGTCTGGGCCCTGTTGAAATGCTGTATGGATGGCCTTTCCTTACAAATGATTTTCCAATAGACCAAGAGACCTCTGAATTGGTTAAGCATGTAATTTCCCTAGCTCACTTCTAACAAGAATTAATGCAAGTAGCAGAAGTCCAGCCACAAGAAATAGAACAACCTTTTATTAAACCAGGAGATTTTGTATTGATAAAGGCTCTCCTCTCCCTATCTTCTTCCCTAAACCTAAGCTGGGAAGGGCCTTACACTTTTTTTTCAACCCCATCGGTGGTAACATTTACAGAAATTAACTTCTGTATACGTTACAATTGAGTCAAATCTTGGAAAGCTGAGGGAGCAGCCCTGGATGGCCCAGAGGAATATCCTGGATATCAATGCGAAGAGATAGGGGATCATAAGCTGAAAACCATAAAAGATAAGTAAATGAGTGAGAGCTACTTGTCCTACTCAGTCTAACCCCTACCTTACCAGATACTTTCAGTCATTTCTACCTTTCCTATCAAGATTCACCATTAGATATTAGAACTTCTTTTTCATGCATACTTTCAGGGACATTTTGATTATCCATGGGATTACATTTGTGACTTTATAGACACCCAAAGGGAAATTCTATATCTTCACGAGTAAAATTTTAGATGAAAATTATTTACTAAACCATACTTGCAGAAGTTACTATACTCACTCTGCTATTTGCAGTAGGACTATACACTTTGCCACATGCGATGTCAAATTCCAGGAGGAAAATTCTAATTGCTGTAATATTCTGCCTAATTTTCACCTTTATGGTAAAACTAATAATTATAGAAATGATTTAGCCAAAGTTAACACTAAAGTTACTCTAGTCACCCAGTCCAATGCCACTTATCCAAAAAAAAAAAAAGTTGCTTTTTTATTAACGCTTCTGGTAAAGTACACCGACATCTGGTGGAGGCAAACCAGTATTACAACCCTTCAGAATGGCTAACAGGTATCAAACTCTTCTGTCATGGTTGTGTCCTATAGTACCCCCACTAATTGTGGTAATCCTAATATTCATATCTGAACACTATATTCTAAACCTTCCTCTTTTCACCTAAAAGCTGTTAAACTCCAAATAGTGCTGCAGATGGAACCACACATGGACATGACTTTCTTTCAAGGACACTTTGATCAACCCCAGGATGAGCCTTAGCTACTGTTCCCTACACAGTGCTCCTCTCCAGCAGGAAGTAGTCAGAAAGAGTCATCATCCATCCTTCTCTAACAGCAATTAGGATTTCCACTCCTGAGGGGGAAATATGATATAGGAGGTAGAAATAAATTGTTTAGGCAGATAGTGAGTGGAAAACAGTCCTCCACAGAATTTCTTTTCTAACAAAAAGTGGCCCACAGCATTATTCTTTTTTTTCTAACAAAAAGCAGCCTGAAATATCAAGCTACAAACTTAGATAAGCAAGCTGGAAGCTTACACTGGGGAATGACAACAGCTGCACCAATAGAAAAAGGCTACCTAGGGGCCAACCATGTCTAATATGGAGGCTCCATCTTCCCTTTTTTTATTACCATGTGTTCAGTAAGAAAAAAATAGGCAACATGGTGCCGCTCAGGCAGAGACCCACCTGCATAATAAATGTTTAGGGTGGGAGGTACCAGAGATCGTGCCTTGTGAAAATAAAACACATGATCTAACCACTTTCTTTATGGCATATATAAATCACACACCACCTCTTCACTAGCTCATCGATAAAATGCCAGGCATTTCACCATGGACCCAGCAACCCATTTTTCCAGCACAACTCCCTGCAGCAGAGGACTGTTCTCTTTCTCTTGCTACTAAAATTCTGCTCCCAACCTCATGCTTTCTGTGTCAGTGTTTTTATTCTCCATGGCTGTAAGACAACAAATTTCGGTGTTACTCTAGACAATGAGGCTGCTTCAACAGCAGACCCCAAATATAAAAATATTTTACCCTGACATATGTTTCTTTGATATATTTTGAAATGGCCCTGCAAAGCTGTCTTTTTGCATCTTTAGAACATTGCCATTAAAGCAGCCAGGCCGTCCCATTCTAGGACTTTCCCAGATCTAGGAGAGATTAAATGAGAAGCTGATGCTTTTAACATCTGAAAAGATATATTTGCCACCTATACTCTATGAAGGCTGCTACCAATGAGGCTTCTTCTGCATAACAAGAAACTTGGCCTCCACAAACCCCCTTATCTTAACTCAAGCATTCCTTTCTACTGACTTCAAGTCTCTTTAGACAAAGCTTAACTCTTTCAAACAATTGCCAATCAGAAAATCTTTGAATCCACCTATGACTTGTAGCCATCCCCCTTGAAGATATCTCACCTCTAAACTTGAACCAATACATTCCTTCCATGTATTTATTTATGCTTTTATCCACAATTCATGTCTCCCTAAGATGTATACAATCAAATTGTAACCCAATTACCTCAGGCACACTATCTCAGGACCTCTTGAGAGCTATAGTCACTCATATTGCCTCAGAATAAATCTCTTTAAATATTATACAGAGTTTTTTTAATCAACAAGACTATTTTATAAGTCTTGTAAAATTATCTGGTTGTTTAAAACATGTACATGTATAACTGATAAAAATAAGAATATAATTATCTAAAATATTACATTTATAGCACTATTCACCTATGCCAAAATTATAGCCTTCCTACAGAAATTAAAGTGATTCTTATTTTCCATATTGGAAAAAAAATGTTTCCACCAATTTCTGGATCTGTTAGCAAGATAAGCTACAGACAAAACCCCTCAGACAACGAGTTAAAGAAGGAAGGGCTTTATTTGGCCGGGAGCATTGGCAAGACTCATGTCCCAAAAACCGAGCTCTCCAAATGAGCAATTCCTGTCCCTCTTAAGGGCTTACAACTCTAAAGGGGTCTGCATGAGAGGGTCGTGATTGATTGAGCAAGCAGGGGGTACATGACTGGGGGCTGCATGCACCAGTAATTAGAACAGAACAGAACAGGACAGGGATTTTCACAGTGCTTTTCCATACAATGTCTGTAATCTATAGATAACCGATTAGGTCAGGGGTCAATCTTTAACTACCAGGCCCAGGGTGTGGCACCGGTCTGTCTGCCTGTGGATTTCATTTCTGCCTTTTAGTTTTTAGTTCTTTTTTCTTTGGAGGAAGAAATTGGGCATTAGACAATATGAGCGGTGGTCTCCTCCCTTAGATCTAGTGGATGTTTGCCACCCAATTGACTTCTAAATCCTCTGTTTCTCCTTGCAGCCAATTTTCTTTACATAAGTAGACAAGGAATAGTAAACATGGGTAATTTTAAACAGAAATAATATAATAACCTGTGGATAACAATGATAACATGGTGTCAACTGAAATTTCCTGGAAAATTTAAACACTCAAGAACATACATCACAGATTGTGTCCTGACAAATTTGTATCCTAACAAATTAAGAAAATCCAATCCACACTCTTAATATTGTTTAATTCCATGGCAAATGTTTCTAGACATAGAATGGGTAAAGAGAGAAAAAAAGAAACAACAGTTAAACCTTGAGCTGTGAACAGTGTTAAGTTGTATGCCATCCTGAATTTAAATATGCCAATGTGGAGGCTTTAGAATAGAAGAAGCCAAAGAAACTACCAAGTATAAAGCCCTCGTGATAGAATTCTAAAACCCAAAGTAATGAGTTGGTTTACTCATACTGATTTGATGAAAAACTAATTTTAAAATAAAGCACATTCATTTTCTCTAGTTCTTCGTACAGAGATACACTTTAGGATTATAGACCAGTTTCATCCCAATAGAGAAGAAAGAGGTAGTGATTGATATGGGGAAGCAGAATTCCCACCAAATTACAGGTTCTCAGGGTACAGTCATTTTTATCTGCCTGGTCAAAGGACAAAATTTCAGTAGAGGGTCCCAGTAGGGGCAGCGGCATGCGCTGACTGCATGTCCTGTTGCCTCAGACCATCCTGTTGAGCTGCCTCTGTAATCTTCTTACAGAGCCACCAAGCTGTGGTCCTGCCTTCTACCTGCACTGCTGGGCAACCAAGGGCAGGACCAGATTCTAGGGGAGGAATACCCAGGCAATGAAGGTCTGGAGCACTCCGTGTAAAAATAACACAAATCCTTTAAAACAGCATATGTAAAATAAATCACAACATATATATTAAACATACAATGGTGCTGAAAATTTGCAATATTCTAGAGTTGTGAGGTTTTATCAATTATCTAAGCTTTGTATTTAAAGCTTACAGGCCTTATTCTAAGAATGCTAAATCCAATGCTGGGAATCATTTAATTGTATCAAGCAGTAAACAAATAAATAAATTAATGGTCAGATTTGTTTAAAAATGTGTATCTCTTTGGATCACTGCTGACCAACCTAATCTCTTTCCTGCATTCCTGCATCCTGCCTGGCCTCAGCTGCCTCTCCCTTTCCTTGTCTTAGACGTCAACTCCAAGCCACCAGTTCTTAACTTTGCCTGCACTTTGGTATCCTCTGGTGATTTAAAAACATAGATATCTTGGTCCTGCTCCTGGAGATTTTGATTTGGTTGGTAACGGGTGTAATTCTTTTAAAACACCCCACGGTTTGTATGATGCAGCCCAAGTTGGAAACGATGTCTTCCTTACACTGTCTGAGGACCTCAGTTCTGGTGTCTTCTTCACACCGACTGAGGACCTCGGTTCTGGTGTCTGCCTCGGCACGGGCATCCCACCTGCTCCCCACCTGCTTTTCACCTCTATAATCCTCACCACCTTGTCAGGAGCTGCTCATTCTGGCCAGAAGCAGTCCTAATACAAGCTGCTTGTGTGCACGTTGGTGACACGTGCCAGCAGTGAGAGGTTCAGTCCCTCCATCCCAGATGACTGAGAGACTGCTTTCGAATCGCTGCTTCCCATGCATTGAGCCACCTAGGAGGGTTTCATGTAACCACATACAATAGGGAGTTGTTCTTCTCCAGGACGGCCTCTCCTAGGGGGGACAATAGTCCATCTTCTCTCATGGTGGGCTTGTTCCTCCCTGTCCTCGCCCCATATCACCCTCACTCTTTTGAAGCAGAGACTATGTGTACGTTCTTTAAATTATGCTTGAAATCAGTCATTCTCGGAGTGAAAGCAGATTTCTCTTGAGGATATGGCTATTTAGATTGCGCTACTGGCTTTGTCTCATAAAGAGAAACAGTTAAGGTTGTGCACATACCTGTTTCAGTTCCAGTATTAGGAAGACCATGCCGTCTTACCTGCAGGTCTGCTACCACCTCCTGGCCACTTTTAGAATAACAGCTTTTCAGCTCTTGCTAAGTAGCTTCTGTTTTTCTTGGACATCATTACTTTATACTTTGCATTTCTTTCTCATTTTCCTTCCCCTCATATTCTCACCACTACTCTTCTAGACTTTGATTATACTATTTAATTGCTCTTATAGACTCATATGGCAAAGCTGAGAATGTATTTTCATTATAGAGTTGGCCAAGTCAGAAAAACCAACTATACCAGTTATTTGGGATCACACACACATGAGCGCTCACACACAAACACACACGCTCTCACAAAAAGACAATTAGCCAATTGCACTTTGCTGCCAGTTAAGCCGGCACTTGGTATCCATAGGCAATGCACCAGCTGTTCCCACCATGCTTAAATCAGCCAGGCCAGCAGCATCCTCCACCTGGCCAGCATCCCCATGTGTATTATTTGTCTATTCTTGCATTGGTATAAAGAAATACCTGAGACTAGGTAGTTTCTAAAGTAAAGAGGTTTAATTGGCTCACAGTTCTGCGGGTTGTACAGGAAGTATAGTGGCTTCTGCTTCTAGGGAGGCCTCAGGAAACTTACAATCACGGTGGAAGGCAAAGGGGAAGCAAACACATTTTACATAGTGGTAGTAGAAAGGAAGAGAGAGAGGGGAGAGGTGCTACACCAGATCTCATGAGAACCCTATCATGAGAACAGCACTATAGGAATGGTGCTAAAGCATTAGAAGCTGCCTCCATGATCCAATCACCTCCCACAAAGACCCATCTCCAGCATTGGGTCTTTCTTTCTCTTTCTTTTCTTTCTTCCTTTCTTCTTTCTTTCTTTCTTTCTTTCTTTCTTTCTTTCTTTCTTTCTTTCTTTCTTTCTTTCTTTGTTTCTTTGTTTCTTTGTTTCTTTCTCTTTCTTTTTTCTTTCTCTCTTCCTTTCTTTCTTTGAGAAAGATCTCCTGACCTCTTAGGCTTCAAGCAATCCTCCCAACTCAACCTCCCTGGTAATTGGGAGAACAAGTGCGCACCACCATGCCTGGGTAATTTTTTTTTTTTTTTTTTTTGAGAGACGGGGTTTCATTTCCCTGTATTTCTTGCCCAGGCTTGCCTAGAACTACTGAGCTCTAATGATCCACCTGCCTCTGCCTCCCAAAGGGCTGAAATTACAGGTGTGACCCACCATGCCTTGTCCAGATTTGGGTGGGGACACAGATCCAAACCATATCTCCATGGTAGCCATGGTTTCATGATCAAAAGAAGTATTAAATACCACAGCAAATACCATACCAGGATTAAATACCATATTTGGTGAATGCCTACCTTTATCTTTTAAATCATTTCCATGATAGATATTAATTTCATTTTAAAGTTTTGTGATTATTATTGTTTATCAGTAGAAGCTAGCATTACTACTTTCCAATATGAAGAATGATTTATTTAAAAACACAAATTTAAGGAGATACTTTTACTTTTTAGCCTACATTTTTTTTCTCAGTAAAAGAGTATTTTGGGGCCCACTGACCTCTCATTTTATGCCACTGAACTATGTAACCACTCTAGATCATTGGTTTGGATTAGAGATGGTAAAAAATATTTTTTTCTAAAAGCAAAGTATGTCTTGGTACATATAAGGTTTATGTCATTCAGCAGATTTTGAGAAAGTAAATGCGAAATTAAAACACTTAATTCAATTTTCCTAGTTAACCAGATGATGGCAGCATATCCACATTTTATCAACTGTGAACACAAGGAAAGGGGACTCACCTCTACTTAGTACTGCTAAATACTAATTTCCTGTAATTATCCCCAAATAATTTCAGTTTTCAAAGTATTTTAGTACCAATACTGTAATGTTTTATATTGTAAACATAGAACTGAGTAAATACTGAGACGATATCTTTAATTTGCCTGCAGGTGAGCTGCATTTTGATTCCATGGCTCCTTTCTTGGGCAATAACAGATCCATCAATTATTTTCTAGATTAGCAATATCCAATAGAACTTTCTATCATATATCTGTGCTGTTCAATATGATAGCTACTAGGATCATAACCAAATGTGGCTATTGAGCACTTGAAATGTGTTGGTGCTACTACTACTACTAGTATGTAGTACCACTAGTGCTACTGAGGAATTAAGTTTTAATTTAATTTGAATTAATTCAAATACATAGAGTCATGTATGATAGTAGCTATTGTTACTGGAGAACACAGTGCTAGTTGATACAGATGACTTACCCAACAAGTCAGCCTGTTTCTCAGACTGATTCATTGCTACTTTGTGGGTAAAACTTGCTTAATATAAGCATATCTAATCAGAGGCTATTAAAATTAACCTTTTAGTGGGAATTCCCAGTCTCATTCTTGACCCAACTCTTGATCAAATTCTCTCCAGTCCTACTAGTTCTTTCTAAGGCTTACGTCTCCAGTGCCACCCCTCAACCCATGTCTTCCTGATTCTTCTGTGAGCTGATGGATACTTTTTTTGTCCTATAAGACCTCCCATTCATGTTCCACCTTTGACCATGGGCCTCTATATTCCACACATTCTCCTGGATTATCCCACTTACTTCGTGGTTTTAATTTCTATCCCTGAGCTGCTGACTTCCAAATCTGTAGCAACAGCCTTGACCTTGGCAATACTTCTTACGGCCAGATCCAAAGTCTTCATGGACATCTTCATCTGGGAAGCTCCCACATAAAATATCCATAAATAAGCTTACATTCCTCTAAGTCTACTTTTCCTGTAGGCTATATTTCCATTACAATCCATCAGTTACTGAAGTCAGATACTGAGTCAACCATCTCAAGTTTTTCTCCTTCACTTTCCCCACATTCTATTAATTTTAGCTCCTGATAATTTCCAAATCCATCTCCCATCACTCCATCCTTATGGCTATTGCCTTGTTCAGTCTTCGTCATCTCCCTCCTGCTGCAATGGTTCACTTGATGGCTTCCTTATTTTGTTTTGTCTGCCTCAAATCCTTTCTCCCCACAGCCACATCTTTCTAAAGACATCTTTGCCACTGAACACTCTCCCATGGCTCCTGCACTGCTTAAGGATTAAGACCAGAGCTCTTACACTGTTCACCATGACCTGCTCAATGACCCAGCCTCAACCACCACCACTCCAGTCTCTCACTCTACCCTGTCACACTTTTAATGGCTTGTGACTCCCTGGACACACTGCTGTGTTTCCATCTCTCTTTTCATACTTCTGAGGTTTTATCCATTCTGCTCCATCCACTAGAAATAGTCTCTGCTCACCCTCCCTTCTATCCTAAGAAGGGCTAAGAACTATTTATTCAGGCACAATTCAAGCAGCATTTCCTCTAGGAAACTTCCACTCATTTCCCCGACTAGACAAAATTACCTTACACAGCCTTTTTGCATATCTTTGTCATTGTAATTATAATTGTTGATTTTCTCTCTCAGCTGCTTGAATGCCAGGATTTTCTCTTATTCAATGATTGCAGGCAGTTGATGCTCAAAATTTTTACCAAACTTTGGCATGAAATTCACATTGAATTGCAAGAGCTGTTTCTCCATTGTAGTAGGTGTATTTTAAAAGTACAGTGAGTGTACATAGAAGAAAATTGTGACTAGCTCTGAATAGGACTTTCTATGTCCAAATTGTCCCAAACTCTCTACAGTAACTTGCCAATCATAATGGATATTTTTTTTTCACAAAATCATCCCAAGTGGCCTGTAGCTCATCTCAAATACCTGCTTTGAAAATGAACATTCAGGGGGTGGTTCCAAGATGGCTGAATAAGAATAGCTCCAGTCTATAGCTCCCAGCGTGAGCGACACAGAAGACCGGTGATTTCTGCATTTCCAACTGAGGTACCAGGTTCATCTCACTGGGGCTTGTCGGACTGTGGGGGCAGGACAGTAGGTGCAGCCCACCGAGCGTGAGGCGAAGCAGGGCGAGGCATCGCCTCACTCGGGAAGTGGAAGGGGTCAGGGAATTCCCTTTCCTAGCCAAGGGAAGGGGCGACCGACAGCACCTGGAAAATCGGGTCACTCCCACCCTAATACTGCGCTTTTCCAATGGTCTTAGCAAATGGCACACCAGGAGATCATATCCCACGCCTGGCTCAGAGGGTCCCACGCCCACAGAGCCTCTCTCATTGCTAGCACAGCAGTCTGAGATCAATCTGCAAGGCAGCAGCGAGGTGAGGGAGGGGCGCCCACCGTTGCTGAGGCTTGAGTAGGTAAACAAAGCGGCCGAGAAGCTCGATCTAGGTGGAGCCCACCGCAGCTCAAGGAGGCCTACCTGCCTCTGTAGACTCCACCTTTGGGCCAGGGCATAGCCGAACAAAAGGCAGCAGAAACCTCTGCAGACTTAAATGTCTCTGTCTGACAGGTTTGAAGTGAGTAGTGGTTCTCCCAACATGGAGTTTGAGATCTGAGAACAGACAGACTGCCTTCTCAAGTGGGTCCCTGACCCCCGAGTAGCCTAACTGGGAGGCACCCTCCAGTAGGGGCAGACTGAAACCTTACATGGCTGGGTAACCCTCTGAGATGAAGCTTCCAGAGGAATGATCAGGCAGCAACATTTGCTGTTCAGCAATATTCATTGTTCTGCAGCCTCAGCTGCTGATACCCAGGCAAACAGGGTCTGGAGTGGACCTCCAGCAAACCCCAAAAGACCTGCAGCTGAGAGTCCTGACTGGTAGAAGGAAAATTAACAAACAGAAAGGACATCCACACCAAAACCCCATCTGTACGTCACCATCATCAAAGACCAAAGGTAGATAAAACCACAAAGATGGGGAATAAACAGAGCAGAAAAGCCGAAAATTTTAAAAATCAGAGTCCCTCTCCCCCTCCAAAGGAACACAGCTCCTCACCAGCAACAGAACAAAGCTGGATGGAGAATGACTTTGACAAGTTGAGAGAAGAAGGCTTCAGAAGATCCAACTTCTCCGAGCTAAAGGAGGAAGTTCGAACCCATTGCAAAGAAGCTAAAAACCATGAAAAAAGACTGGACGAATGGCTAACTAGAATAACGAATGTAGAGAAGTCCTTAAATGACCTGATGGAGCTGAAAAACATGGCATGAGAACTATGTGACGAATGCACAAGCTTCAGTAGCCGATTCAATAAACTGGAAGAAAGAGTATCAGTGATGGAAGATCAAATGAGTGAAATGAAGTGAGAAGAGAAATTTAGGGAAAAAAGAGTAAAAAGAAACCAAAAAAGCCTCCAAGAAATATGGGACTATGTGAATAGACCAAATCTATGTCTGATTGGTGTACCTGAAAGTGACGGGGAGAATGGAACCAAGTTGGAAAACACTCTGCAGGATATTATCCAGGAGAACTTCCCCAACCAGCAAGGTAGGCCAACATTCAAATTCAGGAAATACACACAACGCCACAAAGATACTCCTCAAGAAGAGCAACTCTAAGACACATAATTGTCAGATTCAACAAAGTTGAAATGAAGGAAAAAATGTTAAGGGCAGCCAGAGAGAAAGGTCGGGTTACCCACAAAGGGAAGCCCATCAGACTAACAGCAGAACTCTCAGCAGAAACTCTACAAGCCAGAAGAGAGTGGGGCCAATATTCAACGTTCTTAAAGAAAAGAATTTTCAACCCAGAATTTCATATCCAGCCAAACTAAGCTTCATAAGTGAAGGAGAAATAAAATACTTTACAGATAAGCAAATGCTGAGAGATTTTGTCACCACCAGGCATGCCCTACAAGAGCTCCTGAAGGAAGCACTAAACATGGAAAGGAATAACTGGTACCAGCCACTGCAAAAACATGCCAAACTGTGAAGACCATCCCTACAAGAGCTCCTGAAGGAAGCACTAAACATGGAAAGGAATAACTGGTACCAGCCACTGCAAAAACATGCGAAACTGTGAAGACCATCGATGCTATGAAGAAACTGCATCAACTAACGAGCAAAATAACCAGCTAACATCATAACGACAGGATCAAATTCACACATAACAATATTAACCTTAAATGTAAATGGGCTAAATGTTCCAATTAAAAGACACAGACTGGCAAATTGGATAAAGAATCAAGACCCATCAGTGTGCTATATTCAGGAAACCCATCTCACATGCAGAGACACACATAGGCTCAAAATAAATGGATGGAGGAAGATCTACCAAGCAAATGGAAAACATAAAAAGGCAGGGGTTACAATCCTAGTCTCTGATAAAACAGACTTTAAACCAACAAAGATCAAAAGAGACAACGAAGGCCATTACATAATGGTAAAGGGATGAATTCAACAAGAAGAGCTAACTATCCTAAATATATATGCACCCAATACAGGAGCACACAGATTCATAAAGCAAGTCCTTAGAGACATACAAACAGACTTAGACTACCACACAATAATAATGGGAGACTTTAACACCCCGCTGTCAACATTAGACAGATCAACGACACAGAAAGTTAACAAGGATATCCAGGAATTGAACTCAGTTCTGCACCAAGCGGACCTAATAGACATCTACAGAACTCTCCAACCCAAATCAACAGAATATGCATTCTTCTCAGCACCACATCACATTTATTCCAAAATTGACTCCATAGTTGGAAGTAAAGCACTCCTCAGCATATGTAGAAGAACAGAAATTATAACAAACTGTCTCTCAGACCACAGTGCAATCAAACTAGAACTCAGGATTAAGAAACTCACTCAAAACCACTCAACTACATGGAAACTGAACAACCTGCTCCTGAATGACTACTGGGTACATAACGAAATGAAGGCAGAAATAAAGATGTTCTTTGAAACCAATGAGAACAAAGACAAAACATAACACAATCTCTGGGACACATTTAAAGCAGTGTGTAGAGGGAAATTTATAGCACTAAATGCCCACAACAGAAAGCAGGAAAGATCTAAAATTGACACCGTAACATCGCAATTAAAAGAACTAGAGACCCAAGAGCAAACACATTCAAAAGCTAGCAGAAGGCAAGAAATAACTAAGATCAGAGCAGAACTGAAGGAGACAGAGACACAAAAAACCTTTCAAAAAATCAATGAATCCAGGAGCTGGTTTTTTGAAAATATCAGCCAAATTGATAGACTGCTAGCAAGATTAATAAAGAAGAAAAGAGAGGAGAATCAAATTGATGCAATAAAAAATGATAAAGGGGATATCACCACCGATGCCACAGAAATACAAACTACCATCAGAGAATACTATTAACACCTCTATGCAAATAAACTAGAAAATCTAGAAGAAATGGATAAATTCCTGGACACATGCACCCTACCAAGACTGAACCAGGAAGAAGTTGAATCCCTGAATAGACCAATAACAGGCTCTGAAATGGAGGCAATAATTAATAGCGTACCAACCAAAAAAAGTCCAGGACCAGATGGATTCACAGCCGAATTCTACCAGGGGTACAAGGAGGAGCTAGTTCCATTCCTTCTGGAACTATTCCAATAAATGGAAAAAGAGGGAATCCTCCCTAACTCATTTTATGAAACCAGCATCATCCTGATACCAAAGCCTGATAGAGGCACAACAAAAAAAAAAGAATTTTAGACCAATATCCCTGATGAACATTGATGCAAAAATCCTCAATAAAATATTGGCAAAACGAATCCAGCAGCACATCCAAAAGCTTATCCACCATGATCAAGTGGGCTTCATCCCTGGGATGCAAGGCTGCTTCAACATACACAAATCTATAAACGTAATCCAGCATATAAACAGAACCAAAGACAAAAACCACATGATTATCTCAATAGATGCAGAAAAGGACTTTGACAAAATTCAACATCCCTTCATGCTAAACACTCTCAATAAATTAGGTATTGATGGGACGTATCTCAAAATAATAAGAGCTATCTATGACAAACCCACAGCCAAGATCATACTGGATGGGCAATAACTGGAAGCATTCCCTTTGAAAACTGGCCCAAGACAGGGATGCCCTCTCTCACCACTCCTATTCAACGTAGTGTTGGAAGTTCTGGCCACGGCAATGAGGCAGGAGAAAGAAATAAAGGGTATTCAATTAGGAAAAGAGGAAGTCAAATTTTCCCTGTTTGCAGTTGACATGACTGTATATTTAGAAAACCCCATCATCTCAGCCCAAAATCTCTTTAAGCTGATAAGCAACTTCAGCAAGATCTCAGGATACAAAATCAATGTGCAAAAATCACAAGCATTCTTATACACCAATAACAGACAAACACAGAGCCAAATCATGAATGAACTCCCATTCACAATTGCTTCAAAGACAATAAAATACCTAGGAATCCAACTTACAAGGGATGTGAAGGACCTCTTCAAGGAGAACTACAAACCACTGCTCAACAAAATAAAAGAGGACACAAACAAATGGAAGAACATTCCATGCTCATGAATAGGAAGAATGAATATCATGAAAATGGCCATACTGCTCAAGGCAATTTATAGATTCAATGCCATCCCCACCAAGCTACCAATGACTTTCTTCACAGAATTGCAAAAACTTTAAAGTTCATGTGGAACCAAAAAAGGGCCCACATTGCCAAGACAATCCTAAGCCAAAAGAACAAAGCTGGAGGCATCACACTACCTGACTTCAAACTATACTGCAAGGCTACGGTAACCAAAACAGCATGGTACTGGTACCAAAACAGAGATATAGACCAATGGAACAGAACAGAGCCCTCCGAAATAATGCCGCATATCTACAACTATTTGATCTTTGACAAACCTGACAAAAACAAGCAATGGGGAAAGGATTCCCTATTTAATAAATGGTGCTGGGAAAACTGGCTAGCCATATGTAGAAAGCTGAAACTGGATCCCTTCCTTATGCCTCATACAAAAATTATTTCAAGATGGATTAAAGACTTAAATGTTAGACCTAAAACCATACAAACCCTAGAAGAAAACCTAGGCAATACCATTCAGGACATAGGCATGGGCAAGGACTTCATGTCTAAAACACCAAAAGCAATGGCAACAAAAGCCAAAATTGACAAATGGGATCTAATTAAACTAAAGAGTTTCTGCACAGCAAAAGAAACTACCATCAGAGTGAACAGGCAACCTACAGAATGGGAGAAAATTTTTGCAACCTACTCATCTGACAAAGGGCTAATATCCAGAATCTACAATGAACTCAAACAAATTTACAAGAAAAAAACAAACAACCTCATCAAAAAGTGGGCGAAGGATATGAACAGACACTTCTCAAAAGAAGATATTTATGCAGCCAAAAAACACATGAAAAAATGCTCACCATCACTGGCCATCAGAGAAATGCAAATCAAAACCACAATGAGATACCATCTCACACCAGTTAGAATGGTGATCATTAAAAAGTCAGGAAACAACAGGTGCTGGAGAGGATGTGGAGAAATAGGAACACTTTTACACTGTTGGTGGGACTGTAAACTAATTCAACCACTGTGGAAGACAGTGTGGCGATTCCTCAAAGATCTAGAACTAGAAATACCATTTGACCCAGTCATCCCATTACTGGGTATATACCTAAAGGATTATAAATCATGCTGCTATAAAGACACATGCACACGTATTTTTATTGTGGCACTATTCACAATAGCAAAGACTTGGAACCAACCTAAATGTCCATCAGTGATAGACTGGATTAAGAAAATGTGGCACATATACACCATGGAATACTATGCAGCCATAAAAAAGGATGAGTTCATGTCCTTTGTAGGGACATGGATGAAGCTGGAAACCATCATTCTCAGCAAATTATCGCAAGGACAAAAAACCAAATACCGCATGTTCTCACTCATAGGTGGGAATTGAACAATGAGAAAGCTTGGACACAGGAAGGGGAACATCACACACTGGGGCCTGTCATGGGGTCGGGGGTAGGGGGGAGGGATAGCATTGGGAGGTATACCTAATGTAAATGATGAGTTAATGGGTGCAGCACCCCAACATGGCGCATGTATACATATGTAACAAACCTGCTCATTGTGCACATGTACCCTAGAACTTAAAGTATAATTTAAAAAAAAAGAAAAGAAAATGAACATTCAAAGTCAATGCTACCAAATAATGCCAATGAGAACGCATCAAAAACACACTAAAAAAGATGAATTTTCAGTTTCCTTTTATCAATGTTATTCAAAGCCTGATTTTCAGGACTTAATTTTGGCCTCCCCTGTGCTTCGTTGGGCTTGTCAATTCTTTAGTAGATGGATCCTTGTGATCAGGACTAAACCTGGCGCATGGATCATTGAGCTACCTTAGTGTCTACAGCCTCTTGGCCTGCCTGCACTCCTTACAGTGTGCCCTGGGTGCTAAACATCCCATCCAAGCCTGAAATCCACACTCCACACATAGATATCCATCTCTCTGGCCACTTTCGGTATGCAAAAATCAATTGCTTATAAGAATGAGTCAATCTGGTGAGTGATATATGGAAGAGCCAATTTCTCTTCTAGATTAAAAGTAAAAACAGTTAAAATTTTGCTCACCCTAAGGCATTACATTTAGATTGTCTCCTCCTCCAGTTAGAAGCATGGAAATGTGGGCTGGGTGCAGTGACTCACATCTGTAATCCCAGCACTTTGGGAGGCTGAGGCAGACGGATCACGAGGTCAGGAAATCGAGACCATCCTGGCTAACACAGTGAAACCTCCTCTCTACTAAAAATACAAAAAATTAGCCGGGCGACGTGGAGGGTGCCTGTAGTCCCAGCTACTGGGGAGGCTGAGGCAGGAGAATGGCATGAACCTGGAAGGCGGAGCTTGCAGTGAGCAGAGATTGCACCACTGCACTCCAGTCTGGGCGACAGAGCAAGACTCCACCTCAAAAAAAAAAAAAAAAAGCAAATGTGATTTTCTATTAATTTCATTGAATTTTCCCTCGGGTGCGGTGCTTTCAAATTTACAAACTCTTAGACCTTTCAGATTTTAGAGTCACACTACAGCTGTGAGCTAGTACTTTACTGAATGATGTCACTATATGACTAGCATTATACCATCACTATTAAGGAATCTTGGGTAAAAATCACCGATATTTTAGAAAATCATCCCAAAATTAGAGACATACACATACATACAAAAAATAGTTATAAATTATTTTGAATCAGTAAATAATTTGTCAAACATTTTTATAATCTGACCAATTTTTATAGTATTATTGTGTGAGTCCGATTGTGGGGCTCTAACAAAACACCTGACACTGAGTAACTTATAAACAACAGAAATTTATTTCTCACAGTTCTGGGGGCTGGGAAATCCAAGATCAAGGCACTGGCAGGTTGATGGTTGATAAGGGTTGCCCTCTCTGCTTCCAAGATTCAACTTTGTTGCTGCATCCTTCAGAAGGGATGAATACTATATCTTCACATGGCAAAAACCCTTTTATAAGGCAATAATCCGTTAGCCCACATGGTCTAACCCCCTCCTGAAGTCTCCACCTCTTTATTCTGTTGCCTTGGGAATCAAGTTTCAACATGAATTTTGAATGGGGCACAAACATTTAAACCATAGCAATTGTCTTTGACTTACTGTTTTTTTTTTTTAAGGTAGGCTACTTAAAAATCTCTTCGGTTCCTTAATACTCACATTAAGAAACTTTTATCAGAGTTCTACAAAATTGGAATGCCACGAAGCAGAACTCTCATGAAGTCATTTCTTTCCCATGTAATATATATTTAAAGGCAGATTGATTACAGATGATGAATGTGGAACACTAATCTCTCATTTAAAAACTCAGTAACTGAGAAGAACAAGTTATTTAGCAGAAATATTCAGTGAAGTTGCACTCTTTTGAGAGAGAAAAACTAGCTTTGACACCATGGAGCTTTCTGCTCCACTCATCTGTAGTTGTAAAAGGGAGAAAGGCACAAAGCAGAATCAATTATTGTTCCTTGCAGGAAACTAGAAATTCTTTCCACTTGACCTGCTTGACCCAATCATTGAAATTGCGCCCTTTGTAAAATGTATTTTTTTACTCTTCAGTTTTCTGTGCAGTTTCATACACCAACCTGTGATACAAATTTTGACTCAAGAAGCTCATATTTCTTTCTTTTTAAAATTTTTTTTAAGATACAAGATCTTACTCTGTCACCCAGGCTGCAGTGAGGTGGCACAATCATAGCTAAATGCAGCCACAAATATCTGGCTTCAGGTGATCCTCCTGCTTTGGCCTCCCAAGTAGCTGGGACTACAGGTATGTGCCACCACATCTGGCTAATTAATTTTTTTTAATTTTTTTTTTTTTTTTTTTTTTTTGTAGAGAAATAGTCTCACTATGTTGCCTAGGCTGGTCTCAAACTCCTGGCCTCAAGCAATCCTATTGCCTTAGCTTTCCAAAGCACTGGGATTATAGATGGGAGCCATCGTGCCTGGCCAAAAAGCTGATGTTTCTCTTTTTTTTTTTTTTTTTTTTTGAGATGGAGTCTCACTGTCGCCCAGGCTGAAGTGCAATGGCGCAATCTCGGCTCACTGCAAGCTCCGCCTCCCGGGTTCACGCCATTCTCCTGCCTCGGCCTCCCGAGTAGCTGGGACTACAGGCGCCCGCCACCACGCCTGGCTAATTTTATGTATTTTTAGTAGAGACAGGGTTTCACCACGTTAGCCAGGATGGTCTGGATCTCCTGACCTCGTGATCTGCCCACCTCGGCCTCCCAAAGTGCTGGGATTACAGGCGTAAGCCACCGCGCCCAGCCAGCTCATGTTTCTTAAAATGCTTTGCTTTTAAATGCTGGACACAACTTTACAAAGCATATTTAAATAGATCTTAGATGGCATGAATGCACAGGCCCTCCACATCTTAGACAAATAGCTCACATACGTCATGGACAGAGACTATTTAAAATATTTTGTTCTTCTTTGCAAAGGAAAAACCAATGCTGCTGTTCCCTTCCACGTGAAGGAGCTCCGTTGGTGTAATTCCAAGACTGAGCCTCCCTCTGCTCCTTTGCTCAGTTTGTCCCCAGGAGGTAGAAGACTCCTCTGACTATTAAGTGTCAACTTTGAGGAAGATACATTTCCGGAAGGATGAATGGAGCGTGCTTGGCTCAGCTCTGCCTTCTTCCTCTTGGAGTAGGGGTGCGTAGCAAACTCCCATTTTCCTCTGCACCCCCAAGCTCAGCCACTGCCTGTGAGCCCGGCTTTCACAAGCTGTGCATTTGCCCTCTGAACTAAGCTTTAGTCTCCAACTAAGCCTTTGTCATAATACATTTTATGTCTTACTCCATGTTTCATTTCTCAGCCTATTCAGATATCCAGCTGAGATAAAAGCGTGTATTTTTGTTTTAGGACCTGTCACATACCTCAATACTTGTGCATGAACAAGGAACACTGACAAATATAAACAGAAGAGGGGAATTTGTGGAAGATAGGCTGTTAGTGGGAGCAAGGTTTTCTGGCTTTAGACATTGGACTTCACTGTGTAAACAGTAACTGACCTTCACACTTTCTACAGTATCATAAGAGGTCAGATGAGCTTTTAAAATTGTGTGGTCGACTATGGTGATTTTTTGAAATTTAATTTAATTTAAAGTTTTGGGATACATGTGCAGGATATGCAGGTTTGTTACCTAGGTATACATGTGCCATGGTGGTTTGCTGCACCTATCAACCCATTGCCTAGGCATTAAGCCCCATGTGCATTAGCTATTTATCCTGATGCTCTGCCTCCCCCTGTCCCTACCCCCTACAGATCCCAGTGTGTTGTTCCCCTCCCCGTGTCCATGTGTTCTCATTGTTCAGCTCTCACTTACATGTGAGAACATGCAGTGTTTGGTTCTCTGTTCCTGCATTAATTTGCTGAGGGTAATTCACAATAGCAAATACATGGAATCAACCCAAAAGCCTATCAATGATAGATTGGATAAAGAAAATGTGATACATATAGAGCATGGAATACTATCTAGCCATAAAAAGGAATGAAATTGAGTCCTTTACAGGGACTTGGATGGAGCTGGAAGCTATGGTAAAAGTTTTTATCATACTGGGTAACCTTAACTTATGACAACTTTATGTGCACGCCATGGCTGTTTGTGTAGGCAGGGGAGTGTACTTTGAGGACTCAAGAAAATGATGCTCAGAACTCACTGAACCTACAGAAGCTTGGGCCTCAGCAAGGACTGAAAAAGAACTTGGTTCTCCAATGGCCCCAACTGCAAGGGTCCCAGCTTGAGCACAAGCCTCCAGCAGGCACAGGGAGAACCAGGTACAGACTCACTCCTCAGTTCACCATGCAGTCATTGCGGTGGGGAAGACGCAACCATAGAGCAAAAACAGGCATTCTTCACTTAGGACATAACATGTTGGAGAGAGAACAATTTTTAATGGTTTTACTGTCTTCTTAGCTAGGGGTGGTAAGGCAGTTCAATTCTACACATGCTACATAATGCTTCCTTTAAGTGATTAACAGCTAGACAGGAAAGAATAGATTTGCTGCCCAAAATTTCATTTGCAAGCAGGACCAAGGAGGAAATTGAAGAGATTATTTTAGAATTAACTTGGTGTCTTCATAGAATCCAGTTTCAAAATGCCAAATCATTTCTAGGTGGGAACACAGTTGCTACAGGTGTCTGTAGATATGCCTGGAGGGAGAGCATGTGATAAATATATAGAATTTGAGAGAAAAAACAATATTGAGATCCTCTTGTTTGAGATATTCTCCTCTCTCATCCCTTTAGGCAGTGTTTCTCGAATATTTAGGGTGCATTTAAATCGCTTAGAGAGTTTGTTAAAACCCAGGTTGCCTAACAGGGTGAAACCCTGTCTCTACTAAAAATACAAAAATTTAGCCGGATGTGGTGGCGGGCGCCTGTAGGCCCAGCTAGGCAGGAGGCTGAGGCAGGAGAATGGTGTGAACCTGGGAGACGGAGCTTGCAGTGAGCCAAGATCACACCACAGCACTCCAGCCTGGGCGACAGAGCGAGACTCCGTCTCAAAAACATTAAACAAACAAACAAACAAAAAAAAACAGGTTGCTGAGCCTCAGCTCCAAAGTTTCCAATTCTGTAGGGCTGGGTGGGGTCTGAGAATCAGCATTCCTAAAAGTCCTCAGTGAGGCTGATAGTTCTTGTCCAGGGACCACACTTTGAGAACCATGGCCCTGGGTGTGCAGGCATCAGAAGCATCAACAGCAACTTCAGTTTAAGTGCCTGGCAGGGGTGATTTTCCAGCAGAAATGAATCTGGGTTGGAAGGGAAAAATATTTTCCAGGCAGTGGGTTTATTAGGGCTAAGCAATAGTATGATAAGCCCATTGAAAATCCGAAAACATAATAAATGACAGTTTCTGGACCCACTAAATGACCTCACCATTTCTTTTTTCTTCAATTAAAATAAGAAGTTTATTCCCATTCTTTCCATTTCCTGGAAAATGAAATGAACAGATGGTTGGCATCTTACATGTTGCCCCAGGTGAGAATATATTTTTGTTCACATTTGCTCACTCACCACTTTTTTATAACTTTTATTTTAGGTTCAGGGGTACATGTGGAGGCTTGTTATACAGGCACATGACATGTCACAGGGGTTTGGTGTACAGATAATTTTGTCACTCAGGTAATCAGCATAGTACCCGATGGGTAGTTTTTGGATCCTTGCCCTCTTCCCACCCTCCACCTTCCAGTAGGCCCTGCTGTCAGTTGTTCCCCTGTTTGTGTCCATGTGTACTTGACATGGTTTAGCTCTGTGTCCCCACTCAAATCCCATGTAAATTGTAATCCCTAATATTGGAGGAAGGGCTTGGAGGGAGGTGATTGGATCATAGAGGTGGTTTCTAATGGTTTGGCACCATCCCCCTAGTGCTGTCTCATGATAGAGTTATCGTGAGATCTAGTTGTTTGAAAATGTGCAGAACCTCGCCCCACCCTCCTACCAGCCATATAAAGATGTGCTTGCTTCCCCTTTGCCCTTCACCATGATTGTAAATTTCCTAAGGCCCCCCCCAGAAGCAGAAGCCTGTACAGCCTGCGGAACTGTGAGCCAATTAAACCTGTTTTATTCACAAATTACCCAGTCTCAGATAGTTTTTTATAGCAGTACAAGAATGGACTAGTACAGTACTTAATGTTTAGCTCCCACTGATCATTGAGAACGTGCAGTATTTGGTTTTCTGTTCCTGCCTTAATGCACTTAAGATAATGACCTCCAGCTACATCCATGTTTCTGCAAAGGACACAATCTCAGTCTTTTATAGGGCTGTGTAGCATTCCATGGTGTATATGTACCAGTTTTCTTTATCCAGTCTACTTTTGATGGGCATTTAGGTTGATTCCGTATCTTTGCTTTTGTGAATAATGCTGCAGTGAATATATTCCTATGCATATTCAGGTGTGTTTGTGGTAGAACAATTTATATTCCTTTGGGTATGTACCCAATAATGGGATTGCTGGGTCTAACCGTAATTCTGCTTTAAGTTCTTTGAAAAACTGTCCAACTCCTTCCCACAATGGCTGAACTGATTTACATTCCCATCAGCAGTGTTTAAATGGTCCCTTTTGTCTGCAGCCTCACCAGCATCTATTACTTTTTGACTTTTTAATCATAGCCATTCTGACTTGTGTGAGATGGTATCTCATTGTGGTTTTGATTTGCATTTCTCTACTTATTGGTGATGTTGAGCATTTTTTCATATGCAGTTACCACGTATATGTTTTCTTTTGAAAAGTGTTCGGGTTCTTTGCCCACTGTTCAATGGGGTTGTTTGTGTTTTTCTGCTTGTGAATTTAAGTTCCTTATAGATTTTGGATATTAGACCTTTGTCAGATGCACAGTTTGCAAACATTTTCTCCCACTCTGTAGGTTGTCTTCTTATTCTATTGATAGTTTATTTTGCTTCATAGGAGCTCTTTAGTTTAATTAGGTCCCATTCATCTGCTTTTGTTTTTGTGGCAACTGATTTTGGTGTCTTCCTCATGAAATCTTTGACAGGGTCTATATCAAGATGGTATTTCCTAGGTTATCTTCCAATGATTTTATAGTTTTAGATTTGACATTTAAGTATTAAATCCATCTTGAGCTGATTTTTGTATGTGATGTAAAAAGAGTTTCAATCTTCTGCATATGGCTAGCCAGTTACCCCAACGCCACTTATTGAATAGGGAGTCAGTTCCCCATTACTCTTTTTTGTAGACCTTGTTGAAGATCAGATGGTTGTAGATGTGGCCTTATTTATGGGCTCTCTATTCTGTTCCAGTGGTCTATGTGCTTTTGTACCAGTACCATTGTTTTGGTTACTGTAGCCTGTAGTATAGTTTGAAGTCAGGTAATGTGATGCCTTCAGTTTGTTCTTTTGCTTAGGATAGACCTGGCTATTCAGGCTCTCTCTTTCTCTCTTTTTTGTTTTCTTTTGCTTTCATGTGAATGTTAAAATAGTTTGTTCTAATTCTATGAAGAGTGTCGTTGGTAACTTGATAGAAATAGCATGAGTTTATAAATCTCTTTGGGCAGCATGGCCATTTTCAAAATATTGATTCTTCCTATCCATGAGCATGGAATGTTTTTCTCATTTGTTTGTGTCACCTCTGACTTCTTTGAGCAGTGTTTTCTAATTCTCGTTGTAGATATCTTTCACCTCCCTGGGTAGCTGTGTTCCTAGGTATCTTACTCTTTTTGTGGCTATTGTGAATAAGATTGCATTCTTGGTTTGGATGTTGTTGTTTTATAGAAATGCTACTGGTTTTTGTACATTGGTTTTGTACCCTGAAACTTGGCTGAAGTTGTTTATTACATCTAGCAGCTTTTGGGCAGAGTCTATAGGATTTTCTAGGTAGAGAAACATACCATCTGTGAAGAGAAATAGTTTGACTTTCTCTCTTCCTACTTGAATTACTTTTATTTCTATTTCTTCCCTGATTATTCTAGCTAGGACTTCCAGTACTATGGTGAATAAGAGTGGTGAGAGTGGGCCTCCTTTTCTTGTTGATGTTCTCAAGGGAAATGCTTCCAGCTTTTGCCCATTCAGGATGATGGTAACTGAGGGTTTGTCATAGATGGCTCTTATTATTTTGAGGGATACTCTTTAATGCCTAGTTTGTTGAGGGTTTTAAAGATGAAAGAATGTTGAATTTTATTGAAATTCTTTTCTGTGTCTGTTGAGATGATGATGTGGGTTTTATTTTCAGTTGTGTTTATGTAGTGAATAATATTTATTGACTTACGTATGTTGAACCAACCTTACATACCAGAGATAAAGCCTAGTCGATCATAGTGAATTAGCTCTTTGATGTGCTGCTGGATTTGGTTTGCTAGTATTTTGTTGAAGATTTTTGCATCTATGTTCATTGAGAATATTGGCCTGAAGTTCTCTTTTTTGTGTGTGTCTCTGCCATGTTTAGGTATCCAGATAATGCTAGCCACACAGAATGAGTTAGGGAAGAGTCCCACCTCCTCAATTTCTTAAATTACTTTTAGTAGGAATGATACCAGCTTTTTATACATCTGGCAGAATTCAGCTGTGAATCCATCTGTCCTGGGCTTATTCTGATTGGTAGGCTTTTCATTGCTGATCCAATTTCATAACTCATTATTGGTCTGTTCAGGGATTCAATTTCTTCCTTGTTCAATCTTGGGAGGTTATTTGTTTCTAGAAATTTATCCATTTCTTCCAGGTTTTCCAGTTTGTGAGTGTAGAGGTGTTCATAGTAGTCTCTGAGAGTTTTTGTATTTTTGTGGGGTGGTTGGTAATGTCCTCCTTGTAATTACTCATTGTGTTTATTTGGAGCTTCTCTCTTTTCTTCTTCATTAGTTTAACTAACAATCTATCGATCATACCTATTCTTTCAGAAAACAAACTACTGGATCCATTGATTTTTTTGTATGGTTTTCTCCATCTCAATTTCCATTCGTTCAGCTCTGATTTTTTTATTTCTTTTCTTCTGCTAGCTTCAGAATTGGTTTACTCCTCTTTCTCTAATTTCTCTAGGTATGATATTATGTTGTTAATTTGAGATTGTTTTAACTTTTTTGATGTGGGTTTTTAGCAAATACACTTCCCTCTTAACACTGCTTTAGCTGTGTCCCAGAGATTCTAGTATTTTTTTTTCATTGGTTTCAAAAATTTATTGGTTTTTGCCTTAATTTTATTGTTTACCCAAAGTCAGTCAGGAGAAGGTTGTTTAATTTCCATGCAACTGTTTGATTTTGAGTGATTTTCTTAGTATTGATTTTTGTTTTTATTTTGCTGTAGTCTGAGAATGTGGTTGGTTGTGTGAGTATATGTTTAATTTGCTGGGGATTGTTTTATGGCTGATTGTGTTGTTGATTTTAGAGTATGTCCAATGTGAAGATGAAATGAATACATATTATCTTGTTATTGGGTGGAAAGTTCTGTAAATGTCTGTTAGGTCTATTTGGTCAAGTGTCGAGTCAAGGGCCCAAATATCTTGTTAGTGTTTTGCCTCAGAGATCTATCAAATAAACACTGTCAGTGGAGTGTTAAAGTATTCCACTGTTATTGTGTGGTTATCTATGTCTCTTTATAGATCTGTAAAAACTTGTTTTAGAAATCTGAGTGTTCCTGCTGGGTCCATATATATTTAGCATAGTTAGGTCTTCTTGTTGAATTGAACCCTTTACCATTATGTAATGCTCTTCTTTTTCTTTTTTATTATTGTTGGTTTAAAGTCTGTTTTGTCTGAAATTAGAAGAGCAACTCTTGCTTTTTTCTGTTTTCTATTTTCTTGGTAGATCTTTCTCCTTTCCTTTGAGCTGTGTGGGTGTCACTGCATGTGAGATGGGTCTCTTGATATGTGCAGATTTGATCCTGTCATCATGTTGTTAACTGGTTTTTGTGCCAACTTGATTTGTGGTTGCTTTATAGTGTCAATAGTCTATGTACTTCACTGTGATTTTGTGGAGGCTTGTAATGATCTTTTCCATATTTAGCACTCCCTTAAGGATTTCTTATAAGGCAGATCTAGTGGTAATGATTTCCCTTTGCATTTGCTTGTCTGAAAGGGATCTTATTTCTTCATTTTTGAAGCTGAATTTGGCTGGAAATGAAATTCTTGTTTGGAATTTGTTCTCTTTAAAAATGCTGAATATATGATCCCAATCTCTTCTGTCATGTATAATTTCTGCTAAAAGTCCACTGTTAGCCTGATTGAGTTCCCTTTGTAAGTGACCTGACCTTTCTCTCTAGTTGCCTTTGACATTTTTCTTTCTGTTTGACCTTGGAGGTCTTTGATTACTATGTGTCTTGTATAGATATATACAAGGGGATGATTAGGGGATGATTGTCTTGTATAGTATCTTGCAGAGTTCTCTGTATTTCCTGAATTTGAAATAGTGAAATTTTCATGGATGATATCCTCAAATATGTTTTGCAAGTTGCTTGGTTTCTTTTCCTCCTTCACGGATGCCTGTGTGTCATAGATTTGGTCTCTTTACATAATCCCATATGTCTCAGAGACTTTGTTCATTCTTCTTTATTCTCTTTTCTTTATTTTTGTCTGCCTCAATTATTTTGGAGAACCAGTCTTCGAGCTCTGAGATTGTTTCCTCAGCTGGTTAATTCTGCTGCTAATATTTGTGATTGTGTTATGAAATTCTTAAAGTGAGGTTTTCAGCTCTTTCAAATCAGTTTCATTCTTTCTTTAAAAATGGCCATTTCATCTTTCATTTCCTGTATCATTTTATTGTATTCTTCAGATTCCTTGCATTGGGTTTCAACTTTCTCCTGAATGTCAATTATCTTCATTCCTATCCATATTCTGAATTCTGTTTCTGCCATTTCATCCATTTGAGCCTGGTTAAGAATCATTGCTAGGAAGGACACTGGTGTGGTCATTGAGGGAAATAAGGCACTCTGGCTTTTTGAGTTGTCTGAGTTTTTGTGCTGGTTCTTTCTAATCTGTGTCAGCTGATGTTCCTTTAATCTTTGAAGTTACTGTCCTTTGGATGGTTTTCTTTGCTTGCATCTTCTTTGATGCCCTTGGGAGTTTGATTGTGGTATAAGGTGGATTCAGTCAACTGGCCTCATTTCTGGAAGAATTTAGTGGGGGCCACAGCTCAGCTCAGCACTCCTGGGCTGTATACTCTAATTGTAGGGAGCTGGTGGCAAGCCCTGGCTTTATTTTCTGGCTCCTTGAGATTAGGAACCTGCTGAGCTGAGGAGCCAAGGTGTTCCTGGTCTGCTGGCCAGAACACACTGATGGGTGGTGCCAGCTAAAGTGCTTCATCTGGGCAGTGGCAGCAGGACTCATGCTCATTTGCACACATGCTTGCTGCCATGGAAGCACAGCAGGATGCATGGGTGTTGACTGGGACAGAGACCACCGGGAAGGGAGCTGTATCATTACTGTGCACACTTTTGCCAGTGGCTAGGGTTGGGGGGAAACAGCTGGGGCAGAGTTGCCAGTGTCCATGTTTGTACTTCTGCTGGCAGAAGTGGCTGTGGGGGCTTGGCTTCAGTGGACATGAGGCTGGTGGTCTCCATGTGCATGTTCACAGTGCTGGGTGGCAGTGGCAGCATAAGATGGGGATGGGGCCAACAGCCACCAGTGACCATTCATACATTCACAGCAGCAGCAGTGGGGGTGTGGGGAGCAGGGTGGGGTTGCTTGCATCTGTGTGAGTGTTGATGTCAGCAGTGGCAGTGCAGCCAGTTGCCTGCTCATCAGGGAAGCAGGGGCAGCAGGATGTGCTCACACAGGCAGCAGCTGGATGGCACAGTACACATGCACACACACACCCAGTGGGGGAGAAAAAGTGAACTCTGCCTGTGTCCATGCTGGCAAAGCAGTGGGGGTGTGGCCATGGGTTAGTGCATCCTGGCAATGCAGGCATGGAGGAGGCTGCAGTGGGAGAGGGTGTGGGTGGGCTGTTGCGTGTCAGTGGAGGCTGCACTGATAGAGCTCTCTGATGCTCAGGTGCAGTCTGCTGGTGAAGGAGCTATGATGTGAGCCTCCAGGAAGCACCTTGATTGAGCATCCAAGACTGTGCTGCAAACATGTGCAGCCAGACTGGGGCCCCATGAGAGGCCAGCAGACAAGGGTGCTGTCAGTTAGAACTGGATCCATCTAACCAGCATAAAAAACAGGATTTATACCTCTCTGTGTCTCTTTGATCCCAAGCAGTTGCTTCGCTAAATACATGAATTATCTTTTTTGTCTCTAAAGATCTTCTCCAAGATGACAATATGGCAAACCATTAACTACCAATAAGATCAGTAGAAACTCTTTAAACCATTGAGGAATTCTCCATAAATGTGTTGCCATCATTGGACTCTCTGTATATTAGTTGTCAACAAGTTTATCTTCTCAGAATGACCATATTTATTTATGGTAAAAATATTCAATTATCTGCTACATAGTTAAATAAACAGAATGCTATAAAAATGATTTTGATACTTAGCATTGCCTATAACTTTAGCTATGAAACTGGTGGGTCTCTATGAGGGAGACATCTGTCATTTCTAGGCCTGATATAGATTACTGTTGATTTTGTTTTTGTTGTTTATTCTTAATTTAATTTTATTTTATTTTATATTAAGTTCCAGGATACATGTGCAGGATGTGCAGGTTTGTTGCAAAGGTAAACATGTGCCATGGTGGATTCCTGCACCTATCAGCCCATCACCTAAGTATGAAGCCCCACATGAATTTTCTATTTATCCTGATGCTACCCCACCCCCATTCCCCTGACAGGCCCCAGTGTGTGTTGTTCTCCTTCCTGTGTCCATGTGTTCTCATTGTTCAGCTCCCACTTATAAGTGAGAACAGCAGTTTGGTTTTCTTTTCCTTTGTTAGTTTGCTGAGGATAATTGCTTCCAGGTCCATCTATGTCCCTGCAAAAACATGCTCTCATTCCTTTTTATGGCTGCATAGTATTCCATGGTGTGTATGTGCCACATTTTATTTACCCAGCCTACCATTGATGGACATCTGGGTTGATTCCATGTCTTTGCTATTTTAAATAGTGCTACAATGAACATATATGTGCATGTATCTTTATAATAGAATGATTTATATTCCTCTGGGTATATACCCAGTAATGGAATTGCTGGGTCAAATGGTATTTCTAGTTCTAGACTCTTGAGGAATTGCCACACTGTCTTCCACAATTGTTGAACTAATTTGCATTTCCACAAACAGTATAAAAGTGTTCCTATTTCTCCATAGCCTCATCAGCATCTGTTGTTTCTTGACTTTTTAATCATTGCCATTCTGACTGGCATGAGATTGTATCTCACTGTGGTTTTGATTTGCATTTCTCTACTGATCAGTGATGTTGAGCTTTTTTTCATGTTTGTTGGCTGCATGAATGTCTTCTTTTGAGAAGTGTCTGTTCATGTCCTTTGCCCACTTTTTGATTTTTTTTTAATTGTAAATTTGTTTAAGTTCCTTGTAAATTCTGGATATTAGACCTTTGTCAGATAGATAGATTGCAAAAATTTTCTCCCATTCTGTATGTTGTCTGTTCACTCTGATGATAAATTCTTTTGCAGTGTAGATCCATTTTAGTTTAATTAGTTCCCATTTGTCAATTTTTGCTGTTGTTGCAATCTTTGCTTGTGTCTATCTCCTGAATGGTATTGTCTAGATTTTATTCTAGGGTTTTTATAGTTTGGGGTTTTATATTTAAGTCTTTAATCCATCTTGAGTTAATTTTTGTATAAGGTGTAAGGAAGGCATCTGGTTTTAATTTTCTGCATATGACTAGCCAGTTATCCCAGCACCATTGATTAAATATGGAATCCTTTCCCCATTGCTTGTTTTTGTCAGGTTTGTCAAAGATCAGACAGTTGTAAATGTGTGGTCTTATTTCTGATATCTCTATTCTGTTCCACTGGTCTATGTGTCTGTTTTGGTACCAGTACCATGCTGTTTTGGTTACTGTGGCCATGTAGTATAGTTTTAAGTCAGGCAGCTTGATCCCTCCAGCTTAGTTCTTTTGCTTAGGATTGTCTTGACTATTCAGGCTCTTTTTTGGTTCCATATGAATTTAAAAGTAGTTTTTCCTAATTCTGTGAAGAATGGGAATAGCATTGAATTTATAAATTTCTTTGGGCAGTATGGCCATTTTCACAATATTGATTCTTCCTATCCACAAGCATGGAATGTTTTTCCATTTGTTTGTGTCCTCTTTTATTTCCTTGAGAAGTGGTTTGTAGTTTTCTCGAAGAAGTCCTTCACATCTCTTGTTAGCTGTATTTCTAGGTATTTTATTCTCTTTTTAGCAATTGTGAATGGTAGTTCATTCATGATTTGGCTCTCTGTCTATTGTTGGTGTATAGGAATGTTTGTGATTTTTGCACATTGATTTTGTATCCTGAGACTTTGCTGAAGTTGTTTAGATTGCTGCTGATTTTGTATGACAACCTCTGCATGCTATAACATAGCTATTCATTATCTGAAGCTCTATGATACATTTTCTTTAACTCAAAATCTTCAGTCTTGCAGAACATTTAGCATTTTTATTGTTTACCCTTTCAAATCTCAAAATGGTAGTACATCTTACTAGGTTACCTAGTTTATAAGAGAGTGAGACTTTCAGAAAATATGGTTTATTATGCAGAAAAAGAAATGAATGTAAGAGTCCTAGGTCAATACTTCTCATGTGCAAGAGTATCAAAGGAAGGAAGAAAAAGAGGTGGAAAGTAGATTATTTAAATTGGAACTGATTTCTAAACCATAGCAGATGGTAACCCAAGGGGAAGAGATGACTCACCATATCTATTTAGAAAAAGCCAGTGAACAGACTGTTACCCATCCTCTTATGAGTTTGTTTGCCTGTGAACTGACCTAAGAAATCCACCAAATTTATTAATTGTCTCATTGAAAAAATGGCTTAGTACCAAAAGAGGCAGGAAATCACTATTGATCATCTTTAAACATCCACCAAACTAAGGCCCAGGAAAGAAGACATTTCCAAGGGACTCATTTCCTAAGTTAGCAGCTGTTTATTTGCTTATGTAGCTCAGTCTTCTGCAGTGTCCTCCTCTGTCAGAGCTGAGAAAATCAGCCATGTCAATAGACACACAGAACTTGCCTTTCTATCAGTTTACATCATAACTCCAAGCACACCAAACATTTTAATGAGATTCATAAGGTTATGCTGCAGACCATGCTCCCCTTAAAATGACTTTTAGACTTGTTCCTTCCCCAAGTCTTCACTTCCTATGCACATATTCTACATCTTAGCCCACCCCCATTTGTCCAACCTAACTTACCTGCTTTGTTTTCCCTCCTCACAATTCTTAGCCAGTTGTATTGCAAAGCAATTCATCTGTCCCATGTTACCTCAAAGCTAGGTACCATCACCCACCAACGCATTTAGCATTCTAGTTAGGACACTCATGCCTTTTAGAAAGATTCATGAATTATAAGGTTTTTTTAATGCTTCACCTAAATATACTCACATATGCAATGAATTCCTTCATAATGTTCAGCAAGAAACTTAGCCATATTGATAAAAATCTGTTTCAGAAAAGGCCAGTTCATGTTTTTAATCCTCCTGGGCAGAAGCTAAAGATTTCACTTATGTACATCCAATGACAAAATCTTCAAAAACTAATACCTGTTTATACATTATGGTAGGAAAGTTACAAGGTAGAGGAAGGTGGGATAAAACTAAACCAAAGCTATATCCTTTCATGTATCAGGGCGAATAAAAGGGATAGGATAAACAAATAGCCTGGAGATTAATCTGCTTACAATAAATATAATCTGGTTTACATAAATATTGCCCATAAGGAACGTCTATATAATGCAAACAAGTTAGAGTGTTAACAAGTTCTTCACCCAGAGAGTTCCCAGAGTTACCAACCCCATGTTATATTTTCTGCTCATTTGCAAACAAGACAGTTTGGTTAATTCTTTGAAGCTGTTATACCCACAAACAAAGTGGCACATAAGCACAGAAACTCATGTGTTGCATGCAGTCACCACGTTTCTTTAGGCTAGTTTAATCTGAAAGAATTCCAATCTTATGACTTCATAATTTTATAGAATGCCTCTCAGCTTAGGCTTAGTCTGGTGTTTCCTCCTCATTCAATTTAGATTATGCATTTTTGAAAGGAGTATTATGAACTGTGACAGTCCCATTACAGAGGAGGTTAACTTTATTCAGTTAAGGTGGTGTCTGCCATGTTGTTCCTAGGTGAAGTCACTATTTTCCCCTTCCTCATTAATAAACCTCTTGTGGCAGATACTTTGAGACTATGTAATATCCTGCTTCTCATCAGATTCCCACCCTCTAATTTTAGCAGCTGCTGACAACTATTTTACCAATCCAATTATCACTCTGATGGTTGAAAAATGGTGATTTTCTAACTCCATTATCCTTTTACATGTATTACTTGGCAATCTATTGTAAGCCCTTTTCTTCCCTGCTCCTCCCATTTATTTATTTACATCATGTGGGGGAAACTCATGGAGTCTTATTTTATTCTAGGATAGATTTGTTGTCCAATACTGCATAGCCAATCATTCTAAAACTTAGTGATTTAAAACAACAGTAATCATTTATTGTCTCGCACCCATTCTGTGGGCCACAAATTCAGTGATTTGTCTGGCTGGACCTGGCGCAGGACTCCAATGAGGTTGCAGTCCAGAGCTAGCTTGTCTTCTGAAAGTCTGACTGGGAGGAAAGGTTATCCTCCAGGGTGGCCACTCACAAAGTGGGCAATTTGGTGTTTGGTGCTGGTGGGAGACCTCTTCCCAGGGCTGTCTGAGTGTCCTACAGCATGGACTCTGGGTTCCCCCAGAGTGAGCCATTCAATAAACTAAGGTGAGAACTGCATTGTCTTATGACCTAGCCCTGGAAGTCATGCTCTGCTGCCTCCACAGCATTCCATTGCTAACACAGCCCCCATTCAATGTGGGAGGGAACTGCACAAGGGCGTGAGCCTTAGGAGGTGAGGATCATTGTGGGCCATCTTAGAGCTTATCTAGAAATGGATTATTACTCTTTACTATCATTATTCATTTTGAAACTCACTTTTCCCCAGATTTGGCCAGTGAGAGCCCCTTCAACTTGGCTCCTACATCCTTCTGACATTCCCCCATTATTCTTCGAGAACTTTGTTAATTTCAGGTATAATAAGAAATCCCATCTTATACCTTCCTTGCTCTAGCTCTGGAAGCTGAACACCACCATTGTTGACTGCCCAACTGACCAGTAGAAGGAACTAATGCTAAACCTCTGATATGACACCTGCCACCTGGAGGCAGGCTGGTTGCAATAGACCCTTCTACCCTACAAGGAACAATGACATGTCCTTACTGAAATAGATACCTTTTCTGGTTATGGGTTTGTCTTTCTGCCCACTATATTTCCCTAGATTCATTATATGTAGTGTCATGTTTACCATCCTGTTTCCATTATAGCATTGCTTCTAACAAAGAAGCTCATTTTACAAAAAGATAAGGGTGACAATAATACCATGGTCAAAGAATTCATTGGTCTTTCAGTGTACTTGATAGAATTGGCTTAGTGAAAACCCAGTTATGGAGCTAATTCTCTGCAAAGTATATGTGCCATCCAAAAGGACATGCTGTATGCAAAAATCACTGCCACTATTTGATTATCTTTCTCCTATAGCCAGAATATATGAGTCCAGGAATCAAAGCATGATAATTGAAAGGGCTTGTCTAACTATTATACCTAAAAATCATTCACAAAATTTTCATTTCTCATCTTCATGTCTTTGGACTGTTGTATGTTCTCAGAGAACACAACAATTGTTTCCAGTTGGAAACTGGGACTGCCATTTGGTCATTTTGGTCTTGTCATGCTATAGAGCAAATAGACAAAGAAGGAGGTTCCAGTGCAGGCAATTATTATTGGTTCTGATTAGCAAGAGGAAATTTGGTTGCTGCAACACACAGAGGTGGAAAGGGAGGACTATGTCTGGAGCCCAGAGGATTTTGTGAGACGCCTCCTGATATTGCTATGTCAATTAGTAAAATTTATAGAAAATAATAACAGTTTAATTGAGGCCAACTGACTGGGGAATTTGATCCTCCAAGAATAAAAGTTTGGAGTATTGTGGTAAAATGTCCTAGCTAGCTAAAGTGCTGACTGAGTGAAAAGAGAACAGAGAAAGGGTAGTGGGACAGGAAGTTATAGATATCAACTTCAGCCTTATGACATGTTACGGAAACAATTATAGCAGCCATGTATATTTTATTTCTTGTTTGTCTTGGTAGCCAGCTTCCAAGAAAGTCCCAGTGATTCCTGACTCCTGGTATTTCCATTCTCTCTCTCTCTCTCTCCCTCCCCTTCTCTTTTCTCATTTTTTTTCTCTCTCTTTCTCCCTCTCTCTCACCTCTTGCTCTGGCAGAAGCCAGCTACCAGGTCATGAAGAGTCCCAAGGAAGAGCCTACATGGCAAGGATCTAAACACTCCAGACAACAACCATGTGCATGACCTTAGAAATGAATCCTTCAGCTCCTGTCCAGCCTTCAGATGTGGATTAGTCCATTCTCACACTGCTATAAAGAATTACCTAAGACTGCGTAATTTTTGAAGAAAAGAGCTCGAGCTGACTCACAATTCTGCAGGCTGTACATTCCATGCATACTCCTGCATGCCTGGGAGCCTTCAGGAAATTTGCAATCATTATGGAAGGGGAAGGGGAAGCAAGCACATTTTACCATGGTGGAGCAGGAGACAGAGAGGGAAGAGGGAAGTGCTACAGCTTTTTAAACAATCTTGTGAGATCTTGTGAGAACTCATTCACTATCATGAGAACAGCAAGGGGGAATTCTGCCCACATGATCCAAGCACTTGCCACCAGGCGCATCATTCAACACTGGGAATTACAATTCAACATGAAATTTGGGTGGGGACATAGAGCCAAACTATGTCAAGATGACTGCAGCCTTGGCCAACATCTTGACTGCAATTTTATGAGAAGCCCTGAGCCAGAACTATCATTAAGCCACTTCTTGATTCTTGATTCTCAGAAACTGGTGAAAGATAATGTTTTTTCATTTTAAGCTCCTACATCTTGGGGTAATTTGCTATACAGGAATAGGTAAATAATGCACTTGTTATATTCACATATATAAATATTAGCTAATCTCCTTTCTTTTCATTACAATTTTATATTATGAGTCCTGTGGTGGTTTACTTAATAATTTGGACTCTTGGGTACAGAATAATCAGATGAGATTGTGCCTGAGCAAGAGATGAATAACATGATTGGTGGATCTTTGTATCTCAGCTTGTTTTTAAGAGGGGGTAAGACCATCTTCACTTGTACAAGGCTTAATTGCATCATACTAGGTGGAAGCATAAAGAGGGTGTTATTGCTGTCTGGAAGCTTAAATGTGGGTAAAGGCAGTGTTTGAATATTGACTAGCCAAATGGTTGGGCTGGGCTGGTTATTTTTCTGTTTGGTCTTAGCTCCCACACATTTCTATTCTTTGATCAATGCTGCTGGGCTTGGGAATTGAAAACTACATTTCCCAGATGCCTTTGCCAGCTGGCTTCCTGTTTGTTCTGCCAATGGGAGGCATTGGAGGAGACCAGAAAATAGAACCTGTGTGGTTCTTGCTCTGACAGTAGTGACAGTTGCCGGCAATGAAGGCAGTGCAAGAAGGGGTGGGCTGCTGTGAGTCCAGCAGCCTAGGAAGTGCACCACCTCTCTGGTGACTCTACTACCTTGGTGACCACTCTTTGATTCCAACGTTGTCAGAAAGAATAGCTTCTCAGCATTTCCAGTGCTGGCAGCTGCAGAGCTACCCACAGCACAAAAATCAAGTGCAACACATAGGTTCCAGTTAGGGGTACTAGCTGCTTTCTGACCTTTTACTCTCATTTCTCTCCCTTTTTAAAAAAATCCCTCTAGCATCCCCTACTTCTCCTTTTTGTTCTTCAGCCTTCCTAATCACTTTATAAGTCATTCACTATATTATATCTCTTCTAGTTTAAATCCTTAAAGTAGTTTACATTTTCCTAACGTAATAAGACTGACAGATTCTCAGGCTTCATGGAGATGCATTTTGGGAAACAACAAGCTTAAATATTCCGCAGAAGTTCCTCTTTATCTCTAAATATTTCAGAAATACATGAAACTATAGTATTTACCTTCATTTTTCTCTAGAAGGCCATGCATATGATCAAAGTTTTTTAACATCTGGAAACTAGTACAGTGCTAACACTTCTAGTAAGAACCAATGCAAAGCAATCCATGATCCAGAAACTAGTAATATGAAACATTTAACTCAGTACTTAAATATTCAACTAAAAGTAAAATGTTCTCATGCTGAGATACGTTTATCTTCAATATAATTATTTGCTTATTTAACTGGAAACTCGTGTCCTTGCGGCATGTTGTGTATTAACATAGTGTTTGTAGACATTTTCAAATTTTGTGGTATTTTTCCTTTTTTTTCTATTCTATGGTTTTTAGTGTGCTTCTAATGTATTAAATAAAGGAAGAAGTTGAGAATGAAAACATTGATGCAGAGATGCTTATTAATTGATAATTGATGAATGCTAATTGCTCCCTATCTGATCTGGCTTCTGGCAATCTCCAACTGCACCCCTACTACTAAGTGGTTCTGCAGCCACCCTGGCCTTCTTGCTAGTCCTCAAGTGCACTAATCTGTTCCCATCTCAGGAACTGTTCCCTCTGCCTGGAATGCTCCTCCCTGTATCTCTGTCTGCCCCACTCCTTCACATCATTACTGTCTTTGCTAAAATATTAACTATAAAGACAGCCTTTTCCTCTCCTCACATCCTGGCTGTCCAGATTGTCAACCCACCTAGTCCCTCTCCATTGGGCCTACTTTGCTTTTCCTCTCAGCACTTGTGTCTCCCTGAAATCATGTCCTGTAAATATATGCTTATTCTTTTACTCTCAGTCTTTCACTGAGTGTAAATTCTGTCAGGCCTAGAAAACTGTCTTTGTTTGCCACCTTATATCGTGTGCCTAGAACAGTGGGGCTTGGCATTTACATAGTCACAGTAAACATTGATTAAATCAATGTTTTGGTTCATACGTTTTCACTATTATGTATGTTTCATATTTTTTACCACTGCCAATTTTGGAGATTTAACATGCACTTTCAGCATTATATGTTTTAAGCAATACAGAGTGTGATGATTAATTGTATGTGTCAACTTGACTGGACCATGGGATGCCCAGGTATTTAACCAAATGTTTTCTGAGTGCTTTTGTGAGGATGTATTTGGATGAGTTTAATATTTAAATCAATAGACTCAGTAAAGCAGATGATCCTCCCTGATGTGGGTGGGCTTCATCCAATCAGTTGACAGCCTCGATGGAACAAAAAGACTGATCTTCCCTCTAATAAGAGGGAATTCCTCCTGCCTGACTGCCTCCCTTTAAATATCTATGAAAATCACAGAAAAAAAATCGCATACAGAGAGAGCCATCCAAAACATACTAACACGATTATGACTAATTTTTTTTTAGTGAAGTCACACTGGAAATTATGACAGAATATTTTTAAATTACCTGGTCAACTTAGATGAGCAGACGTTAAATAATCCAGAAAAAAATGCCCACTTCAGCATTTTAAATTTCAAGCTACAGTCTCCCAAGGAAAGCCCCAGAAATTTCATCACTAACAATTTTAATATACACAAAGAAATGGTCAGTTGTTACATAATAAAAAAATTCTAAAATTATAAAGAAAATTGTAAGAAAAAGGTTTTAACGGACTTTTTAAAAGTTTCCCAAAATGTCAGTTCTTTTTAAGAGTTGTCCTTTCAAAATAAGTATATCATGATTAATATCAAAAGAACTTTGTGCTAGGTAATGTAGCAAAAATAAACTCACCCTAAAATAAATCACAATTGCACACTGTTTAGTAAATTTTATTTCTTCTTGTCTGCTCATTAAAGTTCTCCCTCACATCCTATCCACAGAAGAGTCAGTGCTTGGGGAGGAGACTGTGATAATGTGACTTGCTGGAAAGAACCATCTAAATTGGGTAGTACTTTCAGGAATTTATACAAGGGATTCTGAGACTTTCTCTCTGAAAAGGAATTGGGGCAGACTCTCTGTAAAACTCAGATGTATATTTCTAACTATGTTGGAGAACACACTTTTAGAAATACACTGATTAAGTAAAGGTTACTTTTCCTTGTTTATAAATCTTGATTCTGCCGGTGCTGGGTAGTTGGTGACTATGTGTAGAAATTATATGAATTTATGAGCATTTATTTGTTTAATATTTAAAAAAATCAAGCTCAGATTTCTGTAGCACATCAGCTAGTTCAAACTTAAACAGTGAAAAAAAATATGAGAATTGTTTTTGTTTTCAAGCATTTATTCATTTAAAATTTTAGGAAGTAGAACTATGGTTGAACTTTGAATTAGAACTCTGAAAAAAAAAAGAAAGAAAAAAGGCTAATGAAATATTAAAGAGACATCCAAGGAGCAGCAGGACAAGAATGAACCTACATGTTTCTTTCACAGAGAACCCTAAGAAACGGAAGAAACACTGGAAACAGGAAGAGTAATCATAAAGAGTAACCGTATTTGAATAACTAACTGTAATAAATGTAGGATAACATAAAAGAAATACATTATCCAACTATGTGCTCAGCAATCCGAGCATGAAACGTCAGTTACAGTATCTGTAATAGTGATGAAAATTTTTTTGAGTCATAACTGTTTTAGAGAACTCAGGTTTTATTAGTTTTGGTTTTAATTCAGTAGTATAAGAAATTTAATTTTGGTTGGTTTGTGATTATAAAAATGTAATTACCCTTATAATGTTAGTTATTTAGGGGAATGGACTTCCTTCTATTTAATAAAATACCATCTTCTCCCACTGGATGGCAACAGTGGTTCAAAAATCAAAGGAGTTTTGCACACTGCCTTACTATGTTGACGATCTCAATTAGAGGACAAGTGAAACAACAAATATATGAACAGATAACTACAAAACCCCAATAATCTAGTTGTGTACCCCATGAGAGAAAGTGTGCAAGTTCATGAAACTGTATAGTATGTAGAAGTGAGCATTTTCTTTAAAACGTTACTGGGTTTTGTTTATGATCTATTGACAATATTGATTATAGTTTTTAAATTAGAATAAGAAAATCATTGTAAATGGTATCATAATCCCAAGTGGATTAAGTGCCATCAGACATAGAAATGAGCTACATGGACATGTCAAGGCATCATTTTTCTCTAGATCAAATTTTAAAAGTAACAGTTTGTCTTGAACTACTTTAAAGTGGGACTACTGTCTTAACTATCTTATTATCCTACATACCCATAACATTGGCTGGTACCTATGGATATTTATTGAACAGAAACAACCCAAAGATATACTCAATCTTATGAGAATCATAAGATTTTGTAAAATTCCCTTCCAGTTATATCTGGCTTTCCATCTTTGCAATTGTTGCAAAGGAATGTCAGCATTTATTTACCCACTCAACAGGAGAATTGAGGGCTTAACATCTATCGGTCACTTGCTAGGTGCAGAGACTTTAAATTCAAATAATGCCAGGTTCCTGCCCTCAGGGAATTGGCACCTTGATGGGGTAGAACTTGTAAACAAATAATTTTCAGAGATTCAGAAATATTTACAGATAGATAGCTATACATACCACTGTTAGAGAAGAATAAAAGGGGCAAGAAATTCCAATAAAGAACAGGTCTTAGTCTTCAAAAAGAAGTACCATTGAGGTGCTTTGCAAACTGTTCACCTACTAGTCAAAATAGATGAGTCCCTCATCAGTCAGCAACATAAAACATCAGTACCATTGCACTCACAAGAAAAATAGTTGAATTAGAAGTCATGGAGCTCCTGTTAAAATTCAGGCTAATAAAAATGAGATTCAGTGAAGAGATTCTAAGTGTGTGGAAGACATGAACTATTTACACATTTAGAAAATGGAACAGGTTTGGGCTGGGTGTTTCTTCCTCCCCACACCCCTCTAAATCTTGGTCAAGAGATGCATGAGGGAGAGGGGTTCCAAGAAGGCCGAATAGGAACAGCTCCAGTCTACAGCTCCCAGCGTGAGTGACGCAGAAGACGGGTGATTTCTGCATTTCCAACTGAGGTACCGGGTTCATCTCACTGGGGCTTGTCAGACAGTGGGTGCAGGACTGTGGGTGCAGTGCACCGAGTATGAGCTGAAGGAGGGCGAGGCATTGCCTCACCTGGCCAAACAAAGGGAATTCCCTTTCCTAGCCTGGCTTGGAGGGTCCCATGCCTACGGAGCCTCGCTCATTCCTGGCACAGCAGTCTGAGATTAATCTGCAAGGCAGCAGCGAGACTGGGGGAGGGGCACCTGCCATTGCCCAGGCTCGAGTAGGTAAACAAAGCAGCCAGGAAGCTCCATCTGGGTGGAGCCCACCGCAGGTCAAGGAGGCCTGCCTGACCCTGTAGACTCCACCTCTGGGGGCAGGGCATAGCCGAACAAAAGGCAGCAGAAACCTCTGCAGACTTAAATGTCCCCATCTGACAGCTTTGAAGAGAGTAGCGGTTCTCCCAGCACAGAGTTTGAGATCTGAGAACGGACAAATTGCCTCCTCAAGTGGGTCCCTGATCCCTGAGTAGCCTAAATGGGAGGCACCCCCAGTAGGGGCAGACTGAAACCTTACATGGCCGGGTACCCCTCTGAGACAAAACTTGCAGAGGAATGATCAGGCAGCAATATTTGCTGTTCAGCAATATTCGCTGTTCTGCAGCCTCCTCTGCTGATATTCAGGCAAACAGGGTCTGGAGGGGACCTCCAGCAAACTCCAACAGACCTGCAGCTGAGGGTCCTGACTGTTAGAAGGAAAACTAACGAACAGAAAAGACATCCACACCAAAACCCCATCTGTACATCACCATCGTCAAAGAACAAAGGTAGATAAAACCGCAAAGATGGGGAACAAACAGAGCAGAAAAGCTGAAAATTCTAAAAATCAGAGCACCTCTCCCCCTCTAAAAGAACGCAGCTCCTCACCAGCAATGGAACAAAGCTGGATAGAGAATGACTTTGATGAGAGAAGAAGGCTTCAGACGATCAAACTTCTCCAAGCTAAAGGAGGAAGTTTGAACCCATCACAAAGAAGTTAAAAACCTTGAAAAAAGATTAGATGAATGGCTAACTAGAATAACGAATGTAGAGAAGTCCTTAAATGACCTGATGGAGCTGAAAACTATGGCACGAGAACTGTGTGACAAATGCACAAGCTTCAGTAGCCAATTCGATCAACTGGAAGAAAGGGTATCAGTGATTGAAGATCAAATGAATGAAATGAAGCAAGGAGAAGTTTTGAGAAAAAAGAGTAAAAACAAAGGAACAAAGCCTCCAAGAAGTATGGGACTATGTGAAAAGACCAAATCTACATCTGATTGTTGTACCTGAAAGTGACGGGGAGAATGGAACCAAATTGGAAAAAGCTCTGCAGGATTTTATCCAGGAGAACTTCCCCAACCTAGCAAGGTAAGCCAATATTCAAATTCAGGAAATACAGAGAACGCCACAAAGATACTCATCGAGAAGAGCAACTCCAAGACACATAATTGTCACATTTACTAAAGTTGAAATGAAGGAAAAAATGTTAAGGGCAGCCAGAGAGAAAGGTCGGGTTACCAACAAAGGGAAGCCCATCAGACTAACAGTGGATCTCTTGGCAGAAACACTACAAGCCAGAAGACAGTGGGGGCCAATATTCAACGTTCTTAAAGAAAATAATTTTCAACCCAGAATTTCATATCCAGCCAAACTAAGCTTCATAAGTGAAGGAGAAATAAAATCCTTTACAGATAAGCAAATGCTGAGAGATTTTGTCACGACCAGGCCTGCCCTACAAGAGCTCCTGAAGGAAGCACTAAACATGGAAAGGAATAACCGGTACCAGCTACTGCAAAAACATGCCAAAGTGTAAAGACCATCGAGGCTAGAAAGAAACTGCATCAACTAACGAGCAAAATAACCAGCTAAAATCATAATGACAGGATCAGATTCACACATAACAATATTAGCCTTAAGCATAAATGGGCTAAATGCTCCAATTAAAAGACACAGACTGGCAAATTGGATAAAGAGTCAAGACCCATCAGTGTGCTGTATTCAGGAGACCCATCTTATGTGCAGAGACACACATAGGCTCAAAATAAAGGGATGGAGGAAGATCTACCAAGCAAATGGAAAACAAAAAAAGGCATTAAAGATCAAGAGACAAAAAAGGCCATTACATAATGGTAAAGGGATCAATTCAACAAGAAGAGCTAACTGTCCTAAATATATATGCACCCAATACAGGAGCACCCAGATTCATAAAGCAAGTCCTTAGAGACCTACGAAGAGACTTAGACTCCTACGCAATAATAATGGGAGACTTTAACACCCCACTGTCAACATTAGACAGATCAATGACACAGAAAGTTAACAAGGATATCCAGGAATTGAACTCAGTTCTGCACCAAGCGGACCTAATAGACATCTACAGAACTCTCCAACCCAAATCAACAGAATATGCATTCTTCTCAGCACCACATTACACTTATTCCAAGATTGACCACAAAGTTGGAAGTAAAGCACTCCTCAGCAAATGTAGAAGAACAGAAATTATAACAAACTGTCTCTCAGACCACAGTGCAATCAAACTAGAACTCAGGGTTAAGAAACTCACTCAAAACCACTCAACTACATGGAAACTGAATAACCTGCTCCTGAATGACTACTGGGTACCTAACGAAATGAAGGCAGAAATAAAGATGTTCTTTGAAACCAGTGAGAACAAAGACACAACATACCAGAATCTCTGGGACACACTTAAAGCAGTATGTAGAGGGAAATTTATAGCACTAAGTGCCCACAAGAGAAAGCAGGAACGATCTAAAATTGACACCCTAACATCACAATTAAAAGAAGTAGAGAAGCAAGAGCAAACACATTCAAAAGCTAGCAGAAGGCAAGAAATAACTAAGATCAGAGCAGAACTGAAGGAGATGGAGACACCAAAAACCCTTCAAAAAAAATCAATGAATCCAGGAGCTGGTTTTTTGAAAATATCAACCAAATTGATAGACTGCTAGCAAGACTAGTAAGGAAGAAAAGAGAGAAGAATGAAATAGATGCAATAAAAAATGATAAAGGGGATATCACCACCGATGCCACAGAAATACAAACTACCATCAGAGAATATTATAAACACCTCTATGCAAATAAACTAGAAATCTAGAAGAAATGGATACATTCTTGGACATATACACCTTCCCAAAACTAAACCTGGAAGAAGTTCAATCTCTGAATAGACCAATAACAGGCTCTGAAATTGAGACAATAATTAATAGCTTACCATCCAAAAAAAGTCCAGGACCAGACAGATTCACAGCCAAATTCTACCAGAGGTACAAGGAGGAGCTGGTACCATTCCTTCTGAAACTATTCCAATCGACAGAAAAGAGGGAATCCTCCTTAACTCATTTTATGAGGCCAACATCATCCTGATACCAAAGCCTGGCAGAGACACAAGAAAAAAAAAAGAGAATTTTAGACCAATATTCCTGATGAACATTGATGCAAAAATCCTCCACGAAATGCTGGCAAACTGAATCCAGCAGCACATCAAAAAGCTTATCCACCATGATCAAATGGGCTTCATCCCTGGGATGCAAGGCTGGTTTAACATACACAAATCAATAAATGTAATCCAGCATATAAACAGAACCAAAGACAAAAACCACATGATTATCTCAATAGATGCAGAAAAGGCCTTTGACAAAATTCAACAGCGCTTCATGCTAAAAACTCTCCATAAATTCGGTATTGATGGGACATATCTCAAAATCATAAGAACTATTTATGACAAACCCACAGCCAATATCATACTGAATGGGCAAAAACTGGAAACATTCCCTTTGAAAACTGGCCCAAAACAGGGATGCCCTCTCTCACCACTCCTATTCAACATAGTGTTGGAAGTTCTGGCCAGGGCAATGAGGCAGGAGAAAGAAATAAAGGGTATTCAATTAGGAAAAGAGGAAGTCAAATTGTCCCTGTTTGCAGATGACATGATTGCATATCTAGAAAACTCCCTCATCTCAGCCCAAAATCTCCTTAAGCTGATAAGCAACTTCAGCAAAGTCTCAGGATACAAAATCAATGTGCAAAAATAACAAGCATTCTTATACACCAATAACAGACAAACACAGAGCCAAATCATGAATGAACTCCCATTCACAATTGCTTCAAAGAGAATAAAATACCTAGGAATCCAACTTACAAGGGATGTGAAGGACCTCTTCAAGGAGAACTACAAACCGCTGCTCGACGAAATAAAAGAGGACACAAACAAATGGAAGAACATTCCATGCTCATGGATAAGAAGAATCAATATCGTGATTGGTAATTTATAGATTCAAGGTATTGCCCAAGGTAATTTATAGATTCAATGCCATCCCCATCAAGCTACCAATGACATTCTTCACAGAATTGGAAAAAACTACTTTAAAGTTCATATGGAACCAAAAAAGAGCCCACATTGCCAAGACAATCCTAAGCCAAAAGAACAAAGCTGGAGGCATCCCGCTACCTGACTTCAAACTATCCTACAAGGCTACAGTAACCAAAACAGCATGGTACTGGTACCAAAACAGAGATATAGACCAATGGAACAGAACAGAGCCCTCAGAAATAGTACCACACATCTACAATCATCTGATCTTTGACAAACCTGACAAAAACAAGCAATAGGGAAATGATTCCCTATTTAATAAATGGTGCTGGGAAAACTGGCTAGCCATATGTAGAAAACTGAAACTGAATCCCTTCCTTCTTATACAAAAATTAATTCAAGATGGATTAAAGACTTAAATGTTAGACATAAAACCATAAAAACCCTAGAAGAAAACCTAGGCAATACCATTCAGGACATAGGCATAGGCAAAGACTTCCTGTCTAAAACACCAAAAGCAATGGCAAAAAAAGCCAACATTGACAAATTAGATCTAATTAAACTAAAGAGCTTCTGCACAGCAAAAGAAACTACCATCAAAGTGAACAGGCAACCTACAAAATGGGAGAAAATTTTTGCAATCTACTCATCTGACAAAGGGCTAATATCCAAAATCTACAAAGAACTCAAACAAATTTACAAGAAAAAGACAAACGACCCCATCAAAAAGTGGGTGAAGGATATGAACAGACACTTCTCAAAAGAAGACATTTATGCAGCCAACAGACACATGAAAAAATGCTCATCATCACTGGCCATCAGAGAAATGCAAATCAAAACCACAATGAGATACCATCTCACACCAGTTAGAATGGTGATCATTCAAAAGTCAGGAAACAACAGGTGCTGGAGAGGCTGTGGAGAAATAGGAACACTTTTACACTGTTGGTGGGACTAGTTCAACCGTTGTGGAAGATAGTGTGGCGATTCCTCAAGGATCTAGAACTAGAAATACCATTTGACCCAGCCATCCCATTACTGGGTATATACCCAAAGGATTATAAATCATGCTGCTATAAAGACACATGCACATGTATGTTTATTGTGGCACTATTCACAATAGCAAAGACTTGGAACCAACCCAAATGTCCATCAGTGATAGACTGGATTAAGAAAATGTGGCACATATACACCATGGAATACTATGCAGCCATAAAAAAGGATGAGTTCATGTCCTTTGTAGGGACATGGATGAAGTTGGAAACCATCATTCTCAGCAAACTATCGCAAGGACAAAAAACCAAACACTGTATGTTCTCACTCATAGGTGGGAATTGAACAATGAGAACACTTGGACACAGGAAGGGGAACATCACACACCGGGGCCTGTTGTGGAGTGCGGGGAGTGGGGAGGGATAGCATTAGGAGATACACCTAATGTAAATGATGAGTCAATGGGTGCAGCACACCAACATGGCACATGTATACACATGTAACAAACCTGCACGTTGTGCACATGTACCCTAGAACTTAAAGTATAATAAAAGAAAAAAAGAGCTGCATGAGAAGAGTGCCCCTCATCCCACAGGGTCATGAAGAAGAGCCCTAGCTGAAACTCTTCTCCCCAGTGTCCCTCTCCTTCTAATCCTTCTCCATTCTTCTCCTGAGTCTAGCCTTCTGCTGAAGAGCCCTTAACAGAGATCACTACCCTATGATCCTGCACATCCACATCTGCGACTTTAATGTTCCTTGAAAAGGGTTTACATAGGATTGAATGGAGGGAGGGTTACTATTGTTTTTACTTCTTCTCTAAGCCATGTCTCCTCTCTCACACACCAGATTTTAGTGGCTTGACTTCTGTGAACACAATTTTCTGTCAGACACTTATTTTGTTGATTTAGTTCTGTTGGTAAACATTGGAGCACAGTCTTACAGTCATCCCCCCGCAGCTAGAACTGTGAGCTACTAGGAGCTAAAAATAAGAGGGTCTCCTAGGCATTTAAACAAATATTGCCGTTCAACAGAGTCTCTTTCTTTATTCTAAGAATTAAAAAATAAGGTCCGGACATTTTTTTTCACATAGTTAAGTATAATCTAGCTAAAAATAGTGCCATGTTTTAATATCTGTAACCTAGAATTCTTATCCAAGCAAAAACATTTTCACTTCTTATACCCCCATTGTGGTAAACCTTGCTTAAGGAGATTAATTCATAGATATGTAAGTATTTAGTTTTAAATGTGAATCTCCCTAAAGAAAAACATGTTTTCATTGGCTGATAAAATTCTCTCATCTCCTCCATTACTTTGCTGTCTCCAATGTAAGTCCTTTTTTAGGAAAAATGGGATGACAGCTGGCATTATTTGGTCTCTGTTATGTGCATGGCTGACTGATAAGCAATTTACACACATTCTCCTCTTCAGGTCTTATGAGGAACATATGTCTCTCTTAGGGAGACATATTATCTCCATTTTTCTAAGAAGAAAACAGACTTGGGGGATTAAGTAACATTTCAAAGACAATATAGAAAAGTGTCATTGCTGGAATTTGAGCTATGGTCAGTCTGACTTTAAAGCTCTACTTCTAGATTTGTAAAATTTAATCTGTCCTTGACACAAGCAGTTAATAGAAGACTTTTCCTCTAGCACTGGCAGAGGAAAGGATTAGAATAATGACATAACTTTCTACAATATGTAAGACCATGTACACCCAACATCACATCAACGATCATACAATTGAAAATGTGGTTTAATCGTATCCGTAGATATGTTTTGTCATAGGTGAGACCCACACTTCAATAGCAACAATAAAAAATGAATTAGTATTTAGATTATAAATTCTAGCACAAACACCATATCTGCTTTAACATTCATTGAATTTATTGAAATAAAACCAGTCATATAAAATGACTTAATGATGATCTTAAGGAATGTCCTGTAGTTCTCAGTGTATGTTTAGGACTTCCTGGTTTCCCACTCTTACCGTAGACCAGGGGATTACAGCCTGTGCCTGTTCCCTTCAGGACCCAGCAGGTGGATGTTGCATGTTACCCTCTCTTATCTTGTAAGTTACTTGCCAATCAAGAAGTTGAACAATCGCCTATGTTCTTCATATAAGACAGCAGAACATTCCAGGCCTCTCTTGGTTCAAAAACTTCTCAGTATTGGCCTAGAGGCTTTGACATCTCTGCCTCACTTGGAATTTGCAGTGGCTCAAAGTCATAGCTTTAGGGATGCAAGAACGTAAGCTTCACCTCGAACATAAACTTCACCTCCAACTTTTGACTCCGTTTATATTTGTCAACTATTTGTTTCTGGCCTGCTTCTTCTCTGTCTTGATTTTTTTTTTGACTGTGCAATTTATTTACTTTAATTCTGCTTTTTTTAAATTATACTCTATGTTCTAGGGTATATGCACAACGTGCAGGTTTGTTACATATATATACATGTGCCATGTTGGTGTGCTGCACCCATTAACTCGTCATTTACATTAGGTATATCTCCTAATGCTATCCCTCCCCCCTCCCCCCACCCCACGACAGGCCCCGGTGTGTGATGTTCCCCTTCCTGTGACATCTTGATTTTGGTGCCAAATTAGTCCTTCACAAGAACCAGTGTAAAAGTAGGCCTTGCTGTTTATTCTAAGTTTTTCTTAAATCTTCTGATTTTCTTCCTAGGTATGTCTGCATAAGCTTAACTATAATCAGTCCCTTTTTAGATCTAAATTTTATTGGTGCTCCTAGTATGTTATCAGGAGAATAGGTTTTGCTGCACATCATAAAAATCTGGATTCCAACAGGCTTAAACTATCCATTATTCCACATAGCAAGAGGTCCAGAGACAAGGCAGCCTTCAAGTTCGGTTGACTTGGTGATGTCATCAAGGATTCAGGATCATTTCACCTCTTCTCATCCATTCTTAGTTTAGGCTCCATTCTCAGGCTGGTAGAAATACAGCTGCAGCAGTTCTAGTTTTCTCATTCTGACACAGTATCTAGAAGGGAAGAGACCATCCTTTCCTTGAGGTCTCTCTTTGAGCCAAGGAAATGTTTCCTGAAGGTCCCTGCAGACTTCCTCTCATGTCTCATTGGTCATATGCCCATGCTTGAACCCCTCACTGGCAAGAGGGATGGATCTGCAATGATGGCCTCAGGTCAGTCACCTGGGTAGAATGAATGTCAGGGAATCAGCCACAATATTCATATGTAGTGAATTTCTTCCAAATTTGTTTAAATAGTGATGATGGTGGCATACTATCTGGTTGTGTGCATAGTGCCATGACATTAGTATGTTGCAAACAAAGAAATATTTTACATGGTATAGTATGCTCCAGATTCTTGGGTGCAGAACTAAAAAGTATATTTGATGCAATGTTCCTGTTACATTTGCAAGACCTACTACATGCTGGAGTTCTCTGATACAATGCTAATAAACTTATCCAAAGCTAAAATTTGAATGAATTGTATTATCTACTTTATCCTTGTAGAATAAGAATGCATCCTTTAAATATTAGTTGTAATAGGAATGTTAAGTGATGCTTTTCACTGTTGCTTAATTTTAGCAGAGGCCACAGGGGCTGAAAAAGAAAAATCAGAGAAATCGGTCTGGCCATGCAGGATATGCTAAGAGACTGTGATTCTGTTTTTGCCAGCATTAATAGATCGTTCTCCTCCATATCACCAAAAAGAAGAAAGTTAAAGGCACCAGTAGATTACTTTGCTGAAGGTTGTCACTGAGTGTGTGTTCCTTTCCTTTGCTATGGGTGAGTGGAGATGGGTGTACTGCAAGAGAGGGAAGCTGCAAGAGCACCACTCACAGAGCTTGGCATATGCCCGTAAGTATTTGGAGGAGGTAGCGACCGGTATTTGATGCCTACCTGAAAATGTCTAATGGGGAAGGGCTTGCCAACCACTCTGAAGGCAGAGCAAGGAGAGCTTACTACACAGTCAGAGGAAGCTGCTTTCCTACCAAAAGCAAGGACAAAGTATGTTTCCCATGATGACCAAAACCCACAGGAGGATGGTGGTCATGAGTCTTCTTAACAGTGATGTGAGTAAGAAGAAAACAAGGAAATTGGAGTGTGGTGGAAGCCAAAGAAAGAATGGGCAGCAATTACAAACGTTTATTAGATATCAAATGCCCATTGGATTTGGTGTGAAGTTCATTGGTACCTTTGGTGGTGAAGGAGCAAGCCAGGCTGTAGCAGACTGCATTTTCACAGTGATCAGTTGTAAGTTTAGTGAAAAGGAATCGAGGGAATTTCCATCTGTATTCATTATTTGTTGCTTCATAACAAGATCCCCCTTACCCTCAAAACCTAACAGCTTAACACAGCACACATTCATTATTTCACAGTACATGTGGGTCACGAATTTAACACACATGGGTCCCCTGCTTTAGGGCTTCTCTGAAGGCAACAATCAAGGTGCCAATCAAAAGTGGAGTCTCATCCAAACACGTGACTAGGAAGGAGCTGCTTTCAGGGACATGGGATCCTTGGCAGAATTTAGTTTCCACAGGACTGTTGGACCAAGGGCCTCAGTTCCTAGCCAGCTGTTGGCAAGAGTCTACCATTAGTTCCTTGCCACATGGGCCCCTCTAATATGGTGACATATTAGTTTTATATCACCGGATAACAAATTACCAGTTTTAGAAACTTGACGGAATCCAGAGGGGCTTGACTAAGTTCTGTGAATCTCATAAAGCTGAAGTCAAGGTATCAGTCATGATGGGTTCTTTTCTGTAAGATCTGGGAGAAAATCCACTTCCAAGCTCACTCAGGCTGTTGGAAGCATCTGATCCCTTGTGGCTGTAGACCCTAGATCTCTGTTTCCTTGCTGGCTGTCAGTTAGGGCCTGCTCTTTGCTCCTAGAAGCTGCCTGCATTCTTCATCATGTGGTCACCACCACCTACAAAGCCAGCAATGGGGTGTTGAATCCTCATGCTTTAAATCTCTTACTTCCCTTATTGCCACCAGCCAAAGAAAACTATTTGTTTTGAAGGACTTGTGTGATTAGAATAAGCACACCCAAATAGTCTCCTATCTTAAGGTCAACTGTGCCATGTAACATAACATAACAATGAGAGTGATATCTTATCAGGTCCGTAGGTTCTGGGGATTCGAGTACAACATCTTGGGGTAGGGCAGGTTAGAAATTCTGCCTATTGCAGGCAGTTTGATTTATCAAAGTGTGGTGGCTCAGAAAGAAATGCAGCCTCCCAGCAAGATGCACAAGTGGTCAGCAGGGTCAGAGTGGTGTGTAACCTACTCGTGGAAGTGGCATCCATTACCTTTGCCATATTCTATTGGGAGAAGCAAATCACAAGACCTTGCTCAAGGTATGGGGCCTCCACTAGGGTATGGATCTGCAATGATGGCCTCAGGTCAGTCCACACCTGGGTGGAGTGAATGTCAGTGAATGAGCCACAATATGCATAGCAGGCAGTGGTGGTCACTGGGGTCCATCTCACCATGCCCTGCTTGCCATATCTTCCAATGTTTCTATTTTCTCCTAGGAGTAGGAGGCCTAGAGTGAGTAGGAGTTGCTATGGAAAAAAGTTTTGGGTCAAGTGGGGAAGTTTCCAAATAGAGTTGAGAACAAGGAAACACACAAATTAGGGAAACACAGAATTATCGCTGGATAGTACAGGATAATCCCTTAAGGTAAAAGGTTAGGAATTTAGCTATTAAAAGACTCACAAAATGCTTCTAGTTTTCAAAATTCCCAGTCTAATTTGTGTGGCATATATAGATACTACATGGCATTTCTAGATTCATAAATGGTCCAAAGGACTTTGACTAGCTTAACTATAGCAAATGTACCATTCTTTGTGAGACTATCTGATGGGCAGCCATGGCCCCACGGAGATTTTCTACCCCAAATCCCACAAATTCCCACTCACATACATATTTATTTTAGGTGACAATAACCAAAAAGTTGGTCAATATAATGGTATAATTAAAATGTAAAATTATTGTTAAGTTAGGCAAAGTCTAACTGATTTCAAAGTTTCTTCAGGATTCTCCAACCTTGCACAATTTGAACAACTGTGCAGTGAATCAAACTACTGACAGAAACTAGCATACAATAAGCAATTACAAAGTCTGCAGTAGTATAACTCAGGCATAATACTGGGCAGCACAATATTGTTCTGACCTTAAACAAATTACTTAACCTCTCTGAGCCTTAGTTTTTTTCATCTTCAAAAATTAGAGCAATAATATCTCTTTCAGTGAATTAAATGAAACAACACAAGTAATTAAAACAATGTAAGGAATACATGGTATTATTTATCCTAAATAAATTTTTCCATTTCATTGTTCAATTTACTCCAAAAAGAATTATTAGTCCAAATGTTGTCATTCCAATCTAAATTGTTGTAAAATCAAGTAAATGTCTAAAGTCTATTCTAAGATGCTACAAAAACTTAAAGCAACATTTTATATTTCCTTTTTTCTCATTGGGAGGGGAGTCTAAAAACAATGCAACCCCCTTTTCAGTAATAGACAATTTCTCCTAATTTTATATTTGTTCAAAAGAGTAATTTACAATCACTTACTGTGTTCTAATGTTGGCAAAGACCCTATTATTTCTCTAATGGAATTGACCTATAAATTTTCATACTTCAAAAGCCTTAGTAAATAAATATTAATCAGAGGATCTCACAAAAACTGTGACTGAAAAATGTACATATGAGTTCAACCAAGAAAGAAATGAGTATAATAACAATGCCACTCAATTTTAATATTGGAGAACAAAAAAGATGAATAGCTAATTTATGACAAATGAGAATTTACTCATTGCCAAAATACAATGGATCATTTGTTGCAGACTCAAAAAGGTAAGATAGTAATGGAATTTCATAATATTGGCTTTTCCAGTAGGCTTTTTTTGTTGTTGTTCATATAAAACTTGAATTTTTCAACTTAATTAAACTGGAATTTAGAAAGTAGTGAAGTATATTTTAATTTACTATCTGTTTTTCATAAATTGACCCATCACTGACAATCAAAGAATATATGCATATAGACATTACTGTCATTCTTATATCACAAGCCACATTTACTGATTAATTTGAATGACTTAATATGGTGCATATATGAAATTAAAGGCTGGAGTGATCATTTAAAATTTCCAATCACTTTTGACAGCTTGATTCTACCCTGCTTAGTAAGTAATATTTGATGTAATTGAATTCTCACATTATAACCTATTTGGGCCTATTAGAACCATTGAATATGACATGTAACTATTAATGCCAAGAACAGGCACAAAATCACACACATGTGCACTTGCACATGCACACACACACACCTCCTCCCCTAGGAATACTCCTTAGCTATGTTATGTACATGTTCATTGGCTATATAATGCTCATTCATTAATGCAACGAGCAAACAAAATTGAGCCCTACATCATTGTGTCAGGAATTGGTCTATAGATAAAATATTAAACAAGACATAGTCACTACCCTCAAAAAGCTCACGCATCAGTCAGAGAATAAAATAGGCAATTATAATTCCCTGTCATAGAGGTACAAACAATAGAAGTATCATAAGATCATATAAAAGGCCAACTTCTATTCTCTTACCACAATCAGTAGGCTACTTCCAGGTGGGTAACCTTGACCATGTGAACATAAAAAAATATGGATGACTTTTTACATCAAAATAGATGCCTTTAGAATCTTCATTCATGGATCTAGTCAATCCATGAATCCTACTAACTATGGGTTTCTTTACTTTGAGTTAAAACACATTAAAAAATATTTATCTAGTTTGCTAAAATACTAAAACTAAAGCCATTTTGGTCTGATATTAATATACTCCAGCTCTCTTATGGTTGTTGTTCATGGTATATCATTTTCTATTCTTTTACGTTCAATCTGTATCTTTGAATCTAAACTCTGTCTCCTGTAGACAGCATATAGTTGGATCACGTTTTTAACAATCTAACCTGATCATCTGTCTTTTGATTTTTTGTATAATCCATTCACCCCAACCTTTTTTTTTTTTTTTTTTTTTTTTTTTGAGATGATGTCTCCATCTGTCACTCAGGCTGTAATTCAGTGGCATATTCTTGGCTCACTGCAACCTCTGCCTTCCAAGCTCAATCTATCCTCCCACCTCACCTTCTTAAATAGCTGGAAATACAGGCGGGTACCACCAAGGCCAGCTACATTTTCGACTTTTAGTAGGGATGGGGTTTCACCATGTTGCCCAGGCTGCTCTCAAACTCCAGGGATCAAGCAATCCACCCACCTTGGCCTCAGAAAGTGTTGGGATTACAGATGTGAGCCACCATGCCCGGCCAGTGCAGTCACTTTTAATGTTAGTAGTGATATGGCTGGATTTATATCTGCCATTTTGCTTTTTCTGTGCTTAATGTCCCATTGCTTCTTTTATTCCTCTGTTCCCCATTTATTATCTTCTTTTGTTTTATGTAGATATGTTCTAATGCAACCTTTTTATTTCTTTAATACATTTAATTATATTTTTCAAAATATTTTCTTAGTGATTGTTCTAGTGCTTACAGTATACATCTCGACTATACTATTAATACATTCCATTTCAGGTTTATGCTAACCAAAACCTAAAAATTAAGTGAAATATAAGAACTTTACTCCATATGGCTTCATCCCTTCCCTCCCTTTTTGTGTTATTATTTATTTTTTGTGTTACTATATATCTATGTATTCTAGAAATTAGTATCACATTGTTATAATTTTGTTCTACAAATTTATGTCTTTTTACAGAAGCAGAGAGAAGGAAAATAAGTATGTATTTATAGATTTTTTACTTTAACCTTTTAATTTACCTTCTCTGGTTCTCTTCATTTCTTCCTGATAATTGAACTTACCATTTGTTATCCTTACATTATTTTAATGCAGCTTTGTGTCTATCTGCCTCCACTATGCTATTTTTGTCACATGTATTACAAAATTCTGTATTTTCTAAGCCCAACAACACAACTAAAATCTATATATGTATACACATACAGAAATACATAGATATATATTTGCGTTTATGCAATTACTTTTAAAATCAGTTAAGAGAAGAAATGAGAAAAAATATGCAATTAAACTGTTTTTTGTAATTACATACCTAATTACCTGTATGAGAACTTTAGTATTTCTCATAAGGGATATCTGCTAGCAACAAATTCTCTCAGGTTTTGTTTATCTGGAAAGCTTTTATTTTGCCTTCATTTTTGAATAATAGCCCTTTTTCTGGCTATAAGATTCTTGGTTGAGAGGATTTTTTTTGTTTGATTTTTTTTTTCACTTTGAACACTTTGAATATGCCATTACATTGCCTTTTGGACTCCATTACTTCTCATATGAAATTATCTGTAATCTTATTGAGGTTCCCTTGTGTTTGTTTAATTATTTTTCTCTTATTGCTTTAAGATTTCTTCTTTCAACATTTTTTACCATGATACATATGACTGTAGTTCTCTTTGCATTTGTTCTACTTGGACTTTATTGGATAGGTAGATTAATGTTTTTCAAGAAATTTGGAGACCTTTTAGACATTATTTCTCCTAATTTTTTTTCTGCCTCTTTTTCATCTCCTTCTACAACTCTAAATATATGTATATTGGTGTGTTTAAAGGTATTTCACATTTCTCTGAAGCGCTATTCATTTTCTTATTTTTCTCTTTTTTCTTTAGATTGTATGATCTCTATTGATCTATCTTCCGTTTCACTGATTCTTTTTTCATTTTATTGTACTTTTCAACTTTAGAACTTTCATTTGGTTATTTTAATAATTTCTATATTTTCACTGATATTTTCTGTTTGATGAGACCTTGTCATCATATACTCCTTTAATTCTTTAGACATGGTTTGCATAAGTTCTTTAAACTTTGTAATAGTTGCTTTGAAGTCTTTGTAAGTTCAACATCTTGACTTTTTCAAAAGCAATTTCTATTGCTCGCTTCTTTATCTTGAGTGTAGGTCATGCTTTCCTAGTTCTTTGAATACCATGTAATGTTTTATTGAAAAAAAAATTGGTTTTTTAGGTAATACCTGATCTATGCACTTTTTCCTCCCTGAGCTATCATTTAATTTTAAATCCTATAAATATTTTACAAAATAATTCATATGATAAATGTTACTAACCCAATTTATAAAATTTTGAAATCCTCTCATTTTCTAGTATATTCTTAGATATAGTACAGTGTCAAATACATAACAGGAACTAAATAGTATTTGTGAATACATAAATTTTATGCAATGGATAGAAGATAGGAAAGGCTGTGGCATAGCTGGTGGTGGCAAGCAAAGCTAGAGGACTTCAGTAGGATTCCCACCAAGGTAACCAGCTGGTTTCCTTTATATGGCCCTTGCTCCATCACATATTCTCAACACAGCAGCCTTTAACAACTTTAACAAAGACATCTTTAACAAAGACTATCGGTCACTTGTCTGTTCAGAATCCTCCAGTGGCTTCCCATCACCCTCAGAGTGCAAGGCTTCCATTGCATCTCTGCCTTATCTCCTGCTACTCTTCCCACCTTAGTCTATTCTGCCACCCTGGCCTCCTTTCAAGGTATTCTCCCTGCCTCTCTCATTTGCATCTTAGATTATGTCTGCTTAGAACGTTCTTCCCTAATAAATTCACATGATTCTTTCTCCTACGTCCCTCCAATCTTTCCTCAGATGTCACTTTATCCACCAAGATTTCTTAGCCTCTCCTTCCTGTTGTGTTTTTCTCCTTGGGATTTATCATTATCTAATTACTACATAATTTACTTTCTTACCTCACTGATTTTCCTTCTCCTCTACTAGAATGTGAGTTCTGTGAAGGTAGGCTTTGCTTCTTTTGTTCCTGTTATATCCCCAGTTCATTGAAGAGTATCTGGCACATAGTTAACAATTCAACAATATGTGTAAAATGTATAAAATAAATAAACAAACATGGCAGTATGAATGGCTAATAAACAATACTTCATTCATTCTACTAGTATGTATTGAGTACCAATGATATGCCAGGAACTCTTTTGGGCACTGAAGACACATTGGAAACCCAGACATATGAAATCCCCCTCCTCATGCAGCTGCGGGGAACAACTAAAGGAAGAACATAATTTTTGTTGTTTAAATATATTATGAAGAAACCTATGGCAGGGTAAAATGCAAAAAATATGAGAAGATAAACACTGGTGACAAGGAGTTTAGTTTAGGGAATATCTCTGTATGGAGGTGACATTTGTTGATCACGATGATGGTGATGGTAATTAATGATAGTGAAGAAGATGATAATGATCACTGTAACAATGAGGAGGAAGACAGTGATAATAGAGGTGGCCAAAAATTAAGCAGAAGGTTGTGGGTACTAGCTGTAGTTTTGTAAAATTTTCACTATGTAGTGCTGATTCCCCAGAACAAGTTGTCTGTTGTATCTAATTTGTTAAATGCTTAAATGAGAGATTGTGTCAAAATGTGAGAATAGCACCATTAGTACCCTTCCTGATTCTGTTACGTCTTGTTCTTTCCCAAATTGCTTGTTTACTCTTTTTAAAAAAAATCTCGTATACTTTCTAGGAAGGATAACAATGTATTTTAAATGAGGCCATAACCATCACTACTCCTTATTGCATAGAAAATTACATAATACTCAAGAGATGTCAACAAAAATTTTTCATTTTAATGAAGACTTTGACCTAAAGTAAATTGCATATGTCTAAGCTCATTTCAAAAATCAATTAAATCTTCCAGCAGGAGACCAGCCAAAGAAGTTCCAAGAAATGATTTGCCTGGACAATGACATTACTATTTCTTCATCTGAGTAGTAAATCATGTTCCTAGCCTCACCACCCTGTCACCTCAACTCCCCAAAAAGGCTTTAGTAGTGCAAGTCCTTTCCAGTATAATCCTGACACTTCCAGGCATAGAGCACAGTATATATCTGAAGTCAGCAATCCTCTTACTTGTCTCAATAGTAACATAACTTTTTATTCTATTGTAATTCATTTTATATATATATATATATATATATAGTATGTTAGCCACCAAGATTTTTATTTATTTTATTTTTATTTTTATTTATTTATTTTGAGACAGAGTCTTACTCTGTTGCCCAGGTGGGAGTGCAGTGGTGCAATCACAGCTCACTGTATCCTTAAACCCCATATAAAAGAATTTTGTTTTCTATTCACTTTTATATGTCTAGATATCTGAAGATAACAAGTACATGATCAAAAAATAATTAAGCAGCAGGACAGTCCCCAGGTGGCAAGAGATTATTTCAATTATTTAAAAACAAAATATGTGAACTTGGCAAATATTGCACAGCTAATGCAAAAGAAAAGATATGAAATGAAAGTGGTATCCTTCTTAAAATGCAAACTATAAAATACATTCCAATGTATTCCCATTTGTTTATTATAACTTAATATCTTTAAATTTTAATCTTTGTGCTCTCCTTTTCCATACCATCTTAAAAGTTACCTCTTCCATCAGCAGTCAGAAGCATGCAATTGCCTCGAAAATTCACAGAATTTTTATAGATAACTGAAAAAAGGAGCCAATGTTTGTTTGTTTGTTTAAATAAACTTATATGTTAAGTCAGGGGTTGATATCCTACTTTTGAAAAGACAAAAATGCTTAAAATTCTATCATCATAAATTCTATTTGTCTTACAGGTATCGATTGCCAAAACAGAACACTACTAAGCTAGTTACGGGATTTGTATAAAAATAATTTTCTTTTTGCTTTTTTTATTTTTTAATTTTATTATTATTATACTTTAAGTTTTAGGGTGCATGTGCACAACGTGCAGGTTTGTTACATATGTATACATGTGCCATGTTGGTGTGCTGCACCCGTTAACTTGTCATTTAGCATTAGGTATATCTCCTAATGCTATAAAAATAATTTTTTAATGTTAGCATTTTTTATTACATATATATGCATCCATAAAAGCAATATATAGTACTGTTTTACATGCATTTAAGTTTGGTATAAATTGTATAAACATCACATATATCATGCTGTGAGTTGCTTTTTAAAAAATTCAACATTATGTTTTAAGAATAGCTAGGTTGATATGATTAGATAAAGTTTGTCCATTTTTAACTGCTCTGTGGAGTACCCTTATGTGAATATTTCACAATCTAATTTATCCACTCTTTTATTGGTATACATTTAGATTGGTTTCAATTGTTTGTTATCACAAGCATCACTACAATAAACATTCTTGTACACATCTTTTTACGCTAGTTTATATAAATCATTATAGAATAAATACCTAGATATGGAATTTCTAGGTCACATAAAATGCCCGAATTCATATTTACTAAATAATATCAAATTTTTATCCAACATTGTTGTACACAATTTACCTTCTCAACAGCACCGTAGGAGAATTTCCATTTCCCTACATCCTTACCAATAGTTGGTATTGTCAGATACTTGACAATATGAGGATAGAAATTTCATTTACTATATTTGCATTTGTTCCTGAGAATAATTTATTCATATTCCCTTATTACATTTTAATTCATATTTATTACTGTGAATAATTATCTCTTTATGAACTTATTGACTTCTGAGGTTTTCCTTTCTCTCTTATGACTTTCCTGTTCATGCCTTTGCTATTTTTTGACTTGGACTTTTAGTGTTTATTAATTTGTAGAAATGTTTACCCCTGCGTAGACTAACACATAGTAGTTGTTAGTTGAAAACTGACAAAATCTTGCTAATAACTTCTCCAAGTCCATGTCTTATTGTTTGTAGATATTTTTTGTGGTGTCTTTATCATGTAGAAGATTTTTAGTTTTGCTGTAGTCAAATTTATCACACTTTATTTTTTAGGGCTTGAGATCTTATAACTGGTTCAATAAATCCTTGATTATGCTGTAAAAGACTAAATTTTCAATTGTTTTCTTAGAAAAGTTACAAAGTTTTATGTCTTATATTATGATCTATCTACCTGGAATTTATTTTGCTCTAAACTATGGTTCTAATTTTACTTTGACTCTATGTGGAAAGCTAATTGCCCTTGTACTGTTTATTAAATAGTCTCTCTTTTCTGCGTTTATTTAAAATGGCATCTTTGGTAATGTCAAGTTTTTATAATTCTGATTCAAGGTTATCGATTCTCTCTTTTATCAATAACATATGATCTTACATATTATACTGTTATTTTAAGGCTTGATATTGGGTCTTGGTACTTTACTATTTTTCTTCAAAAATTATTTTTTATTATTGCACATAAAGAGTAAAAGCTCTGGCTGGTCAATTTCAATGAAAATCTTATTGAGACTTAAATTGAAATTGTAACAAATATGTAGCTAGGCTTTTGGGTAGAAGTACAGATTCTTCTTTACTAGTGAGTCTTCTCTTCAATAAATATTTATTTAGGATTTCTTTCATCTTCTTTTTAAAAACAAAACTCCTAAGCTTTTTTTCTTAGAAGTTTACTTACATTTGGTTAGAATTATTCAAAGGGTTCCTGGAGTTTTTCTTGTGATTGTGGAAGTATCTTTAATTTAATAACCTTTTATGGTTGCTAAAGCTTTTTTTCTGGGTATACTAACAAATTTGTAGGTTGATAATTTAATTTGCTGAATTTTAGAATCTTTCTAATATTTATCTGTAAATGTTCTTAGATTTTCTAATCATATTGTCATTTTATCTCTTTATTTATGTTTATAACTTTTTGTTTATTTTCTTTATTACATTGTCCAGAGCTCATGGACAATGTTGAATAATAGGGGTGACAACAGGCATCCTTGGCTTCTTCCAGATTTTAATGGGAATATTTCTAGTGTTCTATCACTAGAGAGGCCATACAGCATAGTAGTTAAAAATTCAAGCTTTGGGGTCAAGTAGGTTTGAATTTAGATTCATTCACCTAAAAGTTGTGTGATTTGGGGCAGATTACTTAACTGTGTGTCTGTATGTTTTTCCATCTTTAAAATAAAAATAATAATATTTATATGAAAAAATTGCAAGGATTAAGTATATATATGTATGTATGTGTGCGTGTGGACATAGATGTTTATGTACTCATGTGCATGAGCATATATGCTTATATGCACATATACATATGAGCAGTCTTCAAAACATTTATGGAAAATGTGTATTATAAAAAAGAGCAGGAAAATAAAGAAGCAGGATCCTGAACTATGCGTGTATGTGATGAGGTGAGATTGAGGAGCAAAATGGATGTGTGAAAGGGTATATAAGAAAGAATGGCCCTTCTTGAACAGAATTTAAAAATGGATATGAAATTTTTATTGCATCAAAATAAACTCATACTATTTATAACATGTATAAACAGGATCTAGATTTAGGCACTAAGAAGGATAAGATATCAGTTTTAAAATAGCCCCTTTAGAGCAACATGCACTAAAATTGAAACAAGAACAAACATCAAATTCATGATGAATTTTGTTGGTAGAAGAATGTGGTGAAATCTCTGATTCTTTACAAAAAGTTTAGGGGGGACAATGCCCCAAAGACATTAGCAGTTTACAAATGGATAACTCAATTCAATAAGGAATGGGATGATGTTGAAGATAAAACCTGCAGTGGCAGACCATCAACTGAATTTGTGAGAAAAAAAAATAATCTTGTTGATGCCCTAATTGAAGAGGACCAACAATTAACAGCAGTAACAAACAATAGTCAACACCATAGACATCTCATCTGGTTCCACTTACAAAATTCTGATAGACAAATTAAAGTTATGTAAACTTTCCACTCAATAGGTGCCAAAACCATTGCAAATCAGACAAGAGCAGAGCCTTCAATGGAAATTTTAAACATATAGGATCAAAATTTGGGAATTTTTTGAAGGATTATAACAGGAGATGAAACTTAACTTTACCAGTATAGCCCTGAAAACAAAGCACAATCAAAGCAATGGCTACTGAGAGGTGGAATTGATCCAGTCAAAGCGCAAGTGAACCAGTCAAGAGCAAAGGTCATGGCAACCTTTGCACTTTTTGGAATACTCAAGGCATTTTTCTGGTTGACTTTCTGGAAGCCAAATAATGATAACATCTGCTTATTATTAGAGTGTTTAGAGAAAGTTAGCTAAAGCTTTAGCAGAAAAATGCCCAGCAAAGCCTCACCAGAGTCCTCCACCATGACAGTACACCTGTTCATTCCTCTTAATAAACTGGTAATTTTGTGAGAATTCCAATGAGAAATGGTAGACACCTGCCTCACAGTCCTGACTTGGCTCCTTCTGACTTTTGTTTCCTCATTTTAAAAAAATGTTTATTATTTCCAAGGAATTTCCCTGAAAAAATAATTTAAATAAATAAGTAATCTTTAAAGGGCATCCATTTTTCTTCAATTAATAATTTAAAAGATTGCACTGACATGGTTAAATTCTTAGGATCCTCGGTTCTTTAGAGATGGACTAAATGGCTGATATCATTATTTACAAAAGTAGCTTCACCTTGATGGAGTTTATGATGAGAAATTAAGTTTATTTTTTTCTTTTTATCTTTTAATTTCATTTTTTCCACAAACTTTTCAAAGTCTCTTCATATATATAGTATTTACAATCATGCCTAAAACAAATTAAACCCTCAATGAGTATTTAATAAGGATAATAAACATAGTATGTTTATTGCATATTGTGCTGGGCTCTATATGCTTAAGGAATTTTTGATGCCTCCTTTTTCTAAAGTTTTCTTCATAGTTGATGGTTGAATTGTTTCAAATGCTTTTTGTTCATCTAATCAGATAATGATATGCTTTTTGTTATTAATATTCCAAAATGGTGGTTTAAACTGATAGACTTTATGCCACTGAGCCATCTTTATATCCCAGGCTAGCAAAAAAATATAATGTGGTTATGATATTTTATTGTTATTGTCAATAATGCTGTTGTTGGTACACAATATTTAAAATATTTTAAAACAGTTCCATTGAGTATAATTGATATATACAAAATGGCACATATTTAATGTATACAATTTGGTGAGTTTGGACATATGCATATACTTATGGAAACATTATTACCACCAAGGCAATAGGTATTCATGACCCGCAAAAGTCTCCTTGCATCCTTCTGTTTTTGTGTGTGTGTGTGTGGTAAATATACTTACCATTACATCAAATCTCTTCACAGATGTTTAAGTGCATAGCACAGTGTTGTTAACTATAAGCACTATGCTATATAGCAGGTCTCTAGATCTAATTCATCTGGCATAACTGCAACTTTATAATTGAACAAGAAATCATTTCAGTTCAGCATAATTTATTCAAAAATATAGTGCTTATTCACAAATAATCTTTTCCATCCTTTTGGAAACAAGTTCTTCTCATAATATTTTGTTCATACAAATGTTAATGATTTCTCCGTGATAGTCTTGCAAAAAGAAGACAGCTCCTGAACTATGTGTGTGTGTGATGGGGTGGGGCTGAGGAAAAAAATGGATGTGTGCAAGGGTTTATAAGCAAGAATGGCCCTTCCTGACCAGTAAGGGAAGTTCAGATTAATAAAGGAAACTTTACAATCTCCACATAAAACAGAAGAGCTATTTCCTGCAATAAGACACTATCTACTCCATCAATGACCTAGGAATGGACGTAGATTGGTGTCTGCTGGAGACAGAAGTGCCCACATCAAAGAATCCTTGATTTGCATTGATCATCATTAATCTCAGCAGGAAGTTGGACCATATACTAAGCTAATAGGTTAGTAACCACCTATAACCAATGACTTTGTTTTCATTATTGTACCACATATACAATTGACAGTTATGAGACCAATTTAAATTGTGAGCTTTCAATGAAAAATTTACCCAGAGATTCTGCTCCAATCCCTTGACTGTTGTTATGTGCTGAGTTGTGTCTTCCCAAAAGATGTTGAAGTCCTAACCTCTGGTACCTGTGAATGTGACCTTATTTGGAAATAGGATTTTTGCAGATGTAATCAAGTTGAGACGAGGCCATTGGGGTGGATCTAATCCGGTATAACTGGTTTCCTTACAAGAAGCTGACACACAGTGAGGGAGACTGCCATTTGATGATGGAGGCAGAGACTGGAGTGAAGCATCTACAAATTAAGAAATGCCAAGGGTTGTAGGCAACCACCAGAAGCGGGGAGAGAGACATGGAACACTTTCCTTTTCAGAGGCCTCAGAAGAAACTAACCTTGCTGACACGTTGATTTCATACTTCCAGCCTCCAGAACTGTAAGACCATAAATTTCTGTTGTTTTAAGCCGCCACTTTACACTGCTTTGTTCCAGCAGTCCTAGGAAGTTAACACAGCCTTAGAAACCACTTCATGACACATTCCGTTCTCCCCTCTTCTTAAAATCTCAGTGGGCTTAGGTGATAACAGCATATCTTTCTGACCATATTGTAGTCAGTTTCCTAGTTGCTTACTCTTTTTTTATTCACAGATGCAATAGACTTTAATCTATCACAGTAGCTTTTTAGTACAATCAGCACAGGAAACACTGTCCAGCAAGCACAGCACATATTTTTTGGCTTTTATGGAGGGCATGCACAATTGTTAGGTGATGAGGCTAAGGTGTGTGATTTCACCTTGACATCTCCCAAACCTTCTGAAGTCATCTTCATACAGTCCCTTCACTTGTAGCTTCTAACACCTCTTTAGAGTCCGGCTTCTGTCCTTAGCAATTGACAAGAACTGCATTTAGAAAACTATCTTGGAGAGTCCATTTGGTAACCAAATTCAGAGGTCTTTTCTTAGTCCCCAGCTTCCTTGAATTGTCTGTAGCATTGTATTTTCTTGAGTACTTTAATCTTGAAACTTTCTTTCCCTCTGATTTTCACAAAGTGCATTATTCTAATATCTCTATTATTGATTACCTATTTCAATCAATGATTGCCTTTTTCCAGTGCCTTTCGCCTGCTAAATGAGACATTCCCCAATATTCTCCTCTCTTCTCTCTCTTACAGAAATGTTTTCACAAAAATGTCTTCCCAATTGCTTGTGATTATTTTCTTTGCTGTCTTAGAACAATTAGTCTGTCCCATTTACATGGTACTTACAATTTTTTACTTTGATGGTAAGCATGTCTGTGTGTACATCTTATATTCTTTTCTCTTCTCTTGTATTTCTACCACTTAGTTAAAAATTCATAGGGGTAACTCTCCTAAGCTACAGTGTCACTTCTGTTGTGTGCCAGACATTCCTGCTTAGATTTTACGTGTGTGTGTGTGTGTGTGAGTGTGTGTGTGTGTGTGTGTTTAGAGAGACAGGGTCTTGCTCTGTCCCCCAGGCTGGGGTGTAATGGTGTGATCATGGCTCACTGCAGCCTTGACCTCCTGGACTCATGCGATCCTCCCACCTCAGCCTCTGAGGTAGCTGGGACTGCAGTCACATGCCACCAGGCCTAGCAATTTTTTTTTCATTTTTTGTAGAGACAAGGTCTTGCTATGTTGCCCATGCTAGTCTTAAAGTCTTGACTGCAAGCAATTTTCTTTCTTTGGCTTCCCAAGTACTGGGATTATAGGCATGAGCCACCACACCTGGCATCAAACTCAGAATATTTTAAATGGAATTGTCATCATTTCCTTATACTTCCAACTTGCATTTTCTCATCTTGACTGCCCTTGTTTTACTTTTATTTTTATTTTTGAAAATTAAGTGGTAGATTTTTAAGAAACAGTTTATATTGCCAAAAAAATTACTGGGTAAGATGTAAGGAATTACAGTATGTTTAGTTGAGTTTGGTTTACACAAAATATGCTTTCTGTAGAGAAAATCTTTATAAGAATTTCAGATAGTGCTATTTTTATATTAATTTTTATTTATTATTTTTTATTTTTGTTTATTTTTATTAATTTTTATTTATATTAATTTTTATATTTGTATTTCAATAAGTTTTGGGGGAACAGATGATATTTGGTTACATGAATAAGTTCTTTAGTGGTGATTTCTGAGATTTTGGTGCACCCATCACTGAAGAGTGTACACTGTACCAAATGTGAAGTCTTTTCTCCCTAAACCCCTCCCACCTTTTCCCCCAAGTTCCCAAAGTACACTGTATCATTCTTGTGCCCTGGAGTCCTTATAGCTTAGTTCCCACATATGATGTTTGGTTTTCCATTCCTGAGTTACTTCATTTAGAATAATGATCTCCTTTTCTATCCAGGTTACTGCAAATACCGTTATTTCATTCCTATTTATGGCCAGGTAGTATTCCATGATATATATATGTGAGATATATATATCTCACATTTTCTTTATCCACTCATTGACTGATGGGCATTTGGGCTGGTCCTTTTTTTTTTTTTTTTTTTTTTTTTTGAGACAGAGTCTTGCTCTGTCGCCCAGGCTGGAATACAATGGCATGATCTCGGCTCACTGCAACCTCCACCTCCTGGATTCAAGCAATTCTACTCCCTCAGCCTCCCAAGTAGCTGGGATTACAGGCTCCTGCCACCACACCCAGCTAATTTTAGTATTTTTAGTAGAGACAGGGTTTCACCATGTTGGCCAGGCTGGTCTTGAACTCCTGACCTCAGGTGATCCACCGATCTTGGCATCCCAAAGTGTTGAAATTACAGGGTGAGCCACTGTGCCCAGCCCCATCTTTTTGCAATTGCAAATTGTGCTGCTATAAACAGACAAATGTAAGTATCTTTTTCATATAATGACTTTTTTTCCTCTGGGTAGATACCAAGTCATGGGATTGCTGGATCAAATGATAGATCTACTTTTAATTCTGTAAGGACTCTCCACACTGTTTTCCATAGTGGTTGTAGTAGTTTATATTCCAACCAACAGTGTAAAAGTGTTCCCTTTTCACCACATTCAAGCCAACATCTATTTTTTTATTTGTTGATTATGGCCATTATTGAAGAAGTAAGACAGTATCACATTGTGGTTTTGATTTGCATTTACCTGATCATTAGTGATGTTGAGAATGTTTTCATGTTTGTTGGCTTTTTGTGTATCTTCTTTCGAGAATTGTCTATTCATGTCCTTAGCTCACTTTTTGATGAGATTGTTTGTTTTTTACTTGCTAATTTGTTTGAGTTCATTGTAGATTCTGGATATTAGTCCTTTGTTAGATGTATAAATTGTGAAGATTTTCTCCCACTCTCTGAGTTGTCTGTTTGCTGATTATTTATTTTGCTGTGCAGAAGCTTTTTAGTTTAATTAAGTCACATCTATTAATCATTTTTTTTATTTTTGAGACAGAGTCTCGCTCTGTCGCCCAGGCTGGAGTGCAGTGGTGCGATATGGGCTCACTGCAAGCTCTGCCTCCCGGGTTCATGCCATTCTCCTGCCTCAGCCTCCTGAGTAGCTGGGACTACAGGTACCCGCCACCACGCCTGGCTAATTTTTTGTATTTTTAGTAGAGACAGGGTTTCGACATGTTAGCCAGGATGGTCTCAATCGCCTGACCTCGTGATCCGCCTGCCTCGGCCTCCCAAAGTGCTGGGATTACAGGTGTGAGCTACCACACCTGGCCTCTTTTTGTTACATTTATTTTTGAGTTTTTGGTCATGAAGTCTTTGCCTAACCTCATGTCTAGAAGGGTTATTCCAATGTTGTCTTTTAGAATTTTTATAGTTTCAGGTTTTAGGTTTAAGTCTTTGACCCATTTTGAGTTGACTTATGTATAAGGTGAGAGATGAGGATCTAGTTTCATTCTTCTACATGTGACTTGCCAATTATCCTATCACCATTTGTTGAATAGGTGTCCTTTCCCCACTTTATGTTTTTGTTTGCTTTGTTGAAGATTACTTGGCTGTAAGTATTTGGGTTTATTTCTGGGTTCTCTATTCTGTTCTATTTGTCTGTATGCCTATTTTTATATGAGAACCGTGTTGTTTTGGTGACTATGGCCTTATAGTACAGTTGGAAGTCGAGTAATATGCTGCCTTCAGATTTGTTCTTTTTGCATAGTCTTGCTTTGGCTATGGGGGCTCTTTTTTAGTTCCATATGAATTTTAGGATTATATTTTCTAGTTCTGTGGAGAATGATGTGATATTTTGATGGGAATTTTCTTGAATTTGTAGACTGCTTTTGGTAGTATGGTCATTTTCACAATATTAATTGTACCCATCTAGGAGCAGGGGATGTGTTTACATTTATTTGTGTTGTCTATGATTTCTTTCAGCAGTTTTCCTTGTAGATGCCTTTCACTTCCTTGGTTAGGTATATTCCTAAGTGTTTTATTTATTTATTTTTTTGCAGCTATTGTAAAAGGAGTTGAGTTCTTGATTTGATTCTCAGCTTGGACGCTGTTGGTGGTATAGCAGAGCTACTGATTTGTGTACATTAATTTTGTATTCTGAAACTTTGCTGAATTCATTTATCAGTTCTAGCAGCTTTTTGGAGGAGTCTTTAGGATTTTCTAGGTATACAATCATATCATCAGCAAACAGTGACAGTTTGATTTCCTGTTTATTAATTCGGATGCCCTTGATTTCTTTCTCTTAACTGATTCCTCTAGCTAGGACTTCCAGTACTATGTTGAATAGAAGTGGTGAAAGTGGGCATCCTTATCTTGTTTCAGTTCTCAAGAGGAATGCTTTCAACTTTTTTATTCAGTATAATGTTGGCTATGGGTTTGTCACAGATGGCTTTTATTGCCTTAAGGTATGTCCCTTCTATGACGATTTTGCTGAGGGTTTTAATCATAAAGGGATGCCGGATTTTGTAAAATGCTTTTTCTGCATCTATTGACATAATCATGCTATTTTTGTTTTTAATTCTGTTTATGTGGTGTATCACACTTATTAACTGGCGTATGTTAAACCATCCCTGCATCTCTGGTATGAAACCCACTTGATCATGGTGGACTAGATTTTTAATATGCTGTTGGATTCAGTTAGCTAGTATTTTGTTGAGGATTTTTGCCTCTGTGTTCATCAGGGATATTGGTCTGTAATTTTCTTTTTTTTATATGTCCTTCCCTGGTTTTTGCTATTATGGTGATACTGGCTTCATAGAATTATTTAAGGAGGATTCCCTTTTTCTCTATCTTTTGGAATAATGTCAATAGGATTAGTACCAATTCTTCTTTGAATGTCTTATAGAATTCAACTGTGAATCCATCTGGTCCTGGGCTTTTTTGTTGTTGTTTTTGGCAACTTTAAAATTACCATTTCCATCTTGCTGCTTGTTATTGGTCTGTTCAGAGTTTCTATTTCAGTCTGTTTTAATCTAGGAGGGCTGTATATTTCCAGGAATTTATCCATCTCCTCTAGGTTTTCTAGTTTATGTAAAGATGTTCATAGTAAAGGTGTTCATATAAAGATGTTCATAGTGGCCTTGAGTGATCTTTTGTATTTCTGTGGTATCAATTGTAATAACCCCCACTTCATTTCTAATTGAGCTTCTTCAGATGTTCTCTCTTCTTTTCTTGGTTAATCTTGCTAATGACTATAAATTTTATTTATCTTTTCAAATAACCAGCTTTTTGTTTCATTTATGTTTTGTAATTTATTTTGTTTTCCATTTCATTCAGTTCTGCTCTGATCTTTTTTTGTTGCTGTTTGTTTGTTTTTTCTGTTACATTTGGGTTTGGTTTGCTCTTGTTTCTCTAGTTCCTTGACGTGTGACCTTAGATTGTCTATTCATGCCCTTTCAGACTTAGTTAAATAGGCATTTGATGCTGTGAACTTTTCTCTTAATACTGCTTTTGCTGTATCCCAGAGGTTTTGATAAGTTGTGTCACCATTATTGGTCAGTTCAAAGAATTTTTACATTTCCATCTTGATTTCATTGCTGATCCAATGATCATTCAGGAGCGAGTTATTTAATTTCCATGTATTTGCATAGTTTTGCGGATGCCTTTTGGAGTTGATTTCCAATTTTATTCCACTATGGTCTGAAAGAGTATTTGATATAATTTCAATTTTCCTAAATTTGTTGAGAATTCTTTTGTGGCCTATTATATGTTCTATCTTGCAGAATGTTCCATGTGCTGGTGAAAAGAATGTATATTCTGCAGTTGTTGGGTAGAATGTTCTCTAAATATCTGTTAAGTCCATTTGTTGTAAGATATAGTTTAAGTCCATTGCTTCTTTGTTGACTTTCTGTCTTGATGACCTGCCTAGTGCTGTCAGTGGAGTATCAAAGTCCTCCACTATTATTGTATTGTGGTCTGTCTAATTTCTTAGGTCTAGTGGTAATTGTTTTATAACTTTGGGAGCTCCAGTGTTAGGTGCATATGTATTTAGGATTGTGATACTTTCCTGCTGGACTAGTCATTTTATCATTATATAATTTCCCTCTTTGTCTTTTTAACTGCTGTTGCTTTAAAGTTTGTTTTGTCTACTCCTGTTCACTTTTGGTGTCTATTTGCTTGCAATATCTTTTTCCACCCCTTTACCTTAAGTTTATGTGAGTCCTTATGTGTCAAGTGAGTCTCTTGAAGACAGCATATACGTAGTTAATAAATTCTTACACATTCTGACACTCCGTATCTTTTAAGTGGCGCATTTAGGCCATTTACATTCAATGTTAGTATTGAGATGTACTATTATATTCATTGTGCTATTTGCTGCCTGAATACTTGTGTTTTTTTTGAATTGTGTTATGGTTTTATAGGTCCTGTGAAATTTATGCTTTAAGGAGGTTCTATTTTGGTGTGTGTTGAAAATTTGTTTCAAGATTTAGAGCTCCTCTTAGCAGTGCTCATAGTGCTGGCTTGGTAGTGGTGAATTCTCTCAGCATTTATTTTAAAAAGATGGTATCCTTCATTTATGAATCTTAGCATCACTGGATACAAAATTCTTGGCTGATAATTGTTTTGTTTAAGGAGGCTAAAGATAGGGTCCCAATTCTTTCTAGCTTGTAGGGTTTCTGCTGACAAATCTGCTGTTAATCTGATAGGTTTTCCTTTATAAGTTACCTGATGCTTTTGCCTCACAGCCATTAAGAGTCTTTCCTTCATCTTGACTTTAGATAACCCAATAACTATGTGCCAAGGTGAGGATCTTTTTTTCAATGAATTTCTTAGGTGTTCTTTGAGCTTCTTGTATTTGGATGTCTAGATCTCTAGAAAGACTGGGGAAGTTTTCCTTGATTATTCCCTCAAATATGTTTTCCAAACTTTTAGATTTCTCTTCTTCCTCGGGAACACCAGTTATTCTTAGGTTTGGTTATTTAACATAATCCCAAACTTCTTGGAGGCTTTGCTCATTTTTTAAAATTCTTCTTTGTCTTTGTTGGATTGGGTTAATTTGAATGCCTTGTCTTCAAGCTCTGAAGTTATTTCTTCTACTTGTTTGATTCTATTGCTGAGGATTTCCAGTGCATTTTTCATTTCTGTAAGTGTGTCCTTCATCTCCAGAAGTTGTGATTTTTTAAATTTATGTTTTCTATTTCACTGGAGATTTTTCCATTGATATCCTGTATCATATTTTGGATTTCTTTAAGTTGAACTTTACCTTTCTCTGGTTCCTTTTTGATTAGCTTAATAATAACCTTCTGAATTCTTTTTCTGGCAATTAAGAGATTACATCTTGATTTGGATCCATTGCTGTTGAGCTAGTGTGATCTTTTGGGGGTGTTAAAGAACCTTGTTTTGTCATATTATCAGAATTGTTTTTCTGGTTCCTTCTCATTTGGGTAAACTAGATCAGAGGGAAGATCTGGGACTCAAGGGCTTCTGTTCAGATTCCTTTGTCCCACAGGGTGCTCCCTTGATTTGGTGCTCTCCCCTTCCCTTAAGGATGGGGCTTCCTGAGAGGCAAACTACAGAGATTGTTATTTCTCTTCTGGATCTAGCCACTCAATGGAGCTACTGAGCTCTGGGCTGGTACTGGGGAGTGTCTGCAAAGAGTCCTGTAATGTGATCTGTCTTCATGTTTTTCAGCCATAGATACCAGCACCTGCTCCGCTGGAGTTAGCAGGGGAGTGAAGTGGACTCTGTGAATGTCCTTGGTTGTTTTTTTGTTAATGGCACTGGTTGTGTGTTGGTCGGCCTCCATCCAGGAGGTGACACTATCAACAGTGTATCAGCTGCAGTAGTATAGGGAGGATACAAGCTTCCCTTAGGGTCAGGTGGTGGGTGGGGTCATAGAGTTCCCAAGAGATTATATCCTTTGTCTTTGGCTATCAAGGTGGGTAGAGAAGGACCATCAGGTGGGGGAAGAGTTAAGCCTGTCTCAGCTCAGACTCTCCTTGGGCAGGGCTTGCTGCAGTTGCTGTGGGGGTTGGGGATGTGGTTCCCAGGCCAATGGAGTTATGTTCCTAGGGGGATTACGGCTGCATCACACAAGTCACCAGGGAAGTCGGGGAAAAGCTGGTAGCCATAGGCCTCACTCAGCTCCAATGCAGCCGGCAGCCTGAAAGGCTGGTCTCACTCCCACTGTGCCCCTTTAACAGCACTGAGTTTATTTCCAGGCAGCTAGTGAGCAGGGCACAGAACTTGCCCCAGGCTACAAGCCTCCCAGCTGAGAAAGTAAGCTGACTCACAATTCCTTAGCTGTCCCACAGAGCCTGCGGCAGCAATCCACCTCCTTTAAAGGGTCTGCGGATTCTCTTGGCTTTCCTGGTATGTTCCTATGGTGGTTCTTGGAGCAAAGGTTTATGATGTGGGTCTCCACACACTGCTCTGTTTGTCCAAGTGGGAGCTGCAAGTTAGTCCTGCTTCCTATCTGCCATTTTCCTCCCATCTGTTGCTTACTATTCATTCATTCCTGGCTAATTTCAGATAATCGCTGAAGAAGGATACCAACATTTCTTTTAGTTTTTGACTGCATTACATTACTCTTCTAATATGCTATAACATGACACTTTCTGTTTTTTTCCCTTCTTGGAGGGAGCGATGGCTTCCATACAAAGTCTTATATGAATTTTTCCACTGATTTTTTCTTTTATAAGGCAGGGATACCTTCAAAATGTAATTATCAGCTTCCAAAATTCTTGATGAGTCTGTTACAAATACCAAAATCTGTCCAGAGAGAAAAAATTGCCCATGAGATTAGCCTGTTACACTTTAATCTGGCTCCTTGCCAATGGTTTTCTATGGAATTTGGGTCAGATCATTTAATCTTCCTGTACCTCAATTTAATAATATTGATTTACCTTACTGGGCTGTCCTGAAGATTAAGTAATATTGAATTGAAAAACATTTGGAAAATACAAGGATGAATGTAAAGGTTAAAAAAGAATGACCCCTCTTGACCAGAGAGGGAAGTTCAGGTCTTGATTAATTCACATGACTATCTAGCCACATGCCATTCTCAAGGAATTCCTCTTGCAAGAAACAGACTATTCATTAAATTTGGAGCAATAGAAAGTCACCTTGTGAGATAAGATTGTTATATCTCTTGCTGACTTCAAATTATCCACATTTCGGTCACTATATTAATGATAATAGCAGGATAAAACAATGTTTCTGCTTTTATACATTGTATATTCCCATTACTGTTTTTCAGAAGTACTTATTAGAGGAAAAACTGCCAGAATTTACCATGGTCCTAAGGCATAATATACTACAGCTCTGAAAGTAATAGACAGACTCTATGTTTAGAGTAACTGAGATGTCTCCTCTGTTTGATTTCTATGGATATTTTATCATTTGGGGAGCAAAATGGGTCATTATAATTCATTTCACATCCTAATTTTCATGGCTTAAGGTAGTTTATCTTCAAGAGTATACAGATTGGGCCATCAAGATCTGCCCAGATAATGGAATATATAAGTCATGTTCTTTTGTTATTTCATTTTAAGAGGAGTTTGTTCACTGCTGCTTCATTCTGTGCCCTGGTTGAACACTGTTATTGCATACAACTCTGAAGTTAATTTTTATTTGCTAACTTATTTTATTTGCTTATTTGTGCAGCTGTATTAATGGCCGATTTCTCTTTCAAGGCCCTTGGATCAGGATATTAAGGAGAAAAAAATGGTGAACCTAGCCAACATTCCATCCTTCCAATCATCAGAGGTGAGATGGTTATAATGCTTCCTCTTTGAGGAGGGAAGGCAGTATAACGTGAAGCCAAGGACTCAGTGGTAGGCGTGGAATGGCTTTGCGAAATCCCTGATTCTTGGTTGCCCCTTTGAGTTTCCATGTTTCCTGTTGGCTTTAAGGCAGTCTCTAAATTATCATGACCTTTCCTGTGTTGTCGCTTAACACTGTAGCTTGTTAAGTCCTAGAGAAGATGTGTGGGTTATCCTCCTATTCCTTACCTGTAGGAGATACTTGGCTGTGGTAACCTGTCAGGACTCAGGGCCTCTTGTGGGTCACTTGTGGAAGCAATCTGACTAGAGGTGAGAGGTGACAAGCCTGTCTTCACTTTTTAGAGCCATGAGTGTTGGGCTCTCCATCTGACATCACCCCCTACCCTGCATCCTGAGAAGGGGCTCCCTGTGAGAGCCTGCTCTTCTGTGCTGTTCTCTGAAAATACCTTCTCTTCTTTCCTTACACTTTCCAAACTTTACTAACAGAGAATTTGCAGCATCTTGAAGATCTCTAATCAATCTGATGTTAGTGTAAATAACCTCTGAAGTCAATTGTTTTAATAGAGAGTGGTTACATTTTCTCTTCAAGAGTGCTCATCTATACTACCTATTGCAACTGCCTTTTGGATCCAAATACGTAAGTGGTATCTCCTCCTCCTTTCCTTAAATGCACAGTTAAAAATCTAAGAGAAGATATTCAATCACTACCAAACACTCACTGAAATGATTTTCTAGGGGTGCCTGTTCAAAATGTAGAGTTTCTGACCTTAGCCAAGGAATACTGACAGCAGGTGAATATTATACAGGTATGGGGTAGTTTGCCTCCAAGCTAGCTGTCATCAGTTCCTTCCCTCCTTGTATGGAAATGCCATTCTGCTGTCAAGGAACAAAGTCTGTTATTTCACCTCTTCAGGTCAGGCTGGCCTGTGGCTGCTTTGATCAATAGAATACACAATAAGTTACACTAGGGTTTGAGTGGGCAGTTTCCACCTGGTTTTCTTGGAATTCTCAGCCTGTAAGATGTTACCTACCGCTGAGAAGTCTAACTACCCTGAGGACACCATGGTTAAGGATGCCCACACTGGCCACATGGAAGGGCGTTGTTGGAGATGTGATTATTCAGCCCAATCTGGTCCAGCCATCCCAGCCCAGGGGCCAGACATGTAGGTGAAGAAGCCTTCAAGCAACTACATTCCCAGCCACAATCAGACTGTAGCTGCATGGGAAACCAGAAGATAGAACTCTCCAGCTGAGTTCCACTAGCCTCCAGGTCCACAGGATATTATAGTAAAATATTCATTTTTTTAAAGCCACTAGACTCTGGAAGTATGCAGCAGCAAGTAGACTTTCATGCCGGTTTCAGTGGACAACACTGAGAAATACTGTTAGGTTATCAGCCAAAGACACTACAGCATTAATGTGTTCAGGCTGTGAATGACTTAAAAACTTCAGCCCCCTTTGCTTCACTGACAAAAGCACTTCCAGTTTCTTATCTCTTTAGTCACTATCCAACATCTTAATATCGTCTAGCTCTTGGCTTGGCTCTTACAGGAGACATAGAATTGTAGTAGCATTTGGCCTCTATGGTTGGATGATTGCCTGATTGTTCAATATGAGCCCAGTCCTGGATTCTCTTCTGGCAAACAAAGCAGGTCATGGTTTATGCTTACTTCAGACACCTCTGCCACGGATTTCATTTCCCCTACCAAGAAAGACACCAATTAGAAAAGACATATCATATCCTGAAATCCTGGAAAGCTAACTCAAAAATCTCCCTAACCTAAGGTTGTCATGGAAACTTCCTCAGAATCATCACTCTAATAAGCTATCCCTACAGTGCATACACTTTGCTACCTTTCTCAAATATCCAGTCTGGAACAGTGTATGACATCGACTTCTAAAACGCCAATGTCAGAGTTTTTTTCCTACCCTTCCTCTGACTTATGCTAGTGTTTCCAGAACAGGCACAGCATCATGCAGGTTTTAGGTTCTCCAGCTCAGGTGCCATGGTGAAAATGCTGTTCTGTTTCGATTCTGGAGTAGTGGTTGACTTACAAAGGCAAGTGGGTCCTCCTTCAGAATTAACTGCATCCCAGAATGAACTGCTGTAGTGTAGCCCAGATGGAGGCCTCCCCACATTCTCTTCAAGAGCCACCTTTCTCCTATGCATGCCTCCATCATAAACAACCAACCAAATGGAACCCAGAGCCTATATGACCACAATGTAAAAATAATTCATTTATAAATCACATATGAAATATATATACACAAATACAACTTTAAATGAATGAGATTATAAATGAATGGAAATTGTCATTGTAGCATAACCCAGGAGATCTTCTTGCATATCATTCGTGGAAGCTGCTGGTGGAGTACATTCAGGGGAAGCACTCGTCCCACTGCCAGGCCCCTATCTGTGTTGCAGCCCCACCCTTCTCTCAGGTCCACTCTGACCTTTGTGTACTGCCTTAGATTCCCCCATTAAAAAGAAAACCAAAACCACTTTTTATTAGAAAAGTCTTTCAAAGATATGGAAAAATAAGGCTGGGCACGGTGGCTCACACCTGTAATCCCAGCATTTTGGGAGGCCGAGGTGGGTGGATCACCTGAGGTCAGGAGTTCAAGACCAGCCTGACCAACATGGAGAAACCCCATCTCTACTAAAAATACAAAATTAGCTGGGTGTGGTGGTGCATGCCTGTAATCCAAGCTACTCGGGAGGCTGAGGCAGGAGAATCACTTGAACCTGGCAGGCAGAAGTTGCAGTGAGCCGAGATCGCACCATTGCAATCCAGCCTGAGCAACAAGAGCAAAACTCCATCTCAAAAAAAAAAAAAAAAAAAGCAAAAATGAAAAGAGTAGTGCAATGAACACTCATTTATCCATCATCCAGCTTAAAGGAAAGAATGGTCAAACTGCTTTCAACAATATCATCCTTCTCCCCACCTCCTATATTCTTGTCTTCAGTATTTTATTTTGAACAAAATCATAAATTTCTTTTTCACAATATTTCATTTTACATCTCTAAGTGATAAATACTTTTTTTATTGGCATGAAAAGTTTTTCTTTAGAATTTGATCCACAATCTATACAGGTTATTTACAAGTCATGAAACTGGAAAACAGCACAAAATACAATTGAGGTATAAGCTCAGAGCATAGTAAGTATGTCATGTTTCAATAAATATAACTTGAAATTTGTAAACTAGGTGACCAGATACATGAGTCTCATTTTTAGTAAAACCATATAAAATATTTATTTCACGTGAGGTAGAGGACAATTACCACCCTGAGTGCGCCCCATCTAGTCTGATCTCAGAAGCTAAGCAGGGTCAGGCCTGGATAGCGCTTGGATAAAGATTTTTTAAACCTATTATACCACTATCACATTCACCAAAATTAACAATAATTCCTTAGTCTCCTAAAACATCCATTCAATGTTTAAATGTCCCCAATTTTCTCATGCAGTTTTAGATGTGTTTCTTCAAATCAGAATGCAAACAAGGTTCACACATTTTAATTTGTTGATATGTCTCTTAAATATTTTTAAAAATCTATAACCTCTTTCATTTGTTTTGTTTTGGTCCTTTCAAGTTCTCCATGGTCTGGATTTTGCTGATTGCATTCCTGTGGCATTTTAAAAACCTGTTTCTATCCTTCCTATATGTTCTAGAAAGTGATAGTTAAATCTGTAGACTCGATCAGATTAAAGTTAAAATGTTTTGCCTCTATTTTTTTATTCTTCCAAGTCTAGGTCAACTTTACCATAGTTCGCTGATGGTTCATGTATTAGTTATCTGTGGCTGCATAACAAATTACCACAACAGTAGTGGCTTACAGCAATGCACACTTAACATGTCAAAACATTGGTGGGTCAGGAGTCCAGGCATGACTGAACTGGATCATCTGCTTAGAGGTCTCACAGGGATATAATCATGGTGTTGGGCAGAGCTGCAGTCTAATTTGACACCCACCTCAAACAAGAAATATCCCCTTCCATGCTCATTCAGGTTGGCAGAATTTCTGCCTTGCATTTCTGTTTCTTGCTGGCTTTGGTTCAAGGCCACCCTCATCTCCTAGAAGTTGTTCAAAGTTATTTGTCACATGGACAGCTCCTAACAAGGCAGCTTGCTTCTTCCAAAGCCAGCCAGGAAGAGAGAAGACTCCAGCAAACTAGGCAGTATAATCTTAAGGTCATAATCATGTACACATAATTAGATAAATCCTTCCCATTTGGCCATATTTTAACTAAATAGAATATTATTTATATTCTAACTAATAGAATATGGCCAAATGGACAGGATTTATCCAATTATATGTACATGATTATGAGCCTGATATTATCTAATATTCTAGTAGCAAGTCACAGGTCACTCCAGGGGAAATAACTATCTATGGGCATGAACATCAAGAGGTAGGGTCATTTGGTACCCACCCTACAGTCTGCCCACCACTCTTTGAGAATATCGAAGGGGAATACAGCACAGCATAGAATGCTGGTGACTTTCACTTTAATGTGTATTAGATATACCATCGTTTTGGGCAGTCCTGCCACTAGGAACTTTTCACTGGCCACTTCTCTCTTTTTGGCTCTCACTTATGCCCTTCAAAGTAGGTTTTGTGCCATCCAAACACTGGGCCTCATCTCCTCTTCCTGGACTGTTCTGAATGGTTTGATTTTCCTCTGCAAAGAAAATTTAGTTCTCTTTGCTCCAATCTTTCATTTTCCTGGCCATTCCCTAAGGCCTTTTCCCCACAGCTAAATGGCTTAGCGAAGTGTTTTTGCTAAAAAGTAATAAAAAACAAAAATCTATATTTTCCAGTCTTCATTTACATGAGCAACACACCACAGTTATCCTGTTTACCACAGTATTCAGCACAATTTGAAATGCTTTCAGAAGCTGAACAATGAAGAATCTCATGGACAGGTTATTGCTGCACAAGGTCTTGCCTGTCCTTCTTCACAGTGGGGGCTACACGATTTCCTGTCTCCTAAAGTCCTTAAGGATTTCAAAATGTTCCTTATATATGGGTGAGACTTAGGCTCATTAAACCAAAGGTATTTTGCTGATCACAGCTGTGGGAGTCTACAGGCTTCAGTATTCCTGTTCATCTGCTCAAATCAAGCAGTTCACTTACAGAAAAGAGGAAAGAATAAGAAAATCCTGACTCAATGACAAATTTAAGTTCTTGGTCATAGGAGGGGAAAAAAGCTGTTTCCCAGGAGATCTCTCCAGCATAGTGATTCTCAAACTTAAGTGAGCATCAGAATCATCTGGAGAGCCTATTAAAATACAGATTACTGGGTGCCACCTTCAGATTTCAGTATCTGGGGATGCCACTCCCAGATTTTTATTCAATAAGTCAGTAGTGGTGCCCAAGAATTTGCATATCTAACAAGTTGCCAGGTGGTACTAATGCTGCTGGTGTGAGGACAACACTTGGAAAACCACTGCTCTAATATATTGTTCAAAATACCTCCCAACAAGACAAAATGGGGTAGGAACACATAGATAACAATGCCTGCAAATTCTGAAGGTCATGCCACCTTAGCAGTAGCCATGCCAAGTAGCATAGCAGACAAAATGTCCAAGTAGTCACAGACTCACTAGCAGTGCCACTGAGTTTTCCAGGGTAATCATGGTTTTCTAGATAGAGCCATATAACTACAAGATCTGAGATGGTATATACGGCTGTCTTTGAAGAGGATTTGAAGCCATGAAGAATTGAGGTATTGATGAGTACAACTGAAGTTCACTGGACTCAATATAGCACCGTGAGAGAAGCTGAATGTTGAGATTATAATCAATCGGTCATTAGCAGTAACATTTTAAAATTAAAGAGAAGTCATTAAGATGCCTATTGGAACTTTTACACATTTCACTACTTGGATTCATCCATTGTTACCAATAAAGAAAAACTTGTTCCTAGTGTTTGCAGAAAACGATTTGTAATGACCCTTCTTAAATACTTGGTGGTAGGCAGTATTTTTTATTGGTTTGATTTGTTGGGCTGTTGTTCTTTAAATAAGTATACTGTTTAGGTCATTTGTAAGACTATAAATGGAAAATAAATCCCTGAGCCTTACAAAAAATATTTTAAAAAACCAACTTCGATATAAAGTAATTTTCATACCTAATATGTTCCTAAATAATTAATTTTACTACTTCCTTGCACTTCTAAAAGCATTATTTCAAGAAACAACAATATTCTTTTGTAAGGCATTTTGTTTAGAGACAGGCAAATGCCTATGGTTTCATCAAAGCCCACAGATGAAAACAAAACAAAACAAAAATGTCAAAGCAGCATCATTTTAGGTGTAGTATAAAAAATAAGAAGTATTTCATTGAGTCACATGGTGAATTTTCTCCCCAATATTTCTAGTTGTTATGTGGTCCATGAACAGTGTGAATAGTCAATGAGTCATGTATCACTGGAGAGAAGCAGTGAATAAGAAAGGTGGGAGCAGAGTTTCTCCAATGTGCATCTTAAATCCGGGCATCTCAGCCATTCTTAGATGCAGTCATTATTGTCCTTGGAGGAGAATTCACAGATGATGCTGGAAAAGTTATCTTGGCTTTATCTCCTTTCTCTACTAATATTCGCCACTATCTGATCTATACACCAAAGGTAATTTTTTTCTTTCTCCTCTCCCTATACATGTGATTTCAGTATCTGTTAGGTTGAACCACTTGATGATTTTCAATCCACATAAACAATTTCATATACCACAACCTAGTACTTTATCAGGAACAGTGATTATAATACGTATATTTATAACTAGAAAGTGCTGTAGAGAACACAGAAATTCAAATCTGACCACATTTGGATTTAAATTCTTTTAGTATAGTCACTTGTAAATTTCATTATGACTTTTTAAAATAAAAAAATTCATTCATAATTTTTGGCATCCAGGTATCTAATCTAGACAGACTTAAAATACCATGGGGAAGGGAGTGCTGGTAGGTTACCCACGGACTTTTTCTTCTTCAGTTATAAAAAGATTACTTAAAGTAATTATTGAATGAACAATCAATTGCAGAAAGAACTTGAATATTATAAAATTCACACATAAGTGGAAAACTAAAGTCCTACAAAAAGTTCATATTGTACCTTACAAAATCTTCAAAAATACAGGACAGACTCGATTTCAACATCTGGGCTCAGTCAACACATAAGAGAAAACTTGGCAGTAAATTTGGGAAGTAGAAGCCATATTCATTGATCCATTTATTTACCTATGTGTCTGGTTAATATTTGTTGATTGCCTACCTTAGGCCTGACACTGTTGTATCAACTGGGTTTACACTCATGTAAAAGACAGAGACATCCTCTTCTCTCATTGAATCTACCTTCTATTCCAATCATATTGCCACTAAGAAGGGTGAGAATGGTCCAATTACCTATACAAATGCCTGACTAATGATCCACTGGCTGTGTATACCAAACTGACTATGGTTTATCTTATATATCTGACTTTTATTTTTTGTTTAGGATTATTTCTTCATTCACACTCTGAATGTCTTTTACCTAATGTTCTTGCCTAATCGTTCTGGCTAGAACCCCTAATAAATGTTGATTAGAAGTGTCAAGAGCAGACATCCTTACCTTCTTTTTTTAAAAAAAACCACTTTTTTAAGGTGGAATTGACATTTAAGATCTGTAAAGTATGCAACTCGAGGAGTTTGGGGATAGGTATTCACCTGTGAAACCATCACTACTGTCCAGGTCATGTGCATGTCCATCACCTTCCAAAGTTTCCTCTCATCCCCTTCATTATCATTATAGTTTTATGTGCATGGCAAGAACATTTAACATAAGATCTACCATCTTGGCAGATTTTAAATATACAATACAGCAAAGTTAGCTTAGGTATTATGCTGTATAGTTGATCTTCAGAACTTATTTATCTTGCATAACTGAAACTATAGCGTTTGACCACCACTTTCCCATTCCCCCGTCCCCCAGGCCCTGGCAGACTTTCATTAGAAGAATAGTTACAAGAAGCATAATGAACTTGATAATGATATACTTTCATACAGTCTGGATTCTGTTCTCTTGGAACTAAAATTTCTTAATAACAAAATGTTATTTTTTGCAGTGTGACTCTACAAGTTTTATGTCCTACCTCACATGTGTTAAAAGAACTCTGATTTCTTCCCAGCTCCTATGGTCAAGGGGAAATAGATTATCTGACTCAGTTATTCCCAGGCAGGGACTTTGAGCAATGTCTCAGGCAGGCATATTTTGTTGTCACTAGTGGCATCTGGTGGCTAGTAGTCAGGGTCCCCCACTGCTAAACATTGCTACAAGGCACAGTGCAACAAGCCCCTGCTCTTACCCCTCCCCGTCCCAAACAAAAAGTATTCCTGCCCCAAATATCAATAGTGTTGAGGTAGAGAAGCTCTGCTCTTACTAATATAAAAGATTTATTCTCTTCACATCTTATTTTTTCTCTGTCTCTAAACCTGATTTTGAAAGTTTGACTCCGTTGGTTTATCCAACCATTGATTTATTAATACATTCCTCCCAAAACCATTAAGACGTTGTGGGGGATACAAAGATAGAGAAAACAGGATAGTTGGTCTCTAATTTATATCTGACTTCAGGAACCTACTTTACACATCACTGGAGAATCATGTGGTTTTCTGAGAAGGAAGAGTGACCAATTAAACATTCCTTTGGACAATCACACCAGGACAAATTTTGTGCATTCTGCTCACCTTTCCAGTTCTCTCTGGCTTGAAGTGAATGCCATTTTGCATGGTAGAAGTCTCGTTCTGAATTATTTGGAAGAGAAAAATGCAGTTCTATTGTTCAAACTGCATCAAAGGCAGAACCATGTGGGGGTGAGAAGGACAGGAAAATACGACCCTTTGTAATTATAATGTGTGGAAGATGTTTGGCTTAATAACAGGTTACAAAACAGATTTCTTAATCTAAAACGATAAAATCTCCTGAATAGGGGCAAGCTGATATCTCAGATAATGAACAAATAAGGCAATATTTATTCACATTGTACACCCTGGGGTAGATCTAATAAGTCTTTCTTATCTACAGTTAGTCACATTTACACTTTAACGGTATACAATTATTCTTCAGTTGCACTAGAAATGATGATGAGTCAAATTGGGAAGAAAAAACATAAGAATTGTGTGACATATTTCTATCTGAATAGTCAAATATAGGTGTCCTTTGACTGCATTTGACTGAAAAAATATAGATACAGGAAAGCTAGGTAAAACAAAGAATACAATCGTATTTTTCATCATCAATCACTATTACACATACACTGTGCATGCATATACACACATGTATGAACACGTGTGTGCATGTATGTATAGATGTGTGTATACACACGCACACAGTGACCCTCTGTGTCCATGAGTTCCTCATCTGTGGATTCAAACAACTGCAGATGGAAAATATTAATTTAAAAGGATGGTTCTGTCTGTACTGAATATGTACAGGCTTTTTTGGACATTATCCCATAAACAATACAGTATAACATCTATTTATATAGCATTTACATTGTAGTAGGTGTTATAAGATATAGAGATGATTTAACGTATACAGAAGAATATTTGCAGGTTATATGCAAATACTGTATTATTTTATATAAGGGAATTGAACACACAGAGATTTTTTTGTATCTGCAGGGAGTTCTGAAATAAACTGCCCACAGATACTGAGGAACAACTGTACAAATACACACACACACACACACACACACACATTCTGTATTATTCAGAAACACCCACGTAATGAAGAAGTACCCTGCTTATCTTTTCTTTAAAGAGCTGATTAAGTGGCTCATGATAGAGCATTGTGCTATTTGCTCTTATCCTCAATTTTCCTCAGGATTCACCTAGAGTATGGCTATCTATCTGGAAACAGCTAAAATTAACAGAACAATTTAGAAAACCTACTGAGCCAAAGTTGCACGGAGAAGACTAAAAGAAGGGAGGAAGATGAGTGACTCAGGGGATTCTTAATGGAATTTTAAGCCTTTTGTATTCATGCTCCCTCAATTTATGGATGGTGCACTGTTCTCCTGGATACTTTAAAAGTGCTTTTTGGAAAACTCATTACTTCAAATTGGTGAAGGCAGATAGCAGTTGTGGTGTTTTAGGAGTGAGTTAGGACTAGAATCCACATTTCCAGCTCTGAATTTCTAGTGTTTTGAAACTTAGGTTCTAGGGAGCATCAGCAGTGACTCAGGAGCTGGTGCGGCACTCACAGCCCCTCCACCTTGGAAGCCTGCTCCAGCTTCTCACATAAAGCAGTCCAAAGGTCTGAAGGTGATTCTGAGAATTCACTGGTCCAGTATGACATATAGGGATACCAAAAACAATCCAGTGATTCCCCCCAGAGCAGCTTACATTCCCAGGAGTGTACTAGGAGTGTTAGGGCTCCCAGAAGGGGACCCCTAAACACTCTCCACACTCACAGATGAGAATCTCTCAGGCTGGTTACTAATCCACAGTGGGTACTATCATTTCTGTGCACTCACCACCCCAGAAGACCCCTCCACTTCAGCTTACAGCCCTTGAGTGGTCACAAGATCTGCAGTAGTTCAACCATTTAAACATCTGGGACAGAAATAGTGGCTTTTCCTCAAACATCATCATAAGAATTGGCGCAGTGCTTTCCCAAGGCCCACACTCATTCCACTGCACTGTTTCCCAATATCTCAGAGAAAAACTGGGTGATGGATGGGCATTTCGTGAAAGATGCTTCCAACTCAGTTTTGTTATTATGGAGATAGATTCTCTCTTTAATTCATGACCATGAACTTCAAGTGGGCCCTGCAGGCAAAATGAGACAAAGAAAGAGGAGCGTCTAGAGAGATCTACAAGAAGCTATTGCCCACCTTATTGAAGTCTTTCCTGGCCAGGAATGCCAGCAGCCAGGAAGACCAGCTAGACACAAAGTAGAGGAGAGCAAGAGCAAGCTGCATGAATTTATCCCCACATCTCAGAGCAACCACTTCCTGAGGGTAATGACCATCATCTTCTCCTTTTGATGAATTCTAACCTAGAAGTGAACAGAGATGAGAATTCTGGAAAAGGTAGCTCCTGGCTTAACAAGTTAACAATAACACACCCCAGAAAAAAAATGATAGTCAACTTAGATAAGACTAAAACTTCATTGTTAGATCTTACAGTGATGACCATGGCAAGAGCAAATTTGGTGGCATATTTAGAGCAAAGGGTTTATATCTGGAGTGGATTTATAAGAGACCAGTCAGAAATGATACATTTTTTGAGAAGTTTACAGTGGAGGAAGGCAAAGAAATGTGGTAGAAGCTAGGTGATAAGCAAGGCCAAGGGGGGATTTATTTTTTAAGTTATTAAAAAATAGCAATATGTTTGTGCACTAGTGGGAATAATCCCATAAGAGTGTGGTGCACATCTGTACTCCCAGCACTTTGGGAGTCTGAGCCTCCCAGGAGGCTGAGGCTTCAGTGAGCCTCCACTGCACTCCAGCCAGGGGTACAGAGTGAGACCCTGCCTCAAAAATAATAATAATAAGACTGTGCATCTGATTTTGAAAAGATGTTGGAGCCATGAGTTTGGATAGAAAAAAAGAAGGAAAATCAAGCGCACTGGAGACACTGGCTCTTGAAAGGACCCTGGAATGCCAGCAGTGCTTCTTGCTTCCCCTCCTACCAGCCTGGTCCAAGGCAGCATCTTCTTCTACTGAGATAACTGCAGTAGCTCCTAACTAGTCTCCCTCCTCCATGTTTTACCCACCTATAAACCCACATAGCAGTCAGTGTGGTGCTTTTAAGACATATGTCAGATTAGGTCACCCCAGTGCTCCAAACCCTGCAATGTTCCCCCTCTTCATTCAGAGTAAAATAAAAGTCCTTGTAAGGCCACACAAGTTCCCACTGGGCGGTCAGGTTCTCCATTGTGTCTGGAATCTTCTCTCCTACAGTTCTGTATCTCTCATTTACTCCTCTTGCCTTTTTTTGGAAGTCCTAGGCACCCTCTTACCACAAGGCCTTTGTTCCAGCTTGTGCCTCTGACTCAGACATTCGTGTCCTAGATAGCCCCTTATTTAACTCCTTCTCTTCCCTCAAGATTTTGTTCATATTTCACCTTCTCAATGAGGCCCACCCTGACCACTTACTTAAAGTTGCAACCTAACTTCACATTCCCATCCCTCTTATTGTGCTCTGCTTTTCCTTTCTTCCACAAATATTTACTACTTTCTAAAGACAATGTAATTGACTACAGTAGTCCCTTTTTATCCACAATTTCTCATTTTGCAGTTTCAGTTACCTGCAGTCAACTGTAGTCTGAAAACATTAAATGGGACACTCCAAAAATAAACAATTCATAAGTTTTAAATTGGGTGCCATTCTGAGTAGCGTGATGAAATCTCACACCATCCCTTTCCGTCCTGCCCAAGACATGAATATTCCTTTGTCTAGCATTTCCACGCTGTATGCCCTGCCTGCCCCTTAGTCACTTAGTAGGCATTTCAGTTATCAGATCAACGGATTACAAGAAGAAGAGTGAGTACAGTACGATGAGATATTTTGAGAGACAGAGAGAAACCATACTCACATAACTTTTATTATAGTATATTGTTATAACTGTTCTACTGTATTATTAGCTATTGTTGTTAAGCTCCTACCATACCTAACCTATAAATTCAACTTTATCAGACCCTGTGTGGTGGCTCACGCCTGTAATCCCAGAACTTTGGGAGGCCAAGGCAGGTGGATCACTTGAGGTCTGGAGTTTGAGACCAGCCTGGCCAACGTGGTGAAACCCCATCTCTACTAAAAATACAAAAGTTAGCTGAGTGTGGTAGCACACACCTGTAATCCCAGATACTTGGGAGGCTGAAACAGGAGAATTGCTTGAACCCAGGAGGCAAAGTTTGCTGTGAGCTGAGATCGCACCAGTGCACTCCAGCCTGGGCAACAGAGTGAGACTCTGTCTCAAAAAAAAAAAAAAAGCCAAAATCAAAAATACTTTGTCATAGGTGTATATGTGATATACTTTGGCTCTGTGTCCCCACCCAAATCTCATCTGGAATTGTAATCCCCATGTGTTGATGGTGGGGCCCTGTGGGAGGTGACTGGATCATGAGGGAGGTTTCTAATGGTTTAGCACCATCTCCCTGGTGCTGTCTCATGAGTAGTTCTCATAAAATCTGAAGATTTTAAAGGGACTAAAGAGCTTTTGCATGGCAAAAGGAACAGTCAGCTCACAGAGTGGGAGAAAATCTTCACAATCTACACATCTGACAAGGGACTAATATCCAGAATCTACAACAAACTCAAATAAATTAGCAAGAAAAAAATAAACAATCCCATCAAAAAGTGGACTAAGGGCATGAATAGACAATTCTCAAAGGAGATATAGAGATGGCCAACAAACATATGGAAACATTCTCAACATTACCAGTGATCAGGGAAATGCAATTCCAAACCACAATGTGATACCACCTTACTCCTTCAAGAACTTCCATAATCAAAAAAATCAAAAAATAATAGATATTGGCTTGGATGCGGTGAAAAGGGAACACTTCTACACTGCTGGTGGGAATGTAAACTAGTACAACCACTGTGGAAAACAGTATGAAGATTTCATAAAGAACTAAAAGTAGAACTACCATTTGATCCAGCAATCGCATACCATGTATCTACCCAGAGGAAAATAAGTCATTATATGAAAAAGATACTTGCACAAGCATGTTTATAGCAGCACAATTCACAATTGCAAAAATGTGGAATCAACCCAAATGCCTGTCAATCAACGAGTGGATAGAGAAACTGTCATATATATATACACTGGAATACTACTCAGCCATAAAAAGGAATGAATTAATGGCATTCACAGCAACCTGGATGAGATTGGACACTATTATTCTAAGTGAAGTAACTCAGGAATGGAAGACCAAATATCATATGTTCTCACTTACAAGTGGGAGCTAAGCTATGAGGATTCAAAGGCATGAGAATGAAACATTGGACTTTGGGGACTTGGGGAAAGGGTGGGAGGGGGTGAAGGATAAAAGACTACAAATTGGGTGCAGTGTATACTGTTCAGGTGACGGGTGCACCAAAATCTCCAAAATCACTACTTATGTTACCAAACACCAACTGTTCCCCAAAAACGTACGGCAGTAAATTTTTTTAAGTGTGTGGTGGTTCCCTTCTCTTGCTCTCTTTCCTGCTCTGACATGTGAAGATGTGCTCACTTCCCCTTCACCTTCCACCATGATTGTAAGTTTCCTGAGGCTTTCCAAGTCACGTTGAACTGTGAGTCAATTTAACCTCTTTTTCTTATAAATTATCCAGTATTAGGTAGTTCTTTATAGCAGTGTCAAAACAGACTAATACAGTATGTATAGAAAAAAAACATAGTGTATATGTGGTTTGGTACTATCTGCAGTTTCAGGCATCGACTGGGGGTGGTCTCAGAACATACTCCCAGTGATAAGGATAAGGAGAGACTACCATATTTTCCCATGTTTCTAGTCCATTGCCTCTCTCACTCAGAATGTGGGCTTCGTGAGCATCATATTCACTGGTATATCTCAAACTCCTTAGAACAGTGCCTGGCACATTGTAGACAGTCCATAGGTATTTTTTGGATGAATTAATATATTTAGCTATCAGAAAGCCTTAGTAAGCTCTCTAAAGATTTATGAATGAAAAGTCAGAGGCTACTTCTTTGTGCCAAGTGAATATACTACTCTTTGTAAATCTCATCAGAAGTGTGTCTACTGAGCTGCAAAAAAATTTATTTGAAAGCTGAAGGAAGTGAATGATATTTTTATCTAACTCTTTTGCATTTGATGCAAGGTACAGTCACCAAATAAATATTTATAACAACCTTCATATAAGCTTATAACATATCAATTGATCATTTCATTCAATTAAGCCTCCCCAACAACATTGTAAGATAGGCATTATCATACCTGTTTAATTGTTAAAGAAAATGAAACTCAGAAAGCTTAAGTGGCTTGCTCAAATTCTCACAAATTTAGTAAATGGGGGAGCTGGGTCTCAATTACAGACTTTATGTTCCATTGAAGATGCTTCTTAGCTTAGCTCTATTATATGGAGAAATAGCATATGTAGTACCAAGCACAATAATTAAATACTGAAGAAATTTAACAATGTTATATCTATAGCCTGAGAGGTTTATATACATTTTTAACTAAATATATACATCTATATCCATGTCTCTTTCTATTTTTGTATCTTCTATCTACATATCTATCTATTAATCCATCCATTCATCCATACATATGCACATGTATAAATTTATTGAGTACATAATCTGAGCAAGGCAAGTATTATGTGCTATGCAAATATTATCTCAGTTTTATTCTATCCCAAACACCAGAATTAAGGTATCCCATTTTAATGATGAGAAAGCTGAGGTGCAAAGAGGCTAACTAATTTGCCCCAAGTTAACAGCAGAAGGAGCCACAATGTGAACCTGGAAAGTCTAACTGCATAGTCAATGCTCCCAACCATCTCAGCATGCTTTTTCCTTCCTCAATTAATGAGAACACATTTCATTATATTAATTTGATAATATTTAGAGGGATATAATTTCTGAACTGCTTTGTTCCATCTCTAAAAGGCTTAGTTTATTATAATGCCTTTGGCTGGCATTCTTCTGTAAGTGTGGTGGTTTACCAGGCCTTCTGTCCTAGGTAAGAATGACATAAAATGTCTACTGCAGTTAGGTTAGTGTCTCCCTCCTGACAGGGCTCCACTTTTCCTTGGAGCCACATATTTAATGTAAGGTGCTCAGTCATCAAGCACATACATCAGCGGCTCTACAGACTGGCTATTATCAACCCAATTCCTGGAGGCTGAGCCCAGCAAATCAGAATTCTACATTTAAAATAGGTGTTTTCAAAGCAACCTTCTTATCTTAAAATGTGGTTAAGTTTCCTTCATTGGTTAAAACATGTTCTGCTGTTTGCCAGCTTCATAGGTACGGACATTTTAATCTAAGCAGTTTGGAATGGGAGGGTGTGAAGAGTGACCAAGCTAAAATGTCAAGTTCAGACTGCAAATATATAATTTAAGAGATATGTGTCTAAGAAAGCAATCCATGTGTCTATAAGCTCACTTCAACTATGCTCCAGAAGTCCCCTGAAACTCTGAACCTGATCAGAATTCAAGATGGAATCTTCTTTGACCCTAGCAGAACTAGGCAATACTTCTCATTGCTTCTCTTTGCTGGTCTGTTATTACCATTCAAGGAAACAGAGAGCAGAGGGAAACCATACTTCTATTTTTAATAAATCAAAATAGCATATGTAACCATGTTTCTTGAGGCTTTACCATCAATCTGTGATATAGGCATTCTTTCGTTTAAAGGAATGGAATTGCAATCAGGTTGGATAAGGCTGTGCAATCTAGTAATTAGTCTAAAATGAGTACAAACCTATTCCCGAATGTAATTATAAGAACAGGTTTTTTTTTGTGAATGCTGTCTGACTTTTATTGGGCTGCTCCACTAAATTCCCATTAGACCTATCTTGATTTATTTTAAACACTGGTCATTTATTCATCGTTTCATTTAACAAACATTTATTGAACGTCTACTATGTGATAGAAACTGTGCTACACATCAGGGCTAGGGAGATAAGTTAGATACAGTTTCTAACTTCAAGGCATTTACAATGTCATAAGAAAATAAACACTTGAACAGATAATGATAATATAATGTGGTAAGTCTAGTGATGGAGATACTTATACAAGACACTGTGCCTATGAATTGTTTAAACCAATTTCTTCTGTATATGAAAGCAAATCAGAAATAGAAACTGCTACCCTGCTGCATGCAAAATTGTTTACCGTAGTACACAATATGTGCAGCTATGCCATCAAATCATTACATACATGGCATAGATCTACTTCATTATTTTGGACATACATTTAAAAATAGCATTCTACACAGTGTGCATTATTATTTTTTACTTCTTAATGACCAAGTTCTAGTCAATTTTTTATCTCTGGTTCTCAATCACAAAGATCTTTCTTTATTCCTCTTCCTGACTAGCTATATATTTTTTAAAATTTGTATTTATACTTGTTTCTTCAGAATGTAGGATTGTTTGTCCTGCTTTTTCAGTGCCCAACTATTATTTTCATGAATGTCTTTCACTGTTATTGATTGGCAAACAAGTCAAATCCTAAAACTACAGAGTAACAGGCTAATCCCAGCTCTATTCCCCATTAGCAAGAGCACGTCCTTGCTCTCCAACCAGAGTGAGAAGGCAAATATGCTACTCCCACTCAGATTGAGCACATTATTTACATTCTCTGTTGGGGGTTGAATGAGTTATATCACTAGGAAAATTAATTCCTGCACTTCCCATTTTACTTACAGAGTTTGTTGGTGCTTGTGGAAAGAGTAAAATTACAAATCCTGATAAGTTAATGGCAGAGACCCTGTGTAAATTTGTTTGGAAATTTTCTTCATCTAATCATATCACCTTTAGATGTGCATGGTCAGTGTGTAGAGCTGCACTTCTTTGCATAATCAAATAGGGTCTTGAAATTGTCAGTGCTTCTCTGAAGAGAGAAGGTGAAAGCAATGAAAAGAGGGGAGAGGGGCAAAACAAACTAATGGTAGGCAAGGAGCCTGGAAAGAAAGACAGCCATGGGAAATGAACAGTGGCGGGTTTGATAAAGGATTTTAAGGAACAAAGATGCTATTAACATCTGCTTTCTAGTTTTTTGGTGATACTGTCATTTAACTGCCTCAGATATCCACAAGACTTTAAAACTCTGCTACATAAAGCAATCCTGTGTTTGAGGTTGTTTAGGGAACACAAAAGTAAAATGGTCTGTAGTGCACATTAAGGTCATCTTGGGGGAGACAAGAGACCAGCCACAGGCAGGAAGAAAAGCACAGGGGAGGCTGAAACTTCAGTGGGAAAAGAAACATTAAAGCAAGAAATGACAGGAGTAAGGTAATCCCCTAAAAATTCCTGGATTTGGGATTGCGATGTGTATCTCTGGAAGTGTGTGCAAGTGTGTGCTTTAGGTATATGTTAGAAGGTAGCAGAAGATGTTGAGTTTCTCACTACAGGTGGAATAATATTTGAAACATATTAATTTAAAAATTGCAAAATTAAGATAATCCATAATTCTAAAGGATTAGGGGATTCTAGGGAGAAGAATACTTGGATTACACAATGAACGTGTTTCAGATGAAATGGTAGTGCTATCCATCAACCACATTTGCATTGAAATATATTTATTTTTGTATGTTTGTTTTACAGATTAGATAGCTCAGATGGTTCAAGTCTCTACCAATGAAATCAAACTCTGGAGTTTACACCTCACTCCAAGCATTTCTCTTTGTGCAGAAGAAAATTGTACCAAACTCAAGGCCACCCCAGGATGGTTGATGCGAACATGCAAAATTCTACCTTCTTCCAGGCCCTTGCAAATGCTGTTTCTTCTGCAGAAACTATCTCCTGCCTTCCAATTCCAGACATGATACCCTGTCAGTCAGTTGCCCTGCAAGACTCAACAAAAGGGTTTCCTCCCTGTAAATGTTTTTATGTCTCCACTCAGGAAAGAACATCCTCTCCCTCACTTCTCTACATTGTATTCTATATGGACCACCTCAGTGATAGCTCCGTGAGCCCTACAGAGAAAGTCAGCTACAGTGAATAAATAAGGCTTGGGTAACTATTAGGGACTTTTAAGACAAAATATGCATTTGACAATGAATTAATTAACATTATGTAACACTTGATTCAATTGCATTGTTTTGCATGTAGCATATATCAACCTCCCTGTATTGCAGTGAGTCATTCCAGATGTAGGGAACACATGTACTCATCCCATCCTTGAATCCCACGTTCTTCCATAATAAGTGTTTATTAGTAGATGTGTGTTACATGAATAAATTAATAAATTGGTGAATGAATGGATGCGTAGATGGTTATGTAAAAGGATAGATAAATTTCTTACCCCTTGACACACTATTTTCCCAGAAGATGCAAGGCTTTTATTTATGTTGTTATATTTTGCTGGGGGATTTTCTTGTTTGTGATTTTTCATTCACTATGTAAAGAAGAAAATAGATACCTGTGAACTGAAGCAAACCTAAAACAAATTGCCTAAGACCATGACCAACTTGTCTACAATCATAATCATAAAATACATTGCATATAAATATATCATAGTTGATCATAAAGGAGAATAAGAAAGAGACGATAGGTGAATTAATGAAAACCTGACACCACAAGTAAAAAAAAAATAAAATCAAAAGCCGAGGGGGTTAATCAGATGATTTTATGGTAGAAAAAACACTTCCATTTATGTTATATGTGTGTGTGTATGTGTGTATGTTTGTGTGTGTGTGTGTGTGTGTGTATATATATATATATAATATGTCAGATTACATATATATTTCAGAACTAGATCTAAGAACAAGACTGGATCTATAATTTGTGAGGCCCAGTGCAAGACAAAAATGCAGAATCTCATGTTCAAAAATTCAGAATTTCAAGATGGCAACAGAAGAGCATTAAATCAATCACAGAGTCCAAGTTCAGGTGCCTATGTGATTGTTCAAATGCCACAAAGTCAGCCCTACCTAATTATTCCCTTTCTACAATCTTTAGATAAAAATTTTGTTTGCTTACAATTACAATATATATAAGTATAAATATAATGTATTGTTATAAAATTATAATTAACATATTATATATAGTTATATAATTATTGGCTATCATGCTATCTTTGGCTAGAAGCTACAAAATGTCAAGGATTATAGTCCATGGATATATTGCACTTTGTTACTATTATACATATTATCCATCTCCTCAAACACTAATGTTTTGTGTTCTAATCCATCAAGATTGTTTACATAGGGGAAGGTTCAAAACAGCTGATGAGATGCGGCGAGGGTGTGCCTCTTCCATGGAGAGGAAATATTGAATAAATATTCACACTTCAAATAGATTTTCTGAGAGAGAAAACTGGAATTCAACAGAGAGGTGATGGGAGACACTGAGGATAAAGAAAGAAAAAATGGGGCTCCTAGCCTGGGGTCACCAGGAGTGGGCACTGGACCTGTACCCAGAGAAGAAGTAAGTGGAGGATCCTGGGAACTTACATTCTTAGCATGGACCTTTGTGATCCTAGCTACAAGAGAGTTCCATGGCTTGACAAACTGACTGCAGACTGCTTGGTTCTGGCCTCACCATTCTGGCCTGCTTTTGCTGGCTGGACACTGAAGACAGAACCTTCAGGTTGGGGTGTGGAAGCTGGGTGGGTCCCAGTGCCACTTGCTAGGCTGCAGACTCTAGCAAACCCTCTTCCCCCACATAGGTACTGTGGCCCAGGAAAAGTACTTTCACCCCTCCCTGGAAGATTACCCCAGTGGCTTGAGAGCTGCCCCCTAATCCCCACTAGGGTCAGCACTTATGCTTGCCATGGATAGCCTAGTTACACCTCCACTGACCCACCCAGCCCAGCTTTGGCCCCTACAATCACCTTGGAAGCAAAGCACAAGGATGAGTAGCCCTGAGATTTCCACAGCCCGCCCATCACTGGAGACACATTAGTACTTCTCCTGGCTAGTAAAAGCTAAGAAGAAAATCCCACTGCTACCACTGCAGCTGCCTCTCTTCAGGGCTATATGACACTATCATATAGCCCTCAACTAGTATTTATCCACAAAAGTGAGACAGCTACTGGCCAGTAGGGAGAACTGCACAACCCATTCCATTTCCTGCACAGAATTGGGCAGCACTGGGGAATGAGACAAGACTCCTGGACCTCCACTTTTCTGTCTCTACTGATGGCAGTGAGCCCAAACAGACACCCAGTACACCACTATTACCACCTACAAACAACCAGTATTTATGAAAACCACTACACTAAGGCTGTCTGTAACCAAAAAATTCATGCAGAACCTTGGCCCCCTAAAAGCACAAAGAAGCAAAGTCGAAGGACTCTCCCCAACATATGCTACAGTCAAACTCTCAAAAGCTAAAAATTAAAGTCCCATCCAAATGAAAGTAAATTCAAAAATAAGAAGTGACAGATTCTCCAGATGAAAACAAAATGGCATAAGATCCCTGGCACCATGAAAAACCAGACTGTAGCAATACCTTCAAAGGATCACATACTACCTCTCTAGCAGTGACTCCTAACCAAAATGAAAATTCTGAATGAAAGCTAATTCAACATATGGATTTAAAGGAAGATCAATGAGGTTCAACAGATTGTTGAAAGCCAACACAATGAAATAAGAAAAATAATTCAAAGTATAAATAAAACATTCTCTAAAGAGATAGATATTTTATAAAGAAGAATTTTTGGAAATGAAAAATTTGCTGAAGGATAACAAAATATAGTTAAAAGCTTTAACAGTAGACTAGACCAAGCAGAAGAAAGAATTTCACAGCTTGAAGACAGGTATTTAGAATTAACCAAGTCAGATAAAAAAGAAAAAAAATTTAAATGAACAAAGCCTTCAAGAAAGATAAGATTATGTAAAGCAACCAAACCTATGGGTTACAGGCATTCTGAGGAAGAAGAAAAAATAAAAACTTTGGGAAGTTATTTGAGGGAATAATTTTAAAAAATTCCCTAGTCTTCCTGGAGATGTGGATATCCAGATACAAGAAGCACATAGAACATCTGGAAGATACTTTGCAATACTAACATCACCAAGGCATACAGTCATTAGACTATCTAACGTCAATGTAAAGGAAAAAAATCCTAAAAGAAACAAGAGAGAAGCATCAAGTCGCCCAGAAAGAAAATTCCATTAAACTAACAGAGGATTTCTCAGCAGAAACCTTACAAGCCAGGAGGCACTGGGGTACTATTTTCAGTCTTCTTAAATAAAAATACAGCCAACCAAGAATTTTGTATCCTGCTAAACTAAGTTTCATAAATGAAAGATAAATAAAATATTTCCTAGACAAGATGCTAAGGTAATTTGTCACCACTTGACCAGCCCTATTAAAAATGCTCACAGGAATTCTAAATGTGGAAACTCAAGTGTGATACGTGCTATCATAAAAAGACATGAAACTATAAAACTCATAGATCTTATAAAGCAACCACACAATTAAGACTACAAAGCAACTAAGTAACAACCTCACAATAGGAACAAACCTTCACATATTAATATTTACCTTGAACATAAGTGAAATAAATGCTCCACTTAAAAGATAAATACTGGCAGAATGGACAAGAATACCAGATCCAAACATATATTTTCTACAAGAAACCCACCTAATTGTCAAAGGCATTTATACTTAAGTAGGTGGAAAAAGATATTTCACACAAAAAGAAAACAAAAGTAAGCAGGAGTAGCTATACTTATATAAGATAAAACAGACTTTAAGTCAATGACAGTAAAAATAAAAACAGGAAGAAGTCATTGTATAATAATAAAGGAATCAATTCAATAAGATGTAACAATCCTAAATATATATGCACCCAACACTGAGCATCCAGATTCATAAAACAAATACTAGTAGATCTAAGAAAATAGATAGAAAGCAATCCAATAATAGTAGGGAACTTCAATAACCCCATCAAAAACACTAAACAGAACATCAAGGCAAAAAAATCAACAAAGAAATTTTGGACTTTAATTAGACTCTAGACCAAATGAATCTGACATACATTTACAGAACATTCTATCCTACAGCCATAGAATATATATTCTTCTCATGTGTGAATTAAACATTTTTGAAAATTTACTATGTTCTAGGCCACAAGACAAGTCTCAATAAGTTTCTAAAAATCAGAATCATAGCAAGCATCTCCTTGGACCACAGTGAAATAAAACTAGAAATCAATACCAAGAGAAACTCTCAAAACTATACAAATACATCTAAATCAAGCAACTTGCTTCTGAATGATCTTTGAATAAAGAATAAAATTAGGGGAAAAAATTTGGAACAAATGAGCATGGAGCCACAACATACCAAAACCACTGGGATACAGAAAAAGCAGTGCTAAGACGGAAGTTTATAGCATTAAATGCCTACATCAAAAAGATAGAAAGATCTCAAATTAACAACCTAATGTTATACCACAAAGAATTGCAAACACAGAACAAACAAAAACTGAAGCTAGCAGAAGAAAAGAAATAACAAAGATCAGAGTAGAACCAAATGAACTTGAGATGAAAGAAAACAATAAAAAAGATCAATGAAATAAAAAGTTGGTTCTTTGAAAAGATAAAATTCGTAGACCACTAGCTAGACTGACCAAGAAATAAAGAGAGAGGATTCAAATAAGCACAATCAGATGACATTACAACTGATACCAGAAATACAAAAGATTATTAGAGACTATTGTGAGCATCTGCACACACACATACTATAAAGCCTAGAGGAAATAGATAAATTCTGGGAAACACAGAATCTCCCAAGATTGAACCAAGAAGAAATAGAAATCCTTACCAGGCCATAAATGAGTAGCACAATTGAATCAGTCATTTTAAAAATTTCCCAACAAAAAAAAGCCCAGGATAAGATGGATTCACTGCTGAATTCTACCAGACATACAAAGAAGAATGGGCACCAATCCTATGGAAACTATTCCAAAAAATTAAGAAAGAGGGATTCCTCCCTAACTCATTCTATGAAGCCAATATTACACAGATACCAAAGCCAAGTAAAGGCACAACAAAAAAAGAAAACTACAGGCCAATATCCCTGCATAGATGCAAAAAACCTCAACAAAATACTAGCAAATTTGATCCGACTGTGCATCAAAATGATAATACACCACAATCAAGTGGACTTTATTCCAGGGACGCAAGGATGGTTCAAAATATGTAAATCAATAAATATTATTTCACACATAACAGATTTAGAAACAAAAACCATATGATCATCTCAATAGATGCAAAAAGAGCATTTAATAGGATCCAGCAGCTCTTATTGATAAAAACCCTCTATAAACCAGGCATTGAAGAAACATACCTCAAAATTATAAAAGCCATATACAACAAACCATAGCAAATATCATACTGAGTAGGGAAAAGTTGAAAGCAATCCTCCCTCAGAACTGGAACAAGACAAGGATGCCCACTCTCACTCCTCTTTTTCAGCACAGTATTGAAAGTCTTAGCTGCAGCAATCAGGCAAGAGAAAGAAATAAAAGGCATATAAATTGGATCAGATGAAGTCTAATTATCTGTTAGCTGATGATATCCTCTTATACCTAGAAAACCCTAAAAACTCCTCCAAAAGACCCTTAGTTTTGATAAATTAATTCAGTAAAGTCTCAAGATACAAAATCAATGTACAAAAATCAGTAGCATTTCTGTTCAACAATGATAAGGCTGAGAAACAAATCAAGAACTAAATCCCACTTAAAATAACTATGAAAAAAAAATTCCAAACAAACCTTGGAATACATTTAACAAAGGAGGTGAAAGATCTCTCCAAGAAAACTATAAAACACTGATGAAAGAAATTATAAATAACACAAACAAATGGAAAAATGAATTGGAAGAATCAATATTGTTAAAATGACCATACTGCCTAAAACTATCTACAGATTAAGCTCAACCCCTATCAAATAACCAATGTCATTTTTTATAGAATTAGAGAAAATGCTGAAATATATATATATATATATATATAAAGAGCCTGAATAGAAAAAACAATCTCCACCAAAATCAACAAAGTGGGAAGCATTACATTTCCTGACTTCAGTTTATACTGCAAGTCTCTAGTAACCAAAACAGCCTAGTACTGGTGTAAAAATGGACACACAGAACGAAGGAACAGATTAGAGAACCCAGAAATAAAACCACTTTTGTACAGCCAACTATCTTTGACAAAGTCAACAAAAATATACAGTGAGAAATAGACATTCTATTCAATAAATGATGCTGAGAAAATTGGATAGCCATATGCAAAGAAATAAAACTGGACCCATATCTCTCACCATATAGTCAAATTAACTTAAAATGGACTAAAGACTTAAATTTAAGACTGAAACTATAAGCATCCTAGAAGAAAAACCAAGGGAAAAATGTACTGGTCATTGACCTTGGCAAATAATGTCAAGCAAACACAACAAAAACAAAAACAGACAAATGGGACGTAGTTAAACTAAAAAGCGTCTGCACAGCAAAAGCAATGATCAACAGAATAAACAGACAACCTACAGAATGTGAGAAATATTTGCAAACTATGCATCCAACAAAGGGCTAATATCCAGACTTTCTAAGGAAATCAAACAAGGAAAAAACAAACAAGCAAAAAAAAAAAAAACCTTTAAAAATGTGCAAAGGATATGAATAAATATTTCTTAAAAGAAGACATACAAACAACCAACAACCATATGAAAAACTGCTCAGTTTCACTAACCATCAGAGAAATGCAAATTAAAACCACAATGAGATACTATCTTACGCTAGTCAGAATAGATAATACAAAGAAGTGAAAAAACGACACATGTTGGTGAGGATACAGAGAAAAGGGAACACTTAGACACTGTTGGTGGGAATGGAAATTAGTGCAAACTTTATGGAAAAGTGTATGGAGATTACCAAAAGAATTTGAAATGGAACTACTATTCAATCCTGCAATTCCAACTACTTGATATCTACCCAAAAGGAAAGAAATCATTATATCGAAAGACACCTGCACCCGTAAGTTTATCACAACACTACTCACTATAGCAAATACATACAATCAATCTAAGTGTCCATCAATAGATGATTAGATAAAGAAAATATAATGTATGTAAGTATATGTATATGTGTGTGTATATATATAATTTATATGGAACATATTTATACACACAGAATCTACTGATGATTGGATAAAGAAATATATATATATATATATATATATAGACACACACACACTCATCAGGGAATACTATTCAGCCATAAAAAAGAATTAAATCATGTCTTCTGTAGCATGGATGAAGCCATAGACCACCATCTTAAGTAAATAACTCAGAAAACACAAGTCCAATATTGCATATTGTCCCTGATAAGTGGGAGCTAAACAATGGGTGCACATGGATTACAAGGCGGCATAATAGACACTGGAGACTACAAAAGGTGCAAGAGTGGAAGGTGGGTGAAGTTTGAAAAATCATCAGTTGAGTACAACTTTCACTGTTTGGGTGATGGGTACACCAAAAGCCACTACACAATAAATGCATGTAAGAAATCTGCACTTTTACATATACAAAAATTAAACACAAATAAATAAGATTCTTTACCTAGGGTCACTGCTTAACATATGGTAAGTACTTGATAAATGTTTAACAGACAAAAAAATTTATTCACTTTCATCTTAGTAAAATAAAAATTTCATCAGAATCCCTGACCAGTGACAGAGAGAGGTGGAGGGAGAGAGGAATTTACCATACCATGTATGCTTATGTATGTAAATTTTTGAATATACATGGTAGTGTTTGGGAGCTATATTCTAAAACCTTCCCTTAATGAAGACAGAACATTGCATTTTATAATGTTTCCATAATGAATAAACATATTTCAGTCCTGCCATTCAAAGCATATCCAAAAAGCAATAGAAAATCACATTTTCTACCATTTGGCGGATCCTCTTCATGTCTGTGTTAACTACAGTTCCTTTGCTCTGCCCCCCCTCAGAAACAGATTTCTCAGCTCCTCTAGTAGTGACTGTATTAGTCCATTCTCACAATGCTTTAAACATACTGCCTGAGAATGGGTAATTTATAAAGGAAAGAGGTTCAATTGACTCATAGTTCCACATGGCTGCAGAGATCTCAGGAAACTTACAATCATGGTGGAAGGCAAAGGGGAAGCCAGGACCTTTTTCACATGGCAGCAGGAGAGAGAAGAGCTAGCAAGACCAGGGAAAACTGCCTTATAAAACTATTAGATCTCATGAGAACTCATTATCACTAGAACAGCATGGGGGAAACTGTCCTTATGATTCAATCACCTCTCACTGGCTGCCTCCTCTGACACGTGGGGATTATGGGAATTACAATTCGAGATGAGATTTGAGTGGGGACAGAGAGCCAAACAATATCAGTTACCAATACATGGAAAGTTTTCTATATGCCACTCGGCTACCATATTCTGTTTTTGATATCCCTTCTTTTCATCAATTTGATTGTTCTACCTTGTGTGACTTAATATGATTATAGTCAGAGTCCTATCAAATCAGTTCTGAAAAAGTAGCTGTATTTTTGTAGCATTTTTCAAGTGCTGAAAACAGGCTTTAATCTCCTGCTTTACTTCATTCAGTGATTACCACAATCCGTCTGACACCTATTGACCCATTTTTCTTCATAGTCTATGATATACCAGCCACTATACTAGATGCCTGTACATATATTATCTTACAGCCAGAAATATTTGGGCAGATAAATCAGAAGCTTATTATAAAGAACTCAAAATATTTAAATGTGTTAATAAGATTCTGAAAAAAAAGCTTATCTAAACAAAACTTAATGAGCTTAATTATTTATTTTGATTACTGGAAATCTAAAAATCATATGAAGTTGCTATTGTGCAACACCCTTTTCTTTGTGTGGTACTAGAAGGAAGTTAGGAAGTTGAGGTCTAAGATACAGCATTTCTTCACTTGCCTCTGGGAAAATGTGCAATGATGTGTTACCATGGTCTCTGGGTTTAAATCATTCTTTTCCATATCCTTTTCTCCTTTCAGCTGATTAGCAGGTGAAACTGATATAAAGCCCTCGATTGAATATCTCTTACACAAATGGGGCTTGTTTACTGGAACTTCATACAGTCAGGTTTCCTAAGGGCTCTCATAGCTAAATTTTCTTCAGAAGCATCATCACTGATGTTGATTATACCACTTTACTATAGAATATATTATACATAAGAATATTGGTTTTATTTTATTTAAATTCTACCCATTTCTTAATAAGCTATTTGTAATAAACTAATATAGACCAAGACAGAAAAACTGCAGAATGTATCCACTGTTTTTTCCAATTGACTTCCAAAGGTCAACTCAAGGTAGCACGGGACACATCCCAGGGCTCAGATCATGGAGACAAGCTGGGATATGCTAGATAAAGTGTAAGCTGAGTAAGTGATCCCCTGCAGGAGCGGCAGTGTCCTCTATATAGGAAAAGCATAGCTACTTTTTGTGGTCGGGAGGGGGGAGGAGCATGAGGGGTAACCGGAATATAGATGTGCAGTCAAAGAGAAGTTGTAGAAATAGCAGATTTAGATTTGACCTTAGAATAGGTTCCACATGTGTGCTATTTACAAGCTGAGCCACATTAAAATATGCTGCAAATGGCTGGGCGCAGTGGCTCACACCTGTAATCCTAGAACTTTGGGAGGCCGAGGCGGGCGGATCACGAGGTCAGGAGATTGAGACCATCCTGGCTAACACAGTGAAACCTCACTTCTACTAAAAATACAAAAAATTAGCCGGGCTTGGTGGCGAACGCCTGTAGTCCCAGCTACTCGGGAGGCTGAGGCAGGAGAATGGCAGAACCCAGGAGGCGGAGCTTGCAGTGAGCCGAGATCGCGCCACTGCACTCCAGCCTGAGTGCCAGAGCGAGACTCCCTCTCAGAGAAAAAAAAAAAAAAAAAAAAATGCTGCAAATAAGTGAAATTGACCTGGAGACAGAAAGGATAGAGTAGAGATAAATGGAAAAGTATGAAAATAATATACTATGTCTTAATAACTGAGTGAGATTATATGATGCTTTAGTCTGTTTGTGTTGCTATAAAGGAATACTTGAGGTGGGTAATTTATAAAGAAAATAAGCTTATTTGGCTCACTGTTCTGTAGGCTGTACAAGAAGCAATGTGCCAGCATCTGCTTCTGGTGAGGGCCTCAGGAAGCTTCTACTCACAGGATAGGGCAAGGAAAGTCAGTGTGTACAGAGATCACATGGTAAGACAGAAAGTGAGAGAGATGAGTAAGGGTCAGTCTCTTCACCAGTCAGTTGTTTCGGGAACTAAGAGTGAGAACTCACTCCTGTGAAAATGGCACCAAGCCATTGATGGATCCCCTACCCAAGGATCCAAACACCTCCCACAAGGCCCCACCTCCAACATTGGAAATCAAATTTCAGCATGAGACTTGGCAGGACAAAACAAGCCATATTCACACCATAGCGTATGGTAATACCTCTAAATTCATAGGTATATCGTGAACCTTTAGCTCCAAAGACAGAAGGCCAATCCAAACTAGCTAAAACACAATGCAAATTATTGGCTTACTTAAACTGGAAGTCCAAAGGTGAGGTGGGCTTCAGGATTGATTAAATGAGCAACATCAGCTCAACAGGCCTGCAGTTCTCATACCTTTCCTCTCCTCCAGCTGTGGGGTTTATCTTTGGGCAGGGAGTAAGATGGTGGCAGCTGCTTAGGTCTCCTCTCAATATAAGACAAATTCCCTGTAAAGAGAGAGAGTGTTGCCTCTTGAAGTTCTACAGGAAGAGTAGTAAATCACGTTGCTAGAAGCTTCAATTTTAACCTCATTGGCTCACATTGCATCACATGCCTACTCACAAAGCAATCATTGGCAAAAAAAAAAAAAAAAAAAAGAAGAAGAAAAGAAAAAATAAAGGTATTCTCTCTCTTCAGCACAACAGGGCCCATCTCTAGACCTTGGATTTGCTTAGCTTGAAGTCCCATCAAACCTGTAATGAGAACTGTACCAATTTTCTAACTCTGGGATGTTTAAAAGGTAAATTTCATTCTCCAATACAGGAAATACAGTTATATTTGAGGATATCTAAGTAGCATATTTTGTAATGAAGCTCTTTCTATTGTAAGAGGAAAAAAACATGCTTTTAAACAACATTTTCTTCTCTTATAATGCACTTTATTTTTTTTATTACAGGAATGGTACTGCTTCCTTTAGAAAACTAAATATTCAGAAAAATAAAAAGAAGATAATAAAAGTTATATGCAATTTCTCACCACCGTTAACATTCTGAAAAGCTCTTGCTACTTTGTTTTCTGTGTATATTTGTTTATCACATATTCAATTGGTTGCTAATGACAGAAACCCATTTTGAACTGATTTAAACAAAAATGGGAATTTATGTATAGCCCACGGGATATTCTGTGGAATCAAAGGGAAGCTGAAATGTACATGGGACTAATACTGGAAATTAGAAGGAAGCAGACATTTAGAAAGTAGAGGCTCTATCTTTATTTTTTGCAGCCTGGTTTCCTTGCTTTGGGGGATAGACAGTCCAACATAGCCATCCCATGGGTCTCAACTCTCTACCTTCTTTCTCCATTAAGAACAAGCCAGTGTTCCTAGAGGAGTAAATCTGTTTTCCCAAGCTTGTGTCAAGAGTTCACATTTGGTCCAATCAACCGTGTTAAGGAAACAGCTACATAGAATAACATGGTTACTGAAGACCCAACCTTCAGTGTGGAAGCTGGGCCATTTATCAGAGAAAGATAACCATTGTTCCCTGGATAGATGCCCCTAAAGTTTACTCCTCTTCATCCTATTATACTACTACTGCCACAGCTACTATAGAGACACAAAACACAACCACAAAAACCTATAAATGTCATTGAGATTATCCTGAACACAAAGTTTTAAAATCTGTGTTTTAAAACATTTTCCATGCATTCCAACACAAAACTCTCTCCCATATGATTATAATTGCTTCCAAAACACCATTTTCAGTGGCTGTGTAATATCCCATCTAATGGAGGTACCATTTCTTAGTTTTCCAACAATTGGAGAATAAATGCTTTAATCATTCTCAATTTCTTGTTATCATAAATAATAATGGTTGAATAGAAATCTTTCTAAAGTGGTTTTTGCCTGCATATTGCATTACTCCCATAGAATGGAGTCTTAATAGGGGAAATAATGGGGGCAGGAGACTTATTAAGACTCTTGCTGCACATTGCCAAATTGTGTTCCAGAAAGGTTGTACTAAATTACATTTCTTGCAGAAATGACTGAGAGTTCTCATTTTGTGGAGTGAATCTTTGGTAATATGGAATCTAATTACCCAGAGATATCCTATTCAATGAACTGTGTCATCATATCAGAACCATTTCACAGGTACAGTAGAATTTATTCCAATCATTTTATCCAAGTAGAATTCCCAAACACTGCCTGCTTTCTACATCCTTCCCAGCAGTTAGGAATTCTGTGTTTCAGTCTTTCTTCCCTGAAAGCTTGGGGCCACCAGGCACTGCAGGCTCATTGAGTAGTGTCCTTTTGACCTTACAAAAGGGGATGGGTGAGAGTAAGGCTCTTCTGTTTTGACATGTGTACCCAGGGAGTGATCAGAAACCAAGTCTTTAGTGAACGCCAGGTCAGATGGAGGGAAAATTCTGTCAAACTATCAGTCAAGAGGAAGTTGGCCAAAAGCAGTGGCTCATGCCTGTAATCTCAGCACTCTGGGAGGCTGAGGCAGGAGGATTACTTGAGGCCAGGAATTCAAGAGACAAGCCTGGTAACCATGGCAAGACCCATTTCTACAAAAAACAAAATTAACTGGGCATGGTGATGTGCACCTGTAATTCCAACTACTTGGGAGGTTGAGGTGGCAGGATCAGCTGAGCCCAGGACTTGGAGGTTACAGTGGTCTGTGATTGTGCCACTGCACTCCAGCTTGGGTGGCAGAGCAACACCCTGTCTCTGAAAAAGGCAAAAATAAAAAGAGGAAGTCAAAGTTGGAAGCCACAAAGAAGGATAACCCAAAGGGGGAGGAGGGAGATTAAAGGCAAGAACACAAGTGTCTGTAGGGATCAAGCAGATAGAGGAGAGAAGCAGTTTGGGTATGGGTTGAGGCCAACTGGAAAGCCCACCTCCTCTGTAAAGTCTCTGCTCCTCAGCTCCAGCTATTGTCACCATGGGGGGTAACTTGGAGTTCTGAGATTCAAAATCTTTTTGAAAGAAACCAGAAATGTGAATTTTTATAGATCTCCTAATTGTCAAATATTGTTTCAGTTTTTCAGAAAAACTGTGTGTGTTCTGTGACAAATTTCATTTAGCATAATGTCTTCCAGTTCTATCCATGTTGTCACAAATGGTAGTACTTCCTCCTTTTTTAAGGCTGAATAATATTCTACGGTCTGTATTTACCACATTTTCTTTTTTTTCTATTTCTTTTTCTTTTCCTTTTTCTTTTTCTTTTTTTTTTTTTTTTTTTTGAGATGGAGTCTCACTCTGTCACCAGGCTAGAGTGCAGTGGCATGACCTCAGCTCACTGCAATCTCCACCTCCTGGGTTCAAGCCATTCTCCTGCCTCAGCCTCCCAAGTAGCTGGGATTACAGGTGTGTACCACCACACACAGCTAATTTTTGTATTTTTAGTAGTAACAGGATTTCACCATGTTGGCCAGATGGTCTCGATCTCCTGACCTCATGATCTGCCAGTCTCGGCCTCCCAAAGTGCTGGGATTACAAGCATGAACCACCATGCCCGGCCACCATATTTTCTTTATCTAGTCATCTGTCGATGGACATTTGGGTTATTTCTACTTCTTGGTTATTGTGTATAATGCTGCAGTGAACATGGAGTGTAGATATCTCTTGAAGATTACTCTTTCAATCCTTCTGAACATATACCCAGGAGTAGAACTGCTGGATCATATGGTAGTTGTATTTTTAGTTTTTTTGAAGAACCTCTATACTCTTTTCCATAGCAGCTATGACATTTTATATCCCCATTGCATTATGCACATATTCTAATTTCGCTTTCTCACCAACACATATTATCTTTAATTTTTAAAATAATAGCCATCGTAATATGTGTGAGGTGACTACATGGTTCCACTTACATGAAGAATCTAAAATAGTCAAACTGCTCAGCACTTTAGGAGGCTGAAGAGAGAGGATCGCTTGAGGCAAGGAATTTGAGACCAGCCTGGGCAACATAACAAGACCTCTGTCTCTACAAAAAGTAAACTTAGCCTGGTATGATGGCATATGCCTGTAGTCTCAGCTACTTAGGAAACTGAAGCAAGAGGATCCTTTGAGCCCAGGAGTTCAAGGCTACAGTGAGCTATGATCATGCCACTGTGCTCTAACCTGGGTGACAGAGTGAGACCTTGTCTCTTAAAAAATTCAAATAGTCAAACTTACAGAAGCAGACAATAGAAAGGTGGCTGCTAGGGACTGGGACTGGAAGGAGAAGGAAATGGGGCGTTGTTCAGTGGATATAAAGTTATAGTTACACAAGATGAATAAGTTCTAGAGATCTGCTGTACCACAATATGCCTATAGTTAACACTACACTGTGTGCACTTAGAAATTTATTTAGAGAGTAGATCTTAGGTTAACCATTCTTACCAAAAGAAGAAGAAGAGGAGGAAGAAGCAGCAGCAGCAAAGGGACACAGGAAATGAATGTATTTATTACCTGTGTCCTAAAACTGACAGTAATGAATATATTTATTACCTTGATTATGGTGATGAGAGGTGAAACCAGCTGGACTTCCTGGGTCGAGTGGGGACTTGGAGAACTTTTCTGTCTTACAAGAAGATTGTAAAATGCACCAATCAGAGCTCTGTAAAAACGTACCAATCAGTGCTCTGTAGCTAGCAAGAGGTTTGTAAAATGCACCAATCAGTACTCTGTAAAAATGCACTAATCTGCACTCTGTAGCTAGGATTGTAAAATGCACCAATCAGCACTCTGTAAAAACGCACCAATCAGCACTCTGTAGCTAGCAAGAGGTTTTTAAAGTGCACCAAGCAGTGCTCTAAAAACACACCAATCAGTGCTCGGTAAAATGCCCCAATTAGCAGGATTCTAAAAGTAGCCAATAGCAGGGAAAACTGTAAAAAGTGCACTGTGATAGGACAAAAATGGGACATGGGAGAGGACAAATAAGGGAAGAAAAGCTGGCCACCCCAGCCAGCAGCAGCAACCCACTCACGTCCCCTTCCAAGCTGTGGAAGCTTTGTTTTTTAGCTCTTCACAGTAAATCTTGCTGCTGCTCACTCTTCAGGTCCATGCCATCTTTAAGAGCTGTAACACTCACCACGAAGGTCCGTGGCTTCATTCTTGAAGTCACTGAGACCACAAGCCCACTGGAAGGAACCAACTCCGGACACATCTTGGGTGTTCGTCTGGGATATTGCCACACGGTGAGTACCATCGGACTCGTCTGGGATATTGCCACACGGTGAGTACCTTCGGACCTGTTTCACTTTCTATTCTGCCCTATTTTTCCTTAGAATTCAGGGGTTAAACACCGGACACTTGTCAGCCAGTTAAAAGCAACTAGTGCAGCCACCTGACTAAAGACACAGGTGTCAGGCTTTCTAGGAAAGGGCTCTCTAACAACCCCCAACTCTTTTGAGTTGGGAGCTTTGGTTTGCCTGGAACCAGCTTCCGCTTTTCCTGAGCTTCTGGGCTGAGCCAAGGGTCGACAGAGAGGAAAGCCATTCAACTCTGGGGTCCTGACAAAAAGTTCCTTAACACTGCAGGGAGTGGAACTCTCAAAGTTACGTCGCCCAAGTGAGACTCACCCATCTATTCTATCTGGACCCTTGCCTCCTGGGTCCTAAAGCCTGTCAGACAAACTTCCTCCTGCCTCTCTTCTTTAGCCTTTAGAAGGCTAGTCCCGCTTCTAAAAACCACTCCCTGTCCCTGGTGCTCTTTTAGTTTCTCCTATAAGAATGATTTCTAGTATAAATTTCTGGACTCTGTTCCCTTCTTTAGGCACCTGGGCTCACCAATCAGAAAGACATAATTTGGCCCAAAGCCCCATGGTGGGGGGGACTATCTGGAGTTTTAGGACCCTCCCTCAGACTAGCAGGCCTAACAAAGGCTATTACTGAAGCTAGGATATGGGGAACCTCAGAAATTTTATCCTTCCTATTCATATGATGAGAAGTGAGGACAAAAGGCATCACTTTTCCAACCCTGGAGATCCCTTCCCTCCCTCAAGATATGGCCATCCACTCCACTTTGAGGCATATTATCTTTATAGGACAAGGGTAACGCTTAGGACTCTAAGGTTTTCAAGAATGCATCGGTAAGGGCCACTAAATCCGATTTTTCTCGTTCCTCTTTGTGGTCTAAGAGGAAAGGCAATGGTGCAGGTTTTCGAGAATGCGTTGGTGAGGGCCACTAAATCCGACCTTCCTCGGTCCTCTTTGTGGTCTAGGAGGAAATCTAGTGTTTCCACTGCTGCTTCAGTGAGTGCAACTATTCTGAACAGCAGGGTCCAGGGAACATTGCAGGTTCTTGGGCAGGGAAAAAAACAAACCAAAACCATGGGCAGTTTTTTCTTTCAGATAGGAAATGCTCAGGCATCAAGAGGCTCACACTTGAAATGCATCCTAAGCCATTGGGACCAATTTGACCCGCAAAACCTGAAAAAGAAGTGGCTCATTTTTTTCTGCACTGTGGCCTGGCCCTAATATTCTCTCTCTGATGGGGAAAAATGGCCACTTGAGGGAAGTATAAATTACAATACTATCCTGCAGCTTGACCTTTTCTGTAAGAGGGAAGGCAAATGGAGTGAAATGCCTTATGTCCAAGCTTTCTTTTCACTGAAGGATAATCCACAACTATGCAAAGCTTGCAATCTACATCCCACAGGAGGACCTCTCAGCTTACCTCCATATCCTAGCCTTCCTACAGCTCTCCTTCCTATTAATGATAAGCCTCCTCTAATCTCCCCGACCCAGAAGGAAACAAGCAAAGAAATCTCCAAGGGACCACAAAAACCCCCCGGCTGTCAGTTATGTCCCCTTCAAGCTGTAGGGGGAGGGGAATTTGGCCCAACCCAGCTACATGTCCACTTCTCCCTCTCTGATTTAAAGCAGATCAAGGTAGACCTGGAAAAGTTTCCAGATGATCCTGATAGGTATATAGATGTCCTACAGGGTCTAGGGCAAACCTTCAACCTCACTTGGAGAGATGTCACACCATTGTTAGATCAAACCCTGGCCTTTAATGAAAAGAATGTGGCTTTAGCTGCAGCCTGAAAGTTTGGAGATACCTGATATCTTAGTCAAGTAAATGATAGAATGACAGCCAAAGAAAGGGACAAATTCCCTACCAGTCAGCAAACCGTCCCTGGTACGGATCCCCACTGGGACCTAGGTTCAGATCATGGGGAATGGAGTCACAAACATCTGTTGACCTGTGTTCTACAAGGACCAAGGAGAATTAGGAAAAAGCCCATGAATTATTCAGTGATGTCCACCATAACTCAGGGAAAGGAAGAAAATCCTTCCGCCTTCCTCGAGCAACTATGGGAGGCCTTAAGAAAATATACTCCCCTGTCACCCAACTCCATCGAGGGTCAATTGATCCTCAAAGATAAGTTTATTACCCAATCAACCGCAGATATCAGGAGAAAGCTCCAAAAGTGAGCCCTGGGCCCTGAACAAAACCTGGAAGCATTATTAAACCTGGCAACCTCGGTGTTCTATAATACGGACCAAGAGGAACAGGCTGAAAAAGAAAAGTGAGATCAGAGAAAGGCCACAGCCTTAGTCATGGCCCTCAGACAAACAAACCTCGGTGGTTCAGAGAGGACAGAAAATGGAGTAGGCCAATCACCTGGTAGGGCTTTTTATCAGTGTGGTTTGCAATCTTAAATAAGATTGTCCAATGAGAAACAAGCCACCCCCTCACCCATGTCCACTATCCCAAGGCAATCACTGGAAGGTGCACTGCTCCAGAGGACAAAGGTTCTCTGGGCCAGAAGCCCCCAACCAGATGATCCAACAACATGACTGAGGGTGTCCAGGGCAAGCGCCAGGTCATGTCATCACCCTCACTGAGCCCCGGCTGAGTTTACCCATTGAGGGCCAGGGAATTGACTTCCTCCTGGACACTGGCACAGCCTTCTCAGTGTTAATCTCCTGCCCCAGATGGCTGTCCTCAAGATCCATTACCATCTGAGGAATCCTGGGACAGCCTGTAACCAGGTATTTCTTTCACCTCCTCAGTTGTAATTGGGAGACTTTGCTCTTTTCACATGCCTTTCCTGTTATGCCTGAAAGTCCCACACCCTTATTGGGGAGTGACATATTAGCCAAAGCTGGAGCTATTATCTATATGAATATGGGGAACAAGTTACCATTTGTTGTCCCCTACATGAGGAGGGAATCAACCCTGAAGTCTGGGCATTGGAAGGACAATTCAGAAGGGCAAAAAATGCCCACCCAGTTCAAATCAGCCTAAAAGACCCCACCTCTTTTCCTTATCAAAGGCAATATTCCTTTAGGCCTGAAGCTCGTAAAGGATTACAGGATATTGTTAGACATTTAAAAGCTCAAGACTTAGTGAGAAAATTCAGCAGTCCCTGCAACACCCCAATTCTAGGACGACAAAAACTGAATGGTGAGTGGAGATTAGTGCAAGATCTTAGACTCATCAATGAGGCAGTAATTCCTCTATATCCAGTTGTACCTAACCACTATACCCTGCTCTCTCAAATACCCGAGGAAGAAGAATGGTTCACTATTCTGGACCTGAAGGATGCCTTATTCTGCATTCCCCTGAACTCTGACTCCCAGTTTTTCTTTGCCTTTGAGGATCCCACAGACAACACATCCCAACTTAGGTGGACGTTCTTGCCTCAAGGGTTTAGGGATAGCCATCATCTATTTGGTCAGGCACTGGCCCAAGATCTAGGCCATTTCTCAAGTCCAGGCACTCTGCTCCTTCAGCATGTGAATGATTTACTTTTGGCTACCAGTTCGGAAGCCTCATGCTGGCAGGCTACTCTAGATCTCTTGAACTCTCTAGCTAATCAAGGGTACAAGGTGTCTAAATTGAAGGCCCAGCTCTGCCTACAGCAAGTCAAATATCTAGGCCTAATCTTAGCCAGAGGAACCAGGGCCCTCAGCAAGGAACGAATACAGCCTATACTGGCTTATCCTCACCCTAAGACATTACAACAGTTGTGGGGGTTCCTTGGAATCACCGGCTTTTGCCAACTATGTATCCCCGGGTACAGCGAGATGGCCAGGCTACCCTATACTCTAATCAAGGAGACCCAGAGGGCAAATACTCATCTAGTAGAATGGGAACCAGAGGCAGAAACAGCCTTCAAAACCTTAAAGCAGGCCTTAGTACAAGCTCCAGCCTTAAACCATCCCACAGGACAAAACTTATCTTTATACATCACAGAGAGAGCGGGAATAGCTTTTGGAGTCCTTACTCAGACTCATAGGACAACCCCACAACCAGTGGCATACCTAAGTAAGGAAATTGATGTAGTAGCAAAACGCTGACCTCACTGTTTATGGGTATTTGCAGCGGTGGCCATCTTAGTGTCAGAGGCTATCAAAATAATACAAGGAAAGGATCTCACCATCTGGACTACTTATGATGTAAATGGCATACTAGGTGCCAAAGGAAGTTTATGGCTATCAGATAACAGCCTGCTTAGATATTAGGCACTAGTCCTTAAGAGACTGGTGCTTAAAATACTCATGTGTGCAGCCCTCAATCCTGCCATTTTTCTCCCAGAAGATGGGGAAACCAATCGAGCATGACTGCCAACAAATTGTGGCCAGACTTATGCCACCTGAGAGAATCTCTTAGAATTCCCCTTAGCTAATCCTGACCTTAACCTACATGACAATGGAAGTTCATTTGGGAAGAATGGGATATGAGGGGCAGGTTATGCCATAGTTAGTGATGTAACAGTACTTAAAAGTAAGCCTCTTCCTGCAGGGACCAGCGCCCAGTTAGCAGAAATAGTGGTGCTTACCTGAGCCTTAGAACTGGGAAGGGAAAAAAGAATAAATGTGTATACAGATAGCAAGTATGCTTATCTAATCCTACATGCCCATGCTGCAATATGGAAAGGAAGGGAGTTTCTAACCTCTGGGGTAACCCCCATTAAATACCACAAGGAAATCATGGAGTTATTGCATGCAGTGCAAAAACCCAAGGAGGTGGCAGTTTTACAGTGCTAAAGCCATCAAAAAGGTGAAGGAGAAAAGGCAGAAGGAAACCGTTGGGCAGACGCTGAGGCCAAAATTGCTGCCAGGTGGAACCTCCTATTAGAAATACGTATGGAAGGACCCTTGGTATGGAACAACCCTTTCCAAGAGATTAAGCCCCAGTATTCCCTGGCCAAAACAGAATGGGGACTTTCATGGGGACATAGTTTCCTCCCCTCTGGGTGGTTAACAACAGAAGAGGGAAAGGTACTCATGCCGGAAGCCAGCCAGTGGAAAATACTTAAGACCCTTCACCAAACTTTCCATATGGGTATTGAGAACACTCATCAGATGGCCAAATCCCTATTTGCAGGACCAAATCTCCTCTGGACCATCCAGCAAGTGGTCAAAGCATGTGAGGTGTGCCAAAGAAATAATCCCTTGGTCCATCATAAGGCTCCTCTGGGGGAACAAAGAATAGGGCACTATCCTGGAGATGACTAGCTGTTAGACTTCACCCATATGCCTAAGTTAAGGGGATTTCAATACTTGTTGGTCTGTGCTGATACTTTTACAAATTGGATAGAAGCCTTCCCCTGCAAGACAGAGAAACCTCAGAAAGTGGTTAAAGTCCTAATTTATGAAATGATTCCTAGATTTGGGCTTCCCCAAAGCTTATGGGAAAATGAAAATAATAAACTCACTCACCTTTTAAACATACACAACCAGTTCTGTCTACCCAGCCAAGGCATATTTTTCTTATGTGGAACTTCAACCTATATAAGCCTCCTCACTAACTGCACAGGCACCTACACCTTAGTCTTCCTAAGTCCCAACATTGACATTGCCCCAGGAAATCAGACCCTATCAGTGCCCCTCAAAGCTCAAGTCCATCAGCACAGGGCCATACAACTAATACTTATAGGGTTAGGAATGGCCACTGCTACAGGAACTGGAATAGCAGGTTTATCTACTTCATTATCCTACTACCACACACTCTCAAAGGATTTCTCAGACAGTTTGCAAGAAATAACAATATCTATCCTTACTCTATAATCCCAAATAGACTCTTTGGCAGCAGTGACTCTCCAAAACTGCTGAGGCCTAGACATCCTCACTGCTGAGAAAGGAGGACCTTGCACCTTCTTAGGGGAAGAATGTTGCTTTTACACTAACCAGTCAGGGATAGTACAAGATGCTGCCTGGGATTTATAGGAAAAAGGCTTCTGAAATCAGACAATGTCTTTCAAATTCTTATACCAACCTCTGGAGTTGGGCGACATGGCTTCTCCTTTTTCTAGGTCCTGTGACAGCCATCTTGCTATTACTCACCTTCAGGCCCTGTATTTTTTCACCTCCTTGTCAAATTTATTTCCTCCAGGATCGAGGCCATCAAACTACAGATGGTCTTACAAATGGAACCCCAAATGAGCTCAACTCACAACTTCTACTGAGGACCCCTGGCCCAACCCACTGGCCCTTTGACTGGCCTAGAGAGTTCCCCTCTGGAGGACACTACAACTGCAGGGCCCCTTCTTTGCCCCTATCCAGCAGGAAGTAGCTAGAGCAGTCATCACCCAATTCTCAACAGCAATTGGTGTGTCCTGTTTAGAGGGGGGATTGAGAGGTGAAGCAAGCTGGACTTCCTGGGTTGAATGGGGACTTAGAGAACTTTTCTGTCTTACAAGAGGATTGTAAAATGCACCAATCAGCGCTATGTAAAAATGCACCAATCAGCGCTCTGTAGCTAGCAAGAGGTTTGTAAAATGCACAAATCAGCACTCTGTAAAAACGCACTAATCAGCTCTCTGTAACTAGCAGGAGGTTTGTAAAATGCACCAATCAGCACTCTGTAAAAACGCACCTATCAGCGCTCTGTAGCTAGCAAGAGGTTTGTAAAATGCACCAATCAGTGCTCTAAAAATGCACCAATCAACACTCTGTAAAATGCACCAATCAGCAGGATTCTAAAAGTAGCCAATAGCAGGGAGGATTGAAAAAAGGGCACTCTGATAGGACAAAAATGAAACATGGGAAAGGACAAATAAGGGAATGAAAGCTGGCCACCCCAGACAGCAGCAGCAACCTGCTCGGGTCCCCTTCCAGGCTGTGGAAGCTTTGCTCTTTTGCTCTTCACAGTAAACCTTGCTGCTGCTCACTCTTTGGGTCTGTGCCATCTTTAAGAGCTGTAACACTCACCACAGAGGTCTGCAGCTTCATTCTTGAAGTCAGCGAGACCATGAACCCACTGGAAGGAACCAACTCCAGACACAGTGATAGTATGGTAGGTATATGCATGTGTGCAGATTAATCAGCTTGTATACATTAAATATGTATAGTTTTTGTATCAATCATATTTCAACAAAACTGTAAAAAAGATATTGTCAAAAATAAAAGAGCAAATGAAAAAATAATTTTCAAAATGGAAAAAGCAAATGAAAAAACCAAAAACAAGTGTATTGGACAAACACTTCTGTGGTCTAGATATTGCCACAACTTTTGTGACCTCTGATATGGAAGCTGAAGTGTTACCTGCAGAAATTCTTTATGTGGTTTTCACGGCCACAGACACAGTATCACTGGCAACATTTTAAAATTTTCAAGGAGAAGGGACAGTTAAGGGTCAGGCAAATATGAAGCCAGCTAGAAGCTCCAAGTGTAGAATGCATTTGTCTGTAAGTAGTAAGACCCCTAGATACATAGAGCCCCCTTTTATAAGAGAGAAGATAATTTTTACCTTGGCTGAGGCTATACCTCCAAAAATTGTGAGTATTGTCACATTCTTATGCAAAAAGTACATCCTCTGTGAAGGAATAAGCATCTGAAATAATGTGCTCAGGTAATTGATTTCACTGACTAGTCCCAGCAAGCCTGGATTCTGCAACTGTTTTATAATGTATCACTTCAGCATGTAGATGAGTTCCAGATAAGACATCAATTTGTGATGTTCATGTCTAAAAATAGAGCCACAGCCTAGTCAGTGTTGCCCATTAGATTCTATTTCCTTTTTACTCTGCTGTCAGCTAAGTCCCTGGGATCATCATAAATTTGATTATAAAAACAAGTCCTGGCTGGGGGTGGTGGCTCACGCCTGTAATCCCAGCATTTTGGGAGGCCAAGGTGGGGAGATCAGGAGATCGAGACCATCCTAGCTAATATGGTGAAATCCCGTCTCTACTAAAAATACAGAAAATTAGCTGGGCATGGTGGCAGGCACCTGTAATCCCAGCTACTCAGGAGTCTGAGGCAGGAGACTGGCATGAACCTGAGAGGCGGAGCTTGCAGTGAGCCAATATTGTGCCACTGCACTCCAGCCTGGGCAACAGAACAAGACTCCTTCTCAAAAAAAAAAAACAAATCCTATGTTTGGGAAGGAAAACTGATGTGTTGGAAATCAGTGGACATGGCTGTTTTGACTGGCTTCCTTTCCTCAGGAAACTATAACAACCCCATCTATCATCTTGACAATGCCAGGCATTACATATGGAGCCTTCAGATTCATAGCCATCCAAGGACCTTTCATTATGTGTCGGTTTCCTAAATGCAGGGGAGCAAAGCTCCTCCTGGTCTTGCTTCACACATCACCAGAAGCAGTGAACACATGCCCCTCTGCCTGGCACCCTAATCAGCTCAGCTTAGGAGGCACTGTAATCTGCCTTTGATGGAATGGAGGATCACACAAGAAGAGAAACCTATGTTGAAGCACGTTCTCAAGATATGGACATACATTTCAAGCTACAAGCTAAGCAATAGCCTATTATTTCCCCTTTGCTAGCAGTATTTTAGCAGAACAGCCAACATACAGGCTTTTCAAATAGACCGCTAGAGATTCCTAGATCAGCTCTTGGTGTGGGAACTACTGATTGCTTCTTGCAACATTTCATGCTGTGTGAGTTTGAATACTAAGGGAAAGAGCTTATCCTGCATTCTGAATTATCTGTGCAATATCTGTACCAGCATGTTTGTGGTGTAGAATTATATGAGAAAAAAAAACATATAACTGCAAAAAATGTATCTCTCCTCATTAGGCTATTAGCTCCTTGACATCAGGGACAATGTCTTATTCATCATTCTATTTCCAAGGAAACTTTTCTGACTTGTACCTCCATGTCTTTAGAGACCCTTATATGCTAATAGGTGCCCAATTAATATTCAGAGACTTCAGAAATATTTCCATTGATCATGCCACCTTTCTGATTTGCCCTTCTTTCAACTACTCCTGAATACAGAACTGGAAATGGTCTTTAGAGTAAGCCTAGCTTCTGCTCTGGAAAGGGGTAGAGCCACAGAAAAAAGTCTTACTGCTGAGGTTTCCTCTTTTTAAAGATACTATGCAATATAATACTCTCCTGTCTTGAGAATATTTTAAAATTAGTTAGCTTGATATTCTAGTATGCGTATAGAAAAAAGTTGGATAAAACTACACCAACCTGTTAACAGGTTATCTCTAAGAGAACATGAAATATTTACTTTCTAATTTTATATATTTTTGTAAAGCATGGTTTTCTTTGACAGAGAACATACACTATTTGTATCAGTCCATTTTCATGCTGCTGCTAAGGACATACCCAAGACTGGGTAATTATGAAGGAAAGAAGTTTAATTCACTCACAGTTCAACATGGCTGGGGAGGCCTCATAATCATGGCAGAAGGAAAGGAGAAACAAGTCACATCTTACATGGTGGCAGAGAAGAGAAAGCTTGTGCAGGGGAACTCCTCTTTATAAAACCATCAGATCTTGTGAGATGCGCTCACTATCATGAGCACACAGGAAAGACCTGTCCCCATGAATCAGTTATCTCCCACCGAGTCGCTCACAAGATGTGGGAATTGCGGGAGCTACAATTCAGGATGAGATTTGGTTGGGGACACAGCCAAACCATATCACTCAGGACCTTGCCCCTCCCAAATCTCATAACTTCACATTTTAAATCCAATCATGCCTTCCCAACAGTCTCCCAAAGTCTCAACTCATTTCAACATTAACTCAAAGTCCACAGTCCAAAGTCTCATCTGAGACAAGGCACATCCCTTCCGCCTATGAGACTGTAAAATCAAAAGCAAGTTATTTACTTCCTAAATACTATGGTAGTAGAGGCATTGGGTAAATCCATTCCAAATGTGAGAAATTGGCCAAAACAAAGGGGCTACCGGCCCCATTCAAGTCCAAAATCCAATGGGGCAGTCAAATCTTAAAGGTCCAAAATGATATCTTTTGACTCTATGTCTCACATCCAGGTCATGCTGATGCAAGAGGTGGGCTCCCACGGCCTTAGGCTGCTCCACCCCTGTGGCTTTGCAGAGTATAGCCTCCCTCCCAGTTGTTTTCACAGGCTGGCATTGAGTGTCTGTGGCTTTTCCAGGCACACAGTGCAAGCTGTTGATGGATCTACCATTTGGGGCTGTGGAGGATGCTGGCCCTTTACTTACAACTCCACTAGGCAGTACCTCAGTGGGGATTCTGTGTGGGGGGCACCCACCCCACATTTCCCTTCTGCACTGCCCTAGCAGAGGTTCTCCATGAGGGCCCTGCCCCTGCAGCAAACTTCTGCCTGGACATCCAGGCATTTCCATACATCCTTTGAAATCTAGGCAGAGGTTCCCAAACCTCAATTCTTGACTTCTGTGTACCCACAGGGTCAACAACATGTGGAAGCTGCCAAGGCTTGGGGCTTCCACCCTCTGAAACCATGGCCTGAGCTGTATGTTGGCCCCTTTTTGGTCATGGCTGAAGCAGTTAGGATGCAGGGCACCAAGTCCCTAGACTGCACACAGCAAAGGGACCCTGATCCTGGTCCACAAAACCATTTTTTTCTCCTAGGCTTTCGGACCTGTGATGGGAGGGGTTGCTGCAAAGGCCTCTGATATGCCTTGGAGATATTTTCCTCATTGTCTTGGTGATTAACATTTGGCTCCTTGTTACTTATGCAAATTTCTGCAGCCAGCTTGAATTTCTCCTGAGAAAATTGGATTTTCTTTTCTATTGCATTGTCAGGCTGCAAATTTTCCAAATTTTTATGCTCTGTTCCCCTTTTAAAACTGAATGCCTTTAATAGCACCCAGGTCACCTCTTGAATGCTTTGCTGCTTAGAAATTTTTTCCACCATATACCCTAAATCATCTCTCTCAAGTTCAAAGTTCCACAAACCTCTAGGGCAGGGGCAAAATGCCATCAGTCTCTTTGCTAAAACATAACAATAGGCACCTTTGCTCCAGTTCCCAACAAGTTATTCATCTCCATCTGAGACCACTTGGGCCTGGATTTCATTGTCCATATCATTATCAGAATTTTGGTCCAAGCCATTCAACATGTCTCTAGGGAGTTCCAAACTTTCCCACATTTTCCTGTCTTCTTCTGAGCCTTCCAAACTGTTCCAACCTCTATCTGTTACCCAGTTCCAAAGTCACTTCCACATTTTCAGGTATCTTTGTAGCAGCACCCCACTCTACTGGTACCAATTTACTGTATTAGTCCATTTTCACACTACTGATAAAGACATACTTGAGACTATAATTACAAAGGAAATTATAGTGGTAAGGAAAGAGGTTTAATTCACTCACAGTTCCACATGGCTGGGGAGGCCTCACAATCATGGCAGAAGGCAAGGAGCAAGTCACATCTTACATGGTGGCAGGGAAGAGAGAGTTTGTGCAGGGGAACTCCTCTTTGTAAAACCATTAGATCTTGTGAAACTTATTCACTATCATGAGGACAACACAGGAAAGACCTGCCTCCATGATTGAATCACCTCCCACTGGGTCCTTCCCACAAGACATGAGAATTGTGGGAGCTACAATTCAAGATGAGATTTGGTGGGGACACAGCCAAACCATATTACTATTTTTGTAAACAGAAAAAGCATGCACCCTTTTGAAATAATTAGGTTTAATTTGCTTACGCTCACTTTATATTAATCAAATGATCTCCTCTTCGTTGATATTTAGGAGATACCTTTCACTCATCAGCAAAATCTTTATCCAGCAAGGTGAGATATATCTGAGATGCCTCATCAATGATTTTTACTAATTCATATTAGATATAAGTTTAGAGGGTTATACTTTCTGACCTTCTAGGGCTGCATAATATTGAGGGTCTACAGTTTCAAGTAACCCAAGTTTATTGACACCACAGAAAAGTTGGATATGACAGAAATATAGATTCTTAACCATGTAGAGTTGAGAAGCCTTTGGAGATGATGTAATCCAACCTTTCTCACCATGCTGGCCTCCCCCTGCATCAACCTCCTTAGAAAGCTTTCTGGGAGGAGGAGCATGGAGACTCACCAGGGAACACTCTCCATGGCTGTGCAATTTTGCTAAGAGAACTTCCTTTATACACTGAGCTGCAACTTGCCCCACCAGAATATCCATCCATTCATTGATCCCCTCTCTGCCTTCTGGAGCTGAACAGCCAGCTGTTCAGCCGTGTGCCTAGCACCATGGCTCTCTTCACCTGTCAGAACATACCCAGAGCTGCTTATAAGTTTGTGAGACAAATAGCCTGACAGCAGTTGGAGGGAGTAGACAGAAGGGCCTGATGAAGAAAGAGTGGATGGGGCACATATTGGTTTTGGAAGTGAGTGTTCATCAGTTTCACATAATGTTAAAGCACAAAAGAGTTTTTATTTATTTTGCAGGAGTAATCTAGCTTTAGATGACCAAAAAATAATGTCTGGTCTTACTGAGATATAATAATTTCTAAAGGAAAAGATCAAAGTACATATTAGGTAATGGATGTATTCCATGTCCAGATATAGGAAAAGAAATTTCTTGGTACCCTCCACTAACTCTATTCCAAATCTAGAGTGTGGGGCCTTTTTAGACATGACCCTACTTGGTAATAAGACTTCTATGGTGTTCTAACAACTCTGTGCTCTTGGATAGGGCCTGGAGTTGAACTGCCTTACAGAGAAGATGATGATGGTGAGAGTATAAAATGCTATCACCCAAATTACCTCATCTTGCTGGGGATTCAGCAGCCCCATTGGGCCAGTTAGCATCTCTCAATTTCATTACAGTAAGTTGTACAGCTCACCCAAGAAAGCTTCTGATAATAAAAATGAGCAGATGATGAAGTGCATATGTGTTGGGGGAGGAAGGCACTGCACAGACCTATCACAGTGGGAGATTTCACCCCAGATTGACTTGGATCATTAATCAGCATCCTTAGGGCTAAGTTCAGCCAAAGACATGTCTCATGCTATCAGCTATCATGTAAAACCCATGACCTTTTGACCTTTCCATTGTTTCACTTCTGAACTTAATAACAAAACAGAAATGACTAACATCTCCTCCACTCAGAAAATGTTCAGTCTTTCTGTTCACTTTGTATGGCATTCTCTCTCTCTCTCTTTCCTTCTCTCTCTCTCTGTCTTTCTCTTTCATGATTTAGAAGCTAGTGAAAAAAGTTTCAGAAAATTCAGTAAAAAGTAGAAAAGTGAAATTAATGAAGATTTAGTACGAGCTTTTATGTTAAACAACTAGGAGTCCTTTGGTAACTTAAAAGAGAAAGAAATAGACTTCCTTGTATAGACTGAAGAGGGGAGAGAGATTAGAGAAATTTTTTTTAAAAAAAAGAGAAGATGTTCAATGAAAATAAGTCTGCAGATAAAGAGATCAACTTGAAAATGAGAAAATAAGTTATATTATTCAGAATTAGGAAAGGAAGGAGGGAATGCTGGATATATTGAACTGATAGAGTAGGGTATTAGTTTCTGTACTTGCTATAACAAATGACCACAAATTCAGTGGCTTAAAATAACACATTTACTATCTTAGAGTTCTGTAGGTTAGAAATCTGACCTCTGATGGGGCTAAAATCAAGGTGTTGGTGGGGCTGCATTCTTCCTGGAGGCTCCATAAGAGAGCCTGTTTCCTGGTCTTTTCCCACTTCTAGCAGAGCTCACATTCTTTGGCTCCTGGCCCCTTCCTCCATCTTCAAAGCCAGCAATGTCTGGTTGTGTCCTTCTCACATCTCATCACTCTTACACTAATTCTCCTGCTATCCTCTTTCACATTTTAAAGACCCCTGTGATTGCATCGGACCCATCTGGGTAATCCAGATTAACCTCCCTATTTTAAAGCCAGCTAATTAGCAACTGTAATTCCATCTGCAACTTCAATTCCCCTTTGGCATGTAAGCTAGCATAATCACAGTTTCTGGGGATCAGGACAGGGGCATCTTTGAGAGGCCATTAGTCTGCCTATCACAGATGGAAAATTAATGAAACTTGGTTAGAGTCATTTGTGTTTAATTAATAAAATTGAAGATTTAATCATTTTCTCAAAGTGAAAAAGAAGAAATACAGCTGGAATTCATTTTGTTTTCAAGAGGTCAAACAAAAGTGCATAGAACTTGCAGCAGCTTTGGCCAGCATTAACTGTGTATTCTGAAAGAATCCAGAAAATAGTACATGCATCAGAGGCTTCTATGGTATAAAGATTACTTTGCTTATTTTGGTTGTTCAGTTCCTTATTTACACTTACTTGTTTAATGTCTGTTTCTCCCTTAGGCTATAAATACCACAAGAGGGAACAACTATGTCTTTTTTATTCTCAGCTGCATCCCTTGCACCAAGCATTCCCTGCACCTAGCATCTTTACTAAGCACTAAATAAATATTTATTGACTGATTTTTAACAAACATGACAGTCTTACTGGATAGTCTGACACTGCCACATTTGCACATTTCAAATGGCTTTACTAGTTAAACAAAATCTTCCACATTCACCTACAGCTCAGAGCAGGGTTTTCACACCATATGGTTCAAAGCCTCTCCTAAGCTTACCACGCCCATGATCCCCCAGTCACTCCTTCAGTCATCTGAATTGGCCCTGCACTCTCCTAGGCACCTGGAGACTTGTCAGGATGGTATTTACCTTGGCGTCTAATGGCTCACTTCTCTCATCAGAGTCCATATCCCTAATTTCAAAAAAGCATCCAACAGCTTGACCAGGACAGACAGAGTTGTTTCTTTCTTTCTTTTTTTTTTTTTACAGCTTTATTGAGGTATAATGGATACACCAAAAATATGCACATTTAAAGTATACAGTTCAATGAGTTTTGACATATGTATGTATACCCCTGGGAAAATACCACAATCAAAGCAATAAATGTATCCATCACCTCCAAAAGTTTCTTCTTTCCCCTTTGGTTTTGTTATTTTCTGTTTTGTTTTGTTAAATGTCCTTTGTGTCAGGGACACTTAACAAGAGATCTACCCTCCTAACAAACTTTAAGTGCACAATATAGTTAACTATAAGTACAATATTGTACAGCAGATTTTATAGAAGCTTCTCAAAAAGCAATGTCTTTTTTCTTCCACAGCTTATATATTGGTCTATTGAACATGAGGGGCCCATTGCGTGTTTCTGGAGCAGCCAGTTGCTCCCAGGCCCTCCTGTCTTTCCTCTGTAGGTGAAGTCATCCTGGAAGGGTGAAGGTCACAATGACTAGAGTGGCTCTTGGGTATAATGCTTAATCGACAACAGCCACTTACCTCATATTAAATTCCAGCCACAATTCTATGTGCTATCTGGCCATGACCCTTGCAATGCAAATCACCATGGACTTGGATTACGTAATTCTGAGCTAAATATTTCCTTCAGACATGTAGTTGGCTTTCCTGACTCGCTGAGGTCAGGGCACTTTCTAAGCACTGTTTTTCTGTTTGAAATGATAAATTTGTGCTGATCCATCCAGTTTCTTTTGTGCTTAGCAAGAAAAGCTAGTCAGACTGTGAACTTGGCTCAGGAGGACAGACTAATCATTAAAAATTAAAGGTAAATCCATCTTTGGTGACGTACCCCTTAACCATATAAGAAATTTTAAGAATTTAAGTAGTTTAAGGTATAAGATACACAAGGTTTATTCAATTTTGTTCACCAGAAGGCAGCTAAGGGAGTCTGTGGGTCCTAAAAGGAACAAATTCATCAATCATTTAGAAGAAAGAATTAGTTTATAATCTCATCTCACTCCCTACAATAGAGCAAATTCTAGATATATGGAAGAGATAAATACAAAGTTAAATATAGAAAAACAGATGCAATTATTCATCAAACATTTAGGCAAAAAATGTCTAAATGTGGAAGCAATTGGAGAAATTACAGAATAAAAGGTTGTAAATATATATATTTGTGGTACGTAAAAACTTTAAATGTCCCTGATTAATAAATACAATAGTAATTAAAAGTCAAACAATGTATTGGAGAAAATTGTTTGCTATATTGGAAAGGATTACCATTTTTTATAGAAGGGTAGTTAACTTACTTTAAAAAGAAAACACTAAGGCCTGATAAGACAGTAGGCCAAAGACAAGAACACTCTTAACTAACCAAAGAGAAAACATGACCAGTTGATAAAAATATAGAAAATGCTTCTATGTCTTTTTTGTTCTCAGCTGTATTCCTTGCACCTCTCATCCCCTGCACCTAGCATCTTTACTAAGAACGAAATAAATATGTATTCACTGATTTTAACAAATCAGTCAATAAATAGCTGACTGGGGGAGGAGCCAAGATGGCCGAGAAGAGACAGCTCCGGTCTGCAGCTCCCCACGAGAGGAATGCAAAAGACGAATGATTTCTGCATTTCCAACTGAGGTACCCTGTTTATCTCACTGGGACTGACGAGGTGGTTGGTGTGACCCACAGAGAGCAAGGAAAAGCAGGGTGGGGTGATGGTTCACCCAGAAGCTGCACAAGGCAAAGGGACCTCCTTCCCCCAGCCAAGAGAGGCAGCAAGAAACTGTCCTACCCACCCAGGGTACTGTGCTTTTCCCACAGATTTTTGCAATCCGTGGATCAGGAGATTCCCTTGGGAGCCTACACCACCAGGGCCTTGGGTCTCAAGCACAAAACTGGGCAGACCCATGGCAGCTGCTCCGGTCAACAGCTGTCCAGACAGGCACTGAGCTTCAGGAGTTTGTACATGCTCCATCGGCACCTGGAACTCCTGTGAGGCAGGAGAACCATCCACTCCTGTGGAAAAGGAGCTGAAGCCAGGAAGCCAAATGGCCTCACTCAGTGGGTGCCACTCCCATGGAACCCTGCAAGCTAAGACCCACTGCCTTGGAATCCCTGCTGACCAGCACAGCAGCCTGGAATCTGCCTAGGATGACTGAGGGAGGGGGGGCAGTGACCACCATTACTGTGGCTCTAATCAGCAGTTTTCCCGGCCAGTATTAGGGAGACTGGGAGGTTTGAATTGGGCAGTACTCCTCACAGTACAGCACAGTGGCTGTGGCAGATTATGGCCAGGCTGCTTCTTTAAGTGGGACCTGGATCCATTCCTCCTCACTAGGCAGGGCCTCCCTGCAGTAATTCAAGCAACTCCAGTCAGGGGCTTACAGACAAAACTCTCATCACCCTGAAACAGAGCACCTGGGGGGAGGGGTGGCCGCGGTCTCAGGTTTAGCCGACTTAATCTTTCCTGCCTGCTGGCTCTAAAGAGTCCAACTGATCCAGACAAGGGGGATTCCCCCAGCTCAGCGTACCAGCTTGGCTAAGGGACAATCAGACTGCTTCCTTAAGTAGGTCCCTGATCCCATGCCTCCTGACTGGGTGATACCTCCCAACAGGGTTCCCCAGACACCTCATACAGGAGAGTTCTGGCTGGCATCAGGTCAATGTGCCTCTGGGAAGAAGCTTCTGGAGAAAGGAGCAGGCAGCCATTTTTGCTGTTCTGCAGCCTCCACGGGTGATACCCAGGCAAGTAGGGTCTGGAGTGGACCCCCAGCAACCTGCAGCAGACCTGCAGAAGAGGGGCCTGACTGTTAGAAGAAAATCAGACAAACAGAAAGCAATGACAACAACATCATCAAGAAACAAAAGTCCCCACAAAAACCTATCCAAAGATCAACAGCCTCAAAGATCAAAGTTAGATAAATCCATGAAGATGATGAAAAGTCAACACAAAAACAATGAAAATTCCAAAATCCAGAATGCCTCTTCTCCTCCAAATGATTGCAACACTTCTCCAGCAAGGGTAGAGAATGGGGCTGAAGCTGAGATGAATGAACTGACAGAAGTAGGCTTCAGAAAGTGGGTAATAAAGAACTTCACTGAACTAAAGGATTATGTTCTAACCCAATGCTAAGAAGCTAAGAACCATGATGAAAGATTACAGGAGCTGTTAACTAGAATGACCAGTTTAGAGAGAAACACAAATGACCTGATGGAGCTGAAAAATACAACACAAGAACTTCATGAGGCAAACACAAGTACTGAAAGCTGAATCGACCAAGTGAAAGAGAGAATATCAGAGCTTGAAGACGATCTTGCTGAAATTAGGCAGGCAGACAAGATTAGAGAAAAAAGAATGAAAAAGAACAAACAAAACCTCTGAGAACTATGGGACTATGTAAAAAGACTGAACCTATGACTAATTGGAGTACCTGAAAAAGATGGGGAGAATGGAACCAAGTTGGAAAACACACTTCAGGATATCATCCAGGAGAACTTCCCCAACCTAGCAAGACAGGCCAACATTCAAATTCAGGAAATCCAAAGAACCACAGTATGATACTCCATGAGAAGATCTACCCCAAGATATATAATCATCAGATTCTCCAATGTTGAAATGAAGGAAAAAATGTTAAGGGCAGTCAGAGAGAAAGGCCATGTCACTCTCCAAAGGGAAGCTCATCAGACTAACATCAGACCTCTCAGCAGAAACTCTACAAGCCAGAAGAGATCAGGGGCCAATATTCAACATTCTTAAAGAAAAGAATTTCCAACCCAGAATTTCATATCTGGCCAAACTAAGATTCATAAGCAAAGGAGAAATAAAATCCTTTTCAGACAAGCAAATGCTGAGGGATTTTGTCACTACCAGGCCTGCCTTGCAAGGACTCCTGAAGGAAGCCCTAAACATGGGAAGGAAAAACTGTTACCAGCCACTACAAAAACACACTGAAGTAGACAGACCAATGACACTATGAAGCAACTACATTAACAGGTCTGCAAAATTAACTAGCCAGCATCATGTTGACAGGATCAAATTCACACATAACAATACTAATCTTAAATGTAAATGGGCTAAAAGCCCCAATAAAAAGACACAGAATCACAAGATAAAAAGTCAAAACCCATTGGTGTGCTGCATTCGAGAGACATATCTCACGTGCAAAGACACACATAGGCTCAAAATAAAAGGATGGAGGAAAATTTAACAAGAAAATGAAAAGCAGAAAAAAGCAGGAGTTGCAATCCTAGTTTCTGACAAAATAGACATTAAACCAACAAAGGTCAAAAAAGACAAAGAAGGGCATTACATAATGGTAGAGAGTTCAATTGAACAAGAAGAGCTAACTGTCCTAAATATATATGCACCCAATACAGCAGCACCCAGAATCGTAAAACAAGTTCTTAAAGACCTACAAAGTGACCTAGACCCCCCACACAATAATAGTGGGGGACTTTAATACCCCATTATCAGTATTAGACAGATAATCAAGACAGAAAGTTAACAAATATATTTAGGACTTGAACTCAGTTCTGGACCAAGTGGACCTGATAGACATCTGCAGAAGTCTCCACCCAAAATCAACAGAATACACATTTTTCTTGGCATCACATGGCACCTACTCTAAAATTGATCACATAATTGGAAGTAAAACACTCCTCAGCAAATGCAAAAGAACTGAAATCATAAACAGCCTCTCAGACCACATTGTAATGAAATTAAAATTCAAGATTAAGAAACCCACACAAAAACACACAACTGCATAGAAACTGAACAATCTGCTCCTGAATTACTTCTGGGTAAATAATGAAACTAAGGCAGAAATAAAGAAGTTATTTGAAACCAATGAGAACAAAGAGACAACATAACAGAATCTCTGAGACACAGCTAATGCAGTGTTAAGAGGGAAATTTATAGCACTAAACAACCACATCAAAAAGCTAGAAAGATCTGAAATCGAAACCCTAACATCACAACTACAAGTACTACAGAATCAAGAGCAAACAAACCCCAGAGAGAGCAGAAGACAAGAAATAACTAAGATCAGAGCAGAACTGAAGGAGAGAGAGACACAAAAAATCCCTTCAAAAAAGTCAACGAATATAGGAGCTGGTTTTGTGAAAAAAATCAAAGAAATAGGTAGGCTGCTAGCTAGACTAACAAAGAAAAAAAGTAAGAATATTCATATAAACACAATCAGAAATTATAAGAGGGATACCAACACTGACTCCACAGAAATACAAACAATCATCAGAGAATAGCATAAATCTCTATGCGAATAAAGCTGGAAAATCTAGAAGGAATGGATAAATTCCAGGACACATACACCCTTCCAAGACTGAACCAATAAGAAGTTGAACCCCTGAATAGACCAATAACAAGTTCTGAAATTGAGGCAGTAATAAATGGCCTACCAACCAAAAAAAAAAAAAAAAAAACAAGAAAGACCAGGTCCAGATGGATTTACAGCTGAATGCTACCAGAGGTAGAAAGAGGAGCTGGTACCATTTCTTCTGAAACTATTCCAAACAATTGAAAAGGAGGAACTCCTCCTAACACATTTTATGAAGCCAGCATCATCCTGATACCAAAACCTGGCAGAGATATAACAAAAAAGAAAACTTGAGGCCAATATCCCTGATGAACATCGATGCAAAAATCCTCAATAAAATACTAGCAAACCAAATCCAGCAGCACATCAAAAAGCTTATCCACCATGATCAAGTCAGCTTCATCCCCAGGATGCAAGGCTGATTCAACATACACAAATCAATAAATGTACTTCATCACATAAAGAGAACTAAAGACAAAAACCACTTAATTATCTCAGTAGACACAGAAAATGCCTTTGATAAAATTCAACATCCCTCCATGTTAAAAACTCTCAATAAACTAAGTATTGAAGGAACATACCTCAAAATAATAAGAACCATTTATGACAAACTCACACCCAATATCACAATGAATGGGCAAAAGCTGGAAGCATCATCCTTGAAAACTGGCCTAAGACAAAAATGCCCTCTCTCACCACTCTTACTCAACATAGTATTGGAAGTTCTGGCCAGGAAAATCAGGCAAGAGAAAGAAATAAAGGCATTCAAATAGGAAGAGAAGAAGTCAAATTGTCTTTGTTTGCAGATGACACGATCCTATATCTAGAAAACCCCATCAACTCAGCCCAAAAGCTCCTTAAGCTGATAAGCAATTTCAGCAAAGTCTCAGGATACAAAATCAAAGTGCAGAAATCGCAAGCATTCCTATACACCAACAACAGACAAGCAGAGAGCCAAATCATGAATTAACTCCCATTCACAATTGCTACAAAGAGAATAAAATACCTAGGAATACAGCTAACCAGGGAAGTTAAGGACCTCTTCAAGGAGAACTACAAACCACTACTCAAGGAAATCAGAGAGGACACAAGCAGATGGAAAAACATTCCATGCTTATAAATAGAAAGAAGCAATATTATGAAAATGGCCATAGTGCCCAAAGCAATTTATAGACTAAATGCTATTCCCATTAAATTACCATTGACATTACTCACTGAATTAGAAAAAACTACTTTAAAATTCATGTGGAACCAAAATGAGCTCATATACCCAGGACAATCCTAAGCAAAAAGAACAAAGCTGGAGGCATCACACTACCTGACTTCAAACTATACTACAAGGCTACAGTAACAAAAACAGCATGGTACTGGTACAAAAACAGGCACATAGATCAATGAAAAAATTAGAGAACTCAGAAGTAAAACTGCACATCTACAATCACCTGATCTTTGACAAACCTGGCAAAAACAAGCAATGGGGAGAGGATTCCCTATTTAACAAATGGTGCTGGGAGAACTGGCTAGCCATATGAAGAAAATTGAAACTGGACTCCTTCCTTACACCTTATAAAAAATTAACTCAAGATGGGTTAAAGACTTAAATGTAAAACCCAAAATTATAAAAACCCTAGAAGAAAATCTAGGCAATACCATTCAGGTCATGGGCGTGGGCAAAGATTTTATTATGAAATTGGCAAAAGCAATTTCATCAAAAGCAAAAGTTGACAAATGGGATATAATTAAACTAAAGAGCTGCTGCACAGTAAAAGAAACTATCATTAGAGTTATCAGACAACCTACAGAATGGGAGAAAAAAATTGAAATATATTAATCTGACCAAAGTCAAATGTCCAGAGTCTACAGGGAACTTAAATAAATTTACAAGAAAAAAAAACCGTTAAAAAAGTGGGAAAATATATGAACAGACACTTCTCAAAAAAAGATATACATGCGACCAGCAAACATGTGACAAAAAGCTCAACATCACTAATCATTACAGAAATGCAAATCAAAACCACAATGAGAAACCATCTCATGCCAGTCAGGAAGGAGATTATTAAAAAGTCAAGAAACAACAGATGCTGGTGAGGTTACAGAGACATAGGAATGCTTTTACATTGTTGGTGGTAAACTAGTTCAACCATTGTGGAAGACAGTGTGGTGATTCCTCAAGGATTTAGAACCAGAAATACCATTTGACCCAGAATCTCATTACTGGTTATATCCCAAAGGAATATAAATCATTCTATTATAAAGATACATGCAAGCATATATTCACTTCAGCACTATTCACAATAGCAAAGACATGGAAGCAACTCAAATGCCCATCAATGATAGATTGGATAAAGAAAATGTGGTACATATACACCATTGAATACTATGCAGCCATAAAAAGAAATGGGATCTTGTCCTTTGAAGGGATATGGATGAAGCTGGAAGACATTATCCTCAGCAAACTAATGCAGGAAGACAAAACCAAACACTGTATGTTCTCACTTATAAGTGGGAGCTGAACAATGAGAACACATGGACACAGGGAGGGGAACAACACACGCTGGGGCCTGTTAGGGGAGGGCAGGTGGAGGGAGAGCATCAGGGAAAAGAGCTAATGCATACTGGGCTTACTACCTAGGTGATGGGTTGATAGGTGCAGCAAACCACCATGACACACGTTTACCTATGTAACAAACCTGCACATCCTGCACATGTACCCTGGAACTTAAAAAATAAAATAAAATAAAATAAAAATAAAATGCTTCACCTTGTAGTAAACAAAGAAATATTTAAAAAAAAACTGAGATTCCATTTTAACTCCTTTATTACTTATTCAACAGTTGATTGATTCAACTGGCCTTTATTAAACAGGCACATGCAAGATGATGATAATTTAGTTACTGGACACCCAGAGTCCCTGACCTGTGAGGTTTCAGCCCAGTGAAGAGAGAAAGGCTCAAATAGGAAAAAGAGGTGCAAAGAAAATCAAAGGAGGAGTCACATATACCTGGGCAAGGAATGGTTTTACAAATATTTCATATCATTAATAATACCACTGCTGGTAAGAATTTAGCACAAATGGACCTTCTTATATACTGCAAATAGGAGTAAAAATTGTTACCATGCTTTTGAAAAGCAATTTGTCAAATTATTTTTAAGAACTCTAAAAATATTCACTCTTTGACCCAGTTATTATTCTTCTTTCTAATCAAAAGAGAGGATTTTATGTCCAGAAAAAAAATTATAGAGAAAGATTTTCATAAAACCGTTAGGGATCACTATAAGGGCAAAAAACTGGGAGAAATTTAAATAGCCACATTATAGAGAAATCGTGGTCCTTCAATTTAATGAAACATTATGTAGCCATTAAAGATAATTTTCATGAAAAATATGATATGGAGCAAGTATTGGAAATCTACAATGATCTATATAATGGCATTAAAACTATGTGATACATTTGATATGCCAAAAAATATTCCTGAGTGAAAATTTTAGTAGAAGCGGTGTCTGGATAAGCAACCATGGTAATGATGTTTTTGTTCTTAATAATTCACTTTCTTAATAACTGTAAGAAGGTTATACTTTCCTGTGCAGTGGGTCCTGGGCTTAGCCGTGTGACTTGCTTTGGCCAGTGGAATGTGAATAGATGTGCTGTGTGCTTTAGCCCCATAGAAGCTTTAAAGGCAATTACATGATTGGATTTAGTCTCTTGCACTTTTCCTCTCTTCCATGAGAACAGTACATCCCAGATAGGGGCTATTCCTTATGCCTGGAGCTCAGAAAGAGAAGACAGCAGGTCAACCTGCAGACCACCTATAATGGGATAGGGAAACGAATCTGTTGTTACAAGTCCCTGGGGCTTTTAGCTGTTTATTGCTTCAGCAAAGTCTGACTAATACAAAAACACTGTGTGTTTAATATTTCAAAGTATGATATTTCCAGAAATGTCTTCATAAGCATTAAGCATTTAATAATTTTCAAAGTTTCAAATATAAACAAGTGCCTCTCTCTGAAACCTGAGAACAGCCTTGGAGGGGAATTAAAATAGTTATTTTCAAGCAAGATGGAGGACGATGTCTAGGTGTCATGGGAAATTATCATGACTTGTCCTGAGGAACTTAAGGTATCTCAGTTAAATTAAATAAAATTTTTTTACTCGTCAACTTAGCCTACTTTTTACTTTTCTTATTGAAAATCAGGGAGAAAGCCATTTGGGACCAAGCATTGGGAACAACTAATGAAGATCTCGATTGAGGAACAATTTCTATCCCTGTAAATTGCATTCTTTCCCTTACTAGCTCATTCTTATTCTGTCCAATTAATGTGCTCTTCATTACCTCAGAATAATAAGAATCAGCTCTGTTACCATTATTCTAGTGATGAGTTCAGTGGCTTTGTCTGTTGGCAGGGGTAACAGCAAAGACCCCCTAATATTTAAAGTACAGAATGAAACCGTAATAGATAGCAGGAAATAACATTCAAAATGTTATTTGGAGACAATGTTTTTCTTATTCCAGAAATGAGAATAAGAATCTCTCTCTAAACTCACTGGTGCCAATAATATATCTAAAGTATTACATAGGAGATTTTATCTTGTGGGGGGGGAACCTAAGAGCCATACTTTGGCACTGGTTTGAGGTACAGCAATAAGAAGTAGACTACTAAGTTCTCTGGCAAGTATTAAAATGTACAGTCAGTTTATAATAATTTGATACTAATGTATATTGGAATATATGCATTTATTTAACCAGATGTTATTTAGCATCTACTGAACCTCTTGCATTCTACTAGGTACCAGGAATACGATGGTGAATGAGATCGACATAGCTTCTGCCTTTGCAGATTCTTCTGAGAATGATGTGACCTCAGCCCTCATTAACCATGTAGTCCAGTGGGAAAGACATTTAAGTAGCTAGGAAATAAAAGATTGCTATGGAGGACAGCAAGAGCAACTCAACTAGACAAAGAGTGAACCAAGGAAAGGAAGACTTCTAGAGTAAGTGAGGATAAGCTTATTTCCAAAGGATCAATAAAAGTTATCCAGTACAATAGAGGGATGAGGACACTGTGGTCAAGAAAAGTCCAGGAATACCATGTTAAAAGTGAGATGGGACATGCACATTATGGGAAATTAAAGAGGTTCAATGAGTGAGCATGAATGGGGGATGATCAGTAGAGATGGTTGGAGGGGTTGGCAGGTGCCAGTTGGCTTGGGGGCTTGAAAGCCATAAAAAGGAGCCAGGGCTTTGTCTTATGAAGAATGGGATGCCAATAAAAGGATTCAGGCAGAGAATTTGTATGATCTGATTGATGTTTCAGTGAACTCACTCCACTAATATGATTGTGAGTGGGCCATTGCTGTATAGAGTCCGGAAAACAAGTGATGTATCCAGAAGTAGAGTGTGGGCAGGGAAGATGGAGAATAGATAGATCCAAAACATAGTTAGGGAATAGAATCAGTTGGAATTATTAGGATAATCCAGATCACTCCTTTTGTCCCATCTTCACACTCCCCATTACCATGCCGAAAATTTGGATTCCTAGGTATCTTACCTCACTGGGAGCAAATACCCTGGTCTGACTTACTACTATATTTAGACTCGTAAATTTCTCATTGTCTATTAATAAGCTATATTTCTTATTGCACACTTCAAACTCATGTGTGTTTAGTTTGTAAATTTAAATCAGGATTCTCAAGTCTGATAAGTTCTAGGACTCCAGTAAGATTACCTGGATCTGGGCCGGGCGTGGTGGCTCACGCCTGTAATCCCAGCACTTTTGGAGGCTGAGGCAGGTGGATTACGAGGTCAGAAGATGGAGACCATCCTGGCTAACACAGTGAAACCCTGCCTCTACTAAAAATACGAAAAAAAAATTAGGCAGGCATGGTGGCACATGCCTGTAGTCCCAGCTACTTGGGAGTCTGAGGCAGGAGGATCACTTGAACCCAGGAGGCAGAGGTTGCAGTGAGCCGAGATGGCGCCATTGCACTCCAGCCTGGGCAACAGAGTGAGACCTCGTCTCAAAAAAAAAAAATTATCTGGATCTGCAAGGCCAAGGGCCTCTTCCTCATATGTTAAATTCACCAATCATGCCATCCCGCAAATCTTCTTGATAGGGGCTCTGCTACCCACATTTATGTTACAAGGTATCTCCTTTGAACTTCTATCTGTCTCAGAGAGGCTTTGAGTCATTTATTAGTTCTAGTTCCATTTAGTTCAGAGAGCAAGAGCAGCACTAAAAGCAGTCAGTGTTAGGAAAAAGCTTATTAGAGTAGAACAACAGTAAATTGGAGTTCCCCAAATCTTTCATGTTTATAGTCACAGTCACATAACTTTCAAGACTGTGCAAGGCAAAGAAATGTAAACCACAAGCTATGCCTAGATAGTGGTAAGTGTCACTTGGGAAGGAAGCCCAGCTATCTCAAAAGAGAAGATTTATGCTATTCCAAAGCCTCAATGCAAGTAACCTCTTAAGTTAAATCAGTCATGGCTCTGAATTTAACTTCTTTTGATTTGCAAGTAGCAATGTCATTTGAGCTAATTATCAATTAATTGTTCAAGATTTGCTTTCAGTCGTATGCCATTACATATATTTCCTCATGATTGATCTCATAAACCCATCTAAATTTGTAACTCCCATTATTGTCTCAATGCATCACAAATATTTCTTTCAAACTATTATTATCATTTTCAGTTATACAATTGTAAAATAATTTCCTTATTATTCACTTCTTCAAGTAGTTCTGTTGTGCTCATCCTCATGTTCTTATTTTTTATTGCCTGTTAGGTACTCACCAAATATTTATTGGTTAATCATTTAGGTGATTGATTGCATGGGTTTGCAAGTTGGGTTACAAGACTATAGAGGTTTGTGGTTTTATGATTACACATATTTCTGCAGGGAATGATTTCTTGATGATCCTGAAGGATTTCATCCAGTTCCCCATAGCTGGATATATGCTGTGAGTAAAACCTAAAGCTCAGAGAAGTTAAATAGCTTTCTGCAGATTACACCACAATGGTTAAGAACATCAACTCTGGAGCTGGACTAGCTCCACTGCTTGTTAAATGTATGACCATGGGCAACTCACCTAACTTCTCTGTGTCCCAGGCTTCTCATTTGTAAAATGGGGATGATAAAAGTACCTCTGTCATGAGCTTGTTTTAGGATTTAAAGTACTTAAGAGAGTGTTTGGCACCTAATAAGTGTTACTTACTATTAGCTATTATTATTACATAATTGAAAATAATCTAGGCTTTCTAATTCCTAGAATCCTAAGCCCAACCTTGTGTTCAACACTGTGGTCGGGTTTTCTGTTACCTGTAGCTGAAAGCACCCCTAACAGACACAAAGAGGCAAAATTGAAGATATATTTCAAGCAGAAGAAAGTCTGAACAAAGGGTCTGTCTTCCCAAGAGGTAGGTTGGAAGCCTAGCATGGCAGGCATGAGAGTGGATAGTAAAAAGAGAGAAGTGTGTGGGGAATGGCTACAAGTGAAAGTCCCTGAACGCTATAGGTGTGGATTTGTATTTATATTTTATAATAACAAGCTAACAGAGAATTTTAGACAGTTAAGTGATGTGATTAATATTGCTTATTTAGAAAAGTAATCCAGTCATTTTTCTACAGTGCACTGGAAGCAGGTTAAGAGAGAGGTATAGTAGTTTAAAGAAGGGATGAACCGAAACGGCAGTAATGGAATGAAGGAGAGAGACCATCCACAAGAGAACTTCATGTTTCTGGCACCAGAAGACTCCTTACCTAGCAATAGCTAAAAAGCTGGGAAGTTTGGGGAAGGAGTTTAGAAGTGAAGTAGGACTATGGAGTCAAACTGTTGGATTGAATCATAGCTCCTCCACTTACTACGTGCATATACTTCTGCAAGATCCTCAATCTCAAAAAGCCAGTGTTCTCACCTGGGAAGATCTTCTTCTATGTTTTCTTCCAGATTTTTTATGGCGTCATGGTTTACATTCAAGATTGCGATCAATTTTGAGCAATATTTTGCATGTGGCATGAGGCATGAGTTATTTTTCATATGGATGTCAAATCATTCAAACATCATTTTCTCAATAAGACTACTCTTTCCCTCATTGAATTACCTTGGCACCTTTATTGAAAGTCAACTGTCCATGTATGTGTAAGTTTATCTCAAAATTCTATTTAGTTTTATGGATCAATATGTTTTTCCATTGTCTTAATTACGATAGCTTTATGGTAAGTTTTGAAATCAGGTAATGTGGGTTCCCAAACTTTATCTTTTCCAAAAATTTTGACTAGTTTAAGGCTTTTGATTTTCCATGTCAATAAGAAGAGCTTGTCAATTTCTAGAAAAGGACTTGCTGGTATTTTAATTAGGATTATACTAACGTACATCAATCTGTAGATCAACTGGAGAAGAATTGACATATTTACAATTTTAAGTTTTCTAACATGTGAGTATGGTGTATTTCATGAGCAATGTTTTATTTTTACAAATAATTTATGTATCACACATATTTTGTTAGCTTTCTCCCCAAATATTTCCTGGTTTAATGCTATTATAAATGGCATACATTTTAAATTTCTGATTGTTTGTTGCTATTATATGGAAAAACAATAGATGTTTATATTTTCGTAGGTATTTTGGATTATTTCTGTTTATATATGGATTAAATGTGCAAATGAAGACAACATTTTTTACTTCCAATCTTCATCTCTTTTGTTTTTTTGTTGCTTTACTTCACTGAATAGGACCTCCAATACAATGTTGAATAGAGGTGGTGAGGGTGGATAGTCTTGCCTTGTTCCTTATCTTAGAAGAAAAGCATTTAGACTTCCATCATAAGTCTAATGTTAGCTGTTGGTTTTTCATGGATGATCCTTATCATATTCTAGAATTTTCCTTCTATTTCTGGTTTAGTGAGAATTTTTATGATGAATGGGTGTTAAACCTTATCAAATTATTTTTCTGTATCTATTAAGTGAAACATGTAGTTTTACTTTTATAAGCTGTCAAATTGGTGAGTTATATTGATTTTTGAATGCTGAAACAACATTTAAATGGTGAATGGTGAGTGAGTATGGAAATGTCTACCTGTGTTTTAAGCTCACAATACATTTATGACTATTTTACTTTAAATACTAAACTCTCTCTTCAAAAGTTTAATGTTAAGAAAAAAATATCTTTTCTGTGTGACACCATTTTTACCATTTATGGAACTCTTCATTTTTCTGTATATTGACTAAAATTTCCATCTGGTATCATACTGTGTCTGCCTGAAAAACTTCATTTAACATTTTCTATGGTGCATACCTGCTGACAATGTATTTTCTTTTTTAAAAAATTTAATTATATTTTATTTTAAGTTCTGGGATAAATGTGCAGGACGCATAGGTTTGTTACATAGGTAAACGTGTGCCATGGTGGTTTGCTGCACCTATCAACCCATCACCTTGGTATTAAGCCCCACATGCGTTAGCTATTTATACTGATGCTCTCCCTCCTCCTTCCTCCCAACAATGTATTTTCTCAGCTTTTGTTTGTCTGAAAAAGTATTTTGCCTTATCTTTGAAGGATATTGTCACTGGGTATAAACTGCTTACTTGTATAGTTTATGGGGATAAGTCTGCTTTAATTCTTATCTTGGTTTCTCTGTGTTTCTTTTTTCCTCTGGCTGCCTACAAAGTATTTTCTGTATTTTTGGTTTTCAGCAGTTTGACTCAAATTCATGTGCCTATGGGTGTGTGTATGTGTGTGTTTTATTCTGTGTAACCCCCTCATCTTGGGTGTGAGTGACTTCATTCTAAGGAAGAGAATATGGCAAATGTGACAGGTCATCACTTGGGAAATTAGGTTATAAAAGACAGTGATACGGTCTCTCTCTCTCTCTCTCTCTCTCTCTCTCTCTCTCTCTCTCTGTCTCTCTCTCTCTCTCTCTCTCTCTCTCAGTGAGGAACTGAGACTTTCAGTCCAGCAACCCAGGAGAAAGTGAATCCTACCAAAAACCACGTGGGTGAGCTTGAAACAAGATCCTGCCTGGGTTGAGCCTTGACATTCCGGGAGCTCCAACTGATGGCTTGACTGCAGCCTGTGAGAGGCTGAATCAGAGAAATTGGAGAAGCCATGCCCCGATTCCTGACTCACAGAAACAGATACTAAGCATTTGGTGTTTCAAGATGCTAAGTTTTAGGACTTGTTACACTGGAAAAGATAACTAAAACTGCTTCCAAGAGGGCACCCTCCAGTCTTGGGATAACTCAGTGGGGGCCCATGGCACAGACTTTGTGAGGGAGCACAGACTTGCCTAGTGTCGTGGCTTCCCCAGATTCTTAACTCCCAGGGTAGCCTATACTCTGCCTTTAAAAACTGACTAACATTTCAGCTATTTACTTCTTCCTCTTCCTCCCCTGCTCTGCAAAAGTCACCCCATCTCTCTTTGGAGGAGTTGTCACTCTTTGGAATTCAGCACACCTGGGTGCCTTAGCTACTTAGCTCCCTCATAGGCTCAGGAAAAGTTACAATTTTGTGCACTGTCCAGATTTTTCTCACTGTTCAAGGGTGATGACTGTATCCTGCAGCTTTCTATATACTAATCAGAAGCAGAACATTCACAATTATTTCTTAAAATTTAAACTCTTCCAATGTCCCATGCTCCCCCAACCCTTCATGTAGGGCAGGATGGAAATGTATTCAATGTCAATTTGGAGGCACTTTTCTTTCCTCTATGGGACCGTATGGAAATCTCAGAATTACATGGTGTCTGAACACCAAGGCCTGGGTCTATGGCACCACCTTCTTTGGTACTGTCACATTGGCTTCAGGCCACTTGGTCATTCTCCTGTCCCTACCACCCACTTCAGGAAACCCCTAAGGTTCCCTTGTGCCTATCCTCTCCTCTGACCACAGAGCCAGCATCCTGCGGCATTTCTCATGTGGAGGCCTGAGTCCCAGGGAAATACCTGGCTTCCTTCATCTCCTAAGTCTGGGGGAAGCTCAGACATCTTTTCAGAACAGTCAAGTCCATTTTCCATGGCCCTATTTCTGCCCTAACCCTTCCCCTAAGAAAAGGGTTGGGGGAATTCCTAAGATTACTTTCTCTTTTCTGGTGCCCCTCAGCATGGCTCTCTCTAAGGGCCTTTAGGAAGGTAATGGCAGCCCCTCTTGGTTGGAGTGGGTGTGAAGAGTGGTGATGCTACCAGCAGTTATTCTAATTTCTTAGTAACACATTTTATTACAAATGACCTATGTCTCTTTAGTTCCTAAATTCCAGTGTAACTCCCCGGTACAAGAGAGAGACTTAGAGCTTCATCTACAATCAAGAAACCTGACATAATTCCTATGTTGAATTCACTGACAACTGAGCAACCAAGACCTATAGGAAGATATCTTTTAAGCAGTTAGCGGCTTATTAAGCATTCAATCTTGAACTAGTGCATTAAAGAATGGTTATGATAATATCATCTCATTCTTCGGGAGGCTCCCAGTGGTTATACACTTCTCTCCTCATTTGTTGCCTAAAGCCCCTCCACTCTCATTGACAGCAGATGACCTCCTCTCATATTTCAGAGCATAAAGAAACTGTCAGACACAAACCCACTCCCCTTCTTTCCACTAAAGCTGCACAACTCACACCTGCATCTTTCCGGGAGGATGTTCTTCTCCCCTCAAGCTTTGTATGTCTGTAACTATTCTTACTGCCTGAAGGGCTTCCCCAGCCCGCAATTATATCCTCATTTTCTTGCATCATCAATCCATCTTGTTCTATAGCATAATTCTCATCAGCATATTTATATGTTCTAGTATCTCCTTCCTAAAAGCAAAGAAACTTCCTGCTGGAGAGGAAGGTGGGGTCAAACCTTTGTTGCCCGCATCTTCCTCTCCAGCAACTGCCATGGTTGCTGCACCCTTTCTCAACCAAATATATTTGAAGAGATGTTTCAACTTGCTCGCTCCTCATTCCTATGTATCCTTTTCTCCCTTTGGCATGATTCCCCACTCCTCCTCCACTTCCAGTTTCACCTTATATGTCCCTCAGAGAGGCCATCTCTGATCATGCTGCCAAAAATAGGCTTTCCTCTTTTAGTCTCTTTCTCAAAGCATTTGCTCAGTTCCCCCAGATGAATTACTATGACACATTTTTTTTCTGTTTGATTTTCTAAATGGTATGCTGATTGTTTGCTCTCTCACCAGAATATAAACTTCATGCAGACAAGAACCATGCCCAACCTCCCCACTATTTTATTGTCTCTGATCAGCATAGACCCTCTCATGTAGGAGAGGCTCAATGTACTATGTGATGACTGACTGAGCATATGAATGAATAGATAGATGAATGAAACACACCACTGAAAACAGAGCATTGGTTGTGATGTTTAAAATAACACTTCTTGGACTGTGGCATGGCTATTTTTAAAAATTCATTGTGTTATTCTTTAGTTTGGTTGAACTTGTTATTACAATGCTCAAATGACAAAGCTGCAATGATATCAAGTTGTTTGCTCCACACATCTTTCATGAGTAATACAGCTGTAAATACATATTTTTAAGCTATTTCCCGAGCTACAAATCCTTCATAAGTTTCTGATTTCCAATTTTAAGAATTCTAAGATTAGATGATTTACAGTGTTCCAGTCCTCTGTGAGGCACATTTTCCCATTTTTTTCTTGAATCTTGGGCACTATCTGAAGTTGCATTCTACAGAAAGACAAGCAATAATTTTGTAAAATATATGGTATTGTCATTTCAAAACTGGCTAAAATTTAACTTTATTAAGATCTCCATCTATCAAATTTCTTGAAGTTTTCAAGGAGCACTAACACAAACTCGAATGAGCTTTTAAACCCTAAAACTTAAAGTATAATAATAATAAAATAAAAAATAAAAAAAGCAAAACAAAAAAGGAAAAAAATATTTTACAGAAGTCCATTAAAACAAAATACACTTTTTTTGCTGTATTTCATTTGCCTTTACTGGTGATAACCACCAGAGTATTTTTGTATAAATCAAAACTCTCTCCCTTTTAGTCTGACTATTCTTCCAGCCTCATATGCACAGTGTTGTCACCGACTATTGTTTACAACATCATGGCACTTTATTATGAATGTGCTTATGAATACATGAGCAATGTTTAGGGCCTTCATTCAGCATAACACACCCCCAATCATGGCCCCCCTTTTTTCCCCTTGGACCTTATCAAAGCCTTACTATTGAAACTGTTCCTACAAGTGGAGATTTGTAGATTTGTATTCAAAATCATGTGACATTATACAGAAGCAATTCAAAAGGAAAAGAAGTTAAAAAAAAAAAAAAAACCCAAATTGTCAAATGCTTCCACTGCTAGAAACATTAGGAAAGCAAGAACTCTCCAATCACCCCCTTTGATCTTCAGGTGGCAGCAGAAAACCCAAAGCTGGCACACCAATGATGGGCAAAAGGAAATCCTTCTGAAAACATTCAGCCATCTCCTAAGATTACAATCATTCTCAGTTTCATTTTCTGAAAGATGTATAAAAAATTGGATTTTGTGGTTTTTTAACAGCTTTGCAGCTAGTGGAGAAAAAACCAAGTAGGAGGGAAAATCATATGAGTCAAAAACATCTCCTGGTGTTATATTCCAGTTCTTTTATTTGCAATGCTCCTCCATCCCCAAAGGACTCAGTCAATAAATTATTAATTTATTCTAGCACCATCATGTTTGATAGCTGAGCTGTGGCCGTGCTACCATTTGATTAGTCTTTTCCAAGAATCTAAAGTTACCAAAAGCAACAAGGTTGCTCATAATATTAGGAGGAAATAGTACCTTTGTTCTGACTTATTATGGGTTTAGTTTTATCATGTCACTCCAACAATCTTTGCCTTTGAGAAATCTTTTAAGGGTCATAACAACTTATATCAAAGGGATGGCTCCTTTCTCCCTCTCCTCCAAAGAATCTTAAAAAAACCTGAGAAATATTGAAACTAGTGCCTTTAGTTACATAAGAATCCTATAAAAGATTTTGGGGTTCTTTTAAAAAGATTTTTAAAAGTAATTTTTGACATCCTCTGGAAACCTTAAACATCCAATGCTAATGTGGGCTTTATTCCTATGCCTCTTGATGTTCTTGATATACACATGATAAATTACTAGCTTTACCACTCTTTGGATCTGGTCATTAAATTTGGTTTGTTTGTTTGTTTGTTTGTTTTAGAGACAGTGCCTCCCTATGTTGCCCAAGCTGATCTAAAACTCTTGGCCTCAAGCAGTTCTCCCACCTCAGCCTCTTGAGTAGTTAGAATTGTAGCCACGAGCCACTACATTCAGCTACATAAGCTGGTCATTTTTAAACACCTGAGCTGTCTATGTAATGCCTCAAGTTAACATGGTGAAAATGGTCAATAGAAGCCCTAATGTCAAGGTGACCTTTCTGTGATGATGATCATTGTTCAATTGCATAAAAATCAACAGCTTCAAAACCATTTTTTGACACAGTAGTTTAGTTTGCCACATTATTTCAGTATTATAGTTAAAATACCTGATGTAAAAGAAATGTAATTTTGTGTTTATGCTAAGTGCTAACAAAAAAAAATGTGTGTTCTCTAAAGGCAATTGAATTCTAACTGCTTTATTTTAAGTTCACCCACTACTGCTGATGTGAAGCCCCATATTAATAGAGTTAGTATTGGCTTACCTGTTCTGGAGTCCTTGAAGCACCATAATCTTTAAGTAGGAAGACCACACATCCTGGACACAAAGTCAGTATACTCATCTCTTAGTCCATTTATAAATGCAGGCGTACTTCTCAATGTAACAGGCCTGCTATGACAAGGACAAAAATGACACTATTCCTTCTATGTGTTGCTTTGTGGTCGCTTCTGTTTTTAATTTAGGGGTGAGGGTAACATCTCACCCTGCTAGTTTCCAATGGTCATTCCAAAGTTGTAATGTCTTAAATACAGGCTACACTTCTTTGTTGAAATAATATCAGATTTAATGAGTATCTTTTATGTGCTAATCTATCTTCTAGATGGTATCATATACATTGTAGCTACTGACCCACAAAACAATAGTATGTTTATTATTTCAGTGATAACAGGCATGAAAACCTCGAGAGGGACATTGTAACTCACCTTTCCTTTTCACCTTACCAGTTTTCATGCTAGCATTGGTTCAAATTTCAAGGCCAACTTTAATTTGGTTTTAAGATGCTTGTCAATATTATAGCCATTTTAAAAGAGATATTTCTGTTTAAATATCTTTTGCTTCAGTTAATAAATACAGAAGGTATTTGAAGTAAACAAGATAATTCTTCTTAATGCCCAGTGCTGTTTGCTAATTATTGTTTCAATATTAGGATTATAGTGACAGTCATAGAAGACAAGGCTGGGGTGGTAGTTTTAAATCTTGCACACAATTTTTTGGACAATTTTTTACTTGAAAGGTCAGTCCTCCTCCCTTTGAGTGACAGCTACTTAATGGCTTGCTTCTAATATGGCCAAAGAGACCGTGTATGAATTCCAAGACTAGGCCATAAGATGAATTGTGTCTTCCTGCCTGGTCTTGCAGTTAGAGCCCACGTTCTAGGGGAAGGCAGCTGCCACATCTTGAAGACTCTTAAACAACCATGTGGAGAAGTCCACATGGCGAGGAACTGAGGCCTCCTGCCAACAACCAGGTGAACAAGCTGCTGTGGAAGCAGATCTTGTACCTCTAATCAAGCTTGCAACAGGGGTCAATGAACTATAGTGCATAGGCCAAATCCCTCTGGTGGCCTGTTTTTGTATAGTCCTAAAGCCTAGAATGATTTTACATTTTTAAAAGCAGGTGAACAAAAAGAAGATGATATGACAAAGAATGATGGTGTCCACAAAACCTATTTGCTATGCGCTGACTGCTGCTCCAAATGACTGTAGCTGCAATCTCATGAGAGACTTTGAGCCAGAATCATTAGCTAACTAAGCTGCTCCAGAATTCCTGCTGGTCAGAACTATGTGTATTAGTCCATTCTCACACTGCTATAAAGAACTACTGGAGACTGGGTAATTTACGAAAAAAAGAGGTTTAATTGATTCGCAGTTCCACAGGCTGTACAGGAAGCATGGCTGGGAGACCTCAGGAAACTTTGAGCCAGAATCATCAGCTAACTAAGCTGCTCCAGAATTCCTGCTGGTCAGAACTATGTGTATTAGTCCATTCTCACACTGCTATAAAGAACTACTGGAGACTGGGTAATTATGAAAAAAAGAAGTTTAATTGATTCGCAGTTCCACAGGCTGTTCAGGAAGCATTGCTGGGAGGCCTCAGGAAACTTACAATCATGGTGGAAGGTGAAGGGGAAGCAAGCACATCTTACCATGGTGGAGCAGGAGAGAGAGAGTGAAGGGGGATGTGCTACACACTTTTAAACAACCAGATCTTATAAGAACTCACTCATTATCATGAGAACAGCAAGAGGGAAATCCACCCCCATGATCCAATCACCTCCCCTCTGTCCCTCCCTCAACACTAAGAATTACAATTTGACATGAGATTTGGGTGGAGTCACAGAGCCAAACCATATCACTATGTAAAAAAAATAAATGTTTATTATTGTTTTAAGGTACTAGGTTTGAGGATAATTTTTTACACCACAATAGATAGCTAATGCACCTGGTTATAATATGAACCCCATTTCACCTTAGACACTAATTACTCACATTTTCCCCACTGACATTCTATTTTTAACAACTACCCATACTCCAGATTTAATCAATTGTTTCCTCAAGATTAAATTCAGGTTAATCACGTTTCTCAAGAACAGTACATCAGCGATGGGTACTTCTCATTCTTCACATCAGGAAGTACACAAGATCAACGTGTCCCAATATTGATATTTAGTTTGTTCACTTGGCTAAGGCCATGTCTGCAAGGCATTTTCACAATAAAGGTAAGGTTGTTCCTTTGTAATTAATCAATAATCTGAGAAGTACTTTGAAACCATGTGAATAACCTGTTTTCCAAAAACATTTCACCCAGTGGTTTTGGACTCCATCTGTGATTGTTTCCTGAGTCATGTATTGCCTTCACTGTTGTCGAATTGTGATTCTTAAACCTCTGTCAATACCATGCAAAAATAGAATCGCCTGGCTGAGACATATCTGAATTAATGGCTGACAAGATTTGAGCCATAAGACATTGGTTGTTGTTTTAAGCCAGATGTGTCTCACAAAATTTGTATGTTGCAACTTAATTGCCAATGTGATAATGTTAAGAGGAGGGGCCTTTAAGAGGTGATTAAGTCATGAGGGCAGAGGTCTCATGGATGGGATTAGGGCCCTTATAAAAGGGCTTAAGGGAGTGGGTTTACTCTCTTTTGCTCCTCTCCCATGTGAAGAAATATTATTTGTACCCCTATTTTTGCCCCTCCATCCCTTCTGCCATGTGAAGAGACACAGATGGTGTCATCTATAAGGAAGAGGCCTTCACCAGACACTGAACCTACTGGTATCTTGATCTGGTACTTCCCAGCTTCAGAATTGTAAGAAATAAACTTCTGTTCTTTATAAATCAAAAAAAAAATTCTATTATTTCTCCTACAGATATTAGCTTGCATTACACAATAAAGAAGAGGTTTCTGATCCTCCTCCCTCCCTTTTTTAAGAATCACATATATACATGATTATATATATAGAAGTTGACTATGAATTTTACTGATATAAAAGATGTATGTAGCATACCACTTTAAACAACTAAAATACATTATATTCTTTACTGTAATTTTCATTTAGCCAATTAATTCTCAAAGAATGCTTTCACTGACTCTTGCCAATTTCTTAAATCCAAAGCCAATGATGGCTGCAATATATCTACGATTTGATCACTTTTTCTGTTATTCACAATGTGACAGCTACAGAGTATACATACTTTTAAAAATAAAACTTTATTTCAAAATGATTAGAGGTTCACAAAAGTAAAAAGTTATATGTGGAGGTCCCATACACCCTTCACTTCTCCACCTCCACTGTTAACACCTTACATGACTATAGGAGAATATAAAAACCAGGAAATTGACATTGCTACAATTCACAGAGCTTATTCAGATTTCACCAGTTATATACACTCATGTGTGCGTAATTTTATCCTGTGTAGCTTCATGAAACTTCCACCATCAAGATGCAAAACTGTTCCATCACCACAAATATGCCCATGTTATTCCTTCATAGTCATACCTGTCCCATTCTTGGCCCCCAAATAGTAACTCCTGGCAACCAGGAATCTGTGATCCTTTCTATAATTTCATTACATCCAGGATGTTATATAACCTTTCGAAACTGGCTTTTTTCAATCAACATAATTCTCCTAGGGCCTACCCAAGTTGTTGCATGTATCTAATAGTTCATACCTGTTCATTACTGAATAGTATTCCACAATACCTTATGTACCACAGTTGGTTTAACCATTCACCCATTGAAAGACATTTGGGTTGTTTTGAGTTTGGGGCTATCATGAATAAAGTTGCTATGAACATTCCTTTACAGGTTTTTGTGTGAACATAGTTTTCATATCTCTTAATAGATACTAACAGTGTAATTGCTGGGTAGAATAGTACATATATATTTGTTTGCTTTAAAAGAAACTGCCAAACTATTTTCTAGAATGGCTGTACCATTTTACATTCCCATGAAAATATGTGAATTATCTAGTTTCTCCTCATCCTTACCAACATTTGGTATTATCATTCTTTTTTGGCCATGCTGATGGGTTTGTACTGACACTTTCTTATGGTTTTGATTTGTATTTCCCAAATGACTAATGATATTGAGCATCTTTTCATGTGCTTAATTACCATCTGTGTATTCTCTTTGGTGAGATGTCTATTCATATATTTTGCCTGTTTTCAAATTGGATTGTTTAGTTTTTTTACTGTTGACTTTGGAGAATTCTAGATACTATTCTAGATACAAACATTTTTGTCAAATATGTGGTTTGCAAATTTTTTCCCCCCAGTCTGTAATTTGTCTTTTTGTCCTCTTAGCAGGGACTATTTTTATATTTATTTATTTATTTATTTATTTATTTATTTTTAGATGGAGTCTTGCTCTGTCACCCAGAGTAGAGTGCAGTGGCACAACCTCAGCTCACTGCAACCTCCATCTCCTGGGTTCAAGCGATTCTCTTGCCTCAGCCTCCCAAGCAGCTGGGATTACAGATGCCCGCCACAGTGGCCAGCCAATTTTTGTATTTTTAGGAGAGACGGGGTTTCACCATCTTGGCCAGGCTGGTCTCAAACTCCTGATCTCATGATCCACCTGCCTCAGCCTCCCAAAGTGGCATGAGCCACCGTGCCTGGCTAGCAGGGACTTTTATAGAGCAGAAGCTTTTAATTTTGATGAGGACCAATTTATCAAATTTTCCTTTTATTTATGGTGCTTTTGGTGTCAGGTGCAAGAAATCTTCACCCTGTCTTAGGTCCCAAAGATTTTTGTCTCTGATTTTTCCTAAATGTTTTATGTTTTCTATTTTAAATATAGCACACTTTTAAGTTTATTGTGCATTATTGACATTCTTCACTTTCTCAAGTTTAGGCAATCAACCGGACAATATATCCAGACCTAATGTGTAAAATTTGCCAATTCCTCTTGTGTAAATACTCACACTATGACCAATTTCTAGTTATCAACCTGATTTATCTCAATGCAGAGTTGGGAAGAAATGTACACTAGCACACTATTATACAACATTTCCACCATACAAATAAAATAGGCATATATAACCTTGAGAGCACAGATAGTAGCAAAATGTGATAAAATATTTAGAAAGTGATGTTTTGAGTATTTATTTCCTTTGTTTTTAATATAATTTATTTTACAATAAGTTTATCTAATTTATTTTATAGTAAATGTTGTTCCTTTTTACTGCTGAATAGTATGTCATTATATGGGTATACAACTTGAGAACTCATTTACTTGTTGAATAATTGGATATTCGGCTAGTTGGGTTGTTTCTGTTTGGGGGATATTATAAATGAAATCACTATGGACACTCTTCTACAAAGTTTTGTGTAGATATAAATTTTTTCCCTTGAATAAAAATAAAGTTCAAAAAAAATTACAATCAGCTCATACAAGCTTGTATTTATCCAGCAAACCACTGGGTAAATAGCTACTAGTGGAGTTGCTGGGTTGTAAGCTAGGTAAATATTCAATTTTGTAGGGAATTGTCAAAATATTTTCCAAAGTGGTTATATTATATTATATTATATTATATTACATTATATTATATTATACTAAGATGGAGTCTCCCTCTGTCACCCAGGCTGGAGTGCAGTGATGTAATCTTGGCTTGCTGCAATCTCCACTTCCTGGGTTCAAGTGATTCTCCTACCTCAGCCTCCCAAGTAGCTGGGACTACAGGTGCATGCCAACTGCCTGGCTAAGTTTTGGATTTTTAGTAGAAACAGGGTTTCACCATGTTGGCCAGGCTGGTCTTGAACTCCTGACCTCAGGTGATCCACCTGCCTTGGCCTCCCAAAGTGCTGGGATTATAGGCATGAGCCACCGTGCCTGGCTGTACCATTTTATATTCCCACCAAACAATGTAAAAAAGTTCTGATTGTGTCATATACTCACTAACATTTGGTGTTTTTATGGGTTGAATTGTGTCAGCCTCCAAAAACATGCTGATGTTCTAACGTCCAATAGCTCAGAATGTGACCTTATTAGGAAATAGGTCCATTGCAGATGTAATTAGATAGGATGAGGTCACTACAGTGGGCCTAATCCAATATGACTTTGTCCTTATAAAAAGGGAAAATTTGGGCATAGAGACAGATAAACACATAGGGAGAATGACAAGAACATGAAGGCAGAGATTAGGGTGATGTATTCACAAGCCAAGGAGGACCAAAGATTGCCAGCAACCCCCCAGAAGCCGGCGTAAACTCCCTCACAGCCTCAGAAGGAACTGACCTTGCTGACACCTTGATCTCAGACTTCTAGCCTCCAGAACTGTGAGACAATAAATGTCTGCTGTTTAACTCCGGACATATTTGGTTTCTTCACGCATTTGTTCAGCAAGATTAAAAATTAAAAATGTCGTCCAAACAAGAAATAATGAGTGACCAGCTGTTTAGACAGGTTGCAAAGGACCCGAGATTTTGGGAAATGCCAGAAGAAGATCGAAAAGTCAAAATTCACAGGAGATGTCGAGCCATGTTTCATGACAAGAAGTTCAAGTTGAACTATGCTGTGGATAAAAGAGGGCGCCCCAATAACCATAGCACTACAGAGGATTTGAAACATTTTTATGACCTTTCAGATTCTGATTCCAATCTCTCTAATGAAGATAGCAAAGCATTGAAACAAAAGAAAATAAAGAAGATAAAAACCCCAGACTAAAAAAGAAATCGATTTTAAAAATCTAGTTGAAGAGAAAAAGAAAGAAACCAAGAAAGCTAATCAAAAGGGTTCCGAAAATAAAACTGATTTAAATAATTCTGAAGGAATTAAAATAATTAAAACCTCGTGTAAATCTAAGATAGAATCAAACATAAGTCTGAAGAAGGATAGCAATGAATTTACACAAAAAAGTAGAATTTTTCTATTCTATTGTGTATAGCTGTATCTTATTGCACTTTTAATTTGTATTTCCCTAATGATTGATGATGGTAAGACCTTTTTCAGGTGCTTATTAATGATTCGTACATCTTCCTTTATGAGAAATACCTATTCAAATATTTTGCCCAGTTTTCATGGAGTATGTATCTTTCTGCTATTTGAGGTACAGGAGTTCTTAATGTATGTTCTGGATATGAGTTCTCTGCAAATATTTCCTCCCAGTCTGTGGTTTGCTTTTCTTTTTCTTAGTGATGGCCTTAGATGAGCAAAAATTTGTAATTTTGATGAAGTGAAGAGAATTCGTTGCTTTGCATAGCAGAAGTTCAGGGGTAGAACTTTTTTTTACTTTGTTGCTTTCTTCAACATCTAGATAAAAGTTTAGCCTCTCTAGTAAGTTCTTACTTTCCAATCCTGCTCTACTTTATTTATTTCTTTCAGGGGCCTCAGCTCTATTTTTACTGTGTGTCTTACCTAGTCTGTTTGTGCTGCTGTAACAAACACCAGAGACTGGGTAATTTATAAATAACAGAAATAAATGTTCTCACAGTTCTAGAGGCTGGGAATCTAAGATCAAGGCACCAGTAGATTTGGTTTCTGTTGAGGGCCTACTCTCTTTATTCAGCATGGTGCCTTGTTGCTATATCCTCTGGAGGAGACAATCACTGTGTCCTCACATGGTGGAAGGCAGAAGGGCAGAAAGGGCTTTAAGCCTCTTTATGATAGCACCTGATCACATTCATGGGGGCAAAGCCCTCATGACTCAATCACTTCCCCAAAGGCCCCACCTCTTAATACTGTCACAATGGGCCTTAGGTTTCAACATACGAATGTTGAAGGGGACACAAACATTCAAACCATAGCACTATGTAATCTGATATTTTCAAACTCCTTTTGTTATTTTATTTATTCTAATTCTGATACCTTGGTTCCTGGTGGCACTGATATTTTGAGCTAGGAAGCTAAAGTGGTGGAGGGAAAAAAAAACACTTTTGTGCACGTAGGAGTGAAGGCAGGGGACAAAAAGAGAGAGGCGGAATGTAAGAAAAACTTGGACTTTTGAAGAAGAAAACCATGATTTCAAATCCTCTTCCTCAATAATTATTGACCTTGAGCAGTCACTGAAATATCTTGATCTCAGAATTGTCACATGTAAGATTTGCATGATAATTCTCAACTAATAAAGTTGCTAAAATTGCATAAGGTGCCTAGGAAGAACACCAAGTACATTGCTGGCACACAGTAGGCACTTGCAACAAGGATGTATTACTATTATTGCTGTCATTATAAAGTTACTGAATCATGGAAGATTCATAGATGGCCGGAACTATTAACTTAAGTTTGAAAGGCAAAGGTCATTTACCAAGCAAATCAAATTACCCCACCATCCTTAGCCGCCTCCACTTCCCCTGACCCAATCATCTTCCTTCCTCTTCAATCAGTGATGTGCTGGTGAATGTTTAACAACTGGCTTTCCAGGGAAGAAAAGTTTTCATTTGTAACATTTGCCTGTTTCCATAAATACCTCCATTATGGTTGATTTCAAACTACCAGTGTGATGTCACTGAATGCAGCATTAGGAAGAGATGCACACAGTCTGTTCTTCCAAGTGTACATGTGTGGGCTCCAGCAATCCCCTGTCTTCAACTCAACTTGGAGAGGGCACTGTTTTGTTTTAATCATGTAAGTCCCTTCCACTCATTTGACTTCTCAATTCTGTAATCAGATTAACAATCTAAATAAGGTTTAATTATGCTTCACATGTATACCACCCTACTACACCTCTAGCATCACCACTCAGAATCATTAAGTAGCTTTCTTGCAAGGGTCTACATAATTTGGCCTTTCCTAACTCTTCAGAATCATGTCAGACACACTATTCCTTTTCCAAACCCCCAACTTTCATTCCAGCTATCTTTTTGGCTTATCTTTTGGGTCTCAGCTTAATCAATTCTACAGGAAAGTCTTCCTGAGCTTTTGTCCAACTCCAGTACACAGAATATTTCTTTGTTATATTTTTTCACACAAACAGGTTTCTTTCTCAAAGTACTTTCCCATCACTCAATTTTAAGAGTAATTATTGGGTTAATATCTATTGTCCCATAGCATGTAAAATCTGCTGCATCAGGGACTGCACCTCTATTTTCTCTAGTACTAGAACCATCCTTGGGAAAGAATCAGTTCTTAATAAAAGGTTTTTGAATCAATGCATTTATGAATAAAGTCATTTATTTACATCTATTATATCTAGTTGTTTGTATTAGTCCATTCTCATGCTGCTAATAGAGACATACCCGAGACTGGGTAATTTATAAAGGAAAGATGTTTAATTGACCCACAGTTCAGCATGGCTGGGGAGGCTAAAGGAAACTTACAATCCTGGCAGAAAGGGAAGCAAATACATCCTTCTTCACATGGTGGCAGGAAGGAGAAGTGCAGAGTGAAGGAGGGTGGGGAAAGCTCATTAGAAAACCATCAGATCTCATGAGAATGCACTCACTATCACAAGAACAGCATAGAGGTAACCACCACCATGATTAAATTACCTCCCGTTGGGTCCCTTCCATGACACATGGGGATTATGGGAACTACAGTTTATGATGAGATTTGGGTGGGGACACAGCCAAACCACATTATTGTTCAATATGCATGTTAAATTTACCTAGTATTTATTGGATGCCTACTGTATGCCAGTCCTGTGTTAGGCATTTAAAAGCATTACTTGTAATTCAACAAAATATGCAATATTCAATTTTTAAATTTATTTATTTGACAAATTGTTTTTGAGGGTCTACAACGTATAAGATTTTGCATTAGGGGCTTAGACTACAGGCTACTTGGTACAATATTGAACCTAAAATCCTTCAAACAACGAAATGAACTATAATTTATTTAATATGTTTTAAATAACTCTAAGAAGAACTCTACACCTATAAAATGGTGAAAATCAGTGATGTTTTAAAAATGTGTGGCCTCAATTCACCTACTAATTCACTACTAGTTTCAAAGGAGGAAAGAAACTAATTTTTTTACTCTTGTTCTAAATGATTTGGGCCATTGAAAAAAGGTATCTTTTTGATTCATGAAAAAGTGATTTGTTCAGTTTAGCAAAGATATTTTCAAATTTTTTGGTAACTTTGATGACAGATTGTCAGAAAAACAAAAGAGATGAACATGGAGAGTTTAATGGAAGGAATTGAAGTTACTAAGTCAGAAAGGGTTTGTATTTAGTGCCAAATGTAGCACAGAAGCAAATGTATCAGTGCAAGGACACATTTATCAACTTAACACATAACCATTGTGTAGCTACATCCCACTTGACTGTAGTGAGCTTCTGCACTCAGTGGTATTGACTGGAATCTCTTTATTTGTTTGTTTTTGGATATGAAAATCTGTGCCCAGTGCTCAAAAGTTCCTCTTGGTATACCAACCATATCAATTACCAAGCAAAAACAAAGGACAAAGGAAATAAGATAGTAATGACAAAAGACTCAGATCCTTTTTCTCTGAGGTGGTGTTTCCAATCAATATGGCAGAACTAAGAATGACTTAGAGGTCAGCCATCTGGCCAACACTTTACCCTCAGAGGACATTTTCTGACTTTCCTTTTCCTTAAGTTCATACAAGCAAGGGGACAGGTGAAATAAATCATACTTCATACTCCCTTTTTCATAATATTTTTATACAGATGAAGTCAGATCAACAGAAACATTCATTGAGGGAAAATGGTTTAAATAAAATAGAGAGCATGTTTATAACATGCTAGACACTATTTTACCATATGAGTGGGTTTCTATTTTAGCCTATACACCCTCACAACACTTACATACCATAGCCAAGTTAGTGAGGTGACATATTAAGTAAAAATTGAAATAAACTACCTGTAGCCTTTTTAAAAACTGAAATATGTTAAAACTCTTATGTCTTAAGTCATTTTCAGTGAAACCAAAATAATAAACTCATCACAGAGGACCTAAATTTGACCACTGGATATGATGCAAAAATTTAGATATGTAAGGTATGAAGGTGGTGCGTAGTATCAGAGAGAGACTTAGGTTATTCTTACTTAACTCATAGGAAATTTATTTACTCAACTCTATAAACCAAGGTCAAGAGCTATGGACTTTATAGAATTCCTTACTAGATGTGGGTATTGCTCACTCATATGCTAGAGAGGATTAAAGGGCTTCAGCTAAATAAAATGTCTGTGGAAAATTCTCTCATCTTCAGGACTGCATAGGGACTGCGGTGGATGAGTGGGTGTTGGTCCTTGATTTTTCTTTTCTTCTTTTTCACTCTCTCTTTTCAACTCCATGGTTGGAACTCACAGTACAGGCTATCCTATTTTTTAAAAAGGAATGTTTAGTGCTCTCACGATATTAAACCTAATAGTTTAACACATTCCATTTGAAATTTTTGTCTCCTTTTTAAAAGACTGTAAGCCTGGACTCAGTGGGTCAAAATTCTAGACAAAGAGCAGACAGGTCTAACACATGGCATTTCCATTATGGCAACTACATGTACATTATCATGTTCTAGAGAAACCTGCTAAGAATATTCTAAGGTTATTTACAGTTTTTTTTTAAACATTTTCTGGCCTTTGACTCAGGTAATAAGTTAATTATGGGCTATGATGAATTAATTTAGTGCAGATTCCTAAGCCTGTGGCATAATGCTATTTCAGGAGTTTAGGAAGAATGACATCTTGAAATAGGAAACAATAATTTCCAGTTGTCCTTGAAAAACTGATGTGTTCTGCCTATTACTCACTAACAACCCCTACCATTTAAATTTTTTTTACCCTTTATTAAGTAAAAACTCAAACATATACAAATAAAATAGGACAGTATAGAAAAACCATTATTTACTCATAACCCAGCTCCAATAATTATTTCTACCTTCTTATTTCATCTATATTCTTCAATCTACCTCCCACTTCTCCTCCCGATTATTATTATTTTCTGAATTTTTTTTCCACAATTCCTTTGCATTTATAGCTTGACTACTAGATACCACCTCTGAATGGTGTGGATGCATGCCTTCTACAAATAGAAATGTAAACATTCTTGCACATACAGAAAGTAAAGATGTGTCATTATCTAGCTTTAATAGACAATTAGTCTGGCAATGCAATTCCTGCCAAAGAGAAGAACTGCAGAGAACAATTTTGAAAACAAAGTCATTGTTTCTTTCCATTGACTAGGTTTTAGCCAGCCTAATAGTCCTCCCTCTGTTGGGAACACAACCACTTTCTTCTTTGCAGAGCGTATTTCTTGTGGTTCTAGTGGAGGCAGCCCTGTGCTGCCCAGGATTGAACATGTGATCCAGGTTGTTCAAAGAATTCCTCCATTCCTATGGTAATTAGACATGATTGGCACAGGACATGTGGGCCCTAGGGCAGAGGCTCATATATTTCAGGAGATATGGGAGACTGGGAGCTATGAGGTCTGTGAACCTGAAGCTAACAGTCATCTTATCAGGGAGAAAAAGCCTGAGAATGAAGCAATACAGAAGAAAAAGAGGTGGAGACAGAAAGGGAGATGAGAGAGAGAGAGAGAGAGAGAGAGAGAAACAGAGAGAGAGAACACCATTTGGACACTTGCATATACAGCTGTGCCTGAAGCACTTCTGAACTTTTCAGATGCGTGAACCAATAAATTTGCTTACACTGGGTCTCTCCATTTAAAACAGAAAGAATCCCAATACAGTAAATGTCTTCCAGCATTTTACTGGCCACCAGACATAGATACCACACTGTGAATTCATTTAGCATTCAGCTACCTGGCAACACGTTTCCTATCAGCACTAACTGGGGCATGTGCCCCATGTAGGGCCACATACATGAGGAGATGGGATGTCAAGATCGTGAGAATCAAGATAGTGAGAATAGCATGTCCAAAAATGAAATCCTGACCTTTCCTTGCAATATATTTCTCCTTCCATATTTTCCATCCTATAAATGATGTCTCCATTCATCAGTTGCATAAACTGGAAACTTAAGACTTATTCTTGCTTCTTTCACTCCTTTGCATACCACCAGCAATCTATTACTATGTCTTGCCTGTTCTATCTTCAAAGCACAGCTCAGCTCCATCCACTTCTCTGCATATCTGCTGGCTCCACCATACCCAAGCTGTGTCAACACACATGCACTAAAGCAACAGCAGCCTTGATCTCTGTGCTCTATTTCTGTCCCTCTGTAATCCATACTCTACCCAGATTGTTTGCTAAAATACCAGATTCTATAACTCTCTGCCTTAAAACCCATCAGTGCCTTTTCATCCCACATAGAATAATTTTCAAACCTCTTAGAACAGCCTGCAAGGCTCTGTACGACCTAGTCCCTGAATCTTTAGTAAACATTAACTGTAAAAAAATAGCTTGCTAGAAAATTATACAGATGAACTGTGAACCACACAGGTGGGACCACACTGTGTGGGACCTACTACTTATATGCTGCCCCTGAAACAGCAAGATCAATGTCTCCTCTTCTGCCTCCTCCTCAGCCTACTCAATGTGAACATAAAGAAGATGAAGACCCTTATGATTATCCACTTCCACTTAACAAATAGTGAATATCTTTACCTTATTATTTCTTAGTAACATTGTCTTTTTTATCACGCTTACTTTATTTTAAGAATACGGCACATTATTGACATCATTGATAGTAGCTTCTTCCTCAAGTGGCCCACACCAGAAAAGGAAATAGATAGAATATTTCATCCAATGACTTAATTTCCTTGTGTTAGACTTGGCATCCCTTCAAGATTTTTAAAAGAGGTAAATAGAGGGAGTAACTCTTTCTGGAAGTTGAACAAATGGCTCTATGCCTCCCCTGCTTGCTTGCTATACTAAGTTGTATTTAGAATTTGGTTCTAAGAATTGCCTTCTCTTTTTTTCCCCAATAGGTTGAGTTCTTTCCTTCTTGCCATTTTTTTTAAACAAGATAAGGCCTTGCTATGTTGTCCAGGCTGGACTCAAACTCTTGGGCTCAAGCAATCCTCTCTCCTCAGCCTACCGAGTGGCTGGGCTATAGGTGTGCACCACCACAACCAGATTTTCTGGTTATTTTTAAATTATATAAAACTGGAGGTGATTCAGCCTCCCCTCACTCACAACACTCCTAACAACTAAGCAGTCTTCCAGCTTCTTCCTGAGCTGGGGGATTGAGGGTAGGTCACTAACTCTCAGTAGCTCCAAAGTATGTACTCAAACCAGTCTCAGAGCCTTAACAATGGGTAGTGATCTCAGTATGTCTCTTGAGGCAACACACAATCAAGTCACTTCCTGACAAGTTTTCCCCTGTAAAAGATAAGGAGTCCTAAAAAAAAATACAGTAAAGAGTGCATATAACATACAAAATATGTATTAATTGACTGCTTATGTTATTAATGAATAGTAAATATACTTTCTCTTCCTTATGATTTTCTTAATAACATTTTCTTTTTTCTCTTGCTTGATTATAAAAATACAATATATATACATATAACATACAAAATATATGTTTATCAATGTTTATGTTATTAGTAAGGCTTCAAGTCAATGATAGGCTATTAGCAGTAAATTTTGGGGGTGAAACAAAAGTTATACACAGATTTTTGACTGTGTGGTGGTAAGTGCCCCTAACCCTCATATTATTCGAGTCAACTGTATATGTTTAAAAGCTTTAGACAATAAAAACTATTGTTAAATATTTAGGAGAATATTGTTAAATATGTGGAAGCATAAAAACAATTTTTATTGTGAATTTCTATAATCTAGTATAATAATTTAACAACCTTTATGTCAGGTTTCACTGGAGGCAGGTTCATCACCTTTCATTCCATGGCTGCTAATAACACCTTGACTCCATAGAAGCAACTTGGGTCCACATGTGGGACCAAAGGCAAAGTACTCCATCTTCCTGACGAACCAAGTAAGACAGGGCAAACCTAAGCCATTCTGACAAGTTTTGAAATCAGGAATAGAACTATTGATTAAAACTGTGATAAATTCAAATACATGTTTAGTTTGAAAACCTTGCTAATTCAAATACATAAATTAACTGTGCAAACAAAATTTGTTTTTGTACTTTATAAGCAGTCATGTTAACGTACACGTGCTTGCATACAAAAAATAGACTAGGCGAAAACACATCAAAATGTTCCCTGTGGTCTCTTTCTTGAACGTGGTATTCTTTTTGCATTTCTAATTTTCATTTCAAGCATAATTTATACTCATTGTAGAAAGTTTGATTAGACACTCCAGTACCACTCAATGCGGCATTATTATCAGAACATTTAGAAACCTTGGACTCTGGGGTATTAACGACCAGTAGCACGTCTCCCCCTCACCAGAATAGGCAAAAATGCTGCCCCACGTTTTCACTTTCCTCAGGTATAACTCCCAGTTAAGAACCACAGAGAGATGGCATTATCTGCAGACTTGTTATGCTATGGACATATTCACCTAAGAGAGGCAAATTCATCTATTGTCATGAAGGCAGGATGTTTGTAATCTATGATATGAGTTTTTCTTATTAGCAGCAATAATAATGAACTGATTGATCAGATTAGTAAAATTGCCATCTTGGACAGCAAAAGATATATTAAAATTAGAAGGTAGTATAGGGAAAATTTTACAAGCAGAGTGAGACTGTTCCAGGCAAACCAAATATATGGTCACCATAGGCATACAGTGGAACCCTGTATTGAAGGACTCAGATGAACAACCAAAGCCATCCTGAATCCCCTGGACCCCTGGAGGTTGGGATTGGGCACAAGGCACAACTGCTGGAGAAAGGTAAAAGATGACCTCTACCTCCTTAACCCTTTTGCCCATATTTTCCATACTTAGCATGCAGGACAGAATTCTTAGCCCAGAATCGTAGAACTAGGCAAATGTTAGAAGAATTCAAATAGAAAAATGACCATTGCCTTTTTTGCCTGGATGAAAAGCTACTGTTATTTTAGTAACATAATATACTCTTTCCAGACAGATCTCTGAACTCAAAGGCTTCTGAAGACTGAAAGGGTAAATGCCAGACAGGAAGCTATTCATGAAGAAGGTCAACAAAAATAGGTTAAAGTGCACACCAGCCATTGCTGGAAACTCAAGGCATCTCCAGTGTTCCTCCCCAGCTCTGACTCCTGTGCTCATCCTAGGTAACAGAGCTCAACGTTCATAACCAAGACTCAAATTCCTTGGTTTTGAATCTCAATTCAATACTATATTCCCCAAACCAGTCAAAATCATCATCTACACAAAATGGTGAGATTCACCCATTTAAGATTCCCACCACTAATGTCAACAGAGTTAAATACCAAAAGCAAAACCTAAACAGTCAGAAAGCCCTTGGATGAATGTGTTAAGGCCCTATTATTATTCAGTTAAATGAGAGTAAGTGTTTTAAATCCAAATTATGAAGTCATATTTGTCTACTGATACTCTTCTCCCTCCCCCAGGACATTAAATCATATCTCAACCATTTTGACAATCAGTTAAATATTACAATGAAAAATGAGTTCCAACTGTGAGTTCAAAGAAAATATGTGCAGTATATCCAAACTTGGCTCCTATGGAATAGAGTCTTTTTTTCGGAGTTAAGAAGATATAAGAAAATAGTTGATAAATAATGACAGCTAATATTAACTGAGCATCTTCTACAAACTGGAGATAGCACTGTTTTACATATGGTATGAGTCTCATTCCACATAGTCAAGAATGCAAGAAATATATCTGTATTTTTAATAAATCAATGTAAATTTTATTTTAATGCCCATTCCTCTGGCTGGCAGGAACCTTAGTGTCAGTCACTCACTGGCTTTCTCCTCACCAACCCCAGTGTTGTACTACTGCCTAGGATCATACAAAAAAACAGAGTGGGAGGATTGTTGTGCGCTGATAATGTATCTTCACAGGTCCCACTGAATTGCATATCCTCCCTACCTGTAGGGCTTCTCAAGTCCCGCAGGGCTTGGCTGCTCCCAGGCCACACATGGGACAGGTGCCGTTGTGAAGGTCTTCTGTGGTCTCCTCAGCTTGTACTCACCAGGTAGGCACTCCCCTCTCTGGAGTTTTGCTTTCTCTCTGGATGCAGCCAGAAAGGTGCATGAATACCTCCTGCTTTCAGAATCTACAGACCTCTGTCTGCCCCTCTGGCAGTCACAGGGTTATTTGTGTAAACTGAGGGAAATCTTTCTCCTGCCAAATTTTCCATGTTCTTGCCTTTTCCATTCCTTTCTTCTTTCTCCGCCCTATGCACAGCCTGTACATTCTCCTATGAGCTTTTGCTTTTGGAAAAATGCATCCAGATAGAGTTCCAGGCTACTTTTGCTTCACACCTTCCCCGACCCCAGACAGAAGTAAGTCAAGGGAGCCAGCCACTTGGAAAAGGCAGAAGGAAGAAAGAAGAAAAGGTGAGAAAAAGTGCAAGGATAAAAATATCTTAAAATATCCAGCCTGGCCAAGTGCGGTGGCTCACGCTTGTAATCCCAGCACTTTGGGAGGCCAAGGCGGGCAGAGCACTTGAGAGGAGAAGTTCGAGACCAGCCTGGCCAACATGGTGAAACCCCATCTCTACTAAAATTACAAAAATTAGGTGGCAGGGCCCTGTAGTTTCAGCTACTTGGGAGGCTGAGGCAAAAGAATCACTTGAACCCAGGAGGCAGAGGTTGCAGTGAGCAGAGATGGAGCCACTGCATTCCAGCCTGGGCCACAGAGTGAGTGAGACTCCATCTCAAATAAATAAATAAAAATTTTTTTAAAAATCCAACCTAACATCAAGTCAGCACAGTGACACAAGGTGATATGTGTTACTGTCTCAATGTTATGAACAGGAAAACTCAAATTCAAAATAATTAAAACAAAGGAATATGATTTTCCCAGGTCACACAACTATTAAGTAGCAGATTGGAAATGTAGCTTTAGGTCTGATAGGCCCCAAAACGTAAAATCAAACTTGTGGCTTTCGTGATGAAATAGTCTATATCATTAAAATGTGGAATAGATTTATAAGTATCTCATTTATTTGGATTATTCTAAGTGTCTACTTGGTGGATTTTTTTTTAATTATGAGAGCAACTTCTTCAGCATTGTTCGAAACTGAAATACAGACATATGTTGAATGCATTGCTTTTCAATTTTTTCCTCATGAACTTGACTAAGATTGTATTACCTCCACCAGTATCAACCCAGGAGAAAGTATTTTCAAGGCAGCTTGACAAGTGTTCATACTGCAGAGGATCTGAACAGGAACAATAGCTCAGTGGGGCGTTGCCTGCCATGACTCTCTTGCCTGCTGGGTTTCTGGCTTTCAGACATTTTGACAATGATGTAGTCTTTAATTGGCCTCTTTGCAAATGCCTGCTCCTCACTTTTGACATTAATTGCTAATTAATAGAAGCATGGAAATGTCAGTATATCAGCATACGAGCCAATACCTTAATGTTGAGAAAGTACATAAAAATACAGCTTTTAGATTTGGGATAGGGAAAAAGTAAAAAACTAACCAGTTACAACATCCCTTCTTCAAACTTGCTCTGATATGGTTACAGAGTCAACTTTCACAAGACCCTCAGTACCTTCCCTTCCCAAGCAAGGTGCTGTGAAACTATTGCCACCCACTACAAGGCACCCACTCGCCGCCCAAAGTCAGGGGAGATTCATAAGACCTGAAATCACTACTTGTTAAACTTGAGATGCTCTGGGTATAAAATGTAAATGCACAAATATCACACACTTGAATGATTACTTCAGTTTTTGGAACCTGGGATGAGATTTGGTCTTGGCCTTGGAAAGGAGAAGAAACTCCCCCCGGGCCATGAGCCTAAACCACTTGTCCTGGCTCAGGTCATCAGAGCGCTCCCCACTATAGCAATGAGCCAGACCCCCTCTCATAAGGAAGGGACACTCAAAATTTTCACTTGCTTTAATAACTTCTGAAAAATATATTCCTTTGAGAACCTTATGGGGAGAGATGGGTTTGCAAATATTTTTTCTCAATAGCACCCACTAAATAGCAGGTTGCAGCATCATTTAGTGCTCAGAAAATTAAGAATATATACACATCAAGAGCACTTTTCCCATGACTCTTTATTCTGCTGCTCAAAAGCACTTTTCCCATGACTCTTTATTCTGCTGCTCAAAAGGAAAAAAAAGAACTATAATTAAAATGGAAAGAGAGATTCTAGCATTTTTGAATATACTAGCATTTGGTTTGAAATGGGTTAACTTTCATCATCTTACTTGAAAGTAATACCTTCAGGTATCATGGCAAACTTTTGAAGACCTTATCACTGTTGCTAGTGGAAAATGGATACTTGACAGAAATGATTATCCTAATTCTCCACTTTGCTTTTTGTAAGATAAAATTATTTTAGAATATTTTTACAGAAAAAATGCAAAGGTAATTGAGACACTTTCCTCATACTCCTCACTCAGGTTCCCCTAATGTCAGCATTTTACATTACCATGCTGTATTTGCCAAAACTGAGTAACCAGTGATGATACATTGTTATTAATTAAACTCCAAACTTTATTTTGGTTTCACTAGTTTTCCCATCAATGTCCTTTTTCTTTCCCCAGGTCCAATCCAGGGCATTGCATGGCATTGAGTTTTCATGTCTCCTTAGTCTCTGTTCTGGGACAGTTTCTCAGTCCCTTTCTTTTTATGACCTTGACAGCTTTGAGGAGTACTGCTCAGGTATTTTATAGAATGTCTGTCAATTTGGGTTTGTCTGGTGTGTTTTGTTATGATTAAACTAAGGTTATGGGTTTTTAGAAAGAATATCAGAGGTGAGGTGTCCTTCTCATTCTGTTATGTCCAGAAGTAATTGAGGTATCGGAAGAGGTATTTGATATCAACATGATACAACATAGTGATGCTAACTTTGATTACTTGGTTAAGACAGTGTTTGCCAGATTTCTATACTGTGAAATTACTACTATTTCCATTTCATACTCTATTCTTCTGAAGCCAGTTCACTAAATCCAGTCCATATTCAAGCTGGGGAGAGATTAAGTTCTACCTCCTGGAAAAGGAGAGAGTACCTACCTATAGTTTTAAGACTTATTCTTTAAGGAAAATGTATCCTTTCTCTACAATGTATATATTTACTCAATCATTTAAAAATCATTATGGATTCATATTTATTTTATTCTTTGGGTAGTACGTCATTTGTTTCTTTTTTGCCTGAATTATTTCTGCTTTAGTCATTGGGAGCTCTTTGATGATGGCTCTTGTGTCCCTTTGACATGCTCCATGCTCTTGTTTTTTGAGCACTTCCTTACTTTCTGGTGCTACAGGAAGCTCCAGGATCATCTTGTACTTTCCCTCTTCTAGTCCTAGAATTAGTGAGTTCTCCAAGGAACCCTGGTTCTTTTTATTGCAGAATTCTTTTTAGAAACCAAGACCTGGGCACTGGGATGCTCATTGCTACTGGGGCTTACTGCTTCTAGGTTCTCTGAGCTGGCAGAACTACTAGATTATGCATACATATGACTTATGTATACTCATACCTTTATAATTATTTCTATGTCTATCCATTTGTAGAACTATTAAGATAAATATTAGTTCATATTGTTGTCTCTGGTTCTAATCCTGTATTATGAGGTTCATTCTATTCTTCCCTTCTTATTCTCTCTTCCATAGTGAGAAACCTATCTCCCACTATCTACAATTCATAGACATATAATGTTTGCTTTTTGAAATGGAGATGTAGGTTAGAATACCAAAATATACAAGCAGATTGAAGTAGTGTTTTGTGTGATCCATGGAAAATGTAATTCAACTTAAGAATTGTTAAAAATAATTCTGAAACTCTGCATTTGTAAAAGGCAAAAAAAATCTATCTCATAAGATTACTTGTGTTAATTTAAATGAGAAAACACATTTAAAGATTTTCATAAATAGTAAATTTGGAATAAATACTGTCATTACTATTAATAATAAACGAAACTGTTGAAATGAAATTCTTTATAAATTTGTATTTTTAAAGCATAATTTTTTCCCTCTACATAAAAACCTTACATTGGTTGAACAGGACCAAAGAACTGAGACCTTTGTTTAGAACCAACTGGAAATTGGCTTTGAGATCAAAGTGGTAGGTTGGCCAAGTTGGCTGACAAGTACAAAAAAATGTGCTCTGGATGAGATCATGATTCTACAGCTGTGCTGCTCTCGGTGGATCCCTCAAAGACTAGCAGGCCTGAGTATTATGTGAAACCCAAAATGTATCACTAAACAGAAGTGCAGCGATCTCAATACAGAAGTTAGAGGAGCACTTGGAAAGTAAGCCCAGCACAGATGAAGACAGCTCAAGCACAGCTTACTAAAGATAAAAAGAGGAGTCTTGTTTTTCCAAAATAGATTAAGGGTACTGTCTCCCACTCAGCAGTGTGCAAATGCAAAAAGCCAAAGATAAAAGAAAGATTAAAATATAACGACAGAAAATTAAAAACAAGAGCAAATAAGACAGAAAGGCTCAACCAACATCATCTCTTCTGCGAGTGACGCTATAAAGCCCCCACAGCCAGTAGAGTATAGAGATGTTACTCTTTACTGCTTTAGAAACACCAACCTTGGTGATTGTAAAGGTATAGTCAGTGGCCTACTGCTGCTAGGGTCTCTGGAACAGGCTGAGAATTGATGCAAAATGCAAATCCTTTCTTTAGTTTGTATCAGTAAGATCATATATATTTCTATGGATGTTCATTTTTACACACAAGTCATTTTCAAGGAGCCTATTATGCTATGTAAGATGAGCACATCCTTAAAGTTCAGTATGGCTCCCATACAAAGCTGAGCAATGTTGAAGAGCTACACTGTGCACATGCACAATCAGCTAGTTGGATTTTGCAACCGATTCATTTTCTGGAAGAACCATTCATTCCAAATACATTATTGGAGTTGTCTTAAATTGGCCATGTTTTCCACTCACGGCTATTCCTACATTTTACTTACAAAAAATACTCACAAGTTATCTTCTTGACTAAAAGTTTAGTTTGAAATTACCTGGTTAATCCTGAAAAAAGAGTGTTGTGTGCTCACATAAACAATATTTGGAACCTGCAGTTTATGCTTCCTTATTATTTAAATAATTCATACCAACCCAGGCAAGTGGCTCACGCCTGTAATCCCAGCACTTTGGGAAGTGGAGGATGGCTTGAGGCCAGGAGTTTGAGACCAGCCTAGGCAAAATAATGAGACCCTGTCACTACATAAAAAAAAAAAAAAAAAAAAATAGCTGGTCATGGTGGCATGCCACTGTAGTCCTGGCTATTTGGGAGGCTGAGGTAGGAGGATTGAGCCAAGGAGTTGGAGAATGCAGTGAGCTATTATCACACCACTGCACTTCAGCCTTGGCAACAGAGTAAAACCTTGTCTCTAAAAATAATAACATAAAATAAAAATAAATTATTCATACCCATATTGTTAAACCAGAAATACCTAATCGTTGCCAACATCCATTCTGTAACAAAACAAATGTGCATAGACAATGACATTTACTTGTCCCCTTCTAGATTATTATTATTATTTTTTTAAGTGAAACGTGGTTTAGGGAAGACTGAGGGGCAGAAAGTAGTAAAGACTGAAGCCAGACTGGAAGTGGCAACTGTCAGTGTGAGTCTGAGCTCCCAATGAACAGTGCCCACAGTTATCATTGAAATCAGAGGTAGGCTAAGGGCGTGTGCTGGGGCAGCTGGACCGCTTGCTGCTGATGCAGAAGAACTGTTTTGTATCATTGTATTGAGCAGGAATGTTTCTACTTTAGCTGTTACTCTCTTGCCCCTTTGGGGATAATTTACTTATTTCATTCACACATCAAAGTAGCTAAAGATACCAATGTATAAAAAATAAGAAAAGTATCATGTGACATTCAGTAAGTCCTCATTTTTTGGATTATATGCCTTATCAATTTTAAAAAATTGAGAACTTAATCCAAATATATGTATATTTGGTTATTTATAAATTATATACAAGTATTGTAACACTGTTAAATTATATAAACTGCAATATAATATATATAGAATATAAATGTATACATAGATAGCAATGAAATACAATATATAATAATTTAATAAGTTTTAAATACATACAAATATAACTTTTAATCATGTTTTCAACCTCAATATGTCATCGGACATACTCTTATTTTGGAGACTAAGAATTTTGAGATGTATGTAAACATCTTGTTTTTCCCCAGAATATGAGTCTGAAATAAGAAAATTGCGGCTGCACTGCTTAACTCCTGTTTCAAATTTGTTTGTACCTGGTTACTAAAAGCTACCAATAAATTTCATTTTACATGAAGCTCATTAATGTTATAAGCTCCATGAATTTCTCTTAATTCCTTTATTTTCTGGTAATAATACACTGATAAAAGGAAGTATATTCTTATATTCATTAGATTTACTGTCTGCCCTGAAGCCAAGTCCATAACTCACTAATAAGGTTTGGAAAGACATTTTCCTCTTAATTTATAAATGAAATAAAAGCACACTCATTATATCCTTGCAATGCTGCCAATGTAGCCAAGTAATTAAATACTCAGTTCAGTTCTCAGAAGGAAGTTTTAGCAATTCCACACTCCTACTAGAAATATTTATAATATTCAAGCTTACAAGAGGTGAATTTCCATGATTTTATTTTAAAAAATGATGTGAGCAATGAACCTGCTTTATTCTCCATATATAAACACATCTTGTTTTATCTAATGACAAAAATTGCTAAATGAGTTTCGTTTTTGTTTTTTCTTGTTTGTTTTTTTGTTTTGGCAGAGATCAACTGAAAACCATCAATTTACCTGATGGAAACTTGATAGGAAGTGTAATCTGACCTTGTTAATCATTCTGTAACCAGCTCCCAGGGAGATCTATTTCTTACCCAGTTCTTAATCCCAAGATTAGTATGCTTTTTTTCTTTGTTGTTCATACTGAGTTTTTCTGACTGTCTCGCCCTAGTCTGGTTTGTATTTTAAATATTTTTTCCATCTGCTGGTATTTAACACTGCTATCACCATGATTTTTTCCAGAGCATCTCATTTTTAAAGGTTATTTAGGAAATGAACTATGTATCATATTTATCTTTTGATGTCTTTAACACTTTTTGGTTGTGAGAGAGAATGAATGTTTACTCAACATATTCACAGAGCTTACTTTACCTTATTTTCAAACTGATAGTATATGCTAGCAGATGGCAGGATTTTCCAACATTTAGACACTATTATTTAAAACATTCATGAAAGCATGAGCCTAAATTATGAAATTATATTTAAGTAAATTATAATAAAGCAAAATGTATATGAATTTAAAGCAAAAGTTCCATATTGTTAGGCAAGAAAATTTAAAGAAAAAGTGGTGTGGGTGTATGTGTGTATAATACTACTCAGCCACCAAAAAGAATGAAACCATGTATTTTGCAGTGACATGGATAGAACTAGAGGCCATTATTTTAAATGAAGTAACTCAGAAACAGAAAGTCAAATACCACATGCTCTCACTTGTAAGTGGGAGCTACATAATGTGTACACATGGACATAGAGTATGGAATAATCATCACTGGGGACTCAGAAGGGTAGAAGAAGGGTGAAGGGTAAAAATTACTTAATGGGTTCAATGTAATTTGTATTTGGGTGATGGCTACACTAAAAGCCTAGACTTCACCAGTAGACAATATATCCATGTAACAAAACTGCACTTGTACCCTCTAAATGTATACACAGAAAAAATAATTTAATCTGACATGAAATAAGGAGAAAGAAAATAAAAAGATATTGAGAGTCAGTGGTGGGCGGAGGCCTTTGAGGTTGTTGTAAAAGTATCTTATTCCTTTTCTTTCTCTGTTGTTCCGTCCACCACAAGTTGTACACCGTGGCTCTTGCTTTTGGCCATCAATCCCCTGGAGAAGAGATATTAATGGGGAGGGTGGGCCCACCTTGGGGAATGACAGGACCACATACAGGAGAAGGAAGGCGGCTCTTGGATGTAATGGGCCAATAATAGACAAGTCACATTTATTACTTCCATTCCTGAGCATCCTGCGAAACACTGGAAATTATATTGGTGGTGAATAGGTGATTAAAAACATGCAGGCTTTATCCAGACTACCTGATTGAATGCCAGCTTCATCGTCTACAGTTCAATAGTTTAGGGCAAGTTAGCAAGCCTTTCTGTGCCTCAGTTTCCTCCTCTGTAAAATGGGAGTAATAGGCATACTGATTGTATAAGGTTGTTGAGGATTAAATTACTTAAATATTTGTAACTTATTATGAGTGCCTAGTATTTAAAAAATGATATGTGTATTATCAAAAAACAGTACAATAACTAAAAATTAATCCTTTCCTCGTCATTTCTTCTCTTCTCAGAGTAAAATACAAGGTCCATCCAATGGCCTGTCCCTTGCAATCTGTTCCCCATTCTTGTCTGATTTTGTTTCCTCTGTTCTGGTACTCAGTTAGGTTGCAGTTTCTAAGCCCCTTTGTATCATGTGAGGTTGTGTAACTGACTTCTGGCCATGGCATCTGGCTCATCACGATATACTTCTAGGCCCGGCAAACCGTCACCAACCATTCTGGTTTGCTCAGGACTGTCCTGGTTTTAACACTGAAAGCCCCACATCCTGGGAGAACCCCTCAATGCTGAGAAAACAAGAACAGTTAGCCACCCCAACCCTGGCCTATTAAAATCTCTTGAAATCTTTCATATTCTTTTCTACTACCTGCTGGATATCAATGTCCAGAGTGACCTTGAAAGTCACATGTTGACAATAACAGAACCACCATCAGCCTGGGCTTTTGAGTGAAGAGAGTTACTGCCTCTTCTCCCACTGGACTTTATGTGAGCAAAAAACAGTTTCTGTTTTGATAAAGCACTAAGATTCCATTGCATTAACTTAACCAATAAAATAACTACCATGCTGGTCATTCTAGCCTCTCTCTTGTTCCTGCAACAAATTGAGAATTCACTAACTGTTTACTCTGCTCAGAATGTTCCTTTCCAGACATCTTCATGGCTAATTTCCTCACCTCTGTCCATTTTTCACTTAACTCTTGTTTTCCATGGCACCTTCTTAACCAGTGTATTCAAAATAGCAGGCCATCTCCCTGCTCTCATCTCCTTATTCTTTTATTTTATTTTTTGCCATAGTGTCATCACTTTCTGATTTATACTGTATCATTTACTCTCATTTCTTATGTTCTTATTGTCTTGCCTCCCCCACTAGAATAACTAGAATATAAGCTCCAGAGGGCTGAGAGCATTGTTTGCTCACTGTATATCTCAAAAGTCTAGAACATTGCCTGACACGTAACAGGCACTCTATACACATTCGTTAAATTAATTACTTTATTTCATTTTTGGAATTTATGGACTTTAACCCCACAAAGGGGTAACCCATCTCATAGAGCTTTTATGTAATGATTCCTTCCAACCATTTCCACAGTATTGTGATGAATTTTAGAAATTATGGACAGAACAATCCTGCTATTTACTATTTCATGAAAACCTTTATTCCTGGTTTGCGTCCAAATTTCTCCAAAACAGAGAATCTAAATTGAATATGTCTAAAATCAAATATTTAAGTCTATGGGTTTCTGGGCACTTGTAATCACCTTAATTACTGGTTAGACTTCACTGTGCCTCATATTTTGTTCTCTATCTTTTTAATGCTGGAGCATTAAAGCTATAGCAATAGATTACTATTGACATTTTATCTCTTTCTGCCTCTCTGTACTCCTATTAGTGCTTGAGTGTCTCAGCAAGTCTGGGTGTTTCAAAGAGTGTTAGAGACTTATCCAATATTTACCCTTATAAATTGTAAATTTGTATGCAAGTAGGAGGCACAGAATCTTTGAGGAGGATGAAGGCACCTCAGAGTCAGTTGACTTTACTATTGTTTCATTATTTAAAAATAAAGAATGTATTTGTTGTATTTGGTTTCTTACTTAGAGCAGGTATTGTTTACCAGTGTTTTGTGGCAACGATCATAATGCAGAGATATAGAAGTCACAGTTTGTGTCTTCTTTTCATCTCATCAATAAATAGAACACAAGGTATCACTTGTTCTGTGGGCACTCTTTTCCATCCAAGGTTCCAGCTAATCAGGACTTGGAGTTGGCAGGAGTAGCATCCCTAAGTAGTTGCTTTCAGATTGCAGAGATCGTTTGTGTTCAGAGGAATGTTACCATGGAAAAGTCCTCCATCCACTGGTAGGATCAGTATGATTCTGGAAAAGATTAAACAACCCACCACTGTGTAAATCCACTGTTTATTTATATACCTCTGAGAACTGTTTCAGAACTGCTGTTATCATTGAAGGGTGCATACTCACAAAAGCTGCCTAATGAGAGGTCAGTTTTGAATAACTAGTTACAGATGACCTGATCCAAAATCTTTCAGAATTAATTTTTTTAGAATTCATTGTGAATTTATTTACCTATATTTTTTTTTCAATCAATTCCCAGATCGACCGTGAGTCTGGAACTGGGCTAGGTGTTGGGATGATGTAGCGAACCAGTCTCCATCCATGACCTCAAGGAGCTTGCAGGCCAGTAATGATGGTAGAGATGAGTAAACAAGAGAATGTAATTCAAATGCCTTCACATGATGTGAAAAAGAAAAGTGCAGAGTATCCTAACTTAGGTTGGGCTTGTCAGAGACTGTTGAGGTCAGGCACTCAGTAGTCGAGATGACAGCGGGTATGGTGCACTAGGGGAACTGCAGACAGTCCACAGTGGCCGGTTGTTGTTGGAGAGGGAGTGAAGGAAATGTTACAAAGTGGGCAGAGACAGGGTGGGGCTAGGATTCTGTGTATTGCCAAGGAGTTTGCACCCCATTTTGAACATAAGGAGACTTATAAAGCTGTAAGCAGAGGAGTAACACTATCAAATGTGCCCTTCAGAAAGTTCAATCTTCTATAGCAAGGTGGAGCAATTTAAAATGATTAAAAGATGAACAGAAACAAAAACAGGAGACTGAGAGACCTATTTTGACAGGCTTTACTTGAAGAGGTTCAATGATGGTGGTAGTCCAAAAAGTCAACTAGTGGCGAAGACAATGCAGGAAAATAGAATATGGTCTCTATGTGTGAAATGATGCGGCCATTCAGCAAGGCAGGGAATGTTGGAAGAGTTAATGAAGTCAGTCTGGGAGACTTTAAAAATTGGAATTATTGGTAGGTCAACTGAAAGACGTCCAAACTCTTTGTGTTGGCTTTCTATTTTTTAGTCTTGTTAAAAGTACAATTAGGAGAAAATTAGAAAAAGTCTAATGAGGAAGAAAGAATGATTTCTGTATTTTAGAGGCCTGCAAGTTTTTTGACTACGACCCATAGTAAGGATTAAATTTTGCATCATTATACCCATAGACACAGATATGAAAACAAAAAAATTGATGTAGCAGTAATTACCCTTATTACATATAATGCACTCTGGTATTTTCTATTCCTGTGCTATTTTATTATCTCTCCATAATATGATACATTTAATGACTGTGAATATAGAAGTTCAACTTAACTAACAAAGAGTGCTTGAGGACATTTTGTTCCTTAGAGTGGAAGGCTTTACACGTAAAATCTGCTGGAAAAAAGACCTGGACTTTGAAATCAGACCTAGGTTCCATCCTGGATTCAAAATTTATTAACTATGCTGCCTAAGGCAATCTACTTACCCTTCAGGGACTTGTGATCATGATACCAATTATCACTGATAAGCACCTTCTCCATACCAGGCATGGAGCAAGTCTACGCAACAAGTGAGGAATTAATTATAGGAATGTTGTTCTGAATAGGTAGGATGGACCCCCTAGAACAGGATCTGGCATATATTAGTTCAGAAATGAATGAATCAAATATACATACATATGTATATATATAATCCTGATTTAAATTTATTCATTCAAAAATAAATGAAAAATGTATTTACTAAAGCTCTTATTAAATAGGATATTTCATTTCTTTCTTTCTTTCTTTTTTTTTTTTTTGAAATGGAGTTTTGCGTTTGTTGCCCAGGCTGGAGTGCAATGGCACGACCTCGGCTCACCACAACCTCCGCCTCCTGGGTTCAAGCAAATCTCCTACCTCAGCCTCCCGAGTAGCTGGGATTACAGACACGCGCCACCACGCCAGGCTAATTTTGTATTTTTAGTAGAGACAGGGCTTCTCCATGTTGGTCAGGCTGGTCTCGAACTCCTGACCTCAGATGATCCGCCCGCTTCCGCCTCCCCAAGTGCTGGGATTACAGGCATGAACCACCGCGCCTGGCCTGGATGTTTCATTTCCTATAAAGTTGTTTCAAACATCCAGAAGAATACAAATATATGCGTATACACACAGACACATACACCTGAATATGTTTAAAAAATTATAAAGATAAAATATAAACTCATGTGCCCAGGAGAAAAAAAATAGTAGCCACACCTTCAAAGTACCCTATGTGCTCCTCCCTACCATGTCTCATGCTTTGCCTTCCCCAGAAGTGATAGCTATCTTGAATTTCGTGTTCATCTTCCCCTTGCATAGCTACATTGTAGTCCCACATTTAAACAAGTCTTTAAAAATGAATTATTTCCTTTATATAACTTTGAAGTTACATCTGTGGAATCAGTCTATGTATATTTCTTCCGTGACTTGCTTTTTTCCTCTCAGTGTCAAGTTCATGACATTCATCTAGAAGGCGGTGTAACATTTGAGACATGTTTGCTTTTAAATATCCCACAGTTTATTTATACCATTTCCAGTTACCAAATGTGTAGTTGTTTCCAGTTTGTTAGTTTGTTTTTGTATTACAAACAATGCTACAGTATGCAATCTTGTACATGTTTCCTGTGCACACGTAAACAAATTTCTAGAGTTGCCAAAGAAAATATAGGACACCCAATTAAAATAGAATTTTAGAGAAGCAACAAATAATTTTTAAAATACAACGATGTCTCATGCAATATTTGGGACATACTTATACTAAAATTTACTTTGTCATATCATTGGAATTAAATTTAACTAGGTGGCCTACATTTTTATTTGCTAAATCTAGCAAATTTATGAAATGCTCATGCCAAAGAGTGCTCACGCCAGGCTCTTGCTAAGCCATGGAGAATGCACAACCTTAACGCTTTAGGTATTGTCAAATGTTCTTTTTTTAATTTAGGTTTTTTGCTTGTTTGGTGGTAAATGCTTTCACAGTAAGTTGTTTGCTCATTAATTTACTTACTTTTAATTATTTTTAAAAAATTAGACTTAGTGGGTACACATGCAGGTTATTACAGGAGTAAATTGTGTGATGCTGGGATCTGGGCTTCAATTAAACCCATCACTCAAATAGTGAACAGAGTACCCAAGGAGGTTTTTAACTCTTTCCCTCTCCCTCCCTCCCCACTTTTTAGAGTCCTCAGTGTCTTCTATTCCCATCTTTACATCCATGTGTACCCAATGTGTAGCTCCCACTTGTAAGTGAGAACATGCAGTATTTGGTTTTCTGTTTCTGTGTTAATTCTTTTACGATGATAGCCTCCAACTGTGTCCATGTTGCTGCAAAGGACATGATTTTGTTCTTTTTATGGCTGCATAGTATTCCATGTTGTATATGTACCACATTTTCTTTATCCAATTTCACTACTGATAGGCACCTAGATTGATTCCATGTCTTCGGTATTGTGAATAGTGCTATGAAAAGGATACAACTGCATGTGTCTTTTTGTAGAACAATTTATTTTCCTTTGTGTATATGCTCAGTAATGGGATCACTCGGTCAAATGGCAATTCTGTTTTTAGTTATTTGAGAAGTCTCCAGACTGCTTTTCACACGGGCTGAACTAATTTACAATCCCACCAACGGCTGATGAGCATTCTCTTTTCTTTGCAACTTTGCCAACATCTGTTATTTTTAGGCTTTTTAGCAATTGCCATTCTGACTGGTGTGAGATGGTACCTCATTGTGGTTTTGATTTGGGTTTCTCTAATCATTAGTGATGTTGAGCATTTTTTCATATGTTTGTTGGCCACTTGTATATCTTCTTTTAAGAAGTATATGTTCATATTCTTTGCCTACTTTTTAATGTGGTTATTTGTTTTTTGCGTATAAATTTGTTTAAATTCCTTATAGATTCTGAGTACAGTCCTTTGTCAGATACATAGTTTGTGAATATTTTCTCCCATTTCGTAGGCTATTTATTCTTTTGATAGTTTCTTTTGCTGTGCAGAAGCTCTTTAATTAGGTCCCACTTGTCAATATTTATTTTTGTTGCATTCGTTTTTGAGGACTTAATCACAACATACTTGCATAGGGTGATCGTAAGAAGTGTATTTCCTAGTTTTCTTCTAGGATTTTTATAGTTTGAGGTATTACATTTAAGTCTTCGACCCATCTTGAGTTATTTTTGGATATGGTAAGAAGTAGAAGTCTAGTTTCATTCTTCTTCATGTGGTTAGCCAGTTATTCCAACACCATTAATTGATTAGGGAGTTCTCACCCCATTGTTTATTTTTGTCAACTTCATCAAAGATCAGTTGAGTTTAGGTATGCAGCTTTATTTCTGGGTTCTTTATTCTGTTCCATATTCTATGTGTCTATTTTTATACTACTATTATGCTGTTTTGTTACTGCAGCCTTTAGTATAGTTGGGTAATACAATGCCTCCAGCTTGTTCTATTTGATTAGGATTGCTTTGGCTATTTGGGCTTTATTTTGGATTCCATATTAATTTTAGAATAGTGTTTTTCTAATTCTGTGTAGAATGATGTTGGTAATTTGACAGGAATTGCATTGAGTCTGTATGTTGCTTTGGGCAGTATGGACATTTTAACGGTATTAATTCTTCCAATCCACAAACATGGAATGTTTTTCCATTTGTTTGTGTTGTTTATGATTTCTTTCAACAGTGTTTCGTAGTTCTCCTTGTAGAGATCTTTCACCCCCTTGGCTAGACATATTCCTAGGTATTTTATTCTTTTTGCGGCTATTGTAAATGAGATTATATTCTTGATTTAGTTCTCAGGATAAATGTTATTGGCATTTAGAAATGTTACTGATTTTTGTAAATTAATTTTGTATCCTGCAACTTTACTATAATCATTTATTAGATCCAGAAATTTTTTGGTGGAATATTTAGGATTTTCTAGATATAAAATCATATCATCAGCAAAGAGAAACAATTTGACTTCCTCTTTTCCTTTGGGGATGTCTTTTATTTCCTTCCCTTTCCTGATTGCTCTGCCTAGGATTTCCAGTACTGTGTTGAATAAGTACAAGGTTGAAAGTGGACAACCTTGTCTTTTTCAAGTTCTTAGGGGAAATACTTACAACTTTTCCCTGTTTAGTGTGATGTTGGCTGTGGGTTTGTCATCAGTGGCTCTTATTATTTTAAGGTATGTTCGTTCATACCTAGTTTATTGAGGATTTTTATCTTGTAGAGATGTTAGATTTCATTGAAATCTTTTTCTGTGCCTATTGAGATGATCATACGGTTTTTGTTTTTCATTCTGTTTGTATGGTGAATCACATTTGTTGATTTGCTTATTTGGAACCAATGGTGTATCCCAGGAATAAAGCCCACTTGATCGTGGTGGATTATCTCTCAGCTGTGTGACTAGATTTGTTTTGTTAGTCTTTTGTTGAGAATGTTTGCATCTGTGTTCATCAGGAAGATTGACTTGTAGTTTTCTTTTTTTTGTTGTCTCTTTGACTAATTTTAGAATCAGGATGATGCTCACTTTGTAGAATGAGTTAGGGAGGAATCCCTCCTCCTAAATTTTTTGTAATAGTTTCAGTAGGATTAGTCCCAGCTTTTCCTTGTATGTCTGATAGAATTCTGCTATGAATCCATGTGGTGCAGGGCTTTTTTTGTTTGGTAGGTTTCTTATTACTGAATCAGTTTAGTACATGTTATTGATCTGTTCAGGGTTTCAATTTCTTCATAATTAAATTTTAAGAGGTTGTATGTTTCCAGAATTCAGCTATTTCCTCTAGATTTTCTAGTTTGTGCTCATGGAGACGCTCATCATAATCTCTGAGGATCTTTTGTATTTTTGTGCGATTGGTTATGATGTCACCTTTGTCATTTCTGATTGTGCTTATTTGGAACTTTTCTCCTTTTTTCTTTGCTTCTTTAGCTAGCGGTCTATCAATCTTGTTTATTCTTCCAAACACACACACACACACACACACACACACACACACACACACACACACGCCTTTTTGTTTTGTTGAGCCTTTGTATGTTTTTTTGGTCTTATTTTCATTTAGTTGTGCTCTGATTTTAATTATTTCTTTTCTCCTACAGCTTTGGGTTTAGTTTGTTCTTGCTTTTCTAGTTCCTTTAGGTGTAATGTTAGATTTTTAACTTCAGATCTTTCTATCTTCTTGATGTAGGCATTTAGTGCTGTAAACTTTCCTCTTAACACTGCTTTTGCTGCATCCCAGAGGTTTTGATATGTTGTGTTTCTATTTTCATTTGTTCAAGGAATTTTTTCATTTCTGCCTTAATTTTATTTGTTTACCCAGAAGTTATTCAGGAGCAAATTTTTTGGTTTCTATATATTTGTGTGATTTTGAGAGTTCCTCTTGCTATTGATTTATATTTTTATTCCACTGTAGTCTGAAAAGATGCTTGGTCTGATTTCAATTTATTTGAATTTGTTGAGACTTGCTTTATGACTGAGCATATGTCTAATTTTAGAATATGTTCTGTGTGCTGAGAATAATGTATATTCTGTGGTTGTTGGTTGAAGTATGAAAATGTTTTCTAAAATTGCTGAAGCAATATGCCACACACACACCACCACCAGGAAATTATGAGTTTTCATTGTTTCATATCCTTAGTGTTATGGATTGACTGTGTCCCCTAGAATTCATATGTTGAAGTACCAATCCCCAGTGTGACTGTAATTGGAGACAGGACCTTTAGGAGGTGATTAAGGTTAAATGAAGTCATAAGGAAGGGGACCCTAACCTGATAGGACTGATATCTTTATAGAAAGAGGAATAGGCCCTGGATACCACTCTCCTCAAGTGCACACAGAGGAAATGCCATGTGATGATACAGTGGGTGGGTAGCCATTTGCAAGCCAGGATGGTGGGCCTCATAAGAAACCAACCCTGCCTGCAGCTTGATTTTGTACTATCAGCTTCTAGAGCTGTGAGAAAATAAATGTCCACCCAATCTATAGTAATTTGTTATGGCAGCCCTAGCAAAGAAATACATTAATCAACATCTGGCTTACCAGCCATTTTAATTTTTGTGAACATGGTAGTAGGAAATGATATACTTTGTGATTTTAATGTGTGTTCCTGTAGTTTGGCATCTTTTCATATTTATTGACCATTTACGTTTCCTTTCCTGTGAAATGCCTACCCAGGTTTTTGCCCATTTTCTTTTTAAGTTCTTTGCCACTCTATGACAGAATTACTGGAGATTTTATACATTATATTCAATACGTGTGTATATGTGTGTATAATATCAGTACTTAATTATATGTGTTTTAAATGTCTTTCTCCACTTTGTTACTTGTCCTTTCTTGTTTTAGCAATTTTTTTGAGGAACAAAAGTTATTAATTCTGAGCTACTCTGGGCACACTGCCCATGGGTGACCCCTGCTCTGAAAGGAGCAGTAATAAAAAATTTTTTAATAAAATAAAATATTTTAAGACATTATTAATTTTGATAAATTGAATTTATTCATCTTTCTCTTTATGGCTTATGCCTATTTCTTTTGTTTAAGAAATTCTTTTGTAACTTGATGTAAACAATAATTTCCTCTATTTCTTCTAGAAGTTTATATTTTTCCTTTTCACATTTTCACCTTTAGTCTATCAATAAATAATTCTTGTTTATGGTGTAAAGTAGAGATCTACTATCACTTCTGTTTCAGTGTCCCAGCATCACTTATTGAATTAGGCACTCTTTCTCCAAGGACACACAATGTCTCCTATCTTATAAGTCAAGTTTAAATATAAGCCTGAATCTGCTTCTGAGATCACTATTTTGTTCCATTGGTCAATAGCTATCCACACTGTACAATTTCTTAATTATTATAACTTTATATGAAGGCTTTATCACTGGTGTAGCAAGGTCTCCCAGCTTATGCTTCTTAAGAAGTCATGGCTCTTTGTGTTTTTTGTTCTTCCATATAAATTTTAGAATCATCTTGAACATTTCCTTAACAAACTCTGTTGGGATTTTCATTGCATTAAATCTGTAAATCAATTTAGGGGATTCTTTACAATATGGAATCTTCGTATCCATAAAACATGTAGGTTTGTAATTCATTTTGAGTTGATTTTTGTGAAGAGTGTATGATCTATGTTTCCATGTGTTTATTTTTGTGGTTGTTGTTGTTTTGGCATGTAGATGTCCCATTCTTACAGCACTATTTGTTGAAAAGATTATCTTTTCTCCATTGTATTGCCTTTGCTTGTTTGTCAAAGATCAGTTGATTATATTTCTGTGGGTCTGTTTCTGGGCTCTCTATTCTGTTTCACTAATCTACTTGTCAATTTCTTTTTCTAATACTACCCCGTCTTGATGACTATAGTTTTATAGTAAATTCTGAATTCAGATAGTGTCAGTTCTCTGACTTTTCTCTCCTTCAATAGTGTGCCTCTCCATGTAACTTTAGAATCAGTTTGTTGACTCCCACAATTTAACTTTCTGGGATTTTGGTTGGGGTGACATCGGTGTTTCTGACCTATACCATTTTCTTTCTGTCTGAAGAAATTCTTTTAACACTTCTTGCAAGGCAGTTGTAATGGCAACACATCCCCTAAGTTTTTGTTTGTGTGGAAAGTCTTTAATTTTTTTCACTTCTGAAGTATAATTTTATGTGCTACAAAATTTTGAGTTGGTGGGTTTTGATCTCAACATTTTGATTATTTCACTCCAGTTTCTTCCTGTTTGCATGTTTTCTGAGGGGAAGTCAGATGTAATTCTTATCTCTTTTCTATAGGTAAAGTGACGTTTTTTCCCTCTGGCCTCTTTAAAGATTTTTTTGTCTCTAATTTTCTGAAGTTTTAATATGATATGGCTAGGTGTCGTTTTTTCATATTACATCTGTTTGGTGTTCACTCAGCTTCCTGGATCTGTGGCATAATGTCTGACTTTAGTTTGGGAAAATTGTTAATCATCACTGCTTAAAATATTACTTTTGTTCTTTTCTGTCTTTTTTTCTCCTTGTATTCTATTACATATATGTTAGATCTTCTGTAGTTGTCTCACAGTTCTTGGATATTCTGTTCAAATTTTTTCAATTCTTTTTTCTCTTTATTTTCAGTTTTGGTGTTTCTACTGACATATTCTGAAGCACAGAGATGATTTCCTCGACCGTGTGCAGAGTACTAATGAGACCATCAAAGCTGTTTGTTATTTCTGTTACAGTATTTTTGATTGTAGCAGTTCTTTTTTGTTCCTTTTTAGACTATCCATTCTTTTTTAGAATATCCGTATCTCTGCTTATGTTATCTATCTGTTCTTGCATGTTGTCTACTTTTTCCATTAGCTGTTAGTGCCCTTAGTATGTGAATCATACTTCTTTTAAATTCACAGGCTAATAATTCTATCATCCCTGCTGTGTTGGAGTGTGGTTCTGATATTTTTTCAGTCTCATAAAATTCTGTGTTTTGCCTTTTAGTATGCGTTGTAATTTTTTAAAAGCCAGACTCCACGGCATAGTCTAGTTGTGTGGTAGTAAGGCACCTGAGGAGGGGAAGTGTTCTATAGTCCTGTGATTAGGTTTCAGTCTTTGGTGATCTTGTGCCCCTCAGTCGTAAACTTTGCATGTGCTTCTCAGGTTTTTCTCCCCTTTAAGTGGGGCAGAATGGCTACAGTGACTGGAGTTGAATAACTCCCTTCCGTAGGTCAGTTAGTCTTTGATAAAACCCCACCAGGCAAGGTTCTAGTAAAACTGTTTTGCTTGAGGACAGGTCTTATTAAGAACAGAATGCTCTGGGGTGTTTCAAAATGGTTATTTTGTCCCTCCCCTTGCCTCAAGTGTGAGATTTTCCTCCAAAATTCACTGTGAGGACCTGGTGGAGCTCTTTTAGGTAAAACTCACAAAAGTGTGAGGGTCCTCCCATGACTGCGCTTCCTGAGGTTTTTCTTTGCCAGGCTGGTCTGCACTGAGCCTCCAGCAATTTGTCAGTTCCAGTTTAGGTTTCCCTACTGATACCAGTTCATGCAGGGATCTCTGCTTCTGGATTTCTGATCTGGTAAGTTGTGATTCTCTGTATTCACCTGGCCGTCACTCCAACTTTGGGGGCAGTGGTTTGCTATACAACCTACCTTGTTTGATAGATCCAAGAAGAGTTGTTGGTTCTTCCATTTATTTAGCTTTTTACTTGTTAAGACAGAATAATGACTTCCAAGTACCTTATGTGCTGGATTGGAAACCAGAAGTCCAGATATCTTTTATTACCATTAGTTCCATTTTTAATCTGTGAGTCATATTTGGGTTTTCTATGGAAGCAATCATATTAGCTTTTATATGAATTGTTTTGTTTCATCTTCTACAATCTCTTCTGTCTTTTTATTGTCTGGTTGTGTTGACTAATACCTTGAATACACTGGTGAATAGAAATGGTATTATTGAGTATAGTCTTTTTCACAGTTTTTAGATAGAATGTTTCTAATGCTTCACCACAGACAACAATGTTGGCATTCTATTGTTATTTTACTAAGAGATTGCTTTGTTATTTGAATAAATATTGCCTGTTATTAAAAGTGTATTCTGCATGTTTTCAGTTATATGGATTTTCTCCATTAATCTTTTAATATGTTGAGTCACGTTTATAGATTTTCCAATGCTAAGCCACTTTGAATTCCTGGGATAAAACAAAACTGGTTATGATATACAATCTTCTTTAAACATTACTGGGCTGAGCATGGTGGCTCACACCTGTAATCCCAGCACTTTAGGAGGCTGAGGTGGGTGGATCACGAGGTCAGGAGATCAAGACCATCCTGGCCAATATGGTAAAACCACATCTCTACTAAAAATACAAAAATCAGCTGGGTGTGGTGGTGTGTGCCTGTAGTCCCAGCTACTCAGGAGGCTGAGGCAGGAGAATCGCTTGAACCTGGGAGGTGGACGTTGTAGTGAGCCAAGATTGCGCCACTGCACTCCAGCCTGGTGACAGAGCAAGACTCCGTCTCAAATTAAAAAAAAAAAAAAGAAAGAAAAAAAATCACTGTTTGCTAGTATTTTACTTAGGATTTTTGCATCTGTGTTCATGGATGAAACTTCAATATTTTGTTTTTATTTTACTGTCCTTTGCAGCTTTGTGTTTCAAGGTTACACTATCTCAGAATGAGTGGGCAATTGTATTCATCAATTTATATTCTGGTAACAAGTAACCCCAAAATCTAAATGGCTTGAGTAACAAATACTTATTTCTTGCCTGACAGTCTGCAGGTTGGCTGCAGCCAAGCTGCCCTGCCTTGTGCTTAGCTGGGTTCCACATGTCTCCTTAAGCCAGGACCCATATTAGAGAGCAGCCACTCCCTGGGACATGATCTTTACACAGCCAAGCCTAAAGTCCATGGGAAAACGACATGAACAGAGTGTGAGAGTACTATCTTCTAGAGAGTGAAGGAAATGTTAGGAGCCATACCACAATCTACCACAGAGATTATTCTCTTTTTTTTCTATGTTTAGAAAATTTTGCAAAAATTTGGAATAATAATTTTTCTTGAATGTATGGTGGTTCTTATCTATGAAAGCTTCTGGGCCTTAGTGTTTCGCCGTTGTTGTTGTTAAAATAATATTAACCATTGTTTCAATTATTTTATTGTCTATTGTTTTTCAAATTTTCTATTCTTTCTCTTTTGGGAAGTTACATATTTCAGGAAATACACACATTCCATTTATCTTTGTAAAATTATTGAAATCAAGTTGTTTTTAATATTATTTCATTGTTTTTCTAAACTCTGCTGGATTCACAGTTATGTATGCTTTATCATTTTTAATGTTTTTTATTGTTCCATGCTCACTAGATTTTTCTATTTAAAAAAAGTCAACTTTTTATTATGCTGATTCTCTTGATATTATCTTTATTTTCACATTACAGTGAGTTTTTAACCTTCTTTTCTAAAAACACTTGAAAGACATACTATATATGATGAGGAGCAATTACCTCCTCCTTCTGTATAAAAAATGATGCCCAATTATAAACTAGTTATTATTTTATATTTATTACAGAGGTTGGAGAAGTCATTAGTGGATTGAATACAAATATTTATAGTATAAATTATCTACAGTATAATCATCTTTCATGCAGCCTGTACTAACTTTGACAAATTTAGGTAAGTGCTTAGACTAATTTAAAAGTTTCAAATAACCGTTTCTGAAAGTAATATGTATATGTTACAGAGATGTTTCTATCTGAGCTTGGAACTTGATAATAGCCATATATGTGTATAAATCACATAGAAGTATGTTTTTTGTTATAGTAAATGTCACATCTCTATGCTATATCAATGTCATTCAGTATGAAAAAAATGCATAAGGCAAGAATATTTAAGAAAAGTAGGTGGTTCAGTGTAATTATTTTGAGATTTCTTAAATACATCTATGTCTACATTAATGGTGGTTGTGTCTGCATCTTAGAGAAAATTATAAAACATAGAGCTATCACTAAAAATTATCATTTAAAACATTCAAATATTTTATGGCTTTTTGTTCATTATCCATATTTTTGTACATTTTTAAATATTTAAAAATACTCTAAATCATGGCTCACTAGTTTTTTTTCTTCATTGTATAGGACTTAATCCATGTGCTGTCCTATTCTGGCTTGTTTTTATCCTTTTAGATCAAATACTTACATTGAAGGATACCTTACTCTTTTTTCTTTCCCCAAATGTATAATAACAGCAATTAGCATTCCTGAGTTTTTTTAAATTTAGGAAATCAGAGAAGAACACATACAAACAATAATCAAAACAGTTAATTTTTTGCCTCATGCACAAGATAGCATAATTTTCTTTCTGTTTTGTCTGGCAAAGCAGAAAAGATAGAACATGTTATTATGAGGTTTTAATATAATATTTCTAAGATATAAAAATAAGTATATGATAAATGAAATTATTCTGTATTTCTCTGCTTCTTTTACTACTAAAATCTGATTATAACCATCAACTGATTCATTAAGGATTACCCAAAACATAAATGAGTAATGCAATTTATTTTATATTTTTTCTGTATTTGTAAAATATTTTTCAAAACTCATAGATTTTTCCATTTCTGCAACTTATTGAAAATTATAAAATTTAGATACACAAAGTTGTCTGATAAGGAAGTCAGAGAAAATAATTTTCCCTATTAAATCAGACTTTAATCAGATAGGATAAAAAAAGGAAATGTGGACATATGCATCTAAGGTCCCTAGAGATTGTTTTTCTTTTACTCAAGGTGAACCCTCTTTTCCTAATATGAAATATACAAATTACACTTCAAGAGATAAAACAATATAATAAAATACATTGCTCAGATTAAAATACAGTCATTTTAGAAGCAAAGATTGACGAACTTGAAGACATAGCAATAGAAAGCATCAAAAGTTCTTAAAAGACTAGAAAAAGATAAACAGAACATTTGTGAGCTGTGTGACAACTTAAAGTGGTTTATTGGTGTGAAATTGGAGCCCCAGGAGGATAGGAAAGTGAGAGACAGAAAAAAAGTATTTGAAGAAATAATGGTCAAAGAATGCCCAAGTTTGATGAAAACTTTAAGACCAAAGATTTAAGTAATTCAATGAGCCCCCAAAACAAGAAGCATGAATAAAACTATGCCAAAACATTATAATCATATTGCTTAAAACAGGTGATAGAAAATATTAAAAGCAGTAATGGGGGAACATATTACATATATTGAGAAATAAAGATAGAAATAATAACAGACTTCTTGTTGGAAACAAGCCAAAAGACAGAGGAGTAACATCTTTTTTTTTTTTTTTTTTTTTTGAGACGGAGTCTCCCTCTGTCGCCCAGGCTGGAGTGCAGTGGTGCGACCTCGGCTCACTGCAAGCTCCGCCTCCCGGGTTCACGCCATTCTCCTGCCTCAGCCTCCAGTAGCTGGGACTAAAGGCCCCCGCCACCAGGCCCGGCTAATTTTTTTATATTTTTGGTAGAGGCGGAGTTTCACCGTGTTAGCCAGGATGGTCTCTATCTCCTGACCTTGTGATCCGCCCGCCTCCGCCTCCCAAAGTGCTGGAATTACAGGCGTGAGCCACCGCACCAGGCCACAGAGGAGTAACATCTTAAGATACTGAAAGAAAAAAAGCCACGAGCCCAGAATTCTGTACCCAGAGAGAATATCATGCAAAAACAAAAGTATAATAAAGACTTTTTTAGACAAAAATATCTAAATTCATCACCAGGAGAACTAAAAAATAAGAAATATTAAAGGAAGTTCTTAGGCAGAAAGGAAGGATAAGGAATGACAGCACAGAAAATGGTAACTGTGTGGACAAATAAATAAATTTTTATCTTATTTTCGAGTCTTTTCAAAAGATAATTATTAAAACCACAAATAATGTAATGTTTATAAACTATGTAGAAGCAAAAATGAATGACAACAATTTGCTAAGGGGAATTGGAAATATACTGTTGAAAAGTATTTATACCATATGTGAAGTCATACATTACTTTATGGAAGGCTATAATATATTTAGAGTTTATAGTATAAACTCAAAATCAAACATTAGGATGAAAAAAAAAAACAAAGAAGTAACTAATAAACCAAAAACTAGATAAAATGAAATCATAAAAATTACTCACCTAACCAAGAGTCGTGACAAAAAGGAAAACTAAGAACAGATAAGATAAATAGATAGTAAGCTGGTAGATTTATACCAAATGATATAATAATCATATTGAATATAAATGACCTGAACACCGGATTTGACCAAAAAAAGCAAGACCCAACTGGATTCTATTTAAAGGAAACCAGTGTTAAATATAAAGACATAACTAGTTAAAACTAAAATAATAAAAAAGACATACTATGCTAACACTACTACGAAGCAAACCACAGTGGCTATATTATCAAAGTACATTTCAGAGCAAAGAATATTACCAGATATAAAATCATTTTATAATGCTAACAAGGTCAATTCCTCAACAGGACATAAGAACCTTAAATATCTATGTTCTTAATATCAAAGCTTCAAACAACATAGAGCAAAACCCAAAAGAACAGAAATAAGAAATGCATAATAGTCAGATTTCCTCATCCCAGTTCTCATAATGGATAGAACAAATAAGGATAGAACAGATTTAAATACAGGAAGACAAAAATCAGCTGGAAGGGATTAGTTAGGTTTAGGAGCAAGAATCTTGTAGGGAAAGGAGAAGGAATCAACAGAGGGAAAGAACGGTAACGTCAGCTTGAGTAGGATCAATGGGTGAACACTCCTGAGGATGCTGGAAGGTTGGGAACACATGCAAAGGTGGAGGAGTCAGCCCAAAGAAGACAGGCACAGACGAAAGGGAAAATGAAGATTTAGGAGCCTTTCAGTTGAGGAGAATAAAATTAAAGAAGCCTACAAATCCTTCTTCTCTCCTCCTGCATTTGGGTTACTCAGAACCACTGCAGACACCATGTGGTCGTACAGATGGAAGCCAGTACAGATTTATGGTATCCAATCTCATGTTCACCTACACCATGTCTTTAGTGAACTGTCAGCTCCTTCTCTTCTCAATGACTACTCCAAAAGCTCAGTCTTCTGTTGAAGTTGCTACTGTGTCCTTCCTGTCTGTGGTCTATTTGCTCTCAGATCCATTTCTTCCCTTCCCCTGCTCTCTTCTGTATTTCAGCAGCCCAATCTCTACAGGCTGCCTTTTTCAGCCTGGCTTCTGGGTGTTTCCTCCAGTGGAAAGCACAGGTAAGTGGTTGAAGGTGGAAGAGGAAGAGCTTGTAGATATTTCACTCTTCCTTTGTCCTTCAGACAGCTGCAGCTCTTGTGCAGCCTCGAGTCTACAGGCTGAGTCTTTGACTCCCTGCGGAAACATTGCTTGTGAATTGGGAGTAATTCACAAGCAATGCTCACTTCTACCCAGAAGTACAGGCCACTGGGCTACAGACGCACTGCCTTCTCCCTCTGTTCCTCTCTCCTAGAGGTGGTAGTGGTTTCCCACTGATGCTAATCTCTGGGGTAAATTACTATTCTTGCTTGGCTTCTTAACTCTTCCGTTAACCTATGTAACCAATTACCTACATTAAAATTTTCCTATATTAAACATTCACATGCTTTATGCTTTGCCTTTTTTCTGAGGCCAACCACCTAACTGCGAGATCTTGATTCTTGCTCCTTTGGAATTACCTTGTTCATCTATTGACTCTGATCATCATTTTAGCTTTTCTTTATCCCTCTCCTAACTACGACTCTCCTTTGGACAACACATTTCCGTTTAACATTTATTCTCTTCTTTCCTGAACACAGTTCTGCAAAGAGTGATCTGCACTTACTGCCTCTGCCTTCACACTTCCCATTCCCTTCTGAACCTACTCAAATCCAGTTCTACCCTCACCATTTAAGTAGACCTGGCTCTTCTCCTTGGTTGTCACTTAGTATCCTTTGTGGCTTCTCATCCTCAGTGAAGATGTTCTCAAGGCTCCTTCTCTTCTATTTCTTCACTCTTCCCCTTCCTTATGCAGTCTACACATTCTCCCTGGACAATGTTATGCATGTTCATGACTTTATCATAATCTTGCTGCTTATGACTTCCAAGTTTACAGCTAGCTTTAGCATCTTGCCTGTTTCAGACCCATATGTCCAATGTCAATGCCTTCTACTCAGCTTGACAAGGAGCACTGTCAAATTCAAGATGTTCAGTGAGGGATTTCTCTTCCCCCACAAGCATGTTACAGCTTACATTCATTATCTTGTAGAATTAAATCACCATCACCGATTTACTAAAGCCAGAATGAGGAGTCATCCTAAATCTGTCCTTTCCATTTATTCTCTATATCGAATCAATCATCTTTTTTTATCAGCTATTCCTCTTACATCACCCCACTGCTGCCATTTTTGTACTACTGACATATTATGGCCTTTTGTCTGTTTTCCCTTATAGAAGAACTATCAGAACTTTCTGATGGTCTCTGTGCTCCGAATTTTACCCATCCTCAGTCATCCTTTCAATTTGCTGCAAGAGAACTTTCCTAGTTCACAGTTTGGACCATGTCATTGACCTATTTCTGTGTTTCAGTGGTGCCTCATTACACCAAATGATAAGATCAAAATACTCTATCAAATTCTTGCTGCCAGAGCCTCTTTTTGGCCTCATCTCCCACACTGCTAGCCTCAGAACAACTCATGTCCTCACACAGCTCTGTGCCTGCCCACGAACGACCCTCTTCCTGGAGATACTCCCTCCATACCCTGGCTTCCTCAATAGTCTTGAAAATTCCTTTGCATCTTTTAACCCTCCTTTCAAAAACCTTCTCTGTAAAGCTTTCTGACACTTTTACAGTCAGTCTTAAGTGCTCCTTAAGTGTACCTAAGGAAGACTTCAGTGCAAAAACACACCTGTTTGCATTTTGAGTTTCATTACGCCTGGGTGCTGAATTTGGTGCAAATAAAATCCTGATAAATCAAAGTGCACCTTCACACCAATAAGATTATGTAAATATTTCCAAAGTAGGAGGATTTGGAGCAGGAAAGAAACTTCAGAGGAAAAAAGTTTAGATGCTGGTTGAGCCCTGTGCCATTTGGACTGAGCTCCATGAGAGGAGAAGGGAGGGTGGGGGGTAGAAGGTAATAACACAATGTCCACAGATTTGAAGGGTCTGAGAGTGGAGAAGATCATAGCCTGTCTTCCTGAGTAGACCTTCAAGGAGGCAGTTGAATAATAGCAGAGAAATGAATACATAGTGTGTCTCAGCAGACAGAAGCTCTCAGGATGGAGCAGAAATGGGAAGATGCCATCATGGGCCTGAAAGCTACATGCAGGCAGATAGGATCTTAAAGAGCTGCACAGTGTATTGTCAGGCCCCATAGGTCTTGTGGCAGCAGCTGATTCCTGTGCACAAATCCTGGGCACAGAAGTGGCCAAGAGTCACCAGAACTGTGATGCCACATTGGAACCAGGAATAATGCATCATGACACCTATAAATAAGTGACTTAGAGTCTGTTAGGGTTTACTCTTGGGGTTGCTTAGGTGTTCAACCTTTTCTCCCATCACGAAGTCGCAAGGTGAATTTTAACTGCTAGCCAGTTATAGAGGCCATGCCAGGGGATGGTCAATCTACTGAGGGCGGGGGTCTGGGGAAAACTTTGTTCACTGCCCAAATGGAGGCCCTGGAGGAGAAAGCCCCTTTCTGTACCTGAATGTTGCTATCTCTTGATCATCTCTATAACTACTACAGCTATTCTACAGTCGTGAGGAAAGATAGCTTGAGAGCAAAGCTAAAATGGGGAGAGGCAAAGAAAAAAGATGAAAAAAACTAAGGTTCTTCATGATGTCAAACTGCTATATCAACTCTGAAGCCAGCCCTGCAGGGAGATAAGGAAATATATTTTCTTTATTGTTTAAACCACTTTGAGTCCGGTTTTTCTGTTGTTCGAAGCCAAAAGCACTCTGACTATACAATGTTCTTGAGGATGCTCAAGAAACCTGAAAATTACCCTTTTAAAAGCCAGCATAAGCCTTCCTTTTGTTGTTCTTGTTTGTTTGTTTGTTTTGAGACCAAGTTCACTCTTGTTGTCCAGGCTGGAGTGCAATGGCGTAATCTTGGCACACTGCAACCTCCACCTCCTGGGTTCAAGCAATTCTCCTGCCTCAGCATCATGAGTAGCTGGGATTACAGGCACCTGCCACCACACCTGGCTAATTTTATATTTTTAGTAGAGACAGGGTTTCGTCATGCTGGTTAGGCTTGTCTCAAACTCCTGACCTCAGGTGATTGGCCCGCCTCATCCTCCCAAAGTGCTGGGATTACAGGCGTGAGCCACTGCGCCCTGCCATCTTTCTCTTTTGCTTATTTCCAGGAGTTTCTCTATCAATGGTACACACTTTGTCAGCCATTATGGGTTGAAATGGCTCAACAGAACATCAATGGAAGCCAAGGTGGACAGCATAGTACATTTTACATAAAAACACTGGGCTGAGAAGACAGCACACATTGGCTGAGAGATTTTATAGGAGGGGGAACTGAGGCCAAAGTGTAGCTAGAGTTCAGTCTCACTGCTAGTTTTCATTGTCTGAGGGCACAAAGATAGCAGTTAACACATGAAGGGAAGATTGATTTAAATGTTTCCCTAGGAAAATATCTCAAGGAGACTACAGATGTAACTAATTAGTAATTTTACATAACTATAAAATTAACCAGTGCTGCATAGATAGCATCAAACAGGATGCCCAATCAGCATGGTTTCATGGTCTCTGATCTCTAGAGACTATAAGCCTAAAGAATAGGAGAGAAGCAGACAGTGGCAGTTGCACAGGGCTAGCAGAAAGCAAGAAGGTAAGAGAGGGAAGAGGGGAAGGTTGGAAGAAAAGAGAAGGAAAGTTAACATTTTAAGAATGTAGTGTGGTAATGAGGGCACTTTAGCTCCATCTGACTGTAAAGTCTGGTTGAGGAGAGAGGCATGTGAAGGCAGAATGGGTGACAGGCTGAAATCATTAGGAAAGGGTGAGTAGCCTTAACAGGAACAAAAAAGTGGCAGATGTGGTCAACCAAAAGAGGTATTACAGAATTTGGTGTATAAGACATGGATTCAAGATGGCAGGGGCTAAGATGTAACTAAGATGTCTTAGTGAGAGTGAAGGATGGAGGTCAAAGGTCAGGGGTAGAAGTATGGTGAGACCATGTGGTAGCTCATCATCACTATGGACAGGGAGAGGAAGATGATTTCAGAAAATAGCATAATCATTCATCATGGGCCAAATATTCCATATGCTGATAGGTATCTTAGCCCATCCATAACTGCCAAATACCAAGTCACTAAGTTAGTGCAAAAGCTTTGATGTTTTTATTGTTTCTTAAAAAAAAAAAATTAAATTCGATTTCAAAATAAGTTCCATTTGATGAAGGTGTTCAGCATAATGCTAATCATCTACTGTTACTTTAAAAACACAAATAAATACAATGCATATTTTATTAAGGTGTTTGCCCTAGTCTGCATCAAAATACAGTCACTCTATATTCTGGCTTGCTAAACCATTCCTGGAGGACAACCTCTGAACTTGTTGAGAAGACCATTAGATGAGCCTAGACATAAATGGAATTTTTTTTTTGTGCCTTATATTTTATAACAACTTTATGCTCTGTTGTTTACCAAGAAACATTATGATGGAAAATTTAAAACAAATGTCTCTAATTTTAATTTTTTCCTCCCTGTGTTGACTGATTTTTTTTTTTTTTTTTTGAGACAGTCTTTCTCTGTCACCCAAGCTGGAGTGCAGTGGTGCGATCTCGGCTCACTGCAAGCTCCGCCTACTGGGTTCACGCCATTCTCCTGCCTCAGCCTCCTGAGTAGCTGGGACTACAGGTGCCCGCCACCACGCCCAGCTAATTTTTTGTATTTTTTTTTTTTTAGTAGAGACGGGGTTTCACCATGTTAGCCAGGATGGTCTCGATCTCCTGACCTAGTGATCCACCCACCTCTGCCTCCCAAAGTGCTGGGATTACAGGCGTGAGCCATCACGCCCAGCCGATTGATTCTTTTTGTTGTTGTTCATTTGTGTGTTTTTGTTTATTTCCTTTAGGTTGTTACTCAGGCTGAACCTTTGGCTCCCAGAGGAGATGCAGCTTCACTCTCAAGGCATAGACTTTGCATCCTCCTGAGCACCACCAGATATCTCTACTGAAGTCCACAGAACAAGACTATTGGACTACATGTTCTGTATGTTCTCTAACAAATATTTAGACCTAAGGATTTTGTTTCAATGTTTTCCTTAGAGAGATAAGATTCATTTATGTCATATGGAATGATGAATAAACCTGGCTTTGGGGATTTGATGGACCTTGTATTTTTCTCTACAAGGCCTTCTGGAAAACATCGCTTAATTTATCTGTTTCTTAATTTCCCATCTGTAAAAAAAAGTGGCAATAATGCTTATCTTTTCAAAGTTTTATGAGTTAGATAAAATAAGACATGTATAATATCTGATCAAGTAAGTACTCAATGGATAGTAATTTCCTCCTCTAATTGTCTTCAATAGGTCTAGATTCAATTTTTTTAAAACAATGATAAGACTTCATTTGAGGGCTATTGGACAAGGTTTGAGGTGGCAATGATGTTAGGTGTTTGCAAATTCCATCATAGTGGCTAGAATTAAGGCTTATGAATGTCAGGTTATAAATGGATGCCTGAGTGAGTCCAATGGCTCTGTGGCCCAAACCTATACTGGATTTTTTATATTTATTCAAAGAGATCAACAAAAATGCTGCCACTCTTGTGTCTGATATTGCTCTAACTATACAATCTCTTCCATTTCTTTTAGTAAAGAGAGCTAGAAGTATTTCATTTTATATTAAATGTAAATTAGTAGTTTACATTCACTGTCTTTCCCCAGGTCTAAGTTAATTCTAATACTCTTTTCCACAATATAGTCAACAAAGATATAGATTGCCTTAAATTTCTGAAAAAAAGTGATACATTGGTCCAATATATTGATAACTTCATGTTAAGGAGAAAGTGTCAAGTACACTGGATGCTCTGCTAATACACTTGTGTGTGAGTAATAATAATAAATAAATAATTTACCATATTTACCATGTTGGCAAATTTTGGGTAAGTACATTGTTCAGAGACATTACAAGAAAACCTCTCTAAAGTAAAGGATGAGTTATTGCTCTATTCACCCCCTGCCATTAAGAGATAGAATGTTTGTTGGGGATATTTGTATTTTAAGTCAGCATAAGTCACACCTGAGAATATTGCCCTAATTCATTTTCCATTAGGTGACTTAGAAGACTAGCGTTAAATAGGGCCCAAGTCAAGAAAAGGCTTTGCAGCAGGTCCAAGCTGTGGTTCAACCTTTTTTGCCACTTGGGTCATACAATCTTGCAGATCCATGAGTAGGGGAGAGGACACTGTTTGGAGTCTCTAGCAAATTCCAGAAGAAGAGTCACAGGGTTCTAGAGCAAGACCACACCCTCTTCAGCAAGTAACTACTCATCACTTGAAAAATAGGTCCCACTTCTAGTTTCCAGTGTGGCATGTAAGGAGCTTAGAAGTCTTTACTCCATCTGAATGATAATAAAAAGCTGAACAAACTGAGAAATCAACAACTCTTATATCCATTAAAGAAGTGAGGTCACAGGAAAACACTGCCCTCAAAACTAAAGGGACAGATAGGTGAATACAAAGAATCACAACCCAGCTGGAAAGTTTCCAAATAATTGGAGATTAAATAACACATGGGTCAGAGAAAATACCTTAAGAGAAATTTGAAAATACATTGAACTAAATGCAAACTAAAAGTACAATTTATCAGAGTTTCTGGGATACAACAAAACCAGTGCTTAGAAAAATATTCACAACATTGAATACATATATTAGAAAAGAAGAAAGATCTAACATAAATTATCTAAACTTCCACCATAGAGAACCAGAAACAGAAGAGCAAATAAATTAAAGTAAGCATAATAAAAAATAATAAAAATTAGGGAAGAAATAAAATTAAAAATAGAAAATCAATAGAGAAAATCAACAAAACCAAAAGCTGATTCTTTGAAAAGATCAATAAAATTAATAAGCCTTTAGCCAAGTTAAGAAAATATACAGAACACAAATTACTAATATAAATGAAAGAGGAGGCATCACTATAAATCCCGTGGACATTAAAAGAATAATGAAACAATACTATGGAAAAACTCTATATCTACAAACTTGACAACCTAGAGGAAATGAGACAATTCCTTGAAAGACACAGTCTGCAAATCTTATACAAGAAAAAATATTATATTAGTATCTGAATATGTCCATATTCATTAAAGAAATTAAATTAATAATAAACTTCCCAAACAGAAAACATCAGGCAGGCCCAGATGAGTTCACTGGTAAATTCTGTCAAACATTTAAGGAAGAAACTATACCAATTCTCTATAATTTCTTCCAGAAAATAAAAGCAGAAGCAATACTTTTTAATTCATCTATAAGTCTAGCATTACCCTAATGCCAAAACCAAACAAAGGCATCACAAGAAAATAAAATTATAGACCATTATCTCTCATGAACATAAATGCAAATATCCTCAAAATATATGAGCAAATCAAATCCAACAATATAAATAAAGAATTATACAGTACCACCAAGTGGAATTTGCCTCAGGTAAATAAGGCTGGTCTAACAAAATCAATTAATGTAATCTGTCACATCAACAGGCTAAAGAGAAAAATTACATGATCATATCAATAGCTTCAGAACAAAAGCACTCAACAAGATCCAACACTCATTCAGGGAAAAACTCTCAGCAAACTAGAAATAGAAGAGATCTTCCTCAATTTTATAGAGAATATCTACACAAAACCTAAAGCTAACATCATACAGTAGGCAATAAACTAGGGGCTTTTCCTGATAAGATAAAAACAAGACAAGGATGTTCCTCTCACTACTTCTTCTCAATATCACACTGTAAGTCCTAGCCAATGCAAAAAATACAAGAAAATGAAATAAACAGTATAGAATTAGGAAGAAAGAAATAAAACTGTTAATGTTCAGAGATGACATGATAATCCATGTAGAAAATCCAAAAGAATTGATGAAAAATCTTCTGAAACAAATAAGCTATTATAGTAAGGGGACAGGATGCAAGCTTAATATACAAAGTCAATCACATTGCTATATATAAGCAATGAATATGAGGAATTTGATATTAAAACACATTGTCATTAGCATTCTCTAAAATTGATATATTTAGGTATGAATGTGACAAAATATGTATGAGATCTACATGAGAAAAACCACAACACTTTGATGAAAGAAATTGTAAAATAACTAAATAAATGAAGAGATATTTTGTGTCAATGGTAGGAAACCTCAATATTAATATTGTTAAAATGTCAGTTCTACCCAATTTGTTCTATAGATTCAATGCAATCCCAATAAATCTGTACAAGTTTTGTTTGTGGATATTGAAAATATGATTTTATTTTTATTTATTTATTTTTAATTTTTTTAATTTATTTATTTTTTACAACAGAGTCTAGCTCTGTTGCCCAGGCTAGAATGCAGTCATACAAACTCAGCTCACTGCAACCTCTGCATCCCAGGTTCAAGCGATTCTCGTGCCTCAGCCTCCCGAGTAGCTGGGATTACAGGTGCCTGCCACCCCGCCCAGCTAACTTTCGTATTTTTGGTAGAGACGGGGTTTCACCATGTTGGCCAGGCTGGTCTTGAAATCCTGACCTCAGGTGATCTACCCACCTTGGCCTCCCAAAGTGCTGGGATTACAGCCATGAGCCACCATACCCGGCCAAAAATGATTTTAAAGTTTACATAGTGGGGCAAAAGACACAGACAATTCAATACTAAAGTAGAAGATCAAAATCAGAAGACTGACATTACCAAACTTTAAGATTTACTATAGAGCTACAGTAATCAAGACAGTGTGGGATAAGTCTAAAAACAAACAAATACATCAATGAAACAGAATAGAGAGCCCAGAAATAAACATACTTAAAAATTTCAACTGATCTTTGACAAAGGAACAAAACAGTCTTTTCTACAAATGGTGGCAGAACAACAACACATACATATGCAAAAAAAAAAAAAAAAAATCTAGAAACAAATCTTATGCCCTTTACAAAAAAAAAAAAACCAACAACCTCAAAATAGATCATAGATCTAAATGTAAAATGAAAAACTATAAAACTCGTAGAAGATAACACAGGAGAAAACACAGATAAAATTGGCTATGACAATGACTTTTTGATTCACCAAATGTGTGATTCATGTAAGAAATAACTGGACTTCATTAAAATTAGACATCTACTCTGAAAGACAATGTCAGTGATTGAGAGGACAAGCCACAGAAAGGTAGAAAATATTTGCAAAAGACACATCTGATAACGGACTGATATCCAAAATATACAACAACAACAACAACAAAAACTCTTAAATCTCAACAATTTACAAAAATGAGGTTTTGGTGTTTTCTGTTTTTCCAGGATGGTAGATTAGACTTTTAGCATACCTCGGCCATTTGGGAATAGCAAAATAGTACATAAAAATCAACTCTGTGAACTCTAATTCAAGAAAAAACATGGGAATTCACTGGAATACTGAAGGACACCCAAGACCTTGGGGAGGAGAAGATGAGCAGCCCCCTGTTAGCATTTGGCTAATAAAGTGAGTGAAGCCCCAGTACCTGAGTGAGGCAGCCAGTCTCCCTCTATGTCACACCTTTCCCCTAGTGATCTGTGCAACCCAGGCCAAGGGAGGGCATCCTGCTTTTCCCAAACCTGGGAGCTAGCTCAGATAGAGGCTGAAAGACAGAAAGAAAAAAAGACACTGGGGAAAGCTGAAGATATTTTCCCAGGCCTGGGACTGAAAGATGGATGCTGTTTTTAATCCAGGCTCAGATAAAATCAGTCCTTGTTTGGCAACCTGCCAATGGCAGCCACTGCAGACATTTCAGTCTCTGGCCAGACAGATCGAAGTGCTTGCACTGGAGTCGGGTAAGGGCCCCCACAGCCAGAATTCAGCAAAAAGTGTGGAGAGTGCCCCAGCAGTAGCCTCTGGAATTAGGCTCTCTCCTTTAGCAGAACTGGAGCAGAAGGAGAGTTGCTGAAGCTGACATTTATTCTGGATAGCATGACTTACAGCCAGGCACAGCTTTACCCCCATCTGCTCCCTTGGTCCATTGGGGGAGAGTGCCTGACCAGCTCTGAGGACACAGAGGAAAGTAGACTTCAGTCCCTTGGAGATCCAACCCTTGTTGTGGACTGCCCCTAAGGGAAGGGTAGCACAGCCTGCCAAAGCCTGCCTTGGTCAAAGGAAATGCAAATGTGGTGCCAGCCATTGAATGGGGCAATACCAAAGCCTAGGAACAGATTTGGGAAGGAATCATCTCTCCTCACCCCCTGCTGCCTCTCCAGTGCACTGCTGCAGACATGGCAGTGGCTCATCCCACTGGGCCTTAGGGAATGCAGGCTGAAAGACGCACTTCTAAGTCTTCTCCAGCAGCTCCATCTGCAGCTGAAGCTGAGCAGTAATGGGGGAGGGTACTTCATTGGTTTCTCCATTTTCTCCACTCCAGATGAGCACACACAGAGTAAGAGCTTCCTGCTGGCTCTTACTCTTAAGCACCATATACTGTACTGCAGCCTGGATTATACCACCAAACAAGAACACACAGCTCACCAAGCAATGTCTGAGTAAGCCATTGTATGAATCTATCTGCAATGAAGGAACCTGTGCAGAGCCTTGGCCCTCTGAAGGCACTCAGAATTGAAACCAATCAATCATACACAACATACACCACAGCCATACCCTAAAGAGAAAAAAGAATTAAAAAGTCCTATCCAAACAATAGCATATGCAAAAAAAGAAGCATCAGCTCCCTCAGATGAGAAGGAACCAGCACAAGAACTCAGGCAATACAAAAGCCAGAATGTTTAATGACATCTAAAGTATAGCACTAGCTCCCTAGCAATGGATGGATCCTAACCAGAATGAAATGACTGAAATGACAGATATAGAATTCAGAATATGGATGGCAAGAAAACTCAATGAGATCCAAGACAAAGTTGAAATCTAACACAAAGAACACAGAAAAACAATCTAGGATTTGAAAGACAATGTAACTATATTAAGAAAGTACCAAACGGAACTTCTGGAATTAAAAATGTTACTACTACAATTCCAAACTACAAATCAGAAGGCTTCACAACAGATTAAACGAAGAAGAAGAAGAAGAAAGAATTACAGAGCTGGAAGACTGGTCCTTCAAATCAACCTGGTCAGACAATTTTTTTTAAGAATTTTAAAAAAATGAACAAAGCCCTTGAGAAATATGGGATTATGTAAAGCTATCAAATGTACAATTTATTGGCATTCCTGAAAGAGAAGAAGAGAAAGTAAGCAATGTGGAAAACATATTTGAGGATATAATTCATGGAGGTTTCCCCAATTTTGCCAGAGAGCTTGACATGCAGATATAAGAAATCCAGCAAGATACTATACAAGATGCAAAATACTGTCCACAAGGCACATATTCATCAAATTATCCAAGGTCAATGCAAAAGAAAAAATCTTAAAGGTAACTAGAGAAAAGGGTCATATTCCCTATAAAGGAAAGCCTGGATTTCTCAGCAGAAGTCATACCAGCCAGAACAGAAGAAACATTTTTAGTATTCTTAAAGAGAAGAAATGCCACCTGAGACTTTTATATTCTGCCAAACTAAGTTTCATAAATGAAGGAGAAACAAAATCTTTTACAGAGAAACAATCACTAAGAAAATTTGTCACCACCAGATAGTCCCTACAAGAGACACTTAAGGGAGTTCTAAATGTGCAAATGAAAGAACAATACTCCTTACCACAAAAGCACACATAAGCACATAGCTTATGGACCTTTTAAAGTAACTACACAATTGAGACTACAAAGCAACTAGCTAACAATGTTATGACAGAAACAAAGCCTCACATATCAATATTAGCCTTGGTCATAAACAGCCTAAATGCTCCATTTAAAAGACAGAGTAGCAAGGTGGATTTAAAAAAAAAACAAGACTCATCCTCTGCTGCCTTCAAAAGACCCATCTCACATGTGATGACATCCATAGGCTCAAAGTAAAGGGATGGAGAAAAACCTATCCTGCAAAAAAACAAAAAAGAGCTAAGGTCACTATTCTTGTGTTAAATAAAACAGACTTTAAACCCACAACAGTGAAAAAGGAAAAACAAGGGTATTACATAATGACAAGGGGTTCAATTCAACAAGAAGACTTCACTATCCTAAATATATATGCACCCAACATTGGAGAGCCCAGATTCATAATACAATTACTTCTGGGACTAGGAAAAGATTTAGACAGCCACAAAATAATAGTAGAGGACTTCAACATTCCATTAACAGCACTAGACAGATCATCAAGGCAGAAAACTAACAAAGAAATTCTGGACTTCAATTCAACACTTGACAAATTGAACCTAAAACACATCTACAGAATACTCCACCCAACAACCATAGAATATATATTCTTCTCATATGCATATGGAATATGCCCTAAGATTGACCACATGCTCAGTTATAAAGCAAGTTTCAATAAATTTAAAAAAAATAAAAATCATGCCAAGCATCTGCTCAAATCACAGTGGAATAAAAATAGAAATCAATACCTAAAATAACCCTCAAAACCACACAATTACATGAAAACTAAATAATTTGATCCTGAATGACTTTTGTGTAAACAACAATATTAAGAAAGAAATCAAAACATTCTTTGAAACAAATGAAAATAGAGATGAAACATAATAAAACCTCTGTGAAAAAGTGTTAAGACAAAAGTTCATAGGGCTAAATGGCTACATCAAAAAGAGAGAAATTATCAAAATAATATCCCACCTAAAGGAACTAGAACAAGATCAAATTAATTCCAAAGTTAGCCGAAGAAAGAAAATAATTAAAATCAGAGCACAACTAAATTAAATTAATACCCACACAACCATACAAAGATTCAATGAAATAAAATGTTTGTTCTTTGAAAGGATAAACAAGATTGACAGACTGCTAGAAAGAGTAACGAATAAAAGGGACAAGGTACAAATTAGCTCAATCAGAAATGACAAAGGTGATATTATAACCGATTCCACAGAAATATAAAAGATCCTCAAAGATTACCTTGAACGTCTTCATATATACAAACTAGTAAATCTGGAGGAAATGGATAAATTCCTGGAAAAATATAACCTCCCAAAATTGAATCAGGAAGAAATTGAAATGCTGAACAGATCAATAATGAGTTACTAAATTGAGTAATAATAATAAAAAACTAGCAACAAAAAATGCCCTGGACCATATGGATTCATAGCAAAATCCTACCAGCCATACGAAGAAGAGCTGGCATCAGTCTGACTGAAACCATTCCAAAACATCGAGGAGGAAGTATTATTCCCTAACTCATTCTGAGACCAGCATCATCCTGATTCCAAAACCTGGCAAAGACACAATAAATACGGAAACTTCAGGCCAATATTCCTGATGAACATAGATGCAAAAATCTTCAACAAAATATTACCAAAACAAATCTAGTAGCTATCAAAAAATAAATTCATCACAATCAAGGAGGCTTTATTCCTGGGATGCAAGGTGGTTCAACATACCCAAATCAATAAATGTGATTCACCACATAAACAGATTTAAAAAACAAATACCAAGGCTCGAGCCAAGATGGCCGAATAGGAACAGCTCTGGTCTACAGCTCCCAGCGTGAGCGACGCAGAAGACCGGTGATTTCTGCATTTCCATCTGAGGTACCAGGTTCATCTCACTAGGGAGTGCCAGACAGTGGCCTCAGGTCAGTGAGTGCGCGCACTGTGCGCGAGCCGAAGCAGGGCGAGGCATTGCCTCACTTGGGAAGCACAAGGGGTCAGGGAGTTCCCTTTCCCAGTCAAAGAAAGGGGTGACGGACAGCACCTGGAAAATCGGGTCACTTCCACCCGAATACTGCGCTTTTCCGACGGGCTTAGGAAACGGTGCACCATGAGATTATATCCCCCACCTGGCTCGGAGGGTCCTACGCCCACGGAGTCTCGCTGATTGCTAGCACAGCAGTCTGAGATCAAACTGCAAGGCGGCAGCGAGGCTGAGGGAGGGGCGCCCGCCATTGCCCAGGCTTGATTAGGTAAACAAAGCAGCCGGGAAGCTCGAACTGGGTGGAGCCCACCACAGCTCAAGGAGGCCTGCCTGCCTCTGTAGGCTCCACCTCTGGGGGCAGGGCACAGACAAACAAAAAGACAGCAGTAACCTCTGCAGGCTTAAATGTCCCTGTCTGACAGCTTTGAAGAGAGCAGTGGTTCTCCCAGCACGCAGCTGGAGATCTGAGAACGGGCAGACTGCCTCCTCAAGTGGGTCCCTGACCCCTGACCCCCGAGCAGCCTAACTGGGAGGCACCCCCCAGCAGGGGCACACTGACACCTCACACGGCAGGATATTCCAACAGACCTGCAGCTGAGGGTCCTGTCTGTTAGAAGGAAAACTAACAAACAGAAAGGACATCCACACCAAAAACCCATCTGTACATCACCATCATCAAAGACCAAAAGTAGATAAAATCACAAAGATGGGGAAAAAACAGAACAGGAAAACTGGAAACTCTAAAAAGCAGAGCGCCTCTCCTCCTCCAAAGGAATGCAGTTCCTCACCAGCAACGGAACAAAGCTGGATGGAGAATGACTTTGACGAGCTGAAAGAAGGCTTCAGATGATCAAATTACTCTGAGCTACTGGAGGACATTCAAACCAAAGGCAAAGAAGTTGAAAACTTTGAAAAAAATTTAGAAGAATGTATAACTAGAATAACCAATACAGAGAAGTGCTTAAAGGAGCTGATGGAGCTGAAAACCAAGGCTCGAGAACTATGTGAAGAATGCAGAAGCCTCAGGAGCCGATGCGATCAACTGGAAGAAAGGGTATCAGCAATGGAAGAGGAAATGAGTGAAATGAAGCGAGAAGGGAAGTTTAGAGAAAAAAGAATAAAAAGAACTGAGCAAAGCCTCCAAGAAATATGGGACTATGTGAAAAGACCAAATCTACGTCTGATTGGTGTACCTGAAAGTGATGGGGAGAATGGAACCAAGTTGGAAAACACTCTGCAGGATATTATACAGGAGAACTTCCCCAATCTAGCAAGGCAGGCCAACGTTCAGATTCAGGAAATACAGAGAACGCCACAAAGATACTCCTCAAGAAGAGCAACTCCAAGACACATAATTGTCAGATTCACCAAAGTTGAAATGAAGGAAAAAATGTTAAGGGCAGCCAGAGAGAAAGGTCGGGTTACCCTCAAAGGGAAGACCATCAGACTAACAGCAGATCTCTCGGCAGAAACCCTACAAGCCAGAAGAGAGTGGGGGCCAATATTCAACATTCTTAAAGAAAAGAATTTTCAACCCAGAATTTCATATCCAGCCAAACTAAGCTTCATAAGTGAAGGAGAAATAAAATCCTTTACAGACAAGCAAATGCTGAGAGATTTTGTCACCACCAGGCCTGCCTTACAAAAGCTCCTGAAGGAAGCACTAAACATGGAAAGGAACAACCGGTACCAGCCACTGCAAAATCATGCCAAAATGTAAAGACCATCGAGACTAGGAAGAAACTGCATCAACTAACGAGCAAAATAACCAGCTAACATCATAATGGCAGGATCAAATTCACACATAACAATATTAACTTTAAATGCAAATGGACTAAATGCTCCAATTAAAAGACACAGACTGGCAAATTGGATAAAGAGTCAAGACCCATCAGTGTGCTGTATTCAGGAAACCCATCTCATGTGCGGAGACACACATAGGCTCAAAATAAAAGGATGGAGGAAGATCTACCAAGCCAATGGAAAACAAAAAAAGGCAGGGGTTGCAATCCTAGTCTGTGATAAAACAGACTTTAAACCAACAAAGACCAAAAGAGACAAAGAAGGCCATTACATAATGGTAAAGGGATCAATTCAACAAGAAGAGCTAACTACCCTAAATATATATGCACCCAATACAGGAGCACCAAGATTCATAAAGCAAGTCCTGAGTGACTTACAAAGAGACTTAGACTCCCACACATTAATAATGGGAGACTTTAACACCCCACTGTCAACATTAGACAGATCAACGAGGCAGAAAGTCAAAAAGGATAACCAGGAATTAAACTCAGCTCTGCACCAAGTGGACCTAATAGACATCTACAGAACTCTCCACCCCAAATCAACAGAATATACATTTTTTTCAGCACCACACCACACCTATTCCAAAATTGACCACATAGTTGGAAGTAAAGCTCTCCTCAGCAATTGTAAAAGAACAGAAATTATAACAAGCTATCTCTCAGACCACAGTGCAATCAAACTAGAACTCAGGATTAAGAATCTCACTCAAAACCGCTCAACTACATGGAAACTGAACAACCTGCTCCTGAATGACTACTGGGTACATAACGAAATGAAGGCAGAAATAAAGATGTTCTTTGAAACCAACGAGAACAAAGACACAACATACCAGAATCTCTGGGACGCATTCAAAGCAGTGTGTAGAGGGAAATTTATAGCACTAAATGCCCACAAGAGAAAGCAGGAAAGATCCAAAATTGACACCCTAACATCACAATTAAAAGAACTAGAAAAGCAAGAGCAAACACATTCAAAAGCTAGCAGAAGGCAAGAAATAACTAAAATCAGAGCAGAACTGAAGGAAATAGAGACACAAAAAACCCTGCAAAAAATTAATGAATCCAGGAGCTGGTTTTTTGAAAGGATCAACAAAATTGATAGACCGCTAGCAAGACTAATAAAGAAAAAAAGAGAGAAGAATCAAATAGACGCAATAAAAAATGATAAAGGGGATACCACCAACGATCCCACAGAAACACAAACTACCATCAGAGAATACTACAAACACCTCTATGCAAATAAACTAGAAAATCTAGAAGAAATGGATAAATTCCTCGACACATACACTCTCCCAAGACTAAACCAGGAAGAAGTTGAATATCTGAATAGACCAATAACAGGATCTGAAATTGTGGCAATAATCAATAGCTTACCAACCAAAAAGAGTCCAGGACCAGATGGATTCACAGCCGAATTCTACCAGAGGTACAAGGAGGAACTGGTACCATTCCTTCTGAAACTATTCCAATCAATAGAAAAAGAGGGAATCCTCCCTAACTCATTTTATGAGGCCAGCATCATTCTGATACCAAAGCCAGGCAGAGACACAACAAAAAAAGAGAATTTTAGACCAATATCCTTGATGAACATGGATGCAAAAATCCTCAATAAAATACTGGCAAACCGAATCCAGCAGCATATCAAAAAGCTTATCCACCATGATCAAGTGGGCTTCATCCCTGGGATGCAAGGCTGGTTCAATATACGCAAATCAAGAAATGTAATCCAGCATATAAACAGAGCCAAAGACAAAAACCACATGATTTTCTCAATAGATGCAGAAAAGCCCTTTGACAAAATTCAACAACCTTTCATGCTAAAAACTCTCAATAAATTAGGTATTGATGGGACGTATTTCAAAATAATAAGAGCTATCTATGACAAACCCACAGCCAATATCATACTGAATGGGCAAAAACTGGAAGCATTCCCTTTGAAAACTGGCACAAGACAGGGATGCCCTCTCTCACCACTCCTATTCAACATAGTGCTGGAAGTTCTGGCCAGGGCAATTAGGCAGGAGAAGGAAATAAAGGGTATTCAATTAGGAAAAGAGGAAGTCAAATTGTCCCTGTTTGCAGACGACATGATTGTATATCTAGAAAACCCCATTGTCTCAGCCCAAAATCTCCTTAAGCTGATAAGCAACTTCAGCAAAGTCTCAGGATACAAAATCAATGTACAAAAATCACAAGCATTCTTATACACCAACAACAGGCAAACAGAGAGCCAAATCATGAGTCAACTCCCATACACAATTGCTTCAAAGAGAATAAAATACCTAGGAATCCAACTTACAAGGGATGTGAAAGACCTCTTCAAGGAGAACTACAAACCACTGCTCAAGGAAATAAAAGAGGACACAAACAAATGGAAGAACATTCCATGCTCATGGGTAGGAAGAATCAATATCGTGAAAATGGCCATACTGCCCAAGGTAATTTACAGATTCAATGCCATCCCCATCAAGCTACCAATGACTTTCTTCACAGAATTGGAAAAAACTACCTTAAAGTTCATATGGAACCAAAAAAGAGCCCACATCGCCAAGTCAATCCTAAGCCAAAAGAACAAAGCTGGAGGCATCACACTACCTGACTTCAAACTATACTACAAGGCTACAGTAGCCAAAACAGCATGGTACTGGTACCAAAACAGAGATATAGATCAATGGAACAGAACAGAGCCCTCAGAAATAATGCCGCATATCTACAACTATCTGATCTTTGACAAACCTGAGAAAAACAAGCAATGGGGAAAGGATTCCCTATTTAACAAATGGTGCTGGGAAAACTGGCTAGCCATATGTAGAAAGCTGAAACTGGATCCCTTCCTTACACCTTATACAAAAATCAATTCAAGATGGATTAAAGACTTAAACATTAGACCTCAAACCATAAAAACCCTAGAAGAAAACCTAGGCATTACCATTCAGGACATAGGCATGGGCAAGGACTTCATGTCTAAAACACCAAAAGCAATGGCAACAAAAGACAAAATTGACAAACGGGATCTAATTAAACTAAAGAGCTTCTGCACAGCAAAAGAAACTACCATCAGAGTGAACAGGCAACCTACAAAATGGGAGAAAATTTTCGCAACCTACTCATCTGACAAAGGGCTAATATCCAGAATCTACAATGAACTCAAACAAATTTACAAGAAAAAAACAAACAACCCCATCAAAAAGTGGGCAAAGGACATGAACAGACACTTCTCAAAAGAAGACATTTATGCAGCCAAAAAACACATGAAAAAATGCTCATCATCACTGGCCATCAGAGAAATGCAAATCAAAACCACAATGAGATACCATCTCACACCAGTTAGAATGGCAATCATTAAAAAGTCAGGAAACAACAGGTGCTGGAGAGGATGTGGAGAAATAGGAACACTTTTACACTGTTGGTGGGACTGTAAACTAGTTCAACCATTGTGGAAGTCAATGTGGCGATTCCTCAGGGATCTAGAACTAGAAATACCATTTGACCCAGCCATCCCATTACTGGGTATATACCCAAAGGACTATAAATCGTGCTGCTATAAAGACACATGCACACGTATGTTTATTGCGGCATTATTCACAATAGCAAAGACTTGGAACCAACCCAAATGTCCAACAATGATAGACTGGATTAAGAAAATGTGGCACATATACACCATGGAATACTATGCAGCCATAAAAAATGATGAGTTCATGTCCTTTGTAGGGACATGGATGAAATTGGAAATCATCATTCTCAGTAAACTATCGCAAGAACAAAAAACCAAACACCGCATATTCTCACTCATAGGTGGGAATTGAACAATGAGATCACATGGACACAGGAAGGGGAATATCACACTCTGGGGACTGTTGTGGGGTGGGGGGAGGGGGGAGGGATAGCATCGGGAGATATACCTAATGCTAGATGACAAGTTAGTAGGTGCAGCGCACCAGCATGGCACATGTATACATATGTAACTAACCTGCACAATGTGCACATGTACCCTAAAACTTAAAGTATAATAATAAAAAAAAAATACCATATAAGCATCTCAATAGATGCAGAAAAAACCTTTAATAAATTCCGACATCCCTTAATGACAAAAAAGCCCTCAACAAACCAAGCATCAAAGAAACATACTTCGAAATAATAAGAGTTATGTATGGGAAACCCACAGTCAACCTCACATGGAACAGGCAAAAGCTGGAAGCATTCCCCTTAGAACTGAAGCAAGACAAGGGTGTCCACTCTCACCACTCCTATTCAACATAGTACTGGAAGTCCTAGCCAAAGAAATTAAGCAAGATAAAGAAATAAGAGACATCTATACTAGGAAAGAGGAAGTTAAATTACCTCTCTTTGCTGATGCTATAATTCTAGACATAGAAAACCGTAAAGACTCTGCCAGAATGATTTCAGTAAAGTTTCAGGAAAGTTACAAAATCAGTGTACAAAAATCAGTAGCATTTCTATATACCCCTAACATTGAAACTGAGCCAAATCAAGAATGCAGTCTCACTTACAACAGCCACAAAAAGAAGAAAATACTCTAGAATACATCTAAGCAAGCAGGTGAAAGATCTCTACAAGAAGAACTATAAACACTGCTGAAGAAAAATCATAGACAACACAAAATTGAAAGAACGTTCCAAGCTCATGGATTGGAAGAATCAGTATCAATAAAATGTTCATATTTTCCAAAGCAATCTACAGATTCAGTGCTATTCCTATCAAAATGCCAACATCATTTTTCACAGAACTAGAAAAAACTATTCTAAAATTCATATGTTAGAAGAATATGAATTCCAACTTGAAATTATAGTACAAGGCTACAGCAACAAAACAGCATGGTAATGGTATAAAAGTAGATGCATATACCAATGGAACAGAATAAAGAACCCAGAAATAAAACTGTACACCTACAACCAATTCATCTTTGCAAAGTTGACAAAAACAAGCAATAGGGAAAGGACTCCCTATTCAATAAATAGTCCTGGGATACCTGGTTAACCATATGCAAAAGAATGAAACTGAACCTCTACCTCTCACTATATACAAAAATTAACTCAATATGTATTGAAGATTTAAATATAATTTCTAACTATAAAAATCCTAAGAGAAGACCTTGGAAATAGTCTTCTTAACATCGGCCTATGCAGAGAATTTGTGATTAAATCCTCAAAAACAAATGCAACAAAAACAAATATTGACAATTGGGACCTAATTAAACTGAAGAGTTTCTACACAGCAAAAGAAACTTAACAGGTAAAAAGACACACCACAAAGTGGGAGAAAATTTTCACAAACTATGTACATGACAAAGGACTAATATTCAGAATCTATAAGAAACTTAAGTCAATAAGCCAAAAACCAAATAACCCCATTAAAAAGTAGGCAAAGGACATGAACAGACTTCTCAAAAGAAGACATACAGGCAGCCAACAAACATAGGGAAAAATGTTCAACATCACTAATGTTTAGAGAAATGCAAATCAAAGCCACAATAAGACACCATCTCACACCAGTCAGAATGGCTATTATTAAAAAGCCAAGGCCAGGCGCAGTGGCTCATGCCTATAATCCCAGCACTTTGGGAGGCCAAGGCGGGTGGATCACGAGGTCAGGAGATGGAGACCATTCTGGCTAACACAGTGAAACCCCGTCCCTACTGAAAATACAAAAAAATTAGCCGGGCGTGGTGGCGGGCACCTGTAGTTCCAGCTACTTGGGAGTCTGAGGCAGGAGAATGGCATGAACTCGGGAGGCAGAGCTTGCAGTGAGCTGAGATTGTGCCACACTGCACCCCAGCCTGGGTGACAGAGCAAGACTCCGTCTGTCTCCAAAAAAAAAAAAATAATAAAAATGAAAAAATGAAAAAAAGCCAAAAACAACAGATGTTAGCGAGGCTGAGGAGAAAAGAGAATGTTCATACACTTTTGGTGGAATTGTAAAGTAATTCAGCCCCTGTGGAAAACGGTTTGGAGATTTCTCAAAGAACTAAAAATAGAACTGCCATTTGACCCAGCAATCGAATTATTGGATGTATACCCAAAGGAATATAAATCGTTCTACAAAAAAGACACATGCACTCGTATGTTCATCACATCCCTATTCACAATAGCAAAGTCAAGGAATCAATCTAGGTTTCCATCAGTAATGGACTGGATAAAGAAAATATGGTACATATACACCATGGAATACTATCCAACAATAAAAAAGAATAAAATCATGTCCTTTGCAGAAATGTAGATGCAGCTGGAGGCTATCATCCCAAGTAAATTAACACAGAAACAGAAACCAAATACCACATGTTCTCACTTATAAATGGGAGCTAATCACTGGATACACATGGACTTAAAATGGGACTAATGGACACTGAAGACTCCAAAACAGGGGATTAAGGGAGGGAACAAAGGCTGAAAATCTTCCTACTGGATGTTATGTTCACTATGTGGGTGACAGAATCAATAGACACCTAAACCTCGGCATCATGCAACACACCCTCATCACAAACATGCACATATTCCCTTGAATATAAAATAAAAATTAAAAAGTAAAAGAATTTTTTAAATGAGCAACCTGGTTAAAAATGAACAAAATACTTAAAGGACTGAACTACTTTACAATCCCACCAGCAGTATATGAACATTCCTTTTTTTCCACAACTTCACCAACATCTGTTATTTTGTTTATTTTTAACCCATAAATACACCTCATCAAAGAAGATATAGAGATGACAGCTAACAATATGAAATATGTTCAACATCGTGTGCTATTAGGGACTTGCAAAATTAAAACAAAAATGAGATACCACTACACACCTATCAAAATGGCCAAAACCCAAAACACTGCCAACATCAAATGCTGACAAGGATATGGAACAACAAGAATTATCATTCATTGCTGGTGGGATTGCAAAATGATACAGCAACTTTGGAAGACAGTTTGACAGTTTCTTACAAAATTAAATATACTCTTACATACAATCCAGCAATCATGCTCCTTTGTATTTATTCAAATAAATTGAAAACTTATATCCACACAGAAACTCACACATGAATGTTTACAACAACTTTACTCATAATTGCCAAAACTTGGAGGTGACCAAGATGTAGTGCTTACAAGAAATGAGCTATCAGTCATGAAAACATGTGGAAGAAACTTAAATGAATATAACTGAATGAAATAAATCAATAGAAAAAAGCAATATACTTTATGATTCTTACTATGTGACATTCTGGAAAAGATGAAATGACAGAGACAATAAAAAGATCAGTGGTTGTCAGAGGTTACTATGGAGGGAAGAATGAACAGGCAGAACACAGAGGATTTTTAGGGCTGTGAAATTGCTCTGTATGATACTGAAATGGTGGATACATGTCTTTATACTTTAAAAAACCCATAGAATGTACAGCACCAACAGTAAAACCTAAATATAAACTACAGACTTTGGGTGATAATTAAATGTTAATGTAGATCCATAAATTGTAATAAATGTACCACTCTGGTGTGGGATGTTGATAGTAGGAGAGGTTGTGCATATGTAGGGGCAGAGAATATATGCAAATGCTCTGTATTTTCCACTCAATTTGACTTTGAACCTATAACTACTCTGGAAAATAAAAATGTCTTAATTTAAAAAATAAATTAAGTCCTGGCATGCTCCCAGGTCCTGCTAGGAACTAAGAGCTTGACTACAAAATATCAGTAACTATGCAAACAGCTTCCCATCATGAACTGTGATTGTCAGATCCTCAAAGTCTTACAGTTTGTGGGTTCTAGAGCAATCTCTTATACAATGGAAATGATACACAGGGGATCAAGCCCAGCCTGCTACAGCAGGCATTAGTGAAATACATTAAAATGTGGCTAGGATCCTCATTTTATCCATCACTATTGTATTGTCACTTCCTACCTATGGCCTTGTGAGAATTTCCCTAATGAGGTAGGAAAATGCTTATGCCTGACTTAGGGAGGGACTGGCTCGATATGTTGGTGCAAGCCAAAAATGAGCCACTCCTAAATTACAATCCTACTCAGAGATGTTCCTAAACGTTAGGGGTGAGGGGAAATTCTCTCTGTGGGTAGAGCTGTGAGTATTCCAGATTCTCGACTTATATGAAGGAATAAATAGCCTGACATAAGAATATAAACAATGGCTTGGCTGGTTGGTCAAGGGCCTTGCTATGATCTGAATGTTTGTGTCGTCATAAAATCCACATGTTCAAACCCAATCCCCAATGTCATGGCATTTGGAAATGGGGCCTTTGGCTGGGATGATTAGATTGTGAAAATAGAGGTCTCAGGAATGGGATTAGTGCCTTTATAACAGAGGCCCCTTCCCACATGTGAGCACACAGTAGGAAGGTGCCAATTATGTAGCAGAAAACAACCTCACCAGACTCTGAATCTGCCCGTGCCTTGATCTTGGACTTCCCGGCCTTCAGAACTGTGAGAAATACATTTATGTTGCTTATAAGCCACCTAGTTTATGGTATTTTATTATGGCAGCCTGAATAAACTAAGATAGGTTTAGAATATTAGAAAAATGGAGGCAAGGGGTTTGAGGTTAGTAACATATGGATGGACCTGTGAAATGGAACAAATTGGGAAGATATCTGTACACATGTCATTGCCCACCAGAGATTATACTTCATAGAGAATGCACTTATGACTTCAATGGACTTGATGATTCTCCCAGTGGATGTCAGCTAGACTCTATCTTTAGCCATCCCAGTATACAAGAGGACCATGAAAAGAGAAGCTATGGTGGTAGAACTAAAACCTATTTATGGATAGGAGCTCCCTCTTACCAATGCTACTGCTGAAGCTTGACTTATCAATGGCAGAAAACAAATCTCAGCCCTTGGTATGATACCATACCTCAAGGAACCAGGCTGCCACTTGATGATACATTAATTGCAATGGATCTCTATTATTCTGGAGAGGTCAGCAGTTGGTCCTGAGTGGAACTGACACTTAGACCAGAGAGGGACAAGCTTTCTGTCCATTGTGCCTCTATCTGCACTACAATGAGGGCTCTATGAGACCTAGTTTACTGATGTGGGGTCTCTTACAACATAGCTTCATAGCTTTAGGCCAAGGGACCCATTTTATGAGAAAAGCAGTGCCCTAAATGGCACATGACCCTAGTATCCATTCTTTCTCGCATACACCAGCCTGACAGATACTGGAATAACTGATGAAAGGCTCAGCTAATGCACAACTTAGGTATCACACCTTGAAGGGTTGGAGTAAAGTTTCCCAGGATGCAGCATATACATGAAGCAAAGAATGATTGTGTGGAAGTAGGATTGGTGCCTCTTGCCATCATCCTAGTGTCCCACTTGAAAAGTTGTATATCTCATTCCCACTGGAGGTTGTATAAATTAGAGTATTCTTCAGTAAATATTAACTTCCCCCAACATACACACACGAAGTCCATGGGAAGAATATACTTCTCTGCTCTACTGATGTTGAATTTGACAATGTGGTATGCTTGGGCCTCTTGGAGTATAAATTTCTATACTTTGACTTTGGGCTCAGAAAAATGCCTTGCTTTAGTCAGTGATATGGCAGTAGAGATGATGCAAGCAAAGGCTTGATATGTGCTAGTGCAGCTGGCCTTGCTCTCCTATGTTTCTGCCATTGCCATGAGAAGAACATGCAAAGGTAACCTGCCTTTCTAAGAAGAGTAAGGGAAACATGGAGCAGAATCATCCCAGCCAACCCGAGGCCCACAACTTAAAACAGAGGTTTCCCAATAGATCTGTGAGCACTATAATAAATGTTTACTGTTGGAGGTTACTGAGCTTTGAGATGGCATATGATACAATAAATGAATAACACAGAGGCCCTAGTTTCAGTGGAGGTGGGAGACATTTCCATCAGGAAACACAGCAACGGTTCCACTGAACCTAAATCTATGATTACTGCCATTCACTTTGAGATCCTCTTGCTGGCAGACCAGAAAGCATTTATGCTGGAAGAGCAATCAGCCTTACTAATCATGATGACCTAAGACTGTTGCTATGTAATGGGACCAGGGAGAACAACGAAACATAGCAGATTCACCAATGCCACAATTGCAGCCTGATAAAGGCAAGATTACCAAAGGCTTAGAGTCCTTAGGGATAAAAGCCTGTGTTCTTCCGGACAAGCAAACCAGACTAGAATGATCTAAATGGTCAGAGGTGAAGAAATTACATAATAGAATAAATAGTGGAAAAGGAAGATAATGTAATAATACCTGTGGCCTGACCGAACAAACCACAGAAGTGCGGACTATTTTTTTTCCACTAACTCTTCTGGCCTAGGTCTTTTTGTTTTTTTTTCTTAAGAGAAATTGTAACCACCTTGAAGAGTCAGTGACAGATTGGAATCAATGTAGAACATGAAAGGATAAAAGAAACTGACTGATGTGAGGTGTGGATCGAGAGGAAGGAAGGAAGGGAGGGAGGGAGGGAGGGAGGGAGGGAAGGAGGGAGGAGGAAGGGAGGGAATTAAGTTGTGTCCCTCAAAAATGTGTGTCCAAGTCTTAACTTCCAGTACCTGTGAATGTGGCCTTAATTGGAAATAGGGTCTTGGAAGATGTAATTAAGATAAGGAGTTTAGGATGGAATTATTCTGGATTTAGAGTGGGCCCAAATCCGATGACTGGTGTCCTTATAAGAGAAGAAAGCAGGATATTTGAGACACATAGGCACCAAGGAAAGGAGGCCATGGGAAGACACAGGAAGAGATTGGAATTATGCTGCCATGGACCAAGAAACACCTGGACTCAGAAGCTGGGAGAGGCAAGGAAAGATTCTTCCCTAGAGCCTTTGGAGGAAGCATGGTCCTACCAACCCCTTAATTTCAGACTTCCGACCTCCAGAACTATGAAAGGATACATTTATGTTATCTTGAGCTACCACATTTGTGGCAATTTGTTGCAACAGCCCTATGAACCTAAACATATGAGGAAAGAAGATAAACAAGCAAGAATTGCAAGTACTTGAAAATGTCCTAAACTTTTACATAATTTATAAAATGAGGCACTAGTAAGTGATCATAATGATTCCTTCCAGCCCAAAACATTCATGAGTCTACAAAGGTTTTGCGCTAAATAATTACCTAATGTATTTTTGAGGAACTAAGGGAAGATGAGTGAGATGGAACTCTGATGTGCTTCTTAGCTTGGGCCATGCTACATCAAGGCTTCCCTGCAGTACAGGCTTATTATATTTACTCAGTACATCTTTTCTTCAGGAATGGAAATAAGAACATTTCCTTTGGATTGTTCTGTGAAATATATGTGTGAAGTATATGTGAAGTATATGTGTGAGATTGCCCTTCAAAGAATTTCAGTGAAAACTATTTGATTCAAAATAGTTAACACACTTTTTAAACATATAAAATAAAATATATTTTATTTTAGTCTGAATGCAGCAGAGATCAAAGAAAATTGAAAATAATGATGACTGTAATTCAGGTATAAAATATAGAGAGAAATGAAATTCATAAGTAAATTGGCCTCCAGCCTTAATATTAGGTTTCAGTTCTGCAGGTAGAATTACTACGTAAAAAAAAAAATCTTTTTTACTCAGTAACATGTTTGGTTCTTAATTTGTTAATCAAGAAGGAAAGCTAGAGGTAAAAATTGTTCCACTGGTTCTTCGGCAGAGATGTAGAGTGAATGGGTTTAGAATTTGCATCTCAGAAATTCAAATATAGCGAAAAAAACATACAGACATTCTGTTACATTTTGAACATGGAATTCAGCTGTGAGTGATATGAATTCACTTGCTTATATATGATTTTATTAACCACATATTTTTGCTATTCATAATCACTCCCTGGTAAGCTTATCCAGTTTCACTGCTTCAAATACCATCTTACCGTCAACAACTCCCAAATTTATGTCTCAAGCTCAAAGTTCTCCCCTGAACACCAGACTCATACATCCAACTGCCTCTTGACATCTCCACATACATGTTGAATAAACAGCTCAAACCTAACATGTCTCAAGCTCCTAACCTGCTCCGCAAGCCTCCTGCAACTGCTCATGACTCCATTTTCATGAGTGGCATCTCCATCCTTCTCACCATTTTTCAACTTACATCTCACACCCAATATTCAAGACATTCAGTTGTCTTTCCCCTAAGAGTGCATCCACATTCTGATCACTTCTCATCACTTCCACCCTAGCCCAGTTTGATCATCTCTCACCTGGATCTCGCAATCATCTCCTCACTGGTATTTCTGCTTACACCTTGGGCCTTCTACAGTCAAATTCTCAAATAGCTGCAGGAAAGATCCTTTTAAAACTTATGTTATGTCATGCCCTTTCTCCACCCAGAAGCCTCAGTTTCTTCCTTCTCACTCAGAGTAAAAGGTCCCCATTACCCACCTCTTTGGCCTTGCCTGCTATGACCCGACCCACTCACTTCTCCACGGACCCTGTTCTCTCTGAGGACAGCAGAGAACACTCCTTCCTCTCCAAGCTTTTGCTATTGCTATTTGCTTGCCTGGAGTGTTCTTTCTCCAAATACCCTCCTGGCTAGCTTCCTTCACCTCCTGCATGTCTTGTTCAAATGTCAGTGTTAAAAGGAAAATGATAGACAAGTTAGATTTAACAGAATTCAATTGGGGGAAAAACAATTTGTGAACCAGGCAGCCCCCAAAACCAGAATAGGTTCAGAACAACTCTGGGGCTACCACGTTGTCTGATGACATAGATGGACAGAAAAAGGAAAGTGACTTAAAGAAAAAGGAAATGAGGTACAGAAACATCTGGGTTGGTTACAGCTTAACGTTTGCCTTATTGAACATGATTTGAACAGTTGGCCACCTGTGATTGGCCAATATTCTGTGTTGACACAAGAGTAGGTTACAGTCTGTTTACACATCCAGTTAGGATACAGTTCCCTGTGCATAGAGAAATCTTTAGACTAAATTTAAAATATATAAGAAGACAGCTTTAGGCTCAATGGAATTTAACATCACCTTTTCACCGAGGCCTTCCTCTACTGCTTGTGTTCATATGGATCCTCCAAAAAGCAGATACCAGGATGGCGGTAAGCATGCAAGGATTTTATAAGGAGAAACACCTATAAAGGAACATTAGTAGAGAACTAGAAGCATTAAGAGAATTATATCAGGCTGACCCTGAGGGAAGGAGAGAGGAAAGGGAGTTGGGTACAAGTGCCCTGGATAGCTGGGCAGTTCCAACACATGAGCCCTCTGTCTTTGCCCCAGGGCACCTGGCTTTTTGTTACCTCTCCACACACAGGCAGACTGTTGTCCTCTACTTGGAAGGGTCTTTCCCCGGTTTTCACTGGACCAAGTGTCACTTATGATTTTATTCTCAACTTCATGTCATTTCTATAGAGAGGGCTTCTCTAACTCCACTATCTAAAGTAGTTTCCTCCATGTGACCCTTTCATTTATCTTTATTCTTTTTCCTTGGACACTCTTGTCACAATAGTTAATATTGTTCATTTCTGGGCTTGCTTATTTAAATTTTGTCTCTCCCTTTTGGCTGTAAGCTCCATGAATTTATACTAAGGCTCCCTTTCTCACTATTGTGTCCCAAGGGCCTACGTAGCACCTTCCAGCAGAGTTCTCAGCAATAGGGGACACTCAATAAATGGATGCTTAATGAATCTTCAGTGAACAACTGCAGTACATAACATTCTTGGAAAGTATGTCTATTAAAATGTTTTAGAAAATTTTTAAAAAATGTTAAATACATAAAAGTCAGAGCTAGCAGAAAGGGGGTCATAAGGTCAAATTCTCAGGACATCTATAAAGATATCCACATCCCATTTTTCAGAATCCCCTGGTCTTTGCATAGCAGACCTGAATAAGCTGAGCATCCAAACATCTCTGTGACTATAGTAATTAGGTCTTCAGCCTACTTTCAGTTATGTCTGCCCTGCCAAGTAGGAGATAAAATCTTCCTTGAATGCTAGAAGAAAGCCCTGAGATTGTCACGCTTGCTGATAGCCTCATTTGTTCATTATCCTAATGTAAGATGTAAATTCAACTTAGCAATAACCACCAACTCTGATGTCTTTGTGGGCGCTGATCCCTTGATATATTGCAAATGCCTATAAGTATCACACCTGCTCTGGCATTCCCATTACCAGCAGGTCATGGCTACAGGTCACCACCAGTGAAAACTTTAGCAATGGAGGTGCTACCTGATGTGCCAACTACTGACCAGGAAAGCATTATCGCTACCTGCTGCTGGGTGATGGGTGAGCCAGGCCCAAATCCCCATCTTACTGCTTTTTTCCTAGGACCGCTGATGGTACCACTCTTGTTCATCTAGGTCCTGTAAGAGGCAGATGCCAAGATGGGATTAAACTCACATGCAGTTTATTAGGGTAAATTCCTGTGATATTAACCTAACCCGAGTGAAAGAAAAGAGGAAAGAAAGGTTGGATGGAGGCATCATAGACTGCTGCATTGTCTAGGGAAGGTTCTGCAAAGCCCTAAGGAAGTCCTCAAGCCAAATTCAGCTGTCAGCAGAGTCCCATGCATCTCAGGGATGGGCCTGCCTTAGTATTTCTGCCACATTCCATCATTGAGCAGCCCATGGAAAGGATGGCCTCAGCACAAACCCAATGATGGATTTCAAGGTGCAGCAGTTGGAGCCCTTGAACTCTGTAATAGGCAGAATGTTTCCCAAAGATGTCCACATCCTCATCCCTGTAACCTATAAATGTTACATCATGTGGCAAAAGGGAATTTTCTCTGACTAAAGGCAGAAGAGTGACAGAAGGGTAAATCAGAGAGATTTAAAGTATGAGAAAGGCTTGCTGTGCTGCTGCAGGAAAGCAAGTGACCTTTAGGAACCGAGAGAATCTCCAACTGACAGGCAGCAAGGAAATCAGTACTACATCTGCAGGCAATTGAATTCTGCCAAAGACTTGAGTGAGCTGAGAAGTGATTTCTCCCACAGAGCCTCCAGAGAAGAGGCCGGGCCTATCAAGACCTTGATTTCAGGCTCGTAAGATCCAAAGCAGTAGAGCCAGCCAAGCCTGCCCAGGCTTCTGACCTACAGGAACAGTAAGATAATAATTATGTGTTTTATTAAGCTACACGGTTTGGGGTAACTTGTTACAGCAGCAATGGAAAACTAATACACACCCTCTGTAGCTGGAGGACAGTGAGACACGTTCTCTGGACTTCCACACCACCCTATGTAAAGTCTCAGCTCAGCCATTTATTCCTTATCGCTACGCCTGCCTTATTACTCTCCATACACATGTCACTTTCTAATAGTCTATATCATTTACTGGTTTACTTTGTTTGTTGCCTGCTTCCCTATACAAGGGCAAGAGTTTTAATCCATTGTTCACTGAGGTTCAAACAGTGCCTAGAACATAATAAAATGCTTTTGAAAATTTCATTTAATTTTATTAATAAATATTAATTCTTCTGTATTTCCATTTGGTTTGGATTGTGGCAGTGTACAACTGAATGCATGGAATATAGGTCAAAAACTCAAGAAAAAAAGGAAGTAAAGCTATAAAAAATAGGTATGGATTCCATCGATCTGCTCTTTCTGCCTAGGATTTATGTGGTCACTGATCATCCAAATAGCAGCGTATTTTCACAGAGTAATTTACTTTGTTTCCAGGGACAACTAAATACAAATCTTTTGGCTCATTGATTGTGAAGAATATGGCCAGGCCCTTCTCCTTTGTCACTCCTTTGATATACTGGAGCAACCCCACTAGTCCAACTAAGCTGGCAATCCCCAAGTTTGACATTCACCTGAGGTCCGGGTGATATAATCTCCAACTTGGAGATAAACTGAGGCTCAGAAAGACAATCATTTGCTCAAAGTCATACAATTAATAAGAAGCAGAACTCAGACCCATGACTTCCCATATCAAATCCCATGTTCCTCACATTGTGACATGCTCTCTTTTGGCTCGATTGACTTAAAAAATGATGGACAAGATGGGAGGCATGTGGAAACAGAAAAACTGATTTAAGAGGTTTAATTGTGGGAACATAAGAAGACTTTGAGAAAAGAAAAAAATCTGGGCAAAATAAATTTAGGAAGAGTATCTAAAAAGCCTTATTTTTGAGTATGCTTAAAAACAGAATGCATGCATTAAACATGTACACAATCATTTGGGATTCATCCATATATTTCATTAACCAGGATGTGACCCTGGAAAAATTGTAATGGAAACCATGGCTTTAGGTGTAGTTTTCTCAATTTGCCAAGTACACAATAAGGAAAGAATCATATGTGCTTCTGAGGTCAGAACATTGTAAATTGTTAGCATCTCAAGCCCACTGTGACCTTCACCTGGCCAAAGAAGAGCATTAAGCGTAGATGACAAGGCTTTCCTTATATCCCATGCCGACTGCTACCCAGTTTTTCTTCTAAAATGAAAGATTCCATAATTGTTTCTAGTAATGTGAATGGTTCAAAAAATAGGGGAAAATTATAAAAATAATACTTGGTCATTTTATAATAGAAAAATTAAAAAATAGAGAAAAATAGAGAATAGTACAAATACTGCCCCAAATGCCATTCTCCAGGGGCATTGACTATTAATATTTTAGTATATCTGTCTTTAATTTTTTGCACATTATAAATAAAATGTTTTAAATAAAGTTAATGTACTTTTAATTCTCCTTCCCCAGACCAGTCCCCAGAGTGAACCACTTTTAAAGATGTGACACACATTCTTCAAGTTGATATTTTACATTTTTCTTAAATATACATGGGTATTATATTTCTTTTGTGTTTTTAAATTTTTACATACATACTACCATACTGTACTAAAGGTCTCTTCAAGGCCAAGCATGGTGGTTCAATGCTGTAATCCTCACACTTCGGAAGGCCAAGGTGAGAAGGTCGCTTGAGCCTAGGAGTTTAAGACTAGCCTAGGCAACATAGCGACAACCCATCTCTAAAAAAATAGAATAAAAATAAAAAATAGCCAGACATGGTGGTGCATTCCTGTAGTCCCAACTACTTGGGAGGCTAAGGTGGGAGGATCACTTGAGCCCAAGGGGTCAAAGCTGCAGTGAGCCATTATCACACCACTGCACTCCACCATGTCCTATCTCAATAAATAAATAAATAAAAACCTTCAATTCATTTTTTTATTCAGTCTAGTATTTTGATCTATTTATATTGTCAAAAATTAGTGTACTGTTCATGAATTTTAACTGCTATCTAAAATTATACATTATGACTAGGCCACAATTATTTATTCCTTCTGAATAATATTTAGCTCTTTGCAGTTTTTTTCTCTCATATTCCAAAAAACACTGTAGTGGATATTCTTAAAATATTACTTCCTGGAGCACAATTGCAAGAATTTATCTGGACAATATTTTTAGAGGAGAAATTGCTAGATCAGAAGGTATGCACAATTTTAACTTCACTTGATTTTGCTCAGTTACTCTCCCTGTAATGGTTGCACGAATTCATATTACCACAGCAGTATGTGAGTTGTTTTCCTCACATGCTTTTGTAACACATATATATGCATACATATATGTATACATACATATATCTAGACACGTAGCTATACATAACTATATATTCTGGATAAGAATTTTGGTTTATGTTTCAAATATCTTCTTTCAAATATCTAATGTTTGCCTTTTTTTTTTTTTTTTTTTTTTTTGACAGAGTCTTGCTCTGTTGCCCAGGCTGGAGTGCAGTAACATGATCATAGCTCACCACAGCCTCGATTTCCCAGGCTCAAGCAATCCTCTCACCTCAGCACCCTGAGTAGCTGGGACAACAGGTGAACGCCACCATGCCTGGCTAATTACTGATTATTATTATTATTATTATCATTATTATTATTTAGTAGAGACAGGGTTTTGCCACATTGCCCGGGCTGGTCTCAAACTCCTAGGCTCAAGAAATCCTCTTGCTTCTGTCTCCCAAAGTACTAGAATTACAGGCCTGTGCCCAGACTGCTGTTTGCCTTTTACACTAGATTATCATACAAGTTTTACATTTGATTATCGTCAACTTTATCAGTCTTTTCCTGTAAGAGTTGTGCTCTTTTGGATCTTATCCAAAAGTCTTTTCTTGATAATTGGCTATTCATATGCAGAAGAATGAAACTGGTCCCCTACTTCTTATCATATAAAAATATTACTCAAGATGGATTAAAGACTTAAAAAGTCCTAGAAGAAAACCCAGGAAACACGCTTCTGGACACTGGCATTGGCAAAAAATAATTATAACCAAGTCCTCAAAAGCAATTGCAACAAAAACAAAAATTGACAAGAGGGACCTAATTAAACTAAAGATTTTCTGCACAACAAAAGAAACTATCAACAGAGTAATCAGACAACCTACAGAACGGGAGAAAATATTAGCAAAGTATGCATCTGACAAAGGTCTAGTATCCAGAATCTATTAGGAACTTATATCAACAAGAAAAGGCCTAATAAATTCTCATTAAAAAGTAGGCAAAGGGCATGAACAGGCACTTCTCAAAAGAATACATACATGCAGCCAACAAACATATGAAAAAATGCTCAACAGCACTTTGATTTGATTTATATCATCAGAGGAATGTAAATTGAAACCACAATGAGATACCATCTTGAAACAGTCAGAATGGTTATTACTAAACAGTGAAAAAACAACAGATGCTGGCGAGGCTGTGGAAGAAGGGGAATGCTTATGCACTGTTGGTGGGAATGTAAATTAGTTCAGCCACTGTGAAAGCAGTTGGAGATTTCTCAACGAACTAAAATTAGAACTATCATTCAACCCAGTGATCCCATTACAGTGTATACACCCAAAAGAAAAGAAATCACTCTATCAAAAAGATATATGCACTCTTATGTTCATCGAACACTATTCACAATAACAAAACATGGGATCAACCTAGATGCCTGTCAATGGTGGATTGTATAAAGAAAATGTGGTACATATACACCATGAAATGCTACACAACCATTAAAGAGAAAGAAATCATATCCCTTGCAACAACATGGGTACAGCTGGAGGCCATTATCCTAAGTGAATTAACATAGAAACGAAAAAGCAAAAACCACATGGTCTCACTTATAAGTGGGAGCTAAACATTGGGTACACATGGACATAAAAATGGGAACAACAGACACTGGGAACTACAAGAGAGGAAAGGGAAAGTGGGGGGATAAGGGTTGAAAAACCACCTATTGCTACTGTGCTCACTACCTGGGTGATGGGCTCAATCATACCCCAAACTTCAGCATCACGCAATATACCCTTGTCACAAACCTGCACATGCACTCCTTGAATCTAAAATAAAAATAGAATTATTTTAAGTTCATGCTTCACACTCAGTCATTGCATTGTATATTTGCTGTTTGCCATCCCAGATCCACCTACCACTCTTCCGTATTCTGTTCTGTGCTCTGTAAATTCAACCTCTACACAATGCATCAGTTGAGTTCCCTTGACCTCTAGTTTCCTCTTGGGTTTGATCAATGGGAGACATCTGCAGGAGATCAAGGGATGGGAGGAGAGAAAATTGAGGCATTTGTATTCCTGACTGTGAAATTTTGGAAATGCTGCATTTCTCTAAGGTCATAATTTCTATTGAGTAGCCCTTTTTCTGCAACTAGAGGTCTCCACATTTCATGTGACCATTCCCTTCACCTTCCCCTTTAAGCTTAGAGATTGAAACAGTAAGGACTGTTTGTTCTGGCCAGCCCCAGAATGCTTCACCATCCTATGTTGGTTTCCCTTAATTGTCTCCACAACTTTATAACTAGTCCATTCATTTAACTCTCTTAAATTACTGCTTTTTTTCCTGCCCAGACCCTGAACAATATAGTCATGAGTATATTCTGTTATATATAATTTTAATAATTTTCTGTATTTTTTAGAGTTTATACAATATGAGCTTTATGTATATGATATGAGGTTGATGTATATAGTATGAGGTCAGGAACTAATTTTATTTTTTCCCATGTGGAAAGCCATGTGTGCAACACTATTTATTGAACAGTCAAGTCTTTTCCCACTGATGTATCACACTCACTTGTATCATAAACCAAGAAAGCGCATACACTTGAGTCTGTTTCTGAGTTATTCATTCAGTTCCAGAAAGACAAGATATTTAAGCTCCCCACATGGTTAATATGTATTTCATATCGCTGTGTGAGAATTGAGTTAATACTTTCCTATTGATCAGTACAGGCTACTACTTTGATCAATACAGGGCACATAGTAAAAGCTAAAAATCAGTTATATACTGTTTTCATCAATTTTTTATATCTTTGCACAAATCCTGCATTCTTTAATGACTATAGGTTTATAGTTAATGTTGATATCTACTGGGATATGTCTCTTTTACTGTTTTTATGTTTGCTTGTTTGTTTGTTTGTTTGTTTTATTGTGGCTTGACAGAGATTCCATGTGGCATTTTTATCTTCCAAAAAATCCTTCTAGCATGACGGGATCTGCCATGCTCGAGGGCCCCAATTGACAAGTGAAGTGTGATTTCAGGTGAATTCTCAGCCTTGGCCTGATCTTGCAGAGAGGTAGACAGTATAACAACAGCACAGAGTGTTTTCCATCTTGAGGAAGTAAGCTGGTCTTTCATATTTCTCTATCTGTCATTGGGTTGCTGCAGGTTGGGAGAAGGATGAGTCAATCCCTGGGTTCTTCCATCTCTCAGCTATCTACATGAATCAACTTGAATAGCCTCGTGGTGGTTCTTGAAGAAAATTGCAGGAGGAATCCAGTAGAATGAAGAGCACTGAAGTTGGAGGATGGCAAAAGGCTGTGAGGGGCACTGAGCAGAGCACCAACATAATCCATTACAGCAGGTCCAAGCATGGTACTCACCAAAGGCATAGGCAGATGGAGCTCAAAGCCCCATCAACAGCAAACCCTCCCTTCCAAGTCAGATGCAACAGCAAACCCTCCCTTCCAAGAGCAAGCCTTGATGCCAATAAAAGGATGTATTCAATCCCCAAATACAATCCAGCAAGCTCTGTATTTTTGTACAGGATGTGTACAGATGCATATAATATTTATCAATCCCTCAGTTCTTATACTTTTCCTTTTATGACTTCTTGTTCACAAAAGGAATTTTCTATGTTTTAAATTCATTTATTTTATGCCTTACAGTTAGTTTTCTTTAGTTTAATTCAATAGATAACATTTTGGTACTAGCATTATTATTATGTAAGACTTTAGGACCCATGCTACTATATTTTCTAGATTTAAGTTCAATATTTTGGAGTGAAGGTAACATTACTGATGGCATCTTCACCAAAATTACTTTTTAACAAAGTTAATGTAAAGAAATCTTAGTATTTATGGTATATGACTCTAGTTTTAGATTGCTGATGGGTATACCTGTGTGACGTAATGGGGAAACTATTTGTGGTGATGACAACCATGAAGCAAAAAGAACATGTGGGCATAACATCATTACAGAGGGATGAAGGCTACCTTCATAAAAATAGGACAAAACTATTTGTTAATTACGATAAATCCAAACAAACAAAATTGAATAGAATTTTGGAAATAGCTATTTCAGCTTTTAAAAAGTAAATAATTCCTATGTTCATATAACCTTGGAAGAGATTATACAGTGTTTGGGGTCATATACTCAGAAAGATTGTGATAAATATTATGACATTTAAAAAAATATAGTTTAGCCTCTGGCTAGTCTCAAGCAAAAAATGAAGTGATTTGTTCCATTAGACCCAAGAGGTCACAAAACCTAATTATTCCATTGCTTCCTCTGGCATAATCTCTGTGACTGTTGTTTTAGATGTTAATTCTCCAAGGATGCTATTCGTACCTCACTTCTGCACTGTTTGTCCCACACTGGAAATAGTGCAGGTGTTATAAATGTCATTGTGTTTCCAAAGCACAAAACTCCATTAATCATGTATGTTTATGGTTTAACAAGAACTAATGTTGCTAAGTGGTAATATGATATTATTAGGTAATGTAGTGTGATACGGAGAATTCTCTAAGAACAGTGTGCACTTTTATGCATCTGTGCTTTAGTGTGTACCATTCTCTTGGCCCAGGACTCTCTTTACCTCTATCTGCTATTGAATTTCTGCCTGTATTCAAGGCTTAGATCAAATATCAGCTCTGTGAAGCCTTCCCTGTTCTTCACAGTAAAAAGCACTCCCTCCCTTCCCTTTGCTTATACAAGCATTTTAATACTTATCAGACTCTGTGTGTCTCTCTCTGCCTGCTTCTTGTCTGTCTGTCCTATTACAGCTTAGGGTCTTAGAATGGATCCTTCGCAACTTCATTTCCCTAATACCCAGAAAAATACTTGACACTGGCAAGTGGCAGTCGGCACTCAATGAATGTCTACACCGTATGTTGTTGTTTTCTGAAGGGTTCCTTCACTCCACCAGTACCTTCGTCAGTACCTGCCATATGGATGCCTCTTTGCAAATGTTTGTAGAATTGAATAGAATTCATTCACATGTAACACAAATATTTGATGATTATTTTAATTTTCTTAACACCCTCCAAATGGCACTAAGAATAGTACATCAATGCTTATTATCATTGCTGTTGGCAGTCCACAATGGCACTTAAGAATGAATACTTGGTTTCAACTTTCTTCAATAAAAGCTTATAAACTGAAACCACTCTACATGTATACTGGAATTGGACAATTAAGTAAATAAATGGCAGAAGGTAAGAGCCAAGTTTCTCACTGGTGGAGTGGGACATTACAGACAAGCAACAGGAAAAGGCTAGAATGATCCATGTGATAATAGATTAGAGTTGGAAACTTCAGTATAAACTCATATTTAGCTTAGAGTTGGAAACTTCAGTATGAACTCATATTTAACTTAATATAAATACAGATGGATACATAGATGTATTTTTAGATTTGTGTATGTACATGAGTTGGGATGCACATACATATTTCCTTGCTCTATCAGCTGAGAAGGCCTAGAAATAACAGCACCCCAGTAGCAACAAGCACACCCAAAGTCCAGACCTTGGTTTCTAATACCACTCCTCAGTGCTAGGAACCAGGGCTCCTTGGAGGGAATTGCTGATTATAGGAGTAGAGTAAGAAATATACAAGATGAGCCTGGAGCATCTTACAGTGCCAGAAAGTAAGGATGTGCTTAAAAGAACCCCACAATATTGAGGATACATCAAAGAGACATAGGTACTGTATTAGTCCGTTTTCACACTGCTAGTAAAGACATACCCAAGACTGGGTAATTTACACAGGAAAAAGGTTTAATGGACTCACAGTTCCACATGGCTGGGGAAGCTTTACAATCATGGCAGAAGGCAAGGAGGAGCAAGTCACGTCTCACATGGATGGCAGCAGGCAAAGAAAGAGAGCTTGTGCAGGGAAACTCCCCCTTATAAAACTGTCAGATCTCTTGCGATTTATTCACTATCATGAGAACAGCATGGGATAAACCTTCCCCCATGATTCAATTATCTCCCGCCGGGTCCTTCCCACAACACATGGGAATTCAAGATGAGATTTGGATGAGGATACAGCCAAACAATATCAGGTGCCAACTGAAAAATCTCCCAATGGCCAAAGCTGAAACAATTTGTGCAACAAAATACAGTAGTGACAGATTATAACCAAAGGTATAAAATAAATATCTGAGAGTCCACTCTGATATAAAAATGATGAAAGAAGGAAGGAAGAAAGAAAGAAGGAAAGAAAGAAAAAGAAAGAAAGAAAGAGAAAGAAAGAAAAAGAAAGAAAGAAAAAGAAAGAAAGAAAAGAAAGAAAGAAAAGAAAGAAAGAAAAAAAGAAAGAAAGGCAAACATCCTCTGCAGAAGAATTCCAATAATTTGTGTAGCTACTGCCCCTCAAGGCAGTGGAGAATAGCTCCTCTTTCCTTAAGTGTGGGCTTCCCATAGTGGCTGCCTTCCAGAGTGCAGTGTGGAAAACTAAGGAAAGAGTATTTTTTCAGTGGAGAAACTTCACAAGTACTGCCTCAATCAGGTGATCAAGATTAACATCAACAGTGATAAGTCACGTCAGTAGTGTGATGTGATGAGAATGGCACTTTCCCTCTGTGATTTTCTTCCCCAAAACCCGTAACTCCAGTCTAATCATGAGAAAACAAAAAACAAAAAAACAAAAAACAAAAACCAGAAAGATCCTGACAGAAGTACATTCTACAAAATACTTGGCCCGTACTTTTCAAAACTTTCAAGGTCATCCAAAATAAGGAAAGTCTGAGAAATCATCACAGCCCAGAGGAACATAAGAAAACATAACATTGAGAAGTAACGTGATGTCTTGGATAGCACTCCGGAACAGAAAAGGGACATTAATTAAATACTAAGGAAATCTGAATGAGTTATAGACTCTGGTTAAATTTTTAAAAGCCTTTGAGTACGTAATGTAAAGAACCCGAGCATAGTGGAAGGTTTGCACTGGAGCATGCTGTACATTTGCTACTTCATCTATCTAATTTATATTATTATTATTATATATTATATTAATAATGTTAATATGTCAGTCATCTAATGATAAATGAAAGAGGTAATGAAACACTGTTCCTTATAATTATGCTCCTCATCCAAACACATACCGCAGGTCCCCAAATAATGTATTTTCGTTCAGTATCATTTTGTTGTAATATTGATGAGAAAAAAATCTCTCCCTGGCTGGGACCACTCTCTGTGAGGAGTTGACATGTTCTCCCCATGTCTGTGTGGGTTTTCTCCAGGTCCTCCCATTTCCTCCCACATCCCAAAGCCCACTAGCACACCCTGCGATGGGATGGGGTCGCATCCTGTCTAGCGTCAGTCCCTACCTTGCACCCTGAGCTGCCAGGATGGGCTCGGGCCACCCACCACCCAGAATTCAAAAAGTGGGTTGGAAAATAAATGTAAGTTATTATAATAAAAATTTGTAAAGTATACAATAATTATACAAATGCACGACAATAAGTGATTCAGTATGAAAGTGCTCAGCAAGACTGCTTTCTTTGTTTGTTTTTGAACTGCAAGGTGGCAGGAGGTGCTCCTTACAAATTTTCAGTTTGCAAACATTCATTCCTTGATTTAACCCACCATCACTATGGCTGTCATCACTCAATTCACCAAAAATTAGATAAATAACTATCTTACTTGTTTTTATTAGTCTTTATTAAATGTATGTATAGCTCATATTTATTTCACTGCTTAATATTAGAAGTGTATGGGTCTTTATTTAGAAGTGTAGTGATATTTTTTGTGACCACAAATATGCCATAGGAACTTAAGTCTTGCTTATATTAATTAGCCTATGGTGAAATTGGTTTTGTTATACATCATTTTGCTTAAAGTCACAGTTTCCAAGAACCTATGGATGACATTGAAGACTTACTGTACAGGGACCACAATCATATAAACATGTATATTTATATCGACATGTGTCTATGAAGAGCCATAAATACTAGTAAGTAAGAGTAGACAATCAATGATATACATTTCTGGTCCATTGGATTGGCCTTATTTTCAGAACCTGAGCCCTTTGTTTTTATTCTCCCTCTCTCGTTTCAACAGAATATAAAAGGTTTTACAGGCAAAGTGGTTGCATATTTCTAGGACTATTAAACTTCTAGGTTTCTGTAAAATTCAGAAATAATGTTATAAAGAAAATACCAAAATGTTGTATATAGAAAATGACCCCCAAATATAGCTGCTGATTTCTTCTCTTAACTCCTTGGTGCAATTGACCCACATGTTCATTCATGTATTTCCTGGAGATGCTGGATTCATCACTTTATACAACTCCTGGCCTCATGCCTCTTACTCCTGGTGTTCTGAGAGATACAGACCTGGTGTTCTGAGAGATACAGACATGGAAACAATCAAGTCAGTGCACTATAACAAAACCACATGTGACATCAAGAAAGGTTTAACCAAAGGGGTTTGGTTTAGCTGTCCTTGAAGGATGAATAGGCATCCATAAACATACTAGATCTTGGGAAAAAAAGGAATACTTAGAAAAATGATTCATTCATTATAGAGACGAGGCAGAGAGAAACCTAGGAATAGAATTATCCTGCTAGGGAAAATCAAGGCAAAATGGCAAGGTTGGTAAGATTTGTCTTTGATGGTGATGAATGTTTAGGATCTGGTATAAGACAAGCTGAGTTCATATCCCAGCTCTACTATTTATGACTTAGTGAGCTACTTAAGCTCTCTCTGCCTCTAATTCTTTATCTGTAAGACAGCTAATAATAATAGCTGCCACTTCACCTAGTAAGAGAATCAATGAGATAACATGCGTCTAATACTAAGTGTAGTATTTGGCATATGAGGGTCAATGCACATTGTTGTTACTTATATTAGTGCTGTGTTTTTTTTTTTAATCATAATGTAGGCCAGGCCTGTAGAGGTTGCTTGATCTATCTTGGATGTGATGCCTGCATTTTGGGAGTCTACCATGAGAGAACTGATGGGACCTGCCTTTGGCTGCAGAGAACCTACCATTTGGGCTTTTCCCCAGCACTGAAAATAAATCACCTAATAAACTCTTATTTTTATTAGATTATCTTTGAAATTGTTAATTTGTAAGTTTTGCTTAACTTTTCAGGAAAAAAGTAATCTAGAATATTTTTAAAGAAATACAAACATCTATGTACAAATAAAGCATTTTTTTCAAATTTTAAATAATTCCCTTCTGCTTCATGGGTGAGAGGGCAGAGATGTGCCAGAGGTGTCTACTTTAGGTCTCCGTTGTCTCAAGGGAGGAGTAGAAATCCCCACCTTTCTGTGGAATCCTGACAATCAGAGCATCCCCTGAGAGCTCCTTCTCTGAAAGCTGCCAACCTTTTCTCTCACACATATGTTTCTGTCTCCTCTTAATGATATTATGTCTACCCCTATGTTACTAGTGACACTCACTCCCCTTTTAGTTTCTAAGTGCTCTCATTTCTTCCTCATTCTGAAATTATCTGGGCAGCATCTCATTGATTAGCATTAGGTCTCTTCACCTTCTAACAAAAACTAGTCTGTGCTAGAGAAGGTCTCGTCCCCACCTACATTCCAAGGAGATAAAACCTACTATATAACATTTTAACTTCATATCAAAATAATAGCCTGCCTTTGTGGCTTATGACAGAGAAAAAAACTAGTGGTGGGAGTTCTCAAGCAATTTGAAAGGAAGGATAGCTTTTCAGCAATCTGAAAGGAGAGGAAACTACCATCCTCAAATTTTTCTGTGAACAAAATAGCCATGGGTCCAGGGCCACCCATGTAGAAGCTTTAGGACTTAGAATAACTCACAAGATGGCTGCTTGCACATTGCTATTTTGGAGACATTTTATGAAATTTAATCCCAAAGTAGCCTAGAAGGAGAAAGAAGCTATAAAAGGTCCAAATGTATCATGAAGAGTGGGGAGAAAGGGCAATCTCTCTGGCTTTGGCTGACACTGGCAGAAAGCTGGCCCCTAACTTGTACATGTCCAAGAACATTGGGTCCCTTAACACACCAGTCATTGGAAACTACCTGCTGCTCATGTTTCACTGGTACCCTGGTCCCAGACTGAGCCCACCATGGCAGCCACTTCGCAGAAAGCTGAATATCCTAATTTGCCACCATCTGAGATGTGCTGAGAAAACTGGCATTTTTGTCCACTTATATATTCTCAACCTCCAGCAAGTCTACGAAGAACATAAAGGCTTAGTGGAACTTAGGTAAGTAAGGTAATTAGGAGGAGAATAGCGGATGGGGTGGAAAAGGGAGAAGAAAGAAATAAAGAATTGCAGAGTCTTCAGGTGGCCAGGGCCTTAAAGTCAACTGCTTCATCTTTTCATCGACAGCATCTCTACCACATGCCTAAAAAACTTGTTAAAACAAAAATATAGTGATATATGTTAAAATATCCCTCAGAATTAATTTATTGTAAACTCTTTTTTAGGATAAACATTTCCCCTACGAATAAAATACAAACAAAAATATCAGTTTTTAGCCTTTTGCACGACAAGTTGTTTCTCAGTAAAGTCTACACTTTGGTCCCAGTTTGACTCTTCAGGAATATTCAAAACAAGTTTAATCTCTCTTCAACGTTATAGTTCTTTAACTATTCAGAAATGGAATTTGTGTCTCCAACATACTATTTATTTCTCTCAGGGGCAAGAGTGTGGAATTTGTTTATTAAAATAAAATGCAACTAAGATAATCATTTGCAAATATTGAAAGGATGCGTTTTTTGTTTCCCTTCATGTAAAATACGTTTGCTGGCAACCAATTGTCAGTATTGCCTCAGGAAAGAAGGTGATAAAACGCACCTCAGGAAGAAAGAGGAAGTTGGTAGCCCACACCTTCTTGACCTCATGAGTTGCAGAAAGAAGGGAGGCTTGTGTAAGAGAAGCTGGTCTGTGAGACAAGTTTGTTCTCACCCTGCATTTCTGGGTCAGAATTCCAGAGTGGGAAGGCATCTAGGCACAGGGAAGCCAACAGCTAAGGAAGGGAAGCCCTCTAATGTGGCTGGCATAGTAAAGTGGCGGTGTGGAGGGGTTCAGGGGAACGCTCCTCAGCCACACTCAAATCCTATGTGGGAAGAAGCAGCCTGAGACCACCTGCTCGCCTTCAATCCCACAGCCTGTGTGGCCAGAGGTTTTCACAGCAACGGGGAAAAGTGATTCCACATTGGAGACTACAGTACACATGGCCCAAGCTGGGACCAAAGACGAGTCACAGCAAAACCCCAGGGGTCCGCAGACCCAAAGGAAGCCATGTTGGGGCTAGTCACCAAAGGGAGGACCCCAGGTACAGATGAACCACTAGCCTCAGACATCACCACCAGATGGCAGCTGACCAGGCAGTGACAACTGCTTAGAAACAAGGGGAGCTAGAGGACAGTAAAAACAGGTTGCCAGGTATTTAAGTCTTACCACGAGTTAAGTCTTGTTCTAAGTATTGCACATATGGCTCATCTGCTCCTGAGAGCAGCCCTGAGATGGCTGGTGCTATGAATACACCCATTTTCCAGATGAAAACATGGAACTCAGAGAGGTTAAGTCATAGAGCTGGGATTTAAACAACAGTCTTGTTTTCTGAGACTACGTTGGAAAGTAAAATGCTATATCACTTTGGTAGATTAGATTATTGTTCAGAAATATTCACCCCTTCCTCTTCAACCTCCATAGGTGGAATATGATTCCCCCCATCACCTGGGCTTGGCCAGGTCACTCTCGACCATGGAAGGCTAGTGGACATAACATGACCAAAGATTTAGAAAGTACTTGTTTACCTGAGCTTATTCTTCTAAGCTTCTGTTTTCACCATGAGAAGACTATGCCCCAGCCTGTCCAAGGAGGATGAGAGACGTGGATCAGAGCTGCCTGGCCAACAGGAAGACCAGCAGCCTGAAGCAGAGCAGCCCAGACAAGACTTGCCTCAACAATCTAACCCCAACCAACTGCAGACTCACACATGCGTCCAGCTGAAATTTGCAGAAGCTCCCTGGCCAAACTGCAGATTCATAACAATAAATTATTATTCTTTCAAAACATTAATTTTGGCGGGGGGTTGTTATGTAGCACTACAGTGGCAATAGCTAACCAATACATCATTTGTCCAGTACAAGTGTTCCAGTGTATGGATCCAAACCTCTCCCATTATCCCCTTGTACAAAAATGTCTAACAAACCTTGTCCAAAGCCCTACCAACACCCAAATCATCCAAATACTGACTTGGAAAGAAGGGGAAAGGAGATAAAATCTGAAAGACTAAGCATTTATTTGAAAGGGACTCAGTTACTGCAAAGACCATTTAAGTTCTTAAGTGAGGGAAGGTCGTAAAGAAATTAGAACAGCCATTGATAAGAAGTTTGTCTCTTTTTTCCCCCCCAATCTGAGTACAGAGTGCTAAATTTGTAACTATGTTACAAATAAACTTAACCAAATTTTAAAACTTAATCAACTTTGAAGCCCTAGCCATGGGTAGATCCAGGCCTTACGGAGATTAGTGCTTATTTAATTGGAAGGGTGCTCTTTCAGTAAAAGAGTACAGGCTGGAGGAGGAGTGGCTCACACCTGTAATCCCAGCACTTTGGGAGGCTGAGGCAAGAGGAGAACTTGTACCCAGGAGTTTGAGACAAGCCTGGGCAACATAGTAAGAACCCGTTTCTTAAAAAAAAAAAAAAAATTTTAATTAGCCAGGCATGGTGGAGTGTGCCTGCAGTCTTAGTTACTCAGAAGGCTGAGGCAGAAGGGTTCCTGGAGTTTGAGGCTGTCCTGAGCTATGATTGTGGCACTGCACTCCAGCCCAGGTGATAGAGTAAGACCTTGTCTCAAAAAAAAAAAAAAGAAAAAGAAAAAAATGAAAAGAACAGAAAAAAGTAAAACATTGAAAATATACCATTTGTTATAAAAATGATTTTTTTAGAATTAGCAAAAAACATAAGTTCCAAAATGTTAAGGCTGAAAAAGTATCAAAATAATTACAAAATCCAAAAACATTAGTATAAAATTGTTATTAATTAACTGCCTCACCTGTACAATATTTTTTCTACCTTTCTTGTCTTCATTTCTTCATATGATCATTATTTTATTAAAAAACATCTTTGATAGAGAAAAACAGAAGGATAACTAATTCCTTCTCCTGAAAGATTGATTGCAATGTTTTTCTCTTTTCTTTTTTTTCAAGACAGGATATCATTCTGTCACTCAAGCTGGAATGCAGTGGTGCAATCATAGCTCACTGCAGCCTCAACCGCCCAGGCTCAAGCAACCCTCCCACCTCAGTATTTTAAGTAGCCGGGACTACAGGCACACAACACCACACTGGCTCATTTATTTTTATTTTTTATTTTTTTTTTGTAGAGACAGAATCTCACTACATTGCCCAGGCTGATCTTGAACTCCTGGGCTGAAGTGATCCCCTGGCCTTGGTGAATTGTTTTTATAATTGTGAGACACATATAACATATGACTTCACACATACACCATGGTTGTAGTACTGTTGCAGGTTTGTACTTTGCAAATGCAGAAATTATCATGAATTCCATTTTGTCTAAATCTCCTAAAAATGTATGGTATATTTGTGATGGTAATATAAATTGTATGTTTATAAATGTACATTTATAATTGTATGTTACTGACACAAGAGAACTTCCATTTTGACCAGGTGTTAATGAGAACCAAATTTCCTACTTAAAATTTTACATGTCAGAAGATAAAAACAATTTTTAATGTGCTTACTAGCAAGTAGGGTTTTCAGTTCTCTGAAATGTCTGTCCATGTCCTTTCCCAAACTTTGATACTCTTTTTGTCTTTTTCTTGTTGATCTGTAGGTATTCTTTATATATTCTGGATACTTCTGGCTTTGCAAAACTTTCTCTATTCTGATATCATAAAGATATACCACTATATTTTTTAGGCTTAAAGTTTTCCCCTCAACATACACTTAGGCCTTTAACGTATCTGAAATTCATTTTCTCAAGAGTTTATCTTCTTTTCACAAAGAGGTAAACAGTTATATCATCACCACTACTGAATAGACCACCCTTTCCTCACTGAGTTAAGATACTATCTCTATGATAAAATAAGTTCTGACATGCATTTTGATCTAGATAATACACACATATCATAAAGTCATGTACAGTCAGCCCTTTATATCAGTGGGTTCCACATCCTTGAATGCAACCAACTGCTGATAACAAATATTCAAAACAAAACCAATAAAAACAGCAATACGACAATAAAAAATAGCACATAAAAATATAGCACAACTATTTAAATAGCATTTATATTGTATTAGGTATAACCCAGAGAAGACTGAAAGCATACGAGGATCTGCATAGGTTATATGCAAATTGTAAGCCATATTATATAATGGACTTGAGCATCCATGGGTTTTGGTAGCTATGGGGGTCCTGGAACCAATCACCTGTGGATACTGAGGGATGACTGTGTATACATTTCTGAAGTAGACAGGTAGTAAATGCTAGGATATCCACAATCCTGTTGGAGTACATTATTGGGAATAATAAATTCTTCCAGAGAGAATTCTGGAAAATTCCAACATTTTAAGTTTCAACCACTTTGAAAATTGTATTAATTTTGAAGAGATATTATTCTATATCAAGTATTCCTATTTTATTAAACTTGCTTTTATATTTATCCCTTGAATTTACAAATCTTATAACTGTTTTGTAACAATTCAAACTAAAATGGCCTCTTGATTTTGGCACTACTGTAGGCTAAACTAATAAAGAAAACTTTATTATTATAAATTTAAAGAAATAAGGAATATAATATAAACAAATTGGGGAAAAACATATGTCTGATCTGAAAGAAAAATAAGAGAAATCTCTGGTGCTAAAAACAAAAGGAGAACCTAATAGCAGAGCTGTGAGCTCATGAGCTGAAGTTACGGGATCCTAGAGAGGTATGGAATATCTTACTTACAGATAAGCTCTAGGGTGCAGGATCTGGGGTTTTAATCATGGTTCCAGGACAGAAATTGTGTCTTTGGGGCCCATCTGCTCTAGGTCCGTTGGATCCTAGAGAGGTATGGAATACCTTACTTACAGATAAGCTCTAGGTGCAGGATCTGGGGTTTTAATCATGGTTCCAGGACAGAAATTGTGTCTTTGGGGCCCATCTGCTCTAGGTGTGTTGCTGGACCTGAGACAACTGCATAAAACTGAGTTCTGGGACAGCTGCCTCCTCAAAAAAGGGAATGTTGAAAAACTTTCTCTGCCAGCACCTCTACCCAGGGAAGTGATAAGAAGCTGTGAATGAAGAAGAAAATAAACAAAAGTCTGAGCCATGCACCAGTGCTTTTTTACCAAATGCAAAGTAAGGGAACCACCACAACAAAAAAAATTATGTCAAAAAGTAGCCTTGGTCTTGGGAAACACTTGGAGCACCAATCACAAACAAATGCACAACCACTATGCAGCAGACTTCAACCTAAAGTATACATAGTTCTTCAAGAAAAACAATCTTCATCAGTGATAAACTCACCTTTCAAAATTATAAAATGCACAAGGAAATGATCCACCTTATAAGTAAGAGTCAACAAAAATAAGAAACTGTGAGGTTGGACTTTGAGAATCTTAGTGTATATATAATGTCTCAAAAGTAGTTATATCTAGAATGTTAAAGACATTTAAAAAAATAGAAACATAGCAGAAACAGGACATTATAGATAAATTCAAAAAGATTTTTCTTAAATAATAAAAACAATACTTAGAAATAAAAATTTAATTATTTGAAATTTATAACTCATTGAATAAATTAGACTACAGATGAGCCAGAGTAGAAGAAAGAATTCATGAGCTAGAATATCAATGTAAGGAAATTTAGTGAAATGATACACGAGAAAAATATATGAAAATATGAAACACTTCTTAAGAGACAAGAAATAATTAAGAAGGAGAATGTACAAAGAATAGGACTGCTAAGTGAAATCATGACTGATACATTTTTAGAATTTAGAGCATTAGGACAAATACTTCATGCATGCAGAGCTTAAAACCTAGATGATGGGGTTGATAGGTGCAGCAAACCACCATGGCACATGTATACCTGTATATAACAAACCTTCACATTCAGCACATGTATCCCAGAACTTAAAGTAAATTAAAAAATAAATTTAAAAAAAATTCAGAATTTATCTAAGACAAATCCTCAGATTGAAGAACAAAGTGCCTAATTAGGATAAATAAAAACAAATTCACACTTGAAAAAAATCATAGTAAAAATATGGAACATTGATAACAATGAGAAAATTATTAAAAATCACCCAGAGATGAAAGCTAGATTGTCAACGAAGAAATATTTATCCTGATAGCTGTTTCTGTATGACTAAAAACTAGGGATATATTCAAACTGCCAAGAGAAAATTGCTGTCATCTTGAATTTTAAAAGTAGCTAAACTATCAGTTAGTAATTAGACAGATAGATAGATAGACAGATAGATAGATAGATAGATAGTTAATACATAGACAAAGATATATATAATATACATATATCTTTATATAATATGAAAAACAAAAAAAAGAATTAGACAAGAATAAATACATTTTAAGGTAAATGATTTTTAAAAATATGACTGGATGTGTTTTAGAAATAAGTAAATTGAACATGGAAGGAAGGAGGAGGATATAAGAAACGGGTGAACGAAGGCATTGGAAAACATCTGCATAAATCTAAATAAACATTGACTGTAAAAACAACAAAAAGAAAGACTAATTTAGGGTGAAATGATTCGAAAAGAAGGTTAAATTAAAGTACTTCACAGCCACAGCATGGAAGATAAGAAGAGAAGCGCAGTAATTTGAATTCAAGTGTTGCAAGTTGCTCTTATTATTCAAGATGAAGTCAGGCCTATTGATTATATTAGTTCTTTAGAGTTAAGTATGCATGTTAAAAATGTAAGAATAATTACTAAATAAATAAGAAAACAGTTGTAATACCAAACCAGTCAAAGGGTTAAAAGGTGGGGAACAGAGAAAACCTTCCAAAAGAAATGGCCTGTGATCCTACAATTCCACTTCTAGCTACAAAACCTGGAGAAACTCTGGCATGTGCACACAAGAAGATATAAACAACAACATGCATCATTCATCTCCATTCATAGCAGAATGAATAAATTGTGGTAAGTTTATACAATAGAACACTTTAGGCAATACAAATGAATTAATAACATCAACATAGATAATGCTGAAAAGAAACCTTGAGCACAAAAAACAAGTATCAGAATGACAGGTAAGAATGAAACCAATTATATGAACACACAAAAAGAGATCTCTATTGTTTATGAATACATACATATGCACATGCAAATTATAGAATCAGGCCCAGGAAGAATTCATCCTCACATCAAGACAGTGGTTACCTCTGGGGAGAGTGGGAGGAGGAAATTGAACAGGGATGTGGGTGAAATGACTTTATCTGTGTGACACGACTCGCTTTTGAAAAAGAGAGCTGAAGAAAATATGTCAAAATATTGCCATTTTATATACTTAAGAGATGGGTAGACAAGTGTCATAGTTTCTGTATTTTTCCACATATTAAACAGCTATTTACTTTAAAACATTTAAAAAACAATTTAAATTCTTTATAAGTATAAGAAGCAAAATCAGTCTTCTCTCCTCTGAAAATGTTATCTTTCCAGATTTCTCTTTTGCTTGAATAAGAAGATATACATGTATTTTAATCTGTATCATTGTACGTAGGTGTACTTCATTCTCTGTATTTTTCCACAATATAGATATGTCATAATTTTATATACTGATTATTTTATTGATAAGGATTTCGTTTTCCAGAAGTGTTTTTGTTTGTATGTTTGTTGTCATCTTGTTTTGTTTGTTTAGGGAGAAACTGCTACTAAAACAATTCTGTAATAAATAAACTTGTGTATTAATCCTGATGTGCTGCACTTTTACTTCTGCCATATAAATTCCCAGAAGTTTCTAGGTCAAAGAGTATGCACATTTTACATTTTAATGACTTATCAAATTGCTTGCAAGAACAGTAGTAATATTTCATTTTCCTACTAATTCTGTAGTATTCCACACATCCTGGCCAACACTCGAAGTTATCCATCTTTTCCACCTTTGACACTTTAAATCATTGGTTTCTTGGTGTTGTGTGTGTGTGTGTGTGTTTCATTTTCCTGAAACTTGTAAATTTGAGCATCTTTCCTATGCTTACTAAGCATTTGTGTTTTCTCCTCTGAAAATTGCCTGTTAGTATTTTTTTCTCTTATCAAAATCAATGTGTTATCTGCTATGTAATTCATTCATTTGTTCAGTAAATTTATGGAACAGATAGTATGTGCCTGGGACTAAGTTAGATTCTGAGTGGTCATAGGCAATTAAGATACAGATTGTATCCTCAAAGAGTCCAGGAGAGGGAGATAAGCAAATTTGAGTGACAAAGTGTTAGTGGTACTGGGAGAAATGTCTGTCTAAACAGAGCACAATTAGCTGCTTTTGGGGACTCAGGACAGCATAACCTTAATATAGCATATGATGCTTCCGTTGCTGGGTCTTGCAAATGAGTAGGTACTTGCTTCTAGTTCCTTCAGAGTGCTTCAGCAGTCTCCCCACAGCTGGAGATCTGTGCAAGAGAAAAAGGCAATGCAAGTTTAGAAAACTGTGTGAATAAAACCATGCAGGTGGAACGTTTAGATTAGGGCCCAGGAATCAGACCACTGAGATAGGAAATCAGGAGGAGATGTTGCCACTTCCCAAGAGAGATGAGGGTGAAGAATTTGAAGAGCCTGGGGAATATTCAGCTGGAGACATTCAGCAGACAGTTGAATAACATGTCTGGAGCAAGGAAGACTCATTCAAGTTAGAAATCTAGTTGTGAGAGTCCTCAACATACAGGGAGCGATGTGTCATTAGTTACAGCAATGTTAAAGTTACACTAGCTCTCTGGGCTTTCTGATGTATAGGGCAGTTTGCAGGCAAATTAAATGTCCTCCAGTTCCTATTTTCTAAAACTCTTGTGACTGCTTTATTGTTTTTTGTTTGTTTGTTTAACATTGTTTCCCTCACTTTTAGTTGTCATTTGATGCAGTCAAGGATCTCGTATTATACTCCCTTTCTCTCCCTTAAGAAACTCTGTACATAGGAATCAGTTAACAAAATTTTTAGGATTGTGTGTATATATTAACATCAGTAGCCATTAATATAACTTACACGAGGGGGCTGAGAATCTCTCTTGGTAAAATATTGAAACATGAGCTTCATGTCTTTTAAGAACTTTGTGGTTTATATCCTGATTCAGGTGTGTTTTTCAGGATAGGTTAAGGACTCAGATCCTTGAGTTCTGGATCAATGAATCTGTCTATAGCCTCAGACATAATCTCAGTATTTTAATCACCTTCACAGATAAGTTATTTATGAATTAAATTTTTAAAGAAAAGCTTTTAACCCAGAGATTTACATTTTCATTTCAGAGATGCTTGAAGATGAATCTTTAGTTGCCCTTCTTTGACCACTTTAGCTTGAACACCTTCTTCATCAAGTAGTTTATATGATTTAGGACTAACAGTAAAGTGCAGATGGAGCCCTCACTATTTAAAGAGACATATCACTGACTCCTTAGCAAGCCAAATATTGTTTTGTAATCAAATAATTACCTCAGATTATACTGATTTATGAATTCTTATCTGATCTTATATTTTCTTTTCTTATTTGGCATTGCATTTTATATTTTATCTTACACTATCAAAACAAGATATACACATGGCTAGAAAATCAAATAGAAGGGCTTGTAGTGAAAAGAAGCCTGCTGCTTCCTCTTTCCAACCCACTTGCTTGCTCTTTAGAGGAAACCCTTTAAAAATGTTCATTTCTAGTGCCTTCGGAGTGCTGCAACAATCTCCCAATTGCTCATTAAGGCTCATTACTTATTGTTGTTTGTGGTTTTACAAGTTTTTTTACAGTGTCTACTGACTTCCTACTATGATAGGTGAGGGTTGATCTCATCTATACCTCCTCATTTCACCTTTATTTTTTCCTTACCTCCATGTTGTTTTTCACTATTCTTATTTCTTTTATTGGATACCTACATAATTTTAAACAACTTGCATAAACTTCCACTTTCTAGTCCAATAACCATAGACAGTTTTCACTTTCCCTTCATTGTAAGTGATCAGAATATAGATGCACCAGCTTTCACTTCATTCCTTGGAGTGAATGGTATTCATTCCAATACCATTTTCCAATTCCTTATCTTTTATATTGTTAAGGTAATATCCCTTACATTCTTTTCTGTAATACAGTAAGTCCCTGATTTGTCTATGGGTTACTTTTTAAAATTGAAAGTATAATGAAAAATTCAAAGTTTATAGTACTATTAATGTGTAAATTTTGCTTTCTGCAGAACCAAGTTGTGTGATAAAATTACATTTTTTCTCAGCTACTCGGGAGGCTGAGGCAGAAGTATCACTCGAACCTGGGAGGCAGAGGTCGCAGTGAGCCGAGATTGTGCTGCTGCACTCCAGCCTGGGTGACAGAGTGAGACTCTGTCTCAAAAAAGGAAAAAGAAATTACATTTCTTCTTCTAAGATCTAATGGCACAATTGCTGCGCTACTCAAAGGAAACATTTCTACAGTCAGGCTGGAATGGATTATTTTTTTCTCTGTTCCACCACATGCCTTTACCATATTCTCAAGTTTATCAAAACCCTCATTCTATCTAATTAATTGAATCCTCTTCTCTCCCTAAGACTAGTATTTGAAAACCTCTCCCCCCTCGCTCCTATTTGGACTGGTTACTCTTCAGGCTTATGCAAAACTATAATTTGGGGATTGTATACATTGTTATTCTGGTTTGGTACTTCTGTCTCCCAAAGCCTATCTTGTCTTCTTCCTTAGTTTGGTTGGAATACCTACTTAAGTAACTTTTTAAGAAATGATGAGCATCATAAAGACAGATATATAGACCAATGGAATATAACATGGAGCCCAGAAATAAACTCTCACATATATAGTCAAACTATTTTTGATGAGGTATTCAAGACCATTCAATGAGGAAAGGATAGTCTTTTCAACAAACGGTGCTAGGAAAAATGGACATCCACATGCTAAAGAATTAAGTTGGATCCTTAACTTACACTATATATAAAAATTAACTCAATATATCAAAGTCTTAAATGTAAGAGCTAAACCTATAAAATTCTTAGAAAAAAAAATAGAGGAAATCGTCATGCCATTGGATTTGGCAATGATTCCTTAGGTAAGATATCAAAAGCACAGACAACAAAAGGAAACAGTAGTTAAATTTCATCAAAATAAAACACTTTAGTGTTAAAGGACAAAATCATGATGTTGAAAAGGCAACCTATAGAATAGGAGAAAATATTTGCAAATCATATGCTGATAAGGGATTAATATCCAGAAAATATAAAAAACCTCTATGACTCAAAAACAAAAAAATAAACAACCAAAATGCAAATCAAAACCACAATGTGATAGTACTTTTCCAGCAAACCACCATGGCACATGTATACCTACATAACAAACCTGCAGGTCCTACACATGTATCCCAGAACTGAAAATACATATATTAAAAAAGTAATGGCAAAAACCACAATTACTTTTGAACCAACATAATATTATAAAACAAAACAAAACAGAAACTAATACGTGTTGGGGAGGATGAGAAGAAATTGGAACACTTGTGCATTGCTAGTGGGAATATAAAATAGTGTAGCTGCTGTGGAAAACAGTATGGAAGTTCCTCAAAAAATTAAACATAGAATTACCATATGATCCAGCAATTCCATTTCTGGGTATACACCCAAAAGAATTTGAAGCAGGGACTAGAACAGATATTTTCACACAAATATTCATATAAGCATTATTCACAGTAGCCAAAAGTGGAAACACCCTAAATGTCCATTGATAGACGAATGGATAAACAAAATGCAGCATAAGCATACAATGGAATATTATGAAGGCAATAAAAGGAATGAAATTTTGATACATATTACAACATGGATAGACCTTGAAAATATTATGCTAATTGAAATAAGTGAAACACAAAAGGTCAAATATTATAGGATTCCACTTATAACAGGTATCTAGAATAGTGAAATTCATAGAGACTGAAAGTAGAATAGGGGTGACCAGGGCTGCAGGGGGGTAGTAGTAATAGGTAGTTATTGTTTAATGGATACAAAATTTCTGTTTGGCATGATACAAAAATTTTAGAATGGATACGGGATGGTTGCATAATAATGAAAATGTATTTAATACCACATAAATCATACACTTAGCCGAGATTGCACCACTGCACTCCAGCCTGGGGGACAAAGAGAGACACCATCTCAAAAAAAAAGAAAAAAAAATTGCTAAAATTGTAAATTTTGTTATGTGTATTTTACCACAGTAAAAATTTTAACATTATGGAAAAATAAGATAAGCTACTTAGAATATGTTTTAAAAGTGATGAGTGAGAAGAAAATATTTTGAGTCCTTAAAAGTCTAAAACTCTTTTTAATTTTCCCTTAGACTTTATTGATAGTTCAGCAAAGTGTCAAAATTCTAGGTTGAAAATAGTTTTTACTCAGAAATCTAAAGACTTTTCCTGTGAAAAATCTGAAGACAGAGTGGTTTCTCATTTTAATCTTGGAAGTTCCTGGGAATGTGGCATGTTTTCTTAAAGTAAAACCTACCTACTGAAGACATGAGAAATTCAGAGTGACCTTTTCCCTTATATTTTCAACAAAGGATAAAGCTTCAAACTTAACTTATGGTTACTTTACCTGTTTAAAACAATCTAACAGAATAGAGAACCCAGAAATAAATCCACATACCTACAGTCAACTCATTTTTGACAAAGATGCCAAGAACACTCATTAAGGAAGACAGTCTTTTCAATAAATGGTGCTGGGAAAACTGCATATCCATCAGCAGAAGAATGAAACTAGACTCCCACTCCTCCCTATACAAAAATCAACTTAAAATGGGTCAAAGATCTAAGTGTAAGACCCAGACTAATGAAACTACTACAACAAAATATAAGAGAAACACTTCAACATTGGTCTAAGAAAAAAATTTATGAGTAAGACCTCAAAAGCACGGGCAACAAAAGCAAAAATAAACAAATGAGATTATATGAAGCTAAAAACCTCTGCACAGCAACGAAAACAAAAGAGTGAAAAGACAACCCACAGAAAGGGAGAAAATATTTATAAAGTACTTATCAGACAGACAATTGTCATCCAGAGTATACAAGGACTCAAACAACTCAACTGCCAAAAAAAAAAAAAAAAAAAACCCAGACAATCCGATATAAAAAGTGAGCAAATTATCTGAACAGGCATTTCTCAAAGAAGACACACAAATGGCCAACGAATATATGAAAAAATGTTCAGCATCACTAATCATCAGGCAAACACAAATCAAAACACAATGAGCCAGTTAGGATGCCTATCATTAAAAAGACAATAAACAAATAAATAAATAACAAATGCTGGAAAAAATTCGGAGAAAAGAGAACTCTTATATACTGCTGGTGGGAATGTAAACTAGTACAACCGCTATGGAGAACAGTGTGAAGGTTCCTCAGAAAATTACAAATAAAACTACTATATGATCCAGCAATTCCACTACGGGGAATTTATCCAAAGGAAAGAAAATCATATCAAAGAGACCTCTATGCCCCCATGTTTATTGCAACACTATTCACAATAGCCAAAATATGGAATCATCCTAGGTGTCCAACAACAGATGAATGAATAAAGAAAATGTGGTATATGTACACAATGGAATACTATTCCGCCATTAAAAAGAGTGAAATTCTGTCACTGAAGGCAAGATGGATGGAACTGGAGGATGTTAAGTGAAATAAGCCAGGAACATAAACACCACATGTTCTCACTCATTTGTGGAAGCTAAAAAAGTTGAACTCATAAAAGTAAAAAATAGAACAGAGGCTGGGAAGGGCAAGGGAAGGGAGAGATAGACTGAGATTTATTAAAAGATACAAAATTACACCTAGATGGGAGGAAAAAGTTCTATATTAGTGGTCCCCAGCTTTTTTGGCACCTGGGACCAGTTTCACGGAAGACAGTTTTCCCACAGACAGGGGCAGAGGGTGGGGGTGGTTTGGGGATGAAACTGTTCCACCTCAGATGATGAGGCTTTAGTTAGATTCTCATAAGGAGCACACACCTAGATCCCTCGCATGCGCAGTTCACAATAGGGTTCACGCTTCTATGAGAATCTAAGGCCGCGACTGATCTCACAGGAGGCAGAGCTCAGGCCGGAATGCTCTCTTGCCTGCAGCTTACCTCCTGCTGTGCAGCCCAATTCCTAACAGGCCACAGTTCCCAACCACATGAGTATGGGACCGGGGGGTTGGGGACCCCTATTCTATACACTGTAGGATGACTATAATTAACAATAATATATTTTAGAGTTTTAAATAGCTAGAATGAGGATACTGGACATTCCCAACACAAAGGAATGATAAATGTTTGAGATGATGGATATGCTAATTACCTGCAGCTGATCACTGTGCATTATATATATCAAAACATCACTGTGTATCCCATGAATAAGTACAATTATTATCTGTCAATTAAAATTTAAAAATAAATACATACACAAAGTACTAATAAATAAAATTTAAAAAAATAGACCTGGCGCGGTGGCTCACACCTGTAATCCCAGCACTTTGGGAGGCTAAGGTGAGTGGATCACGAGGTCAGGCATTCGAGACCAGCCTGGCCAACATAGTGAAACTCTGTCTCTACTAAAAATACAAAAAATTAGCCAGGCGTGGTGGTGGGTGCCTGTAATCCCAACTACTTGGGAGGCTGAGGCAGGAGAATCGCTTGAACCTGGAAGGTGGAGGTTGCAGTGAGCCGAGATCATGCCACTGCACTCCAGCCCAGGCAACAGTGCAAGACTCCATATAACAAAACAAAACAAATCCAAAAATTGGTTGTGGTGTTTAAAAATAAGTCATCCCCACGAGTTTTAGATCACTGCAACCAATTGGCCATATACCTCCAATTAAGACAAGATTTTCCATACCTCTTCCAATAAGGAGTTTGAATCTTATGTGGATATATTTTTCTTGTTATGCTATGTTGCAACTTAGAAATACTAAAGTCCTACCTCCTAATTAAGGACGATAGATCCTTATATAAAAAATAGCGTGGAAAACCATGAAACTAATCATTAACTGTAAAGACAAAAGCACTGTTGGGACTGATTTTATCAAGGGAGACTGCTCACTATCTTTTGATCCTGGAATTTTAATTAAAATGATGTGTTTCAATTTTTCATTTTCTTCCTTTAAATGAGAAGACTACCAAGGCTGAAGGCTTAAATACAAACCAGAAATAATTATAATATATTGGTAAGAGCCATACTTTCGAGTAAACTTTTTTTATGTACTTATGCTCTGAGTTCATTTTCAGTAACTAATAATATGAACATAGTTGAGTTGTCCTCTAAATACTTTATGTATATAATAGACATTACAACCCACACATCCATAAGCTTATACAATACTGCTTTTATGTTACCTATTATTACTAGATAAATAAATATAATCTTTTCCGCAACCAGAAAGTCAATGATGAATGCCTCCTAAATGATATCAAGAAACATAAACAATGTTAATGATTATTACTTGCACCTTAATTCTGTTTACAATCTGTGAGCAACTTCATATGGCTGATTTCAGAATTTGAATTGAATTATCTGTACTCCTTAAAGCCATACTAGATTTGGGGCCTAATTACCTTTATATCCAGCAACATAGCAACACAGTCAACTATGGTACTGCAGTCAGCTGTTCTCACACCTGAGTGCAGAAACTCAAGGCAATGTTTCCACATGGAGACCATCACCACCATTCCCTTGTTGGTCTTTAGGGCTCAAAGCAAGATGCATGCTTTTGTTTTGCAACATTCTATTGAATTTTCTGCCTACTGGATTTAGTTTAACTTGATGTAATGCTATTACTTTTTCCAGTAGTCAATGTTGTCTTACACATTTAGTAAACAGTCACATTATATTATTGTTTTATGGGATTTTAGCCTGCTGTTGAAATCTGGCAGCACTGGGATCAGAAAAAGAAGAAAAGGACAAATAGCAATTGAATAAGCCCATCTTACAGGGACCACTGCTTTTGGTACTGTGACTTTCTTTGTAGTTGTGGCCCTCCTCTGAAATGGGAGTCAACTCCATCATCACGTTATTGTTAAACTCCCATTCCACCATAAACATAGACCTGCATCTTAATTTTTTGTAAAGATTTACAAACCCTATGATGTATCTCACCAAATCTAACTTTAATAATACTATAATCTCTAAAGCAGGACACGTGGCATTCTTAATATTTTACATTCATGTGGTTCTTTGCATATTATGAATAATATTTTATATACCTAATCTTACTTAATCTTCAAATAAATTCCATGAGAATGGAATTATTACTTCTATTTTATAGATGAGAAAACAGAGGCTCAGTGAGGTAAAGGGATTTGCCTAGGGTTGCACAGCTATTCATCGTCAAGGCCGGGATGTTAGCCCAGCCTTCTGAAACCACCTTCATGCTTTTGCAAGTGTCTAACACTTACGCTGGTTGCTTTCCATATATTATAATGTGGGAAAATTTAAAAGAGGCGACTCTTGATTCAAGTGTTTCAGCATGTCTTATTTCAGAGTAAGTGAGTAAAATTGTGTATAGCTTGACAATCAAGGTTTTCCACAGTCTTGTTTGAACTTTCATTGTTAACTCTATTACTCTCCAATCTCTATATGTGCTTTGGCTCTAGTGACACTGAGCTAGTTTTTTCCTAAGAAATGATAAAAATGTAAATTGTTACAAAAATTTGGGTTATTAATTTATTTTGACTAAGTCCCCACTGTGAGTCAGCTACTGAGAAAACACAAAGAGAAAGAAGAATTCATGCTTATTGAGAGCCTTCCAGGATTGACACCTTTACATGTTATTTTAAATTGATACATAATACGTACTTATACAGTACATGTGATAACTTGATACATGCATACAATGTGTAATTATCAAATTGGAGTATTTAGGATAACCATTACTTCAAACACTGATCATATTTTTGTGTTGGGGACATTTCAAATCTTCTCTGCTAGCTCTTTTGAAATATTCAATAAATTATTGTTAACTATAGTCACCTGACTGTGCTATTGAAGATAATGTTATTCCTTCTATCTAACTGTATGTTTTTACTCATTAACCAATCTCCCTTTATCTCACAACCCACCCTTCCCAGCCCCTTGTAACATTCATTCTACACTCTGCCTCCATGAAATCAACTTTTTAAAACTCCTACATATGAGTGAGAACATGTGATATTTGTCTTTCTGTGTCTGGCTTTTTTCACTTAACATAATGACCCCTAGTTCCATCCATGTTGCTACAAATTAGAATTTTTAATGGCTGAATAGTATTTTGTTATGTATATATACCACATTTTCTCCTAAATGAAGTTTCAAGATGGGTATATCTTCTTCCTTCTTACAAACCAACATCCCAAGGCTTTGAGAAGCTAAATAACTTGCCCATTCTCATGGTAATGTTTTGAGTTTTTATTGAGCCATACAGATGGTTGTGACTTCAAAGCTAGTGGTTTTTAATTATTTATCTACCAAATTTCTCTTAAGATGTTGATCATCTAATTAAACAAACAGATGGCCTTTGAAATTCTCTATGAAAATTAATTATGAGACAGTATTTAATATATATATTGTAAATCTAATCTATGATGGAAAAAATATGTCTATTCCTAAATGTTACCATTTTCTAGAATAGATGAGTAGCAGATAATAGGTTATAGTTTAGGAGACTTTCTTCTACCTAAAGCAGCCAAGAAAGGCTTCAGGGTGTAAATGAGATTTAAGTGGGACTTTTCAGAATTCTGACTGGTGAAGAAGGAAAGAAAGAGTATTCCAAGATAAGAACATGGGGTAGTTGAAATTACATAACTGAGAAAGTTCACGTCTCTTTGACGGATAGTGACTACAGGAATATGTGTTGGGAATGAGGGTGGTAACATGGGAGTAGAGTCAAATCATGGAAACCTTTGAACCTCCGGCTACAGACTGGGGATTTATCCTATAGACAACAGGGAATCATTCTTAAATCCAGCTGCAATGTTCTTAAACCAAACAGTAAACATTTTGGAAGGGGAGATGGGAAGGAAATTTCCATTGGAGGGAACTGTGGGTATGAGGCAAGGAACGAGGCAGTGTATGTGCATGTGCGTGTGTGTGTGTGTGTGTATGTTTGTGCATATGCAAGACTAGATTAGAAGATACTGGGAAAGAAAAATCAGGACTTGGTAAGTAACAATGTGGGGAGGAGCAGGCTATGAATTAAGATGACTGTCAAAGCTTCGATGCTGGGGGATGGTGATATCATGGGTAGGCATGGTGATAAGGAGGAAGTGCTCTTAATAATGATTTCTATACCTAGCTACTTGTGATGGGTTTCATATCTCTGACTATCTCAGGATTTCTATATCTGTTTCCTCATTAATTTGAGATCATGGCATAATATCCCAGTGAAAGGATCCAAAAGACAGTTGGAAACATAACACTAATTGTTAGAAAATTGTTCAAGGGTTAGAAAATATGGCTTTGGAAGTTGTCTGCATAGAGATGAAAGTTCTAGGGGTGGCAATGGTTCCCAAGGGAGAAAAATGTAGTGACATCAGAGAGGAAGACACATTCAACACTTAGTTGTCTTTCCTCATTTCACTGTTTCCATGCAACTTTCCAAGGAATAATGTAACTTGTGGTAGAATTGAGTATGTATTTATTAGCTACTAAAACTGCAAGTCTAACTTTGATAGATATAGAACTGTTCATCAAGTGTGATCATATGAAGAAGAGGAGGAAGGAGTGTTAAATAGGAAAACTAAAAACCTTGCTAAATCCACAAATTTATTTAGGAAAAAAATGCAGTACTTTGTGCTGAAATCATTTACTACGAGATAGCCAAGTAAATTTTCATTTTGACATGACTTAGAATTTCAATTCTCTAAATACATAAGTATGACAGGATATAGCAATAGGTAGTCCAAGTATTTAATAATGTTAATGCTTATAGAACCTGATATAACTATACATTTTCAACATAAAAGAGGCCCCAAGATATATTATCTAATGTGCCTTATTATTTAAATAATCAAAGAAAGCATCACATCTCAGTTGCTCATTATGTTGTTGAGCATTATCAGAAAAAAATGTTCTAATAAACAGCATTTTGGGGGGTTTTGGGGGTTTTCTTTGAGAGTATGACAAAAGAAACTCCTTATCATGAGCAGTTACCCTCTGTAAGTCTAAGTATCTTTTTATTTTGTTTCGTTTTGTTTTCTTTTAAGAGGGGCTTACTATACTTGACACCTAAAGAATAATACTTTGTATTTTGTAATTTTTTGTATATTGTAAAATGCATCTTTTTTAAAATAGAAGGTTTAATTTTCTTTAATCTTATGTTTTATTGTATGCATTTTAAACAATTGAATATAATCTCCATATTATCTTCACACTTACATCATCATTCTTTGGACATAGGACTTCTACATCTCAGTTTCATCATCATTTTTCTAACAGTACAATTTTAATGTCCCTCTTCCTATTTTCCTCTTTAATTGTTTGTATTACTCCTTTCCAACTCCTTCTAATGTGGCTACGTTCTTCTGGTAATAAAGTGTAGAGCGTCAACTGTAATTTTCCAGGTCAAATCTTAACAGAGTCATTTAAATGTCAGCAGCCACGTTTTTCAAATGGAGATGCCAGGAGTATTTTATAGCTCTGAAAGCCAAACAATAATATTGTCTATGGGCACTCAAATTTCACGCTTCAGGGAATAAACTGGAGAGTTTGTAAAGAGACAGAAAAGTGTTTCTTCCTTCTTCGGCATTAGCTATTTAACTAATTCAATATATCCACTCTGCTTTTTCATTAATTTTTTTTGCATTAGTTTCTAGTTCTATAACTATTGGTAATTGCCATAAGCAATACAGAACATTACATAAGCCAATAACCTGGCACTGTATTGAAAGTCTTATGCCTGGGAAGTCTCTTGAGCTTGTAGTTCTTAATAGGTAAATTTCATTTTAGGTATTACATAGAAACACATTCTTCTCCAGACAATTATTTCATGATATCCTATATGGTACCCTTCAGATTTTTGTGCAAAATGCTGAACCCCAGAGATTTTTCATAGGAATACAATTATTAGAAATATTTTTAATTAATGCAACTTAGAGTATGTGATGAGATTACACTAGATTTCTTTTGCGTCAACTGTTATCAAATGGAGTTGTCATGACTACTGCATTCAGTAATTTTAAAACAATATAAAAGATTGACACATTTTTCTCTGGGTACCATAGATGGGAACCTCACCTGATAGTAGTGATGTACACCTCTGGTTATCATATCAAGGTCTAATTTTGGTGTTGAGAATAAGTACAGAAAGAAGGAACAAGAGAAATTCTCTAATGCAAGTGAGATTTCAGCCCCCAATCCAATTAGCATTAACCACAACAGGAATGTGTTTTTTTATTTTTGTTGCTGTTCTCAGGAGAGGTTAGTTTTCTATTACACTCACTTTCTTATGTGGTGGAAAGGAATATGAAAAGATGTGTCATAGCTAACTTAAATCTCATGAAGAGTTGCTTCTTTAATGAAACCAATATCACCCACAAAGTGCCAGATGAATTGATCGATTGCTGGGGCAGTTTGGGAACTTATTTGAAAGTAGGGGCAGCAAGTCAAATTAGATTGTTTTGTGCTAATTAGACTCATTTAGCAAGATTAAATTTCCATGTTTGATTCTCCTTTTCCATATCTGATTATCTCTGTAAGCACTGTGATTAGCTAAACCAAATATGAAATATAACAAATTCTAAAATCTGGTTGGCCTTGTTTAGCTATGCCTAGAGTAGAAGTGGTGGTGGAGAGGAATGGTCATTTACAAGTCTTGCTTTAAATTTTTTTCATTTCTGTTTTTTTAAATTTCAGTCAAAATCACTTGCTCTGTTCTAAAATATATACCTGTGTTTGTTGAAACAAGTCTTTTATTGACTAGAAATAGATGATTAAACAGAACCAAACATTTAAAATGCCCTTTGATAATATTTTACATCAAATCATATATATGTAACATATGAAGTCAAATATTGAATATGAGTGCCATAATTTGTATATGTATTCAAGTCCATAAAGTGGCAATTTGTTAGTAGTAATTAAGCAACCTGTAGGGTGGCATTATTGAAAAAAAAATTATTTTGTCTTTGTAGTGGTATTTTAAGTACAATGTGCTTATAATTGAGTTCATATACCTTCTCATATGAGTTTATCAATTTTCACATCTATTTATCTTTAATACTAATTGTTCTTCAATAATCATTGTGTTAAGTTCTTGATATAATTTTATTGAATATACAATGTTAGAATGCTTATAAAACACTCTGACTTTTTATACTTGTTACCAAAATACATTTTATTTAGAAAAAAACTTTAAAACATAACTTTAATTAGTTCTGGGAAATCATGATTGTCAAGCTATAGATCCTAGGAATGACCAATATTTCTATTTGATACTGCAAATAAGGTTTTGAAGGTACAAGAGTACCAACTACAAGGAAGACCAAAAAATGTAGCAACATTACTTTTTCATCATTCTTAGAATTAATGACACCTTCGAAAGTATGTTTCAGCTGAATGTATTATCAGCTCATGCTTTATTCCCAGAAGGGAACAAAAGCGCTATTGGGACTAGTTACCACAATTTAAACTCAATTGATTTTTTGAGTCTTGTGTCCACATGGAAATTTTTCAGAAAAGACTGAGGGTAGCTAATTTAATCCTGCTTTTTATGGCTTTTGACAGGCAAGGTCCTTGCCTGGCCAGTAGGGATATATTCTGTCATTATATCCACTTTTTGTTTATAATGATGTGAAGTCTGGAGCTGGGAATAATGCCCTTGTATTTGCAAAGCACCTCTTTCACTTGTAACTGGTTACACCTCCTCTACTGTTGATGATTCCATTTCCTCTTGTTCAAAGCATAGGAAGTGCTTTAAATTTGCTTTTACTGTCTTTCTTTCTTCTTTTGAGACATAGTCTTGCTTTGTCGCGCAGGCTGGAGTGCAGTGGTGTGATCTCGGCTCACTGCAACCTCTGCCTCCTGGGTTCAAGCGATTCTCCTGCCTCAGCCTCCCAAGTAGCTGGGACTACAGGCACCTGCCACCACGCCTGGCTAATTTTTGTATTTTTACTAGAGACGGGGTTTCACTATGTTGGCCAGGCTGGTCTTGAACTCCTGACCTCGTGATCACCCCACCTCAGCCTCCCAAAGTACTGGGATTACAGGTGTGAGCCACCATGCTCGGCCCTAAATTTGTTATTTCTAAGGGCCCCAGAGCTTTTTGCTCCACTGTGCTGGTGGTACGTTCAAAATCTTGAAGTGTTTAGCACTACTGGGTGGATTATGATCCACATAGGTATCTTACCTGTGTAAGCCTGAAACCCTTCATCATAGTCCAAGGCAATATGCCTTGTGCCCCAAGTGCCCAGGCATCTCAGATCAAATTTACAGACAAAAGTCATTAGACTACTAGTGAGCCCTGTGGGTGGATCAGCACCAGTCTGCCTGCTGGGAAAACAAAAGATACATGACCTACCTCCATCACCCTTTACAACCAACAATCTTTATGTAGATTGTGTTTGGCAACACTCACATTTATACCTAAAAATAAAAATATAATAATTATTGTATATAATAATATACAATAATTACATAAGTATAATCATATAAATACATTTATATAAATATATATTAATACAAATCTATTAGCAATATATTATATTATGTTAATATATTATTATATTATATTAATACAATATAGCATTATTTTTATATTTATATCAATATAATTTTTATATAATTATATAATATATTTATATTAAGATAAATTTATTAATAATATAAATGAAGATTTATATTGATAAAATATAATCTATATAATATTTTATATAATAGTTTCCCACATGAACTCTAGACAATGTAATGAGAGAGCAGAAAGATGTTATCCATGAGGGGTGAAGTAGGCATAATATAGCCTAAAATTTTAAGGTCATATGGCCTTAGGTCAAATTCCAATTCATTTAAGTATGATCCTGAGTCAAAAATTCTCTCTAGTTCAGTTACCTCCTTTATTAACTGGGAGAACAACAATATTATCTACTTTAAATAACTATTTTATGGCTGAAATTAGCCAATACCTATAAAGAATTTAGACCAGTGACTGACATGTAGTAAGGCCTTTTATTTATCTTTGACTATACAGCACAATTACATAAGAGAGATGGGACTTGAATCTGACTAGGAATCCAATCCTTGTTCCACTACGTCTTGGAATAATGTGGCTAAATTTCAGATTCTACGTGGCATGTTTTTAACATTTCCAGTTCACTGGCCCCAGAAACCCCTTACCCTAAGCTTCATGGATTCCTAAGAACAAACGAGGCTGCTTAGACACTAATGATATCTGCAAATTGGTCTAAGTGTGGATTCAAACATAATACCTATAGTCATGCTATTACATGGCAGAAATACGTGTTTAAACATCTGGCATTTTTCAGAAAGTTCATACTCAGAATAAGAACTGTTAAAAAAATACAAATACAGTCAGTCTGGAGCTTATCTCTTACTTTAAATCATCAAAGGACAGCCAAATCTCAACTAACTATGAAAGAATCAATGAGATAGTACTTACCTCCTCAAGGAAGAACACACAGACAGCTCATTTATTTTTCAAACCTTCACAACAATGTGCTAGTGTAGGATTTCAGTGGCTAAGATTCTGTGAGTTGCTCAAACTTGCTCAAGCTTTCCTATATTTTTATTTAGAAGAAGAAAAGAAGGCATATTACATTTAACAATATGACAAATTCTGTGTACCCTTCAGTGGTCACTTTCTTGTATGACAATAAGTACCATAGTAATATTTGCCCTTATAAAAAAATAAATTTAAAAAGTACAGTCCCATTCTGTGTATATACGTGGTTTATGATTAAGAATGAAAGTAGTGTCTTCATGGTTCTGATAGTTGAAGATTAATATCTACCCTTTTTTGTATAACCAGTTTATACCAAATAAAACAAAACCTGCCTCTCAACTCAGAGATAACTCTTTTAGCTTGTTAATATACATCCTTCTAGAATATACACACATACCCACTCACAACACATTTACATATATGTTTATGTTTCTCCCTTTAATGGGATTCACGTTATTTTTTAATTTTTTTTTTTACTTTAATAGCTTTAGAAGTATAAGTGGTTTTTGGTTACACGGATGAATTGTATAGTGGTGAAGTCTAAGATTTTAGTACACCCATCACCGGAGTACTGCACTTTGTACCCAATGAGTAGTTTTCTATTCCTTACTTCCTTCTTACCCTTCCCCCTTCTGAGTCTCCAATGTCCATTATTCCATTCTGTATGCCTTTGTGTACCCATAGCTTAGCTCCCACTTATAAGTGAGAACATACAGTATTTTGCTTTCCATTACTGAGTTACTTCACTTAGAAAAATGGCCTCCAGCTCCACCCAAATTACTGCAAAAGACAATATTTCATTCTTTTTTATGGCTGAGTAGTATTCCATGTTATATTTATAGCACATTTGCTTTATCCACTGATTGGTTTATGGGCACTTAGGTTGGCTCCATATCTTTGCAATTGTGAATTGTGCTGTGATAAACATGTTGTTGCAGGTGTATCTTTTTTTTTATTGGTTTTGCTCAGATACTTCATTCAGCCAAAAAATACCAAGAATCTATTATGTTTGGTATTGTGTACAAATACATATATATTTTTATACACCAGCATATGATACATGAGGAAACACATTCTTCCTCTACATTGTATCTAATGATACGCATAAGGCTATTTCAGGTTAAATTTATACTACAGTTATTTATTTTACCAAGCATTATGAAGAAAGCATTTTGACATCCCAAACAGATATTTCTCTCCTTTACTGTAATATAATTTAGTCATAACTCAAGGTAATTCTGAGAAATTGAAATACAAGCAAAAGGAACAGTTCCGTAAATATCAATAAACAAAAGACTTAAAGGGAGCAATGTGAAAACATGTCTGACTTTTCAGCTAGATCATTTAAATTTTTTCTTTGGCAAACAACTGAACAAAACCCCAAATTACCCAAATTTACTAAGGAAGTGGAGCCACATGATGATAATCAACACAAGAGTCTCTGCAGCCATCCGGAATTCAAGCTGTGCATACGGAGAACTCTGCTATTCCAAACAACTTGTATACCAGGGGTGATTCTCTATAATCCATTTGAGCTATGAGTCATTTAGGAAGCAAAATTAGACTTATTTTCCCCCCAAAGATTGTTTTTACTTGTCATTGCATGCTCATATACAGGGCTCAGAGCTGATGGATAACTTACTCCTAGTACCCTGCTTCCCAGAAATGGAGATAGCAGCATTGTGTTTTACCCAATGGATAATTTACTCTCTTGACTAATGACCACTTAGATAGTAGGCAAAAGGATTCAGATTTCTAAAATCTAATGGAAATTTAAGGTAAAAACTTAAACAAATATTTGTCAAATTATTAAATTCTTAGCGAGGCGATCACTAATGTTGATACAGAGCTACTAAAGAAAGATTTTTGGCACCCCTAAATTTATAAAAAGTCATGTTAAGTTTAGGCACACTCAAAATTAATTTGAGGAATTCTAGCCTAAAACTATTTTGTAAATTTCATTCAATTAACAAATATTGAGGGACTGATAAAAACTACAAAATAAATCTTTGTTAGATGAATAGGTATCTCTCACATGTGTGGCTTTGGGTTAGACGTAAAGAATGCAAACCATAAAGGGACATGGAATTGTTTCTGGAGGAACCCAGAATTTAAAATGTTAAGAAATGTACACAGTAAATACATGGTATAGGAAGTGGAAGGTGATATATGTCTTAAAAAGATTGCTGGGACATTGTGCGACGGACACCAAAAGGGAGAAGTCATGGAAGAGGCAGAGTTTGAAGTGACTCTTCCAGGACTGTAATGCTTTGGACGTAAGACCTGGAGAAGGGTATCCCAGATACTCGCATGCAATGGCACAGAGGTAGGCAGATGCTGTCTGGTAGGAAATGGGACACCAGGGAATATTTGTGAGTAGGGAAATGATATGGTCAGGGTTTTGCGTGAGGAAAAGCAATTGGCAGAAAGTATTTAAACTGTGTGGGAGGGTGGAAAGGATGGGCGGGAGGGAATGGACTGCCTGCAGGTCCCTGGAAATGCAGAGCTGGAGCTTGGGACCAGGCCAGAGTTGGGGATAAGAGTTTGGGAATCTGGGTGTCCTCTTCCTAGTGTTCATAATTGAGAAACCCCAAGAAGAGCAAAGGGCAGGGCAGTTTCTTGCTGGAGGGTGACAACATCAGAAGGGCCAACCTCCATGCTAAATATCCCGCCCAACATCTGACACCTCAAAACAACAACAACAACCAAAACAAAACAAAAACCCACCACAAAACCAAAAACCCTCAGTACAAAGTAAGGCCACCTCCCCATAGCGAGGTGGGAAGTCAAGGTGCAGAGAATTAGAGAGGATAGCGCATTCCAGGGCATATCAGGGCTAAAACTAAGGCAAGGATGACATGGAGTATATTTAAAACAGTGTACTTGGTTCCAACAATGATAGACTGGATTAAGAAAATGTGGCACATATACACCATGGAATACTATGCAGCCATAAAAAATGATGAGTTCATGTCCTTTGTAGGGATATGGATGAAACTGGAAATCATCATTCTCAGCAAACTATCGCAAGGACAGAAAACCAAACACCGCATGTTCTCACTCCTAGGTGGGAATTGAACAATGAGAACACATGGACACAGGAAGGGGAATATCACACACCGGGGACTGTTGTGGGGTGGGGGGAGGGGGGAGGGATAGCATTAGGAGATATACCTAATGCTAAATGACGAGTTAATGGGTGCAGCACACCAACATGGCACATGTATACATATGTAACAAACCCACATGTACCCTAAAACTTAAAAGTATAATAATAATAAAATTTAAAAAAACACTCAATAAACAGAAGATACAAGGAAAAAATAAATAAATAAATAAATAAATAAATATAAATAAAACAGTGTACTTGGAACTTCCTCAACAGCCATCCTTCTTGGTCTATAGAAACTCAGGAGTCCCAGCTTTAAATAGACTTGTCACGGCCTGCGTTCGTTTCTAAAAGGTGTTTTAAGCTACTTTGTTTTCCTGAAAGCCCCTGTAACCGTGCCAGCTGTCTCTATTTCGTGCCTGTGAAGGAGCACTGGGGTCAGAAATATGTAAGGCTCAGTGTTATTATTCAAGTTCATTGTCTTTACCGAGCCCTGGAAGTGGGTACAGGTCTAAGTGTTCACCCTGCGGCCTCGCCAAGGGGTAACTTGGCATAGTTTTCCAGCTGGTAAGTTGATAGGCAAAGGAAAGAAAGAAGGGTATGAAGAGCGCCCCCGTGAGAAGCAAGGGTTAAGGTTGCCACGGACCCGGCTTTACCCTCAAACCCAGGAAAGCCGGGTCACTTGGGGCTAGGGACGGCCCCCGAGCGAGCGGGGCTGCAGGTGCCGCGAGGAAAGTCAGATCTTATCTGCGCTCCTAGTTATCTCCGCAGCTCTTTCTCCAGGAAAATAATCCTGGCACCACCACTCAGGAGCCATCTGTCTTCGCCCCAGTTCCCCGGGGTCGAGCAGTCAGCCCAGGGTCAGGGTCCTGCTGTGGGCGGGCGGGAGGACAGCCCTGCAGTTGGAAGCAGAAGGGCCGAGGGAATCCCGCGAAGCCGCCGGAGCGCGTCGCGGCGGGGCCTCCCGGGGCTTTCCCGGCCCCGGGTGCGCGGCAGCCGCGGGGGCTGCGTCCCTCTAGTCCAGTGCAGCCGGGTGGGAGCTGCAGAGCGAAGCAGGTGGGTGTGGAGCCAGGCCCGGGGCAGCAGGAGTGGCTGGCGCGCGGAAGCTGAGGGAGGCACCCCGCCGAGGTGTGGGCGGTGCCTGCCCGCGCCCCAGCCGCGCCCTGGGCACCAGAGCGCTGTCCCCGGCCGAGCGCACAGCTCCGGCGCCGCGAGGCAGAGCCCCGGCGTCCCCGGCGGTGCGCTGCCGGCTCGCGCAGCCCAGCCATCCCGCCCCGCCGCCCACCTTGACAGCCGGGAGCGCTGAGGAGGAAGAGGGGGAGGGGGAGGAGGAAGAGAAGGCGGCGGCCGCTCCAGCCCGCGGGTGCGCGGAGCGCGGGAGGAGGCGGAGCGGGAGGCTGGGGTGGCCGCAGCCCTGTGTGCGCGCCGGGCCGGCTAGCTGCGGGGCGGGGGAGCGGCGCCCCAGAGCGCCCCGCCTAGCCTCCCGCGCGCAGCCTCTACCCTGCTCCGCCACAGACACACACCCACCAAGCACCCACCGCCCTCCGCCCTCCGCCCTCCGCCCCCGCGGCCGCCGCCGCCGCTGCGCCTCGGGCAGCCCCAGCGAGCGGCAACTCCCGGGCTGGCGCGGCTCGCTTTCTGGCTCCTTCCGCGCGGCGAGCTCAGCCCCGCTCGATTTTTCCTCTTCTGTTCCAGCCCTCTCTTGTCTGGGTGGCTGTGGCGGCGGCAGGGGGATGGGGACCCCGTGTGGGGAAGGGGTTGAAGATCGATGAAGATTATTGTTCTTTTAAAGGATGCCTTAGCTTCCTCCCGCCGCCTTTCCTCTGAGCCTTCCTACTAGAGACCGTGAACCAGAGTCAGGGATGTAAAGACAGGGGGAAAGCACGCCGGGAGCTCCAGCCAGCCGGGGAGACCCTCCTCTCTGTGGAGGGGAGGGGGATTTCCAGCGACAGGTCATTGGCGAAGGGGATCGTCGCGGGGAGAGGCTCCCCGGAGGGAGCGGGGAATCCCACAGCCCTTTGTGGTGCCCGAGCCCGTGCCGCCTGCTGAGCGGGGTCTGTGGGAGCTAGGTAAGTGGCGGGGGCATTGCTGCTCCCCGAAGGGGGTCTTCCTTTAAGAATGAATCATCGCGGCAGCCTAGCCAGACTTGAGTTGCTAAAGGAATTGGAAACTGCCATATGGCGCCCAGTGGACTTACACACAAAGCTGACTTAGCCCTGAGAGGGTTTTTAATGTCAGGCTCCTTCCCGGTGGGGAAGGCGCTCAAGTATTAGCCCCTGAAAAGCTTCCCAGCAGCCTGACTGGGAAGGGATGGGGATGTTATTTCTAGGAGCCGAGCTCTTGTTGCCTTCCGTCCATTTGTTGGTAAATGCCACACTCACATGCACACACTTGTGGGACTGGATTTAGGGAGTGTGATGTCTCTGATGTATGAACGATCCTCAGAACACAGAGACATGCGTGCATTTTATTCTTCAAGCGGTGCGCGGTCTCCGTTCTGTAGCACGATTCCTGAGAGGGAGAACGGGTCTCTAAGGAAAGAGCTTCATGGCTGTTTCCAACACACTCTGCTAGGGGACTTGGGAATACGTTTGCCCTGAATAGCACCAAAAGACATCGACCATTTGCCTCATCATTTGCTCCCGATGCTTAATGATCCTCTTCAAAATAGTATGCCGCCATCCATTTTCTCGAGTTGTGAGCATTTATGCGTATTCATTCATAAAAACTGTCAGTGTGCAATATGCACAAACATGCCATTTATGCAACATTTATGACTGCACATGTGTTTCAACAATAAGTAATAATGCATACAAGATTACATTGAAAAAAATTTAGTATGCACATACACTGGGTTAATTCCGCGCAGGTTCAACATTCCTTCTAATCAAGTTGTGTAGTAATGTCAAGATTTTAAGTATCGTATCACATTTTCATTTTTGCATTGATTAATTTTTTTATTTTGTTGGGAATCTGATTTTTTGAAACTGAGGGAAAGGAAGAGTAAGCATTTTATTGTTATTGTTAAATGTGTAGTATAGTGTGGGTCGGAAGTCTCTTGGTTTATTTACCAATAAACAGCAATCAATATATTACATTTCATAGGACAAGCGAGAGATAGATTTCGGTCAAAAATCTTGTCTTACCTGTCAGTGCTGAATAACTTACAGGAAAGATTTTGTAAAAGAGGGTAACATTCTAAAGTTACATATCAAGAAAATAAAGTTTTGTTTTATCTATTTCACTCTTTAGGGGCATGTGTGTGTGTGTGTCAATAAATATAAAGTTGTCCAAAGCTTAACGTAATACATGAATAAAACCCATCTAGACTAGACATCTAGGCTAGAGAGTTCTTTGTTCTTAAATTAACTCAAACAGTTTAGTAATTTGGCACATTACACATGTGTATGCGCATTTAATTGCCGTTTGAGGTGGTGTTTTTAATTTAAGGGCATGGATAAAGTGCTTACTTGTGTGATTGCATGGACTCTGAAAATACTGAAGGTCCAACGTAGAAATAACTTTCTTCCCCACTGAAGGAAAAGTATCCTTATCACCTAGAAGAGTTAATATGCTTCCACAAAGTAAATACCATAATCCCCTCCCTCTTGCCTTAAGGTTTAGAACAATTGTTTATCACAAATAGAATTCTGTATAATGTACCCTTCTTCCTTTTCTGGCACTACTCAGACTTTTGGAGAAAGAACTTGGCAGTTCTGTTTGTTTTCTTGCTCCTTTAACCTTCACCTTTCCCTCTCCATGTTAGTGTTCTCAAATCTCCCTCATACACAAACCCACACGTATCGACTCCAGAAAAATCACTCTCCTGCCTGCCACTTTGAGAGTTCTCATCTCACATCTTTTCTATTGCCTCTCTTTTCTTTTCTTCTGTTTTTCCAAATAGAATCAATCCATGCATCCGTTGAAACTATTTTGCATTTCACTGTTCTCCAAGTCCAACAATTCAACTTTCCAAGCATACATATTTACTGAATATTCAGAGGAGTTAGTAGAAATTATTACTTTATCCATTCCCTTCTGTTTGGCTTTTAAAACTTCATAGTTTAGGCAATAGGGCAACTTCCTGCCTTTTTAACACTCACTATGATAATAAAAGTGAGATTGCTAGAATAACGAAATGGCAGGATATGGTTTCGGTCACGTTTCTCAACTTAAGAGTGTGTCTGTCCACGTGTTTTATATACCTGCCTGCATGTCTACAAATGTGCAAGTCTGCAGAGCATCTTCGTTAAACGTTGAAAAATATTTTTTCTTGAATGCGTATCTGGCATTCTTATATGGTAGAGAGATCAGTATATGTGTATAACATATTGTGAAAGTAGACCCAAATCTAGGAAACCTATAAGATATATTTCATTCTGCCCTAATGCATTTTTTTCTTCATAAAGAACTAATTAGTTCCTTTAAAACTTGCTATCTCTTAAAGACTAATTCCAAAGGAAGATTCTTAACGTTGATAGGAAATCTCATGCATATTTTAAGGAAAATATATAAAGGTAAGATATTCTGCTTATTTCAAAATGTAATTGTTTAAGATTTGTTTATATTCTTCAGATTGATTTTGCATAAAATCGAGATTTCTATTATTTTCACAGAAGCTTCAGACAGATGGACAATACAAAGGCATTATGTGTGATTTCTTTTTTAGCCCAGAGTTTTGTTATTGTTGTTGTTGTTGTTTGTTTTTTTTAAGGCTAGAGATTATGGCCTTGTTACTCCCCAAGTGATAGAATAAACTTTATAGAGCAGAGCAGCATTAGATTTTTTAGTCACATTCTACAAGTATCTTTATAGCCTAGATCTGTGGGCCATTCTGTTTCATTGCTTATTTCCTCCTTGTGCTTCTTAAATATGTATTCCCACCAACTCTTTACTGCAAGTACGGGTTGTGAGGCAGAAAGCCATGTGTGTGAGACAAGTAATCCCTTGACTTGTGTAAGCCAAACCCTCTTATATTATCTTAAAAAGTGCGTATTCCTATAGGTTGAATTTTAACTATCTTTGCTATCTGATTTGATGTCCCATAGCCACTCATTGACTCATTCATTAATTCATTTATTACTTACTAAATATATATATATAAGGAGAAGAGTGCTTGAATAGAATATAACAAATGTAAAAAATATAGAAGCTAGGCCCTGCTCCCAAGAATATTTTAGGGGGAAAAAAACTTGAAAAACTAATTGAAAAATCAGTTATAGTTCAAAATGAAAGATCTCTTTTATACAGAAATGCACTTAATAATTTTATACTTAGCAAATTAATTAAGACACATCCATGAAGAGGATCATGAAAATTTTCACAAACTATGCATTTGGCAGTTGTTATAAAACAATAAAAATAATAGTAATAATAATTTCATTAAAATATTTAATTTTAAATGTAGAGTATTATGATTATAAGTAATACTATTTATTTTATTGACGTATATAAAATAAAGTTATTATTATAGCACTTACTTGAGGCACATACTGTTTTAAGCATTTTACAAATATTATTTTCATTCTTACAACCACCCTATGGTGTAGCTGTCAGAAATGCCCTTTATTATATAGATATGAAAACTAATGTTCAGAGACTTTTCTTAACTTGTCTAAAGTCATATAGGAAATAAATGGTAAAGTCAAGCTTGAACCTAGGTGCTCTGGCTTCACTTAACCACTATGATATTCAGAAGTGTTAAAAACGAGCCCAGGCAGAACAAGAAAAAATGCTTGCAGTTCCTAGATTTATTTGGAACTGTATCTTCTCACTCACCAAAGGATGCCCTGCTTATTAGTACAGGAGGATGCTTGAAAAAGGCCAAAAGTAAGAGAAAACCCCCATATTTTCAACATGAATTTGAAATAAGAAGGTAGTTTAGATTTTTATAAGGTAGGTGGGATTTTATCAGAATGCTAACACATTAGAAACTACTAGCTTTACATCGACCACAGAAAATGAGGCTGGCTGATGCAGATGATCTCATTGGTCAGTTTATTTTCATTTTCAGGTTCTTTAAAAACAAGTTTGTGAATTATTTTGAACATAGTATTACAAATTTGTTTAATTTAGCTACTTTTAGAATTATTTGTTTTTTAAAAATTATTAGTTCTGAAATATAATTTTTTATGCATGTCCCCATTTTTTTCCCTGTGAAACATAACATGAATATTTCAATAGAAATTAAAATATGGTTACTTAACAGATTTACATACTAGTATAGTCTCTAGAATGCATTTATTTTATTAAGTGCAGAGTTACTATGATAACATTATGAAAACATAAATTGAGATTTTCATCAAGAAAAGTTTATATATTTGAAGAAAAGTTTTTTCTAAATAGCTACAACTTCTGTTTATGTGAACAATGTCATCCAGATTAAATTTGAAAGCTAAAATGATTAAATATTGCCTGCAGGAAGCCATAGAATCAAATATTTAGACATATCCTCATGATTGACATTTTAATTTTTCACACAATTATTAGGTCTTACAGGTTCAATCACATTGTATAGCCAACCTTGAACCTACAATTGGCTTATTAGATAAAATTTCATTTTAAAAATTTGGGTATTTTAGAACTTGTAAACATTTCCTTATAAAAATAGTACTTTAAATGATGTTTAGGTCCTCAGACCAATCCACCAAAGCCCTTTTAATAACTAATATACCTGAAGTACAGTACTGTTAGTATTAAAAAAACCCACAGCCAACTTAAAAATTAAAAATTAAAAATTATGTATGGCAATACTCCTGGGGAATCATTTGATTTACATAATGTTTATTGGCTTCCTTTGTGTGAGACTCACTTGAGATACAGAGGTGAATGCAGTACTGCCTAGGCCCACAAGGAGGAGAGAAAATGGAGAGGGTATTTGTACACAAGTAACTGACATCTGGCAGAATGAAGGAAGCGATATAAGAGTGATAGAGGCAAAGCACTGGATAATTGATTCAGAGTTCTACCATGAAATCCAGGGACTGCAATCCCTTCAGGGTTCTCATTTGGTAGTTCATCCTAAAGGTATCTACTCAGCTTCTGTGTGCCAAGTCCTAAGCCAGTTATTAGAGACATAAATATGCATAAGACACTATGCACTCACAGCCTACATTTGTAGAGAAATAAATCACAACCAAATATTATAAATGCTATTGATAGAGTGGGATGGCAATTCAACGGAGTAGTTGTATGACAGAAGCATCCCAACAGTAAGAAAATACAGTTGCTTTGAATTTCTAAATATATTTAGAGCCACAACACTCTACTCAGTCGGATCCAATACCCCCTTTTTATAAGCAGTACTTTGTAATGTCCCCTTTACTTTCCTGAAATAATATGTATAGATAATAAATCATATCTACACATATAACATTTTAAAAAGCAATATAAATTCCCTATCTGTAATAGAAAGAGTAAATAAGAAGAAAGCAACTTAAGATAAAATAGTAGGCTTATCAATATGTGCATGCTCAGATATAACTACACTAAAAGATGTACTAAAATAGATGCTTGCTACTTAAAATGCATAAGTTTGGATAAGAAGATAAGTTCAGATAAGATTAGAAGATAAACTTGGATAAGATGATAATATTCAATTGAATATTGGTAACACTTTTATATATTTGGCACTTTGAAATAAGAGCAAAATAAATATATTCATTGAGTGTGACAGCAGCAATTGCAAACAGATGTGGGTGTACTGGATTAATGAATCAATTAACAGGAGCAGCATGATAGCTGGTGACATAACTTCCCAAAATCGTGAGCAAATCTTGGTGATAGCACCTTCTATCATTCCTAGAAAATTCCTGTGTAAAAACATGCTATGAACAATAGGACTAGGGTCTAGTCACAGATAACAGTAAGCAAGTTTTTTATTTACATATATGTCTGGTGAGATGTGTAAAAGTTATGGAGGAAGCAGGATTTCCTGCATTCTTGGGCCTTGCCCTTCAAACACTTGACAACTTTAGGAAACTCACTCAAAAGGATCATATTCCTCTCATTCAGGAGCACTGATTATGGCTATATTCTCCCATTGAAGAAAGCCAATCCAATTCTACTGTGTGGGTGGCTATTTTGAAAAAGCTGAGCACTCTATGTTTTTAGTATGAAGGTAAGTTTAGCGGCTGACTAAATACAAATAAATAGCAACAAAATCAAACTATGTAGTTTGCTAAACATTAGGGACATCCTATTAGTGGGCACAATTTGATGATTTAATTATCACTGTGAAGAGTATCATTTTCTACGTGGGATAGTCAGACAGGACTTCACAGATGAAGTGACATCTAAGTTCATTTTTAAAAGATGAGTAAGCATTCCCCAAGTGGAAAAGGAGGTAGATGGAGAGCATTCTAGGCAGAAGGAACAGCATTTGCAAAGCAATGTCATAAAAAAGGGCTTGGCTGGTGACTGAAGGTCAGCATTGGCAGTTGTGGGGAAGTGATGGGAGACGAGGCTGAAGAAGGTTGAGGATTAGATGTGAAAGGTGTTTATGCCATCCTACATCATTTGGATTTTATCCTGAAAGGCAGGTTGTTGGGGGAGAGAGGGTCAATGGAAAATTTTTAAAAAGTGGTGTAATCCACTTTATTTTTGGCAACAATCTCTGAGCTAATGTGAATAGGATCAACTTTAACAGGAGAAAAGATTGATACTTTGGAGACTAGTTAGGAGTCTTTCAAGGAATACAACTAAGATAATGTCTAAGACTTGCTTTAAACAGGAATGGCGAAGAAGGGGAGGAGGATTTGAATTCCTGACGGCAAACACTTGCAATCTAAGGGTCTCCAAGTCTTCCACCTCCCAATACAGGTCATAATAGTAGGTATTACCCTCCTTTTTTGCTTTTCAATGGTGATTGTATTAGTTGAGGTAACTTTAACTTCTAAACTTCCATATTTCAGTGGTTAATAGAGTGGACATTTAATTTTTGCTTATATGAGAGTCCAATGTATGCATTCAGTGCAGTGATTTGGGGACCCAAATCTTGCTCTTGATACTAGAAACATGAAGCTCTCTGCATCCAGCTGACATTGTGGAAGAGAATGAACATAGAGAAGGCACACCCAAGTAGTGACACACCTGGCTTCCATTCACATTCTGTTGATGAGATAGTCACATTGCTCTGTCAGTATGCAAAGAGGGCTGGAGTATGCAACCTCTGGGTGGGAGGCTACTTTCCAGTCATATTTCTGTATCATGGAAAGGGAAGCATAGATTTTGCTAAACAAAAATTCTACTATATTCTGCTCTCTGGCTACAGATAGGAAAACCTCAACTCCAGAAAACAACCTGAATCTCACCTAGTCACTGTATCCATCTCAAAGTCCAGGTTCTATGGCTGATGCTGAGTGCCCGCCACCATTTAGTCTGGATATGGCCCCTCATTGTCTAGAAACTTTTGTACTAAAAGGCAAGTTATCAGCCTCCAATATACAGGCATACCTCATTTTTATGGTGCTTTGTTTTATTGTGCTTAACAGATGCTGCGATTTTCACAAATTGAAGGTTTGTGGCAACCCTGCATCACGCAAGTCTGTCAGTGCCGTTTTTCCAACAGTGTGCTCACTTCTTGTCTCTGTGTCACATTTTGGTAATTCTCCCAATATTTCAAATGTTATTGTTATATAGGTTATGCTGATCCATGATCAGTGATATTTGGGGCACCACGAGTTGTGCCCATATAAGATGGTAAACTTAATGGATGAATGTTGTGTGGGTCCCAACTTCTCCACTGACTGGCTATTCCCACATCTCTCTCCCTCTGCTTGGGCCTCCCTGTTCCCTGAGACACAACAATATTGAAAATAGGCCAATTAATAACCCTACAATGACCTTTAAGTATCCAAGTGAAAGGAAGAATCACATGTCTGTCACTTTAAATCAAAAGCTAGAAAGGATTAAGCTTAGTGAGGAAGGTATATTGAAAGCCAAGATAGGCTGAGAGTTAGTCCTCTTGTTCCAGTTAGCCAAGTTGTGAATGCAAAGGAAAAGTTATTGAAGGAAATTAAAAATGTTACTCCAATGAATACATGAATGATAATAAAGGAAAAAGAGTCTGATTGCTGATATGGAGAAAGTTTTAGTGGTCTGGATAGATCAAATTAGTCACAACATTCCCTTCAACCAAAGCCTAATCCAGAACAAGACCTTAACTCTCTTCAATTCCATGAAGGCTGAGAGAAGTGAGTTTTTCTGTGAGTTCTTGGATATTGGTAAAGGCCCCCTGTTCTGGCAATAGGGCACATTCCTTCTTTAGACCCTGGTTTGCTATCTTAGAAGAAATTCTTTGTTCTTTGTTCTCTGTTCTTCTGTTTCTTCAAACAGAAGAAAAGTTCAAAGCTAGCAGAGGTTGGTTCACAGGTTTAAAAAAAAATAAGCCATCTCCGTGATACAAAAGTGCAAGGTGGGCCGGGCGCAGTGGCTCACGCCTGTAATCCCAACACTTTGGGAGGCCGAGGCAGGTGGATCACAAGGTCAGGAGTTCAAGACCAGCCCGGCCAACTTGATGAAACCCCGTGTCTACTAAAAAAATACAAAAAAATTAGCCAGGCATGGTGGCAGGTGCCTGTAATCCCAGCTACTTGGGAGGCTGAGGCAGAGAATTGCTTGAACCTGAGAGGTGGAGGTTGCAGTGAGCCGAGATTGCACCACTGCACTCCAGCCTGGGTGGCAGAGCAAGACTCTGTGTCAAAAAAAAAAAAAAAGTGCAAGGTGAAGAAACAAGTGTTAAATATGGAAGCTGCAGCAAGTTACCCACAATATTTAGCTAAGATCATTGATGAAGGTGGCTACAATTAACAATAGATTTTTAAAATTTCTTTAGAGACAGGGTCTCACTCTGTCACCCAGTCTAGAGTGTAGTGGCATGATCACAGCTCACTGCAGCCTTGAACTCCTGGGCTCATGGGATCCTCCCCCTTCAGCCTTCCAAGTACTTGGGACTACAGGCATGCACCACAACACCTGGATAATTTTTTTATTGAAAATTTCTTTAATTAAAAAAAGACATGGTCTCACTGTGTTACCCACAACAGATTTTTAATGGAGATTAAACAGGCTTCTGTTGAAAGGTGACGCCATTTAGGCCTTTCCATAGCTAGAGAGAAGAAGTCAATGCCTGGCTTCAAAGCTTCAAAGGACAGGCTTACTCTCTTGGTAGGGGCTAATCTAGCTGGTGACCTTAAGTTGAATTCATTGCTTACTTTCTATTCTGAGAATCCTAGGGTCCTTAAGAATGATGCTAAATTTACTCTGCCTATGCTTTAGAAATGGAACAATGAAGCCTGAATGAACAATGCATTTGTTTACAGCATGGTTTACTGATATTTTAAGCCCACCATTAGAACCTACTGCTTATGAAAAAATTCTTTTCAAAATATTACTGCTTTTTGACAATGTTTCCCATCACCCAAGAGCTCTGAGGGAGATGTACATGGAGATTAATGTTTTCATGCCTGCTAACACAGTATCCACTCTGCAGCTCATGGATCAAGGAATAATTTTGACTTTCAAGCCTATTATTTCATAAATACCTTTTATAAGGCTATACCTGCCATATATAGTGATTCCTCTGATAGATCTGGACAAAGTTAATTAAAAACCTTCTGGAAAGGATTCACCATTCTAGATGCCATTAAGAACGTTTGTGATTGATGGGAGGAAGTCAAAATATCAACATTAACAGGAATTTGGCAGAAGTTGATTCTAACCTCCATGGATGACTTTGAGGGATTTAAAACTTCATTGAAGAAAATAACTGCACATATGGTGGAGAGAAGGAGAATTAGAAGTGGAGTCAGAAGATATACATGAATTGCTGTGACCTCATAATCAAACTTGAGCAGAGAAGGAGTTGCTTCTTATGAACGAGCAAAGAAAGTGATTTCTTCAGATGAAATTTACTCTTGATTGAAGACACTGTGAACATTGTTGAAATCACAACAAAGGATTTGGAATATTACACCAACTTAGTTGATAAAACAGAAACAAGATTTGAGATGATTGACTCGAATTTGAACAAAGTGCTAGTGTGGGTAAAATGCTATCAAATAGCATTGCATGCTACTGAGAAATCTTTTGTGAAAGGAAGACACAACTGTGCAAACTTCATTGTTGTCTCATTTTAAGAAATTGCCACAGCCACCCAAATCGTCAGCAGCTACCACTGAGATCAGTCAGCAGCCATAAACATCAAGGCAAGACCATCCATTAGCAAATAGATTACAATTCCCTGAAGGCTCTGAGGATTGTTAGCTTTTTTCCCCAATAGAGCATTTTAATTAAGGTATGAACATTTTTAATCGAAATAATATAAAATACTACAGTATTTTATAAACATTACCTTTACATGCACTGGGAAACCAAATATTTCTGTAACTTGCCTTATTGAGGTATTTGCTTTTTTGCCGTGGTCTGGAACTAAACCTGTAATATCTCTGAGGTATGCTTGTATAATGATGGATGAAGTTTGGAATGATTGCCTTTAAAATTTCCATTTGGAAAAATGAACAATGGGAGACATAAACCAGTCATTGACGCATAACATGGAAGAAGTCCTGTTGGATATTGTTAAAGGCCCCCTGTCCTGGCAATAGGGCACATTCCTTCTTTGGACCCTGGTTTGCTATCTTGGAAGAAATTCTTTGTTCTTTGTTCTGTGTAGTCCAGGCCACCTTCTGGGAGGTTCTTCATTGTCCATTACTCTCCATGACCACATGCAAAATGGGTGTTGGGAAGTATACCCTTCCTGGAACTTATAGGGCCTTATAGGCCTGCTTCTTCCCAATCCAAGCCTAGATACCTAGAGGTGGTTTTAAAGTCATTGGGTTTTTTTTTCTTTTTTCTTTTTTGTTAGGCCTGGCTCTTAATTTCTTTGACAATACAATTTCCTCAAAATTTTCATAAGTTACTTACGTATTTGCTTTCTGTCAGTTACACTACTAGCTACAGTGAAAGTTCTTTCCTATTCGTAATTTTTGAAGCTGTTTCATTCCTTTGTTCATGTCTTATACACCCATGTCTTAAGTGGTTATGTTGGGTTCATCTCAAAAATAGGCTTGGGTGGTTAGGTCACTTCATTAATGAGATATTTACTGCAAGGCTGAGTCACTTTGTCGAACTGGGAGGTTATAAGGGACTTGTGTTACTCAAAGCCTTTTTCATTGTTATTTCTCACCCTTATCCTCCCTGAAGAGTGGGCTGTTGCAGCTTCCTGAGGTCTTCTGTTTCAATCGTTTTTTAATACTTTGCTACAGGCAGTGAGGAGCAACCACCACACAATAACATTCTGGCTCTTTGCAATCTTTTTTTCTGAAGTTATAGACCTGCCTTCTAAGTTAGCACAGTTGTGCCAGGGCATGGCAGGGTCCAGGCATTTCGTCTTCTATATCCCTTTCCTTGCTTGGGGCAATGCCACATAATTAGATTTTTGTAAAGGCAGCACTCCCACGCCCCCTAACATCAAGGTGTCAATGTTAGGATAATGCTAGCTCATCCTGTAACAAACACCAGAATGTTAGCGATTTGGCATAACAAAAGTATATTTCTCATTCACATAACAATCAAATGAAGAGTGCGAGAGCACAGAAAAGGCACGACCAGTTCTTAAACATCTTGACTCAGGTGTGACAACAACACTTCTGCTTATATTCCACTGATGAAAACTAGTCAGATACCACTCTATCTAGATGCCTAGATGAGGGGGCTGGGAGTAGGGGCTGTGAAATGTAATATTTGGCTCAACAGGAACTTCTCAGTGGCAATTATATAAGGTGAACTATAAATTTAAATAAACAACTAGCCATCCCTGCTGTCGTCATATTTCTTCAAAATAAATTAGGGGAGAAAAGTGTTTGAATTGCATCCACTCACTGGTTAATCCATGCTGTGCCACATCCTTCACCACACGCCTGTGTTCTCTTTGGCTCCTCTCAGACCTCTGGGATGTCTTCCTCTGGGACACATCTCCCTTCCTTCTCTAATCAATCAGTATTATAGTGCCCTCATATATAAAAGACTCTGGCTGAGTGCATTGGGATAAAGGATGGTAATTATAGCATAGACAAGAAACTAATTCTAATTAAATGTTAGATGTCACTGCTCCTAAAAATGCATTTACCATTCCTCATCACAGGAGTTTTCTCATTGGTCCATGTCTCACTGGGGCCCAGGTACCAGCCATTTTCTGGACACCTCACCAGCCATTTGCTAGGTCTCTCTCTTCCTCTGGACACTTCCTCCCATCTCTTCATCCAGAATTTTCCCACTATCCTTTCTCAAGATGACAATGGATGATTCCAAAAGACAGAGGTAGTTCATTATGCTGAACTATTTAACTCTTGTTTGCCTCTGACTTGCCCAAGGGCACTTGCCAGTAATAGCCAAATAGCCCATTATGTTTTTTTCTGAAATGAGAAAGCAATTCTTTCCCCAGGAGGACTTACTGCTTCTTATACTCTAACTGGCTGGAAATTGTAGCCAGCTTTTTACAGGTGCACATTCAGCTAATATTTATTAAACACTTTTCAGGTGTAAAGTACTCTGCTAGGTCATGAGGTTATGCAAACTTAGTCCTTACCCTTTCGAGGCTTATGGTCTGCCTGAAAACAAACATAGAACCCCTAGATCCCTTGCAGTGCTAATTGCAGTGAGTTTGCCCCAGGTCCAAACAATTGATAATTCTTTGGGTTGTGGAGTATTTTGAAAGGGATGGGGAGTAGCAGCATGCAGGCTGTGGTGTGCTAAATTGGGGAAGTTGAGACATTATGCTGTCATTATTTCCCAGAGATAAATTCTGTGCTCTGCTTCTGGTCACCTAGTTATTTTTTGCAGACTCCAGGTCTTAAGCTATGTGGTTCTTTTTACACTCCCTGCTCCTATTTTCTGACAGTCAGGAAAAGCCAGTCCTAAAAGGAGATCAGTCAGGTATGGGAAAGTGGCATCTGGAGAGAATAGAGCAAATGACAGATGGCAATCCCAGTAGACAGGAAGTTAGACTTTCTTCCTAGGGAATGTCCTGGCCAAATATGGTAGGCAGTGTCTGGGAGCAGGCGATATTTGGAGATTCAGACAGGCAGGGCTGACAGAGACAGGCAGGGATAGAATGGTCCAGCCCCATAGGCTCAGAATGCTGCTGCTGGAGGGGACATAGAGTTTAGGAAGAAGCCTCTTTTAAGTAGCTAGCAGGGGCCTACACAGTTAAGACATCTCCATTCTCAGGAAGACAGGGTGATGTTCACTTCATTAATGAAGGGATCCAGGCACAATGGACAGGACCATTTCTTACGCCATCACCAAAGCACCAACCCCACCTTCATGATGTTCCACTATAGCTTACTAACTGGACTCAGCTTCTTTTCTTGTCCTCTCAATTAATTTTGCCCTTTTTTGTTGTTGTTGTTGTTTGTTTATTTTTTACAAAAAGCAAATCTGATTGTGTCACTCATTTACCTAAAACCCTTAAATGATTTCCCACTTTTCTTAGGATAAGGTCCTAAACCTTCAACTTGGGGGCTACCATATTCCTCCTTCATTTCCCAAAGCATCACTAGTAGAAAGCTGTTGTACATGACGGGCTCTGGTCAGTCTGGCCCCTTGTCGCCAGCATCGTCTCAGGCCCCACTCATCCTTTGTTTTCTGTTACAATTTCTGGCTTTATTTTAGTTCATCTGAAGTGCCCTGGGCTTTCTTGCTAGAAGGCCGTCTCGCATAGTTACTTGGGATGCTCTCTCTTCCCACTTTCACCTAATACATTCTTACTCATGTCTCTGAACTCAGGTCAAAAATCACTTGCTCAAAGAAGTCTTCTTGGCTCCCAGAGCAGGGGCGGTGACTCATCATGCCGTCTTCTAGCACCCTGATTCGTTATGGCACTTACCCCAAATCTAACTTTAAAATTTCAGGCATTTACTCATTTAATATCAGCTTTCTCACACTAATATCAGCATCCTTTGCAAGAATATAAACTCAGTGAAGGCAGGGACTGCTGCTTTCATGCACTTCTTTATCCACAGCACCTCTCACAACTCCATGCACATAGCAGATGCTTATTATTTGTTTGTTGAATAAATGAGTAAAGGAATGGATGGAGCTGGGGCCCAAGTCAAGTTCTAGGTCATAAAATGGAACCGGGAGCCCAGTTCCCAAGAACTGCTGTTCAGGGTAGGGCAGGATAGGACCAGAGCAAGTCTGCCTGATGATGAAGCGCCAAACCATGACCGTGCACTATTTACACTCATGAACTCTATATTCTTCTTGACAAGGACCAAGATGGTCCTAAAACCCAAGAGGAAGTAGAGTTTGTAATTGGAGTCCCAGGGTATACCACTGCTGAGAATGGGAGTAGAGGTAGAAGGTGGTAGAAACACAATCAAGGCAAAACATGTTCTTCCAACAGAATTTTTTCTGCCATTCTTATTAAGAACAGAACTTATTTCTTATTTAAGAACAGAACTCAGCCTCATAACTTCACAGGAAAGTTGTCTAGACCAGTGCTTCCCAATAGAACTTGATGTGATGATGGAAATGTTCTATATTGGTGCTCTCCAATACAGTAGTCACTAGCCACATGAGCTATTGAATATTTGAAACATAACTTGAGAGACTGAGAAGTTGAATTTTAAATTTATGTGATTTATGTTGAAATAGCCACATGTGACTAGTGGCTACCATGCTAGATAGTATATAGGTCTAGACTATTATTAGCATGAACTACCTTAAGAAACTAAGTTTCAAAAGCAGTGTGGTTTAAATTTTAGACATATTCATTTACAACCAGTGTTGGCCTCCAGTTTACTGTATAAACATGTAAGCAATCTTTGGTGCCCAGTACCAGTTTGACTTTGATGAGTGTCTCCTAGGTACATCCTATTGAAGGGATTTGAATGAACTATCTCTTGTTTCTGTCCACTGGCACTGTTCTTTATTGAGGGCATTTCTGTCTTTAGGCAGGTTGTACAAAATGTGAAGTATTGTACACATGTAGAACACTTTCTCTGTAAGTATCTATGTCATATGACTGTCTCACATCCACTTTTCCCAGGCAGGATTTTTTTTTTGTACCCTCCCCTCTTCTTTGTTTCTCTCCTTCCTCTCTTACTGTTTCCTTTTTTGACGTCTAAAATGACAAAGATACAACACTGTGTCCTTTAACAAGTTCCTTTTCTTTTGCACGTTCATTTCTTTTCCTTTGTGCTTATTTCTATAAGCTGTTTTATGAGTTCAGATCCTTAACAACAAAAAAATTTAAAAAAAACACACAGACCAAAATACAGTTCAAATCATTAGCAACAACAACAAAATCTCAGAAATGATGATAGCTCTTGGCTTGCTGTTTCATACATTTTGGATATTGATCAGATATAATAATTTCAATATCAATATATGAAGAATTTAACGTAAGCCATTGCACTTGGTTTTTCCCAGTTTTCACCTAGATAACATGGTAGTTGCTTTTAATCCTTTGAAATTGCCCATTTGTCTGACTCTTGAGTTCTTTGCCCTGCTTTCCACAAATAAAAAAACTTTCCAATGAGGAAATACCAGAATAAGAATGTGGTGTTTAGAAGGCAAAAATCTGAAATATCATAATAAAGTACAAAGAAAGAGTCTATCTTTACTCCTTTTTCCCTAGTCTGAATAGCTTAGAACAAATGTGTCTCAGGGCTTTCATGCTAAATGTTCCCAGTTCATAAAATCGTGATTATTAATCAGGTTATCATTAAATATTAACTTACTTTTGAGATAAATGTCATTTTAAATTTGGAATCCTACTTTTTTTTCTAAATCTAAGGAGAGCATTTTCATTAGGCTTTATGGAAAGAGTGCACATAGAAAGCTTAGAAGCTATTAAGAAGCTACTTCTTAAACTTGGCTTCTGGTTTCATTCCAGCCCAGCCAAATAATTTCCAGCATAATAAACACAATTTGTAAACATCTATATGAAGCTAAAGTAGAATATTATGGTAATCATTTTTGTCATTTTTTTAAATCTGGGGAGCTATTTTATTGCAGGCATTTTATAACATTTGGAATACAGTGCTTCATGGGTAGTAGATGCTCAATAAATATTTGTTGAATGAATTAGCAAATTAATAAAACCTCAAAGAGTTTTTAAAATTACAAATGGGGGCTAAGACTATTGTGTCCATAAATGCATACTATATTCCACAAAGCCCCATGAATTAAAATATCCGTGTCATTTGCTGGTACTTTATATTAGTTTCTCTTCTTTTACAGCAATACATTTAAATCAGGGAGACAGTTTCAACTAGGTGCTAGTTAAATACATATTCAAGTCCATAATGTTATCTGGGCCTACAAAACGCATGCTAGAACACAAAACCAAAAGTTCCTGTAATATTCTTTGCGGTGATCCTGTGGGTTTCTTGAGAGCAAAGGGCTACTTTACCCAATTTTGCATCATCTCCCATGCTCGATATATAGTGACAGTCAAGTAACATTGTTTTGGAAAGAGGAGACAGAATGAGAGGAATAATGGATCTAAATCCGTATTTCTTATTTATATTTTATGGTCTTTTTCCATTCTGACCATTATTGGAATAGTAGAAATTATAGACTTATGTTGTAGCCAGGAATCATTAATAATAAGGTTCAACTCACCAGTATTTATAGGTTTCACTGGGTATGAGATAGTCAGATTACTCTTGCTTCACATTTTTTCTCTTCCATTGTTTAAATTGTATATTTATTTTTGGTGCTCTGCGGTAGCAAAGTCTAATACAAAGAACTAGGTTCAGAAGCAGGAGCTTTAGCTACTGGCCCTGATGCTGAAAAGGCCCTGGGAAGATTGTTTAAATCTACCAGTGTTTTTCACCTAGTTAGAGTGGACCCCTTCTAACTATAAATTTTGTATTTTCAACATTTAAAAAATATTCTTGGCATCTATTTTGACCATAAATCTTGAATACTAAGACTATTAGCATTACTTCTGAAAGTCACATACTAAAACTTATGTTTAGTTTTAAAAATTCAGAGCTGCCAAAACAGTTGCCAATTCTACCATCTCTATCCATAAGAGAATTGTAACGTGATAGTAGATGTTATACATGTCATTCAGGCCAAGGGGTAGACAAAATATTACAGGAATTATTTATGTTCACTCTTACCTTCAATATCATGCTACTAGGATTGCTCAATATTGATCCCATATTTCTGCTTATTTATTATAGGCATCCAGAATCCTTCAATTCAAGGAAAATTCCCAGTGTCTTATAAGGTCAAGAACATGGTCTTTGGATTAAGATAATGCTGGGTTGGAATCTTGGAGGCAGCACCTCCTAGTTGTGTTGTGAGCAAGAAACTTACCTTTCTGAGCCTCAGTTTCTTAACCTATAAATAAAAGATAATAATACCCATCCCAAGGAGGGATGAGAAATAATGAGAATTCTCACCATGCGAATTAACTGCAATAAGCACAGTGGCTACATATAATAATCACTTAATATTTGGTAGGTGATGAAAATGATAATCATTAACAAAATTCACAAAGCAAATGAGATCATAACTTTGGCTCTCTTTCAGATACAACTCTAAGAATATCCCTACTTTCTAGGAAATGTAAATTTTACTTATGGGCATTTTGATCTTAAGCTGAAATAAAATCCAAATTGTAAAACCGAATCCATCACAATAGCTTATTTTACACCGACATGTTCTTTTATTATAATCCTGACTACATGCAGCTTGCAAAGCTGAAAAACAGTGCTTTAAATATCACCATCTCTGAATCCAGAAAAACTAGTTCTTTCCTTGAAGAAAAAAAAAATGAAAAAAACCCATAACAATATTAAAGAAGAATTTTTTTTTTGGCATTTCATTTTGGTTTTAATTTGAATGTTTTTAAAGATTTAAAAAGATTAAAGCCTCTTTGTAGGCTTATTGGCCATTTGGATTTTCTTTTTATTTTATTTTATTTTATTTTATTATACTTTAAGTTTTAGGGTACATGTATGTGCACAATGTGCAGGTTAGTTACATATGTATACATGTGTCATGCTGGTGTGCTGCACCCATTAACTCGTCATTTAGCATTAGGTTTTTTAAAGGAAAATAGAATCCATAATTTCACAACCCTTAACCACACTACTCCTTTCAATGAGAATAATATCCTTCGTTTGTTTTTGAATATTTTCTCTCTTTGTCCATAGTAACATTGTCTGTTATATACTGTTGCAACCATAATTATTATGATTTTCCACACTGTTTTTCTCATTATTTATTTCAAGACTGCATCATCTGGTACAAGTCACGTGAACTCAGGGCTTCAGTTGGTCCATCTGTGGGTCCCTAATTTTTACATTTTTATTTTAGAAAATGTTGATGGAAATCGATAAGTTCATGTTCCTCACCAAATGCTTTGATATTTTCTTATCAAATTTTGCTGAATTATATTTCTAGCAGTAAATTTAACATCCTAAGATTCATAGATGCTAGTAGGTCATCTTGCCCATCTGCCTTACTTTTTTACCATTAATTATTTATTATTGTTGTAGCTTCCTAGTGTTTTACACAACAGAGACACATGGTAGGTTGAGAGAGGGGGCAGGGGAGAGGGAAAGAATATTTATAAAGTGCCATACACAGATGGATGGTTAAAAAATGCTGTTTAATGATCCTCACTAATGATAAGGATGGATGGAAAACATTATTCCCAAGGAATGTGGAGATGGTGGTGTCTATAGTTCAGGGAAACTCTTCCCTTTTCTATCTAATAATGAATAGAAATAATATCTAATAATGAATAGAAAAAAATCAAGCATACAATCGATTTTGACAAAGTCCAATTTTTAAATTAATTCCATAATACCATTGATTTGTTAGAAACTTGTTTTTCATGCTTGAATCTAGAACACAGTGTTTTGAGTATGAGTAGTCAGGGAAAGAACAAAAAGGGACCTCCAGTTGATGCTATGCCGAGTGTCCCAAGGTGAATTTTGGAAGCGGTCTGCTTTGAGGCTGATGGTATGGTATCTTAGTCCTTTGGGACTATTACTACAGGATATCTTAGACGAGGTAACTTATGAACAGCAGAAATTTATTTCTCACAGTTCTGGAGGATAGGAAGTTCAAGATCAAGGTGCTGGCAGATTTAGTGTCTGGTGAGGGCCTCTTCCTTAAAGATCATGTCTTCTTGCTGTGTCAAGGACACAGGCAGCTGTCTGGGGCCTGTTCTATAGACACTAATCCCATTCATGAGGGCCCTGCTCTCATGACCTAATCACTCCCAAAAGGTCCCACCTCTTAATACCATCAACTTGGGAAGCAGGATTTCAACATAGGAATTCTGATGGGATGCAAGCATTCAGACCATAGTACATGGCCACCTGTGTATTGTGATTAGAATACATCAGGAAAGACTCTCACCTTTCCCCTCACATGATTTTCCCATCCCAATTACTGCCCAGCATGTATTTCCATTATTGTAGGATTATTCCTTTGAGGCTTCACATGGAAATACATTCTATTATTCGGAAAGAGAAGAGACAATTGTTAACAGGTATAAGCTTATATTTTGAAGAAAAAAATGGACTCACTAACTTTGATGCATTCTTTTCTTTTACTTTTCTTTATTTTTTAATTGGTGAAAATGCCATCATATTGAAGAGACCCTCACCAGACATGAAATATCTTTCCTAGGACATGAAATATCTTTCCTAGGAGTGAGTGAGTATAAGCTGAGAAATGGAAAATTCACTTGTACAACATTTTAAACTTAAGAAATTTACCAAAGTCAACTTTTTCCTATTCCTCATCAGTCCAGTGGAAGATGTAGATGAGTAGTAATCACACAGAAATCTCACAGAACCATAAAATTGCAGTGACAGAAAGCACTTGAGGTCCATCTTGTCAATATCCACAGACTAGGAGCTTCTCTTGTGCATACCTGACAGGTGATCACCTGGGTCTTCATGAACACTGCCACACAGTGGGCCTGGTAGTTTTTTGAGGTAGCACTGTCCATTGTTGGGCAACAATAATTACTAGAGAGTTTTATATATGTACAAGTTGTTCTCTACCTAGTTCCAGGAAATCCAGCTCTTACTTTTAACACAGGCCTTGTTAAAGTTGGTAAATAAAGGTCATCAGAACTTCTAAATAAATTGGAGGCTATCCATAATAACTGGTATTATGCTAACCAAAATATCTAACAAAACAAACAAGATACTAGTGCTTTGAAATTTATTACTTATTCATTCATTTTTTGGGGGTAGTCCACAACATGTGTTAAGCATTCATATTAGGTGACACACTAGCTAGGTACAAAAGATGCAGATATGGATACAGAGATGTTTGTCAATTTTAAATAACTCACGTCAAGTAGATGTTTCCAGGTTTAAGCCCTCATGGCAACTTGTACTTTGCTGTTGTTGCTTTTATTAGAATTGTAGTTAGTTGCTTGCATGCTTGTAGAATATCTGTCTACCTCCATGAGAATGTAAGCTGCACCATGTCAGAGACTGTGCCTCAAGCAGTGTAGGGGTTCATACATATTTGCTGCATGATAAGAAAGGATTCTAATTGAATAGTTATAATGAGAAAAGCACTATAATAGATAAAACAAACTTCTAACCCACTGAAGCAGGAAAGATTAATTCTTTCCGGGAAGGTACTTATCCTTGATCTTGAATAATGAGTAAAAGTTTATTAGGTGGAAAATGCGGAAAAGAATATTTCATACGTGGAAGTCATATTGAATTTGGGGAATGGCAGGTAACACGAGGTAGTGGGAATGAGAGGAAACTGAATTTTAAATAAATAAGGAAGGACTTAATTAAACCCGATTATTTACTTTTTTAGTTAACTAATATTTATTGCACGTCACTTGGGGCACAATGATGAATAAGATCAGATGTGATCCCTGCCCTCCAGGAACTTAGAATCTAGTGAAGAAGATGGATATTTATCAAATAATCAAAGTAATCATCCCAACAAATATATAATTGATGTTGTGACAAATGCTACTACAGATGAAAGGTACCTGGTTCTAAAGTTCTTACAATAAGAGGATTATTGGATCGTCAGGGAGGTCAGGGGACAATAATATGTGATCCTTGAGTTGATATCTGAAGGTGAAGAGGGGAAAGAAAAGAAGTACAAATTCCCTGTTCCCTGTGGCAGAGGGAGAATAGCACATTAAAGAAATGAAAGAAGGATCTACAACAGAGAGAGAGAGAGGGCTGGGGGGAGCAGCAAGGGACATGTAGAAGCACAGAAGTAAGTGAAATATAGACCTTGAAGTCTTTGTATAGTGTTGTGTCTTTTTCTTTCTTTATTTTATTTTGTTTTATTTTATTTTATTTTATTATTTATTTTTTTGGAGATGGAGTCCCATTCTGTTCCCCAGGATGGAGTGCAGTGATGTGATCTGGGCTCATTGCAACCTCTGCTACCTGGTTCAAGTGATTCTCCTGCCTCAGCCTCCTGAGTAGCTGGGATTACAGGTGCGCGCTACTACACCCGGCTAATTTTTGTATTTTTAGTAGAGACAGGGTTTCACCGTGTTTCCCAGGCTGATCTTGAACTCTTGAGCTCAGGCAATCCACCTGCCTCAGCCTCCCAAAGTGCTGGGATTACAGGTGTGAGCCACCGCACCCGGCCAGTGTTGTGTCTTAATCCTGAGAGCCAGGAAGCCGTGAGAGCATCTTCTACAAGAGATGGCCCTGACCTGCTGGGGTTTGGGCTGTAGTGTGCAGAACTGACTGGAGAGATCCAGGGCAGAAGGAGGTTGTTATCATCAAAACCAGTGCTAGGGAAGCAGAGATAAGGAAAGAGCAGTTCTAGGAAGTGCACCTCTCTTTGCAAGAACACAATTAATTTGCCTGACTGCGGCCATTACCCTTTACTGAAACAAACAATATGTAGGAGATAACTCATCTCAACTTCGTGTAGTTTGGATTAGTATTTTGACATGGGGATAGATTAAGAAAAGTTTTTTAAAACTCTGACTAGCAGGTGAAAAGCAAATAATAGTGAGGTGGAATTTAATGGAAAGAGACTTGTGTATAGACAACTAGAGATCTGGGTTCTAGTTCAAGCTCAGCAACTATCAACTGAGGTCAGACAAGTCATGCGACCTCAGTTTTAAAAGATGTAAATAAAGAAATTGGACCAGATCATATCTAAACTCCCTTCTGCCACATTCTGTGATTTTAGTCTCAAAACATGGAGGTATATAAAGCATGACATAATACTTAAGTCATAGAGACTTCTCAGTATTTGAGCTTTTAATACAGGCACATTACATATAATGTGTTTGATTATGGAGAAATAGGAACAGAATGATAATTTAAAGTGTATTTTTACTATGAGACAGAGCCCAACTGAGAAATAGTCCTTGTACATGAATATTACTACTAAACATTTCAGACCAATCATTACATGATCTAAAAGTTAATTTTTACTGGAAGAGACCTAACAAATTGTTCAAATCCTATCCAAATTTCATGAACATTTCCATATTTGGTTTCATAGAGGCTAAGTCTATCTTATGCCAAACATCCAAATGGAATGTAAAACTTATGTCATTCACCCAAATAGTGGATTGTGTCATTCACGTGGAATCAGGTAGTGACTGAAGTTCGTGATTTATTTTTCAGGGTATTACTGGGTGGCCTATTGTTTCCCATTCCTTTCAGTAGTACCAGTAGATTCTCTGTTGGTTGCCTTCCTTATTTTTTTCATCACCTTTCATCTTTATCGCCTTCATTACACTGTGAGTCTGGGAAGACTTGCAAAAGGAAAGATTTAGAAGGACACACCTTGGACGCCAGTGTAAAGGGCACTTTTACCGTCATAATAGAAAACCCACTAGCTGAATAGCTGAATGTAGATATAAAAATTTGAGCCCTTTTCTGTGTGCATTTTGAAGCACACTAAAAATTTCCAGCCATCACTATACCTTGTAGTCTATAAAAGGTCCAAGATGCTTTATAATTCAATATTATATTTTTCAGAATAAAGAAAGGTTTTTTTTCTGGTCAGCTATGTTTTATAAAAGGCCATTTTTCTAAAGACAAATCTGGTGTTTTATTCTGTAATTTTAGTGAACATATATGTTTAGGGCCTAGTTCTTTAAATAATTATCCTGATGAAGAAAAATTATATTACGGGGTCTAAACAAAATAGTTTATTTATAAATTTGGAGACAGCTATGATATTGAAAGATGCTCATATTACATATCCTATTTATTACTTGTCTTGTCCCCTTCTTATTGCAACACAATGCTTCCTTTGACCACTGAAAGGAAAGCTTTTAGGATTTCATCTGAGTGTATCTAAAAAAAGCATCGGTTATATCAAGGATAAAAGTTCTAATTTTTTTTTTTTTTTGACACAGAGTCTTGCTCTGTCACTAGGCTGGAGTGCAGTGGCACAATCTCGGCTCATTGCAACCTCTGCCTCCCAGGTTCTGGCAATTCTCCTGCCTCAGCCTCCTGAGTAGCTGGGACTACAGGTGTGCGCCACCACTCCCAGATAATTTTTGTATTTTTTGTAGAGATGGGGTTTCACCACTTTGGCCAGGATGGTCTCGATCTCTTGACCTCATAATCTGCCCACCTTGGCCTCCCAAAAAAGTTCTATTTTTTTTTTAAACTAAGGAGTATATAGTTGTGCTAAATTTGAGGAACAAAATGATATTAGCAGCCTTTGATTGCAGAAAAGAAATGTCACCTTCCACTTTCTAAGGACAAGGACAGCATTTCAGTTATTTCTAGAACTTTATGTGTTAAAAAATAATAAGCAGTATGAAATTTATTAAATATTTCTGACCAGGTTCTAAAGTAATGCAGGTTGCAGGTTTGTTGAATTTCTTAGAATAGCTGAAAATTTCCAGGATCTTACTTTTATATATATATATATATATATATATATATATATATATCTATATCTATATATATATGTATATATATATATGGATATATATATATATGGATATATATATACATATATATATATATGAATGATAGTTTTTAACTTGCTATAATGTTATTGGTTTTTATTAGTAAATTTTGGAGGTGCTTTCAAAAATTGCAGCCAACAATAGAATTAAAAAATATACATTGATTTAATCTTCAGCTAACAGTTACAATGCCTTTCTCTTCAGATATCTACTGCAAATCATCTTGTGGTTCTTTGAAACATAGTTTCTACAGAAACTTACTACTTAATGCTATACATGAAAATTTAAGAAAATGCCTTAGAGCTATATATGGAGTGATACAGACTTAAAGGTCTCAGAGATGTTTGTTTGCAGTGCCTGCTCAGCATGTTCTAGCAACACAAAAATGAAATGTTAAACATCACTTACAACTTTAGAAAGGTTTGCTTTTTATCTTCACAGGATCGCACATGTGACTTACCCTGCCTGGCTCCATGAAGGAAGTGTCAAGTGTATGACATAATGCTAGTATTTTTGAGACTACAGTAAACCCCACTCCCCCTCCAAACCTGGAGCCTCAAGCTGTAATTAGGATGCCATGATGAGAAAGTTGTGTTTTGTCAGTTTTGGCCCTGAGCGGGTGGCAGCATAATGCCACGCTGCTGTAGAAGCAGGGTGCAGCCGTGCAAAACTCAAATGTTTGTTGTTGTTTATTGTTTACAGAGCTGCTTTTTTTTCTCTAGAAGACTAATGAAGGGATGGTGAGTACATTTGCACTGGCTGACTGATTGTAGCAAGCTTAACTTTCAATTGATTGAATGAGGTGAAATAAATCAACAAACTGCCAAGAGAAAATATTCACTAAGATTTTGCCCTTGACATGAAAACATGTGTTCTGAGGTCTCAAACAAAAGTGCCTTCTGTTTATACTGACAATTTATGTTTATAAATTATTCACAGTTGCATAATATCTACACAATTTAAGCATTGAATTATTGCATTTTATATTATACTTATATACAGAATTGAACTACATGATTAATTTTATGGGGTAAAAAATCATTATGATAGACATAAATTCACTTATGAAAGTATATGTGAGAAAATGTAACATCATATACACTTTAATTACGGAAATTAAAAACATAAATTTTGTGAACACTCTAGGGTCGTAAAACACAATACCCTTACCCACAGGGAACTGGCAGATTCATTGCTAGAAGTAAAATTAATATGGCAGAAAAGGACATAAATTTAAAATGAAAAGTTAAAGGATAGAAAATCAACTAAACACTAAATAAAATAAATGAAACATTCATGATGTTCTGAAGGTAGTTTGTTTCAAGCCATGATAAATATTAAAGTAAAGGTTCTTGAAATGAAATATGAAAACCACCTTCCTCAAGAAACTAGACATGGAAAATGTTTCATTGACTGTGAGGCAGCATGATAAGTTTATTTCTATCTAAAGTAAGGATGATGATTAGAGGGCATAGGGAGGTAAAAGGGGCAGAATCACAGTGAAAGGAAAAAATTAAGTGTCATAGGAAATAAAAGAATTTTAGGCATGGACATGCTACCACTTAATGGGTGAAGAAATTAAAGTTCAATTAGCAATTGAGGGCAATGTGGAACTGAGGTGTTCTGAGCCTCAGACAGAGCCCCTTTTATGATCCCATATGACCTCCAATTCTGTTTAGATGTTTTTATCTCCTGGAAGGTATTTTCAGCCTAGGAGGCCTCTGTATTAAGATTGGCTACAGAAAACTTAATGAAGTATGTACAAGTCTGAAAAAATAGTTTGGTTTTGTGCTTGTTTAAGTGGCTGTGAGGATAGAAAGATCTAGGGATCAGGACAGGAAAGGAGGGAAAGCAAAGGAAGAAAGGTAGCATGTGGCGTTAACAGACATGGGGGAAGGTAAGAGAAACCCACAGAAGAAGAGATAGAAGGGAAAATGGCAAGCAGGCAAGCAGAAAGGCTCAGTGAGTTTCAAAGGCACTGTTGATCAGGGCTGATGCTCTGCAGCTTGCATTTATTATGGGCTTATTCTGAAGGCTTGATTAACTTTTGGAACACTATTCACAGCTCTTCAACTGCTCAGGAACTTATGCCTTTGAGCCTGCACTCTTTATCAGGTAACAAGCAGAACATTCTGCCCAGGGAGAATAAAAAATCTTTTAACCATGGTAACAATAATAAGAGCAGATCATTTTTAAGTCTTAAGAAAATCAAATCAACAGGGAATTTTCTCACCCTTATTTTCTCTATCCCTGCTATGAAGAAAGGGCAGTGAATTTCAGTTTGTCTTTTATTGCGGGACTTGTAATCAACACTGGATCTCTTATAATAGAAAGTTCTTGATCAGTGAAGAAGATATTTTGAAAGTTAAGTCTTATGACCTCTCTTCTCTTGAGACACACACCCTACAAAAAGGAAAATTCACTATACACAATGCACATGAAATTATTTAAGACAAATAGTGACCTTACCAGTGACTATGATATAGCATTTCCTTTTTTAATGACTTTTTCAAAATAGCAAGTCACACCATGCCTTTGCCACAAACAAATGAGATATTTGTGTCATTCTGGAGTTAGTTCTCTTCCTGGAAAACCTCTTATCTGATATTATAATCAGTTAAAAAATGATTTATCTTCTTCATGTTAGTATAAAACATGGTGTTCAAAAAGAGTACATTTATTTTATTTTTATTTGTATTCAAATTCAAAATGCATCAGCTCACAGTTTATTTATGTGGACAATTCAATGATTGATTGTTGAGATGACAGTGTACCTACAACTAAGTTATTTAGTGGAGACTCCACATTCAGATTCATCACTGGAATTGCCCCATCTCTAATATTTTCGGCTGTTTTTGCCTCATCCTGATAGTGTTGCTCAATTTTTAACATATATATATAGTTCATCATCACCTGAATATAAAGTTAGGACATGAACATCAGTGGCGCCAAAGACAGATGCTATGAGGTGCCTGTTATGTGTGGGTTGAGGGCTCAGTAGAGAAAAGTTTGGACCCACAATCCCAGGCCTGCCTTTATAATTCAATGGGAAAGACAGAACATATATGTAAAGAGAAAACTTAAAAGCTAGAATTTATTTAATAGACACTAATATAGCTTTAATCTTAGTTTTCTTTCAGTGCTTGGAAACCAAACTTTAGGGAGAAATATGAATATTCTTACTCTATTCAGATATACCTCCTTGTAATGAGCATTTCACATAAACAATCTCATCTAATCATCATAATACTGTACATGAAATAGATACTATTATCTTTATTTTGTAGATTAGAAAATTCAAGCCCAGAGAATTTAAGTTGCTTAGTCAATCATTATAGAGCTTCTTATTTTTGTAAAGATAAGCATTTTTGTCATGTGTGATGAAAATGTGTGTGTATATATATATATATGCTTAAAATATTCCTGTAACTCTGTAGTTGAAAAAACTCCTGCTGCAAGTATATTTATTGGCCACATTTAAAGTACTTCTTATATAGTCCATCTACATTTTTCATTACCTTGACTTATATTCATTCAAGAGAATCTTTCGCCTCCAGAACAATAAATAAATTTAACTTGCAGGATGGAGAAGCCAGAGGCATGCAGAAATTGGTGTGTATCCTAGAAGAGAGTTCTAATTATAAGGACCTCTTAAATCTAATAGTTTTTCCCTTTAGTATAAGCTGTTGACTGTGTGAAACATGATGTTTTACATTAAAGGTGGTATTTTGGATGAATTGCTTGAAGCTCTATGATTTTCTGCAAAAACATTATAGGGGAAGATAACTAAGAAGATGCTTGCTGCTGCAGATCAGAATAACAGATCAATAAGAGGGACTACAAGAGCAGTAATGCTTTAAAGAATTAGCACACAGGAGAAAAGAGCCATGAAGCAGAATACACACACACACACACAACACACACACACACAACACACACACACATTCTGATGTATATTATATACACATAACATATAAACACAGATGCATTTTAAATAATTGATCCCAATAACTCCATTTTTGCATTTTCTGGCCACATATATTACTTTGGTCAGCTCTCTTGTGGAAAATAATTAAAGAATGGATTAACTGTTTAATATTTATTAAACTCCTACACTGTATAAGCACTGTGCTTGGTGATAGGAATGTAATAATAGAGAAGATGTTCTTTGTCCTCAAGAGTTCCCAGCATACTATGGGAAAGGTATGTTGCAATGGTATGGTGGAAGTTTCATGATCCCAGAGTGGGAATATTATGGAGAGCTTTCTCTAGAAGGTGAGGTTTGAGCTGAGTCTTGAAAAGCAAGTACTAGTTAGTCAGAAGGAAACAAGAAAAATGTTTCTAGAACACAGTATGGAAAGGCCAGGAGCTTAAAAGGGAATGTTGTGTGCAGTCTGGGATTGCTGGAATATAATGATGAGGGAAAGATGAAAAGTGAAGGTGGAGAGGAGGCTGGACCTACTAGGACTAACTAGGCTTTAAAGTGCTGGTAGGACTTCAAAAATAAAATTCCAATAATGATGACATTTTGCAGAGTTTAAAGCATGTGAGTGGCAAGGTCAAATTTGTATCTTAGCAGAGCATTCTAATAGCTATGTGGAGAATGGTTTTTAGGTGGACAAAACCCGAGTTTGGGATCCAATTTAAGGCTGTATTAGAAGTGTAGGCAAGGGCTGGGCACGGTGGCTCATGCCTGTAATCCCAGCACTTTGGGAGGCCAAGGCCAGCGGATTGCTTAAGCTTGGGAATTTCAGACCAGCCTGGGAAATATAGTGAGACCCTGTCTCTAAAAAAAAAAAAAAATACAAAAATTAGCCAGGCATGGTGGTGCAAGCCTGTAGTCCTAGCTTCTTGGAAAGCTGAGGTGAGAGGATCACTTGAGCCCAGGAGGCAGAAGTTGCAGTGAGCTGAGATTGTGCAGTGAGCTGAGATTGTGCCTGGGCTACAGAGTGAGACTCTATTTCAAAAAAAAAAAAAAAGAAAGAAAGGAAAAGAAGTCTAGGCAAGTAAGTGATGCTGAGAGTTCGAACCAGCATTGTGGTAATGGGAACCTTGGTAACAGTGTTGGAGGCCTTAAGCAATGGTTAGGAGCTATAATTGGTAAGACTTGGTGCTTATTTGGATGTGGATGGATGGATCAGGATTTCACAGAGTTTTAGTGAGGGTGACCGGGTATGGGGTGGGGAAGGCCGTAAATCTGAGACGGAGAATGATCAGGAACTGGTTGGGCAGACTGGCACCTTGGTCAGTTTAGCTTAAGATGTCTGTGGTTTATCTAGAAGGAGTTGATCAGGGTGAGGTGCAGCGGCTCACCCTGTAATCCCAGTACTTTGGAACGCTGAGGCAGGTGGATTGCTTGCACCTGGGAGGTCAAGACCAGCCTGGGCAACATGGAGAAACCCCATCTCTACAAAAAATATAAGAATTAGCCAGGTGTGGTGGCACGTCCCAGGTACCTGGGAGGCTGAGGTGGGAGGATCATCTGAGCCCAAGAGATCAAGGCTGCAGTGAGCTGTGATGGTGCCACTGCATTCCAGCCTGTGTCACAGAGAGAGACCTGTCTCAAAAAAAAGAGTTGATCAAGCACATGGATCTTTTAGTCTGCAGCTTGAGAAAGAGGTCTCTCATGACATGTTTGGGAGTTGCCAGCCTATAGGTATATATCACTGAATACACAACCTCTTCTGTGTAGTACACTGTGTTGTCTTTTCCCCCTTTCCTATATCCTAAAGCAAAGACACATATCTCCAAAAGTATGTAGACATTAATATTGTACCTTCTGGTTGTATTCAGTCGTTAATATTGTACCTTCTGGTTGTTACAACAGAATGATCCCATAGAACAGAAACACTCTAGGAAAATGCAAGTAACCAAGTGATTGTTGCTTTCTTCCAGCTTTGTCAGTGGAAATGCCTGCCCCAGAGGGATATTGCTTCAGTTGACCTCATTTTTTAAGGACCCTGGCTCTGCGGCTTTGTCCAGTTCAAAATGGCAGAAAAGGCTCCCCCGGGCTTAAACAGGAAGACTTCAAGGTCGACACTTTCCCTTCCTCCAGAGCCTGTGGACATTATCCGGAGCAAAACATGCTCCAGGAGAGTTAAGATCAATGTGGGGGGCCTCAACCACGAAGTCCTGTGGAGAACGCTGGACAGGCTGCCCAGGACGCGCCTGGGGAAGCTTCGAGACTGCAACACACACGAGAGCCTCCTGGAAGTGTGCGACGACTATAATCTGAACGAGAACGAGTATTTCTTTGATCGGCATCCAGGAGCCTTCACTTCCATTTTAAATTTCTACCGGACCGGGAAACTCCATATGATGGAAGAAATGTGTGCACTTTCGTTTGGCCAAGAACTTGATTACTGGGGGATTGATGAGATCTACTTGGAGTCCTGCTGCCAGGCCAGATATCATCAAAAAAAAGAACAAATGAACGAAGAACTGAGGCGAGAGGCAGAGACTATGCGAGAGCGAGAAGGAGAAGAGTTTGATAATACCTGCTGCCCTGATAAAAGGAAGAAACTGTGGGACTTGCTGGAGAAACCTAACTCATCAGTGGCTGCAAAGGTATGAAACCCATAGTATTGCTTGCCTGTGTGTGGTCAGAAAAGATGCTACCTACGTTCTAGAGAGTATAAGTTTTTTTACTGTTTTGGTAACACAGAACAAAGTGTGGCTACACAGACAGTGAAAAAATCCTTTCCAAAATCTTATTTAGTCCAATATAGTCATTCATCCTGGTTAATGACATAAAATGGCATTACCCTTTCATAAATATTATTGTCTGTAGAAAGGGGCCTGGGCAACAGAGGATGAAAGAGAGTCCTGGTTTTCCTGGCGCTGTATCAGGTTGGTGACTTGGAGGTTGAGGAGAAAGCCCTAGCTCAGACCCATCAGGCACTGAGTCTTGTGGAAGACGAGGGCCTGAGCTCCATCTTGAACAAAGGGAAGGTACTGTCACTGGAAGGAGAGGAGGTACCTCTTAGCCTGGCTATGTAGAGGTTCAAGGAAAGAGAGGAGAGCATGGCCCCAGGTAGCTCAGAGGGCAAGTGCCACACACATGAGGAAGGGACTGTTTTATTAAGCTGTGTAAAAAATGAGTCAATGTCCAGAATGCATCCACGTACCTCCCCTTTTGAGGCCTCCTTTAACAGTGCATGTTTCTGACTGTTAATTTTTTTTTTTTTTACAATTGAGGTATTACCATGTATCAGAGTTCATAAAATATTTGCTTAAAATGAAGGTAAATTCATATTTTCCCATTGTGACTGCATATATCTAAATCTCACAGTAAATTTTTTGTCACTAATTCCAGTATGTAATTCAACTGCGTGATTCTGTTTGTCTAATTTTATCTAGAGCTTCCAAGGTTAGCTCAAACCAATTTTCACTCCATATATTTAGTTCTGTATTGCAGTATGAATGATAAGTAAAAATTCAAAAAGCCATCTTTAGCTGCAGGAGTATAGTATTGACATTTTGTGCGTAATGGATGAAAATGGAGTACGGAATGGAGAAGGGAAGAGTGTGTCATCACATGAATTCTTTTGATTTACTGTTTTTTTCTAAAATCTTCTCTCGTGAACAGTAATGATTTCAGAATTTATAATAGAACATATGAGATTTTTGACTGGAAATTAAGATTCTACATGATAATCTATAGCACATAAATAATCAGCTAATGCAAATGATCATAAAACTGCTTTTTGTTTGATTTTCTTTCTGGTTGACTTCTAAAGGCATTTTACTTTCCAGCCAGGACATGCACCTAAGTGAAATAAAATGATATCTGTTGTGTATAACAAAGAAATGCATATTTCGTGGGAAATAGAAGACTTTAGGTTTTTTTGTAGTTTTGGATAAGTTGTTTACTTTCATTTTACTTGTAAAAAAAAAATGTGCCGCATTTGTGGGTTTTGATTGAGAAAGGCTACTGCTCTTTCCAATATCAAGTGTTTAGGTACATACTCGAGTTACTACAAAAAATATGGAGTGAATTTTGAAAATGAATGAGACAGATTCTGGATTTAAGTGAGTATTGTGGGTGTTAAATGAATTCTTTCAAGCCTTTAGGCAACTAAGGAATAAATCATTGTTCCATCAAAATTTCCAGAGAAAGTTAGCCAACTGTATAAAAATAAAGCAATTAAGTCAAAGAAAGTTTGAAAGGTTACTGTGGTTTATTTGTTCATAATGACATTATTAACCTATATCTAAAGTTAAGTATTGTTACAGAAAAAATTTAAGATATATGTATATTTTCCTGAAGAATTTCTCACAAGGATAGAATAAGGTCAACAACCTGATTTCCTACACAAGGGAGTTCATTTAATCTATAAATTTTAGAAGAAATAGCCATTTCTTAATCTCTAAGAGGGTAACTATGACCATGGCTCATTACAATAGACCTTTACATATGTATCCAACATATTATTTAAATTTGCTTCAAATTATGTCTGTATGTATAGACAAGAAATCTGCCTACAAACTCTACCCAGCAGCCAAAGACATTGGTTTTGGAAAATTTTATGTAGTTATAAATGGTATATTTGTTTCCACATTGTTAATCAAGCTAAGTAAATCTTCACTATAAGTTGATTCTTTACTAAATTTCCATACAGGATTTATGTTTATTTATATGTCTACATTTTCCTCTCTGTTTGAATAGTGAAATATTATGGAAAGTATTTACATTTGATTATATAGTAGTTTAGTGAAATTATTGTTCATTTGTCTGAGGTTTAGAGCCTTTTAAAATGGCTCTGTGTGATGTCTTATATAAACCACTACCTTTTCCTGTACTCTTCACGAGTCCTATAACTTGTTTTTTTTTTCTTTCTGGAGTAATTCTTGGTGAGAGAAGTGGTAATTCAGGTATGTGTGGATAGTATTTTCACAACTTAAGAAAAAGTAGTAATATTACAGCTGCAGTAGGGTGATATTCTAGCCCTCACTATTTACTTTATTGTATGGGTACATCAGGCTATTTTCTATGTTGTGAAGCCCTTGTGTAGGAATGCTTGGAACCTTCGTGTTTGTCCTCACTTGCTGAGGAGGTAAGATAGCTTTAAAGCAGAATATCTGTGGACCTTGCCTTTCCAGTTTTTGCTTATTCAGTATGGTAATTTAGTTGAACATATGCTGTATGTGTGCCACACACATTAAAGTAGATACTTAGACACTCCATTCTTTCCAGAATTTAAAAATATTCTTAAAATATTCTCTTATCTTTAACTGGGATTTCATATTATTGAAAATATTCTTGTGTTTTTCTCTTTTGGTTTTTATATAACTTAATAGATTCCTGTAATGAAGAAAGTATAAAAGCTATTAAGATTATTTGCCAGATCCCTAGTATGGAAGGAAAAACTTGACCCTCTCTGTCAGGTGTTGCATAACAGGCTAAAATATCTATTCTTTGATACGAAATAAAATACTCAATAATCAGTTAAGTAATAATTGTTCAGCCCATGCTATATGCATCCCCTATGATATAAAAAATTATTACAAGGTCAACTGACCTATTATTTTTGTCTTTGGGTATTTCTCTGACAATAGCAAGTCAACTCCTATGGAACATGTTCCCTGGTGTCACATAAGGAGCCACTTCTCTTACTTGGATGTTCTGGTGTATTAATAACTGAAAAAAAGCCAAAACAGCATTTAACAATGTGGTATATCTGAAATATTACATTTAACAAATTAACATTTTTGCACATATATAGAAAACCATGAAATATAATCGTACTATTCAAAATATAATGACAGGGCTAATAGAAATACTTATTTCTTAGTTCTCTGGGATATGGTGTGATTTGGCAATGGGACACAGGTTTTTATCTGTATGATGGACTCTGTCATTTTTGACTCTTGTCAGTGTATCTTGGTGACTGTACATGTCCTCATATAGAAATAATTTACACAGTTTAAATTTGAGATGGTTTGTGAATGTGTGGCTCAGCTGAATGGGCCCAGGGCATGACTGGAACAACTCCCTGGGTTACCATGACAGGAATTGCTGGTTTTAGTGTGCCTTTCATAGGATCGTGCAAGGGGAAGAAAAGGGCTCAACTTGCTGCCAGTTTCCTGGGCAAAAATTGGAATTTGACTTGATCCTGTACCTCTTCCAGGCCAGGGCAATTTAGTCAGTCTCTGGACTGGAAACATTTTTCTCTCTTTTCCTTGGCCTCTTCCCAAAGAAACTGCAGTTGCTAGTTCCCTGTAAATATTGCATATAGTGACTTCAGTCTAAGAGGTGTTTAAAAGCATATTTGAGAAATGGGTCTTGTGGCAGGCAATATTCTCAGCCTTCGGGATGAAACAACAATCAGGAAGTAGCACAGCCCACCTGAGATCTGAAAGAAACTAGACTCATCAGTACCACACAGGGCCCACACTTTGGATGTCTTAAGAAGGTCAAGAACAAAGGAAATCAGCTGGGTTTCTGGCAAATCCAGCTACCTGGGTTCATGGCTGAGTCCTCTGAGGGAAGCTTCACTCTAAGAGCATAAGTGGATGTGTGTGCCGGGCAGTGCCAGACAACAGGCTGATCTCAGGTGTCAGGTCAGGAAGCTAGAACATAAGCAGCCCTTATTGGATAAGAACAGCAGGAGGCAAAATCTGCGGAAACACATTTCTATTCATCTGAACCAAACAGTGAGAGCACCCAGCAGCTTTTTCAGGAAAGCATACAGGTCAAGTGGGGCATGGTTTAGGATCTGCTTCCCACTCCTCAATTTCCTCATTAATCTGTAGCCACCACTTCCTCCCTCCCTTTCCCCCACTCCTCTCCCCGCTCCTCCTCTCTCTCTCAGGCTCTCTCTGCGTCTCTCTCTCTCTCTCACACAGACACACACAGACACACACACACACAGGCATATCTTGTGCCCCTCGGGAACTGGTTTTATTTTAGCTTAAGAAAAGGGGGGAATGATTGACTAGAGAAAGATTTCAACACTTTTTTTCATCAATAGCTCCCTAAGGAGAAAAATTAAGTTAAATTGAAAAATGGAGTTCAGAGGGCCACAAATGATGGTACTACGTAAGTTTTTTTATTCCTTCTCACTAGCACCAGTTTTCTCCCCTTGAAAATGCATGGGACGGAGGGAAGGAGATGACCGCGTTTCCTGCCTGCATCTTACTCCCTGCATATATCCACAGGTCCATTGTCGTTGGCATGGTGCAGCGCGGCACCTGAAGGGCCAGGAGACCTTAGCCATCCTTGGATCAAGTCGGGAGCTGCTGGTGGCAGATGGGCAGTCTGTGCTTGGAAATTCAGCTCTCCACAGAGCCAGGGGTCCAAATTATGAGTTTCTTAGATGCTGGTACCTGTTTGGTTGCCCTGTTGATAACTCCTTGAGAACTAGTCCCCTATTCCAACTAAATTAGAGTGTAGGCCTTTCAAGCCACAGAAATAGTAAAAATAAAATAAAACAAAAACTCCTGTGTACTTATCAAGGAAGAAAAAATACATAACATTCTCATTCTATTTATAGTATATGGATCAGTTATTCTAATGCTTTGAATGAAAAATGAAGGAAGGCATTGGAACAGAATCATAAATGATTTTCTTTCAGTTCGAGAACAGAACTTTCACATGTTATGCTTGTAAGGAGATCCAGCCAAGTGAACAGCTTGGGCTGTATAACACTCTTTGTTTAGCTTTCTGATGACCATCTTAGTGGTAAGAAAATATAACAATAGGCATTAAAACCACAAATGAGCCAAAAACATGAAGTGATGCAGTGTGAACAACACAGAAACCCCTCTACACTGAGGCCCTTCTGTGTACCGTGCAGTGCTGTCCTCTACATTGAGGCCCCTCTGTGTGCCGTGCAGTGCTATCCTCTACATTGAGGCCCCTCTGTGTACCACGCAGTGCTATCCTCTACATTGAGGCCCCTCTGTGTACCGTGCAGTGCTCTTCTCTACATTGAGGCCCCTCTGTGTACTGTGCAGTGCTATCCTCTACATTGAGGCCCCTCTGTGTACCATGCAGTGCTCTCCTCTACATTGAGGCCCCTCTGTGTACCGTGCAGTGCTCTCCTCTACATTGAGGCACCTCTGTGTACTACGCAGTACTCTCATTCTTATCTGCAGTGGGCTAATTAGCATGCCAGTCACACTGTTTCTGTATTGGTGGTTTACCATTTTCCTTTCTTTCCCTTTCCTCTCTGCATCCCATCTATACAGATTAAGCAGTTTGTATTCTTCCAACAACATAGCATAAGAGTTCAGAGATGTTAACAGGAGATGATAGAGTTTAAAAGAACTTGGCCAATCTGCAGAGGTTTAGCTTGAAGATTTGCTTTTTCCTTTCTTAAAATGTATCATCCATGAAGACTAACAGGTCATAAACCTGAAAGAAATAAGGCATAAGAAAATAAAACAGTTAAAATAGAAAACACCATTGGGTTTTGGTTTAAATGTCTCAAATATTCTGTTTTTTAGCTGCAGCGATCCTATTTCTAGATCCATGCTTCTCTGCTTTCCCGGAAAGGCTGCCCTGAAAACTCATCACTCTGTTCAGTTGGCCATGTTTGATCATGGGAGAGAAGGGCAAGAAAAGAAGAGGAAGTCATAAAAAGCTCATACCCCCACATCCCATTGTGACCTAGGGTGCCATAGGTTATGGAGATAGTCCTGGCTAATGCCTTTTGTCCCAGTCTAATTATTAATAGCATCTCTTTTTACTCTTCAAAGTGTCCCAGTTTGCACAATGAACTAAGTCATCACCTTGCAAGTGAATATTTTTGAAAAAGTAAATTACCCAAGAATCATGCACTTTTTGGTTCCTCTTTGCTTCTTGGTTGCATCTGAAGAGGGCCAGTCTTAATTTCCAAGCAGTTTTTCCATCTCTTTAGAAAAATCATTAGTTTTCATTAATATTAAAAAACATCAGATTCTTTTCAAGCTTTATTTTTTAAACCTCAATAAATACATTAATTATCATTTTCAACGTTGAAAAAGGAGTTCTTTCTATATTACTTAGTGTTATCACAAAATAGAGTACATCAACAGTATTTACATATTCTGGCTTTGAAAATTTATATACACTGCTTTGATTATTAGTGGGTTTGTTTTCTTTGTTTCAAGTGAGAAAGTTTGTAAAATAAATGATCTACTCTTTTAGGTAAGCGTAAGTGTTATGAAGGAAGGTTGCAATATTTAACACTGTCCACTTTGGAAGACTCTAGAAGGGTTTGAATAATGTTTTTGATTAGGTGTTCTTATCTGAGTTTTATCTATCATTAAAAGGAAGAAGACAAACAAATACTTTCCAAATGCTAAGAGTTTATAGGAAATTTCCCATGGGGCATATACCTGGACTTCAGGTAGCCACCTCATATTGTTTACTTTTAAGCATTTATGTTCTGTAGTGGAACTTCAATCTGAAAGTTCATCTGATAAATACATGAAATTGCTTTGATTCCTCAAGGAGATGGTCGCTCATTGTCTTATCCATGTTTATTTATATTGTTACTATTTAGCTTCTCCCCCACCCCCGCCCCAGCATGTTACAGAGAATCTCATAAGGATTGGTACATTGATATATATGGTATATATTGATATATTAATACTCATACTATTGATTAGCATTGTGATTGTGATATGGTATAGAAACAGCAGTTAGTTATACTGGGACTAAACATGAGAAGATGCTATTTTGAATGCCACTGATATTTTCCTTTTTCTTATCCACTTTTATATTTTATAGACATATTTGGCATATAATATGAAACAAAATATTCTCTTCCCAGAGAACCTATAGGATTGTTTGTTAAGGAATGTTGAATTAGTCAGTTTTATTGAATATTACATATCACATATAAAATATTGAATATTTTATTGAATGCTAAATATTGCATAAATTGAGTCATGGAAACTAAACAGCTTTGGGCACTTTATTAATTTTTAATTCCTCTACATTTCTAGTTTGTTCCACAAAAGAGGCAGTCCACTAGAAATACATACACTAATTATTCAAGTAAAATTTAAAATAATTTAGAGCAAAAAATAGAACTAGAAGAAATGTATTTTAAATCATCACAGTAACTCTAGAGAATGCTTTGTTTTCCACAAAATGTTTCAAATTATTTTAATTAACAAATGACAATCCTATAATTTTTTTAAAGAGTTTGAAATTCATAAACAAAATATGTTCATAATTTTTAAAACTTGCCTTTCTGGCCCTACCTGACATTGCTAACTGATCCCAAGTAAGAGCCATTCCTAACAGAGAGACTCTGTCTGTTTACCCATTTGAATTGATCATTCGGATAAAGGAAGGTGTTTTCCTTTATCATAATTAACAAAATTGATTTGAAAAGAATTGTGATCAAAACATGGTATAGGAAAAAACAAAACAGCTGCTAAAGTACAATTCATGAAATAACCATAGATTACAATAGTTATTTTTGTTTTGAGCATTGACTTAGCATTGGTGGTTTGATTCTATTTGAGAATAACCCCAGAGTTCCATGGCATTCGGTAATCTGTAATGCCCTGAGGCATAAATCTGCATTATGTATAATGTAAGCTTGGTGTGTAGGAGCTAGTGACTTTGAGAGTGAGCGAGCTTAGCTGGTCACCCAATGCTGTCCACTTTACCCAATTTGTTTCTTTCTCCTCATTGTTATTTGCACTAGCTCTCGTTATATGTTACTGTATTTATAAGGGAGATTATGTGGCATAGTAGAGATTTATAAAGCTCTCAGGACACATCCCTCATTGAAAATATTCTATCTCAGTATTCTAAGAGGTGGTAGAAGCTTTTCAAGATAACAGTAAGCTTGGGAATTATTTTTGCCCACTAACAGCCTGTTTGGTCATTAAAATCCTTTCTCCCTCTGCAGCAGGACAGAGAAAGATGAAGGTGACCCCAAGCCACACCAGCAAGCTGTTCCACATAGTATGTGGGCACTAGAGGCAAGTTGCACTTACTGTATCTATCAGCAACATCCAGTTCTTAACCTCCTTTCCCAGTGTCCCCTGGACCGTAGTTGATGATCACTTTAGAGTTTATAAGCAAAACATTGAAGGACTTGAAGAGACTGAGACTTCTCTGCAATTGCTATGTCAGGCTTAACACAAACATAATGAAGCTAGAATAAAACAGCTATTTATGGATGAATGAGGAACAGAGACATGTAGTAACTGGCACAGAGGCAGGAAATAGAAAAATGGAAGAGGAAGACATTTGCTTTCATCTCTCCAAAGTTTTTCCAGGAGATACTAGGAACTAACATCAGAACTATATCAGACTTTGCACCCATATAGTATTTATTTTTGGCTGTGCATATATCTAGGTTTAAGTTAACTCCTTAACTAATGCATAAAATGAATGTATTTTTCCACTTAAATCATCTCCTTTAATGTCTTTACAAAGTTTTAAGTAAAAGAATTCCTCTGGATATTACTAAGGACAGGTACCTGAACCCAACTGATGTTTGTTGTCAAGTTTCTGTGTCTACGGTGGCTGAAGCCAGTAGCAGCAGCCCTCACTGAGTAGTACCCAGACAAAGTCTGTTGTATGTGCCCATGTGTATGTGTGTGTGTATGTGTGTGTGTGTGTGAGAAAGAGATAGAGAGAGAGAGATGTTACTTATATATACTACCACCTCTTCATTAGAGTATGTTCTATTGTAAAGAACCCACCTGCAGAAAAAGCAATGAACTTCAGCATGTATTTGGCAATTTAGAATAGATGCAACTTTGTCATCCAAATAAGACAGTCAGCCCATTCAGAATACAAACTTTTGTGATAACCTGATAGGGCATGAAAATTCATAGGAAGTGCTCTCATGGTCCAAGAATAGAAGGAAGAAATATTTTTATTAGTCTCCCAAGATTTTGTTTCAGGATGCTAGAGGTCATTGCCACCCTAGATTTCACGCTTTAACTTCTCTCTCATTGGGTCACTCGTGATGCAACCCCAAGTGTTGGATGCCACTTTAAATAGCTACTTCAAGCCTACGCCACAGCAGTGCCAAGGACAGCCAAGTCAACCCGGTGCAGCTCCAGATGGGTTTGCTTGGTTGCAGCATCCGTCACTGCAACCAACCTCAGGATATTTGCACAGGAGAGGAAGAACCCTAGCCTTCAAGTCATCGTTTTAGCTTTAATCAATATACTATCTAGAGCTCAATTTGGAATACTGAAGGGCAGTTGTCCTATCTGCTGTCATCTAAGTTAAGTTCTTAACCAAATGGATTCTTCAAATATAGATTTTTTAAAACACTCACATTTTAGTTTGTATCTTAGAATTGCATTTGTATCTGGCAACATTTTGTATAGGACCATCTAACTTGTACATTCATGTCAGAGCATGTAGTTTTATTCAGGATTTGGTTGAATTAAAAAATAAATCAATGACACTCTGAAGAACAGCAACAGAGTCATGCTGTGATAAATTAGATGTATTTCATTAATACAATGGAAATTTACTTTGGGAAACTAGCAGAGGCCCTACATAATATCCCTGTGGTGAACAACCTGTTCTATTTCAGTGCATTTTTTAGTTTAGAGGCAGAAAAACGTTAGTAGGTAATCTTACTTTCTAAAAGGTGATAATTTGCCATACTACAGATGGAATGAACTATGTATGCAGTGAAAATATGAAATAGTAGGCCAGAATCTAGGATAACATGAATTTGCCATTTCATATTTGCTATGTAAAAAAGCTAACACACTTTATTATATTTCTTAAAAGAATTCTGCAGGTGTGAAAATTATTGTGTTATATAAGTAAAGTAATTGCATTATGAGTAATATTAAAATTCAAAGCAAAAAAAATCGGTTTTAAGCCCTGGTCTTTATTTTTCAGACTCTAACTCATGAGCCATTATAAATATTTTAAATTACATGGAATATTTACCAAGTGCTAGTCACACACACCTTTTAAAAATAGTTTTATATACAGATTAGCCTGAGGAAACTTTAAGGCAGTAAACTGTTTTGATAGGCAGATTTTAACAATATACCAAGTGTATTTATGAACTTAAAGAAATAAATATTATAATTGAAAAAAAACTGTTTTGGATTCTTTGTTTACCCATCTTGGTTGAGTTGTTTGGCAAATGCCAAAGCTTTGATGAGCTTTTCTCCCCCGTTGCACTTTGATGCATACATTTAAAAATAAGTGAGCCTGCAGATCAGATGACAGGCCTTTGCTGTTTATCTGACCTGGCTGTGGTGGGGTGGGTGGCCTCATGGTGTACTTTCTGTGCAGAAGAGGTTCTCTAAGGCACCATATTGCCACCAATGGGAACTTGGAAAATATCCAGATGTCATTTTCATTGCAGCACGGCCCAAATAAGGAAATGTCTTTCTTTCTTCCTTCAGCCATGATTTTATTTCTGCCTGAGGAGGTTCTGTTAATCTCTACATACCTGCTTCTTAGCTCCTTTCCCACTGCCTGCTCCGCTCAGAGCCCCACTGAGCCCCTCGAGAGCCCTCCTCACCTAGGACTGTTTGGGTTATACTTTACTGAACAACTGTTGATTTTCTACTGAATTTCTTTGGCTCCAATCAGACTTCATATTTATTTTTCATCTGGTTGTAAATCTTTTCATGAGTTGATGTCTACTTAAATTTTCACAAAATTGAATATTGTAAGAGTCCGAATTGAAGAAGCTAGCTCACCCTCCAAATGGATTTCATTTGGACTTTAATCTATAAAGAAGGTGTGTGTTTTTCTTTATCCTAAAGCATCGGAGGCTAAGACAAGTAGAATTTTCTCTTGTCAACTCTTTAAAATCAGCATCTACATAATACTTTTCCTCTCCCTTTGAGAGAAGCTGATTCTTCACCCACCCTCTGCCCTCCCTTAATCCGTGAACTCGGGCTGTGCAAGTTAAGCTGGTTTTACTTTCCGCTTTCTCGTAATAGCGTCACTATCCCCAGAGCCTTCTATTTGAGCAGAAATTTAACTCTGGGGAAAGAGACTGTTAATTGATACCTAATACAGTAACAGATGCTTTCACAAGGCTGTATTAGCTTCTGTTTTCAAAGTCCTCTGTGAGGTATGGATACAACTTCCTAGTATCATCAGAGTGTTCTTGCAACCCTTACTCTATCTTCTTATTCTGAGACCAATTCTTTTCTAACAATACTGCTTCCTTCCCAGCCTGGGGGAAAAAAAGGAACTTGTTCCCTGCAGTCCAGGGTCATGAAGTGAAAAGCACTTTCTCACATCCCCTCAGTAATTAATATGACTTTCTCAAAACAGCAGGAGGGGAGAGATTTATATTTATATTGAGTGTCTGCTATGTGCCATACACTAAGCTTGTTGATTTTTTGATGTTGACTCCACAACTTTTTCTGTAAAGGGCCAGAGAGTCACTATTTTCTGCTCCATGGGCCATAAGGTTTCTGTTGCAACTACTCAGCTCTGCTGCTGTGGTGAGAAAGCAACCACGGGCACTATGGAAACCAATGGAAGTAGCTGGGTTCCTATAAAGCTTGACAGCAGGTGAATTTAGCCCACAGGCCATAGTTTGCCAACCACTACTTTATATCAATCCTATGAGAACACATCATTAATTGTATTACAGAGATTAGAGAGTTGAAACCCAGAAATATCAAATGTGTGTCGAGTGCCCCACACTAATGCCATATTGATATTCATACCCAGTCTAGCCACAGCCTGGCTTTCTCACAGTTGTATTTCTAGTTGTATTTTTCATTCCTTTCCTATCATTGTCCAATAGTCTCATCACTTCTTGATATTCACTGAAGGCTTTGGTTTATCACTTAAAATCATCTTATACCGTACCCACTTGCTATCCCACAGGACAACAGTGAATCATAAATTCCACCCTAAATATTTCACATTTTGAACTCTGTTAGCATATGGATAAAACTAGTCTGTCTTTGGGATCTTGAATCCTATTTACAACCATGGAGCCCCCTTCCATTTCCCACTAAATCTACATTTTGTCCCTACTGCAAGTTCTCTTACCTTTACTTATCCTATTCCTTTTCTGCTGAGTTAGGACCACTGGATGCACTGCTATGATCTAGACCTTGATCATCTCATGCTTGGACTATTGTTGTAAGTCATGAACTGGGCATTTTCATTTCATTCCTGGCCTCCCCCCTCAATTCTAATCCATTCTCCATTTAGCCAACAGAATTAAAATATGTCTTTCTTGTGGGCCTCTCCTGAATTAAAAACTGCAATGATTCCCCACTGCCTGCGATCTAGTCCAAACTCCTTAGCATTGCATTTATGATCCCTCACAACCCTCCTATATAACCATATGCCTTACCACTTCTCAAACACAGTGCCCCAGGTGTTGCAGACTACCAACCATTCCTGAAGACAGGGCTCTGGTCTAGACAGGTTGTTCACTGAACTCAACAGAGTATTTCCACATGGCTATATCCATCCAGAAGGAACATCATTTTTTTCTAGTTTGCTCAAATGTGCCTCATATACGAGCTGCAGCCACACCTGCACGTACCTGGCACAGTCACACACCTATGGCCACCACTACTTCCTTCTCTGTCCTTCTTTCTGTCTCAGCTCATATGTCACGCTCCTGTGAGGTCTGCCTGATTCTCTCTCTAACCTGTTTTCCCCTAGTTCTCTCTTCATCCTTGTAATCTCATGATTTTGACTGTGCTGTGTTCAACTGCTCAGCTAGGTTGCAGCACTTGAAGAATCCGAACTGTTTCTTATCTTCAATTACTGATACCTAGCATAGCTCCTGACACATAAAGAACACTGACTGTGCCTCCAAATGACACAGGAGGGCAGGAATAACAGCAAAACTAAATGTTTCACAGTATTCCTATTTCTCTGTGAGGACTAAATAGCATAGATAGAGGTTGGGTATCTGATTCTAGCGATTAGACCTGAGTAATGCTGGGTTTGTTTTCAACAGTTTAAGAAAGCCGGATGTCTTCCTGGTTTTAAATGGTTGTACGTTTTCGATATAGGCTGAGAACCACAGATGTGGGTTTTACATTTTTACATTGTATAAACTCTCCATCTAAAATAGCAGTGTAGGCTGCTCTGTATGCTACAGGGTTTATGCAAAGAAAGGAATCAGGTGCTTCTGACAGGCAGGTTTGCAGATGCTTTGCTTTGCTTTGCTAGGGTTGCTCATTTGGTTATCGGAACTGTGGGCTCTGGGAACTCTTGTCATAGGTAAAGTGTAGCCTTTGTGTGGAGGAGAGCTTGATCTGACCCCCAGGGGATAGGCAGCCCTTCTACCACTGATGGCAGATGGATAGATCATTTATTTAGGTTCAACCATCCACCCTTTACAGGTCCTAGGCCCCAAGTGGAGTTTGTGAAGCAGGTTCAAGTGCATTGGTTACCAACTCGTCTGAGTCTAATGAGACACAACACCCCCACATATAAGTTACATGAAGCAGACTTATTACTTACAGATAGGCAGCAAGGGACAATAGAAACCTAGAAGTCAGGGCAAGCTGCATCCCCCAAGGCTCAGGAAAGCTGCCCAGGGCAGATGGAATCTTATCTGCATGTGCCCTACTTGCACTGCAGCAGAGGGACCGCAGAAGGCATCCTGTTCAGGGCTTTAAGGAACTAAAGCATTGGAAGGCATCCCATTTCTACGGGAGATTGGAATAGAGCCCTGGCTGTTCTGGCCAGTCCCTGTCTCAGATGTTGCACTTCCAGCACATTCTACAGTTATTCTAGAGAGCTACAAGCAAGAAAGAGGGGAGTCTGTGTTGGTACAAGGCCACCTGGGGAGCTGTCCCTCAGAGCTATCCCAGTACTCAGGAGAAGTTACAAATGTGGATAAGTCCAGAGTTTGAATCAAGATAGACCTCCAAGATAATGTCTTTTTGTGAGGATTTGAAGATAGTCTGAAACAAATAAGTTCTTTTTAAAACTTGTACGATTTTAGAGACAAGATCTTGCTCTTTTCCTCAGGCTACAGTGCAGTGATGCCATCATAGCTCACCGTAACCTCAAACTCCTGGGCTCAAGCAATTCTCCTGCCTCAGCCTCCTGAGTAGCTGGGACTATAGATGAGCACCACCACACCCAACTAATTTTTAAAAAATTATTTTTTTTGTAGAGACGAGGTCTTGGGATGTTGCCAGCCTGGTCTCAAACTCCTGGCCTCAAGCAAGCCTGCCATGTAGGCTTCCCAAAATGCTGGGATTACAGGCATGAGCCACCATGCCCGGCTTTGAAAAAATACATTCTTAATGATGTAATGTGAAAAGGGGAAATCAAGAATCTTTATTTTTACTACAAAACGTAAAAGAATAATAATGGTATCAGCTTAGGGGAACTGACTTTCATTGTAATCCAAAAAAAAAAATTTTTGGAAACTCCTAAGTTCAGGATTTAGATAAATATTAGGCATTCCTTTTTCTTTCAAAAATGCTTTTTATCAGCATGCTACTTGGTGATAAAGAATGTTCAATTCAAATATTATTCTGGTATTTCAGACCTTACTGATGGGATTCTCTAATTTAGCTTTTCAGAAAGAGCCTTAATCAGTCCCTTTTAAATTCTGACTTGTTTCAATTTAATAATTCATAAAATTATTGTTTGAAGAGTTATTTTGTGCATTAGAAATCTTTAAGCCTTATATACATCTTCTAAGAATTTTAATGAGATAATTGCTAAGAGTAAAATTGTATCCACTTGTTTAAACCTTCCACATGATATCTGTTTTTGAGTTTTTAGTAGATTGCATTATAAATTAATTCTTTCAAAATTCTGTGGCAAAAAAAAAACAAAAAAAAACCTGTCACATTATTTTCAGTTCTGCTGTTAATTATTTGTGCACTGAAGTGGAAACACACTTCAACCTGTAGGGCTGTGTAGCCTCTTAGCAGGGCTTTTGCCTTTTTTCCCTGAAAGATCATGGGAAGCCTGGGCGAGTTCTGAGCAGTAGTGATCTGACTCACATGGCACCAGGCTCCCCTCAGCTCCTGCATTGAAAATAGAAAATTGAAAAGATGAACCCAGAGACTTTTGTAATAATTCTGGAGAGAGACTGAATCCCATTAAATGGTAAAACTATATAGAATGAGTGCATTTATTTATTCAATGAAAAATCATCTAAAATATTTTTACATTTCATGTCTTTCATCTTAAAACTGGGGTTTATGGGTACATTGTCCTAGATACCCATTTTTTTTAATTATGAGGAAAAAAATGCTATCTTTCATAATTTAGATTTCAACAGTTACAACAATAGAATATCAAAAAAAAAAAAAAAAACAAACAAAACCCAAACCCAAAACCAAAAATACCTCTTTTTAAAGTTAAACCAGTTTAAGAATGCCAGTGGTGGTAGGTTTGTTTTCAGCAATCCTCATAATTATCGTTGTTTAGTGCTGTCAAAACAAAACAAAACAAAACAAAAAAAAACAGAAAAAAACCGTTTAGAGGAAAAGAACATTTAGACAAAAGTAAAACCAGGCACAGACAGATCTAGATACCTTTTTTAAGGGCATTTAAAGAGGATTTTTTAAAAAAGTCAATCAGAGACAACATATAGACACACATATAAACTGGCAAAGCCAGACAAAGATAAATATGAGGGAGTCCATGAAAGCGGGGAGAGTTAAAGTCTCGGAAATGCCCTGGACCCTGTTTGGCTCTGGAACCTGGGAGTGAGGCTCAGAGCTGACACTCCTAATGGCCTTTTCTCACCTCTGCTCCTCAGGGCTGGTTCCATTTAAATGAAGGATGCAGTCCTTTTTGTTTTTGTTTGATTATGGAACAGAGAAAAAAACTATTAAAAAAAAACTCTTACCTTTTACTACTTCCGTAACTATAAATAGCAGTCATGATTTATAGGAAGTGAAAAATATATATTTTTTAAATTTAGACCAAGATTCACCCAATGATAACATAAACCACTCTCACCTGCCCACCCGTGCCCTTGCAGGAACATGGACTATGTATCAGGAAAACCACAGCAAATATCTTTGTAATTTTGATTTAGTAAACAGGTAAAATATTATTTCTATTGAATGAAAAAGGCATGGTCTTATACATTTATAATGCTTAAAATCATGGAAAACCCTTTGGTATTTGCTTTGTGGTTATTTGCTCTTAACAAAAACTACCATCTGGAGCCCAGATTTGGAGTTGCTAAAGATAAAGAAAAAAAAAATCAGAAACCCTTGCTCCTTTCTCTCTCCCCATCTCTCCCATCTCTCTTGGCTCCCTAGTCCAGATTATCACAAAGAGGTTGAAGTCGTTTGGAGGAGGCCTCTGGAGCCTCACCTTGCTGAATATGGCTCTGGAACTCTGCCAGGGATGTACCCACCTCTCGTGCCATAGGCTGCTCGTCTCTAAGGTAGGGTGGTCATGATTTCTGTCCCATGGAGTCTTGCTGAAGACTGAATGATTTAATACTTGTGACATGGCTTAGCATAATACCTGGCAAATAGGGAGCACTAAATAAGGGGTTTTTTTTTGTTGTTATTGTTAGTTTCTGTCCCTGGCCAAGTGGCAGACTATAGACAAGAGATGCAATAAGTTTTGTACACAATTCCCAACTAACACAGAGGAATTGCCAGGAATTCCCTAGGAATTCTTCATAATATATAAGTTGATACAATTTTCTTTTAAGAAACTCCCATGCATTTATTTGTTTCTTCTTGACTGCATTTTCTGTGAATATATGTTCATTTCCTCAGTTAGAGCTTAAACCCCTTGAAGGCTTGTTTTATTTTCTTGTTTTATCTTCTCTCTCTTTCTGATGCTTAAATTAGTGTTTAGAATGTGTTGCAAAGCATTAATCACATGATCAATAAATGCTTAGTTTTTCAATGTTTTCTTTATTTCTTTTTCTAGAGACAGGGTCTCTCTATGTTACTCAGGCTGGTCTTGAACTCCTGGCCTCAAGTGATCCTCCTGCTTCAGCCTCCCAAAGTGTTGGGATTACAGGCATGAGCCGTGATGCCCAACGGATGTTTTCTTTAAAGACAGAAGTTATATCAATGATGGAAAAAAGAGAAAAACCTAAGATTTTTCATATGAGTGATTATGACAAAATATGATTGTTTTGTAACAGAGATCTATTGGTGTTTTTCTGAGCAGATTTGGAAAATACCTTATTTCGGCCAAATAATGGCAACTGACATTTGTTTGAATTTGTCATTTGATATTTTAAAAATCTAAATTTTCAAAAGAAAAAGGAAACTGGCAGTTTGAAAGACAGTAGTTTGAAACATTTAAAAGGGTATGGTATTTCTGTCTAGTCAGATCACTTCCAAAAATTAATTGCTATTTCTTATGTTCTCTTTCACTCTAAGTAGACTCTTATTAATCCACCAGCATTCCTAAAAAATGACATGGTGATGTTTTTCCGTGTGGAGAAGAAAAAATGTCCACACTGTCAGATGCCTTAGGCTTACCAGAATGAATTCCTACAGCATTTCCATTCCCTACCTCTTACTGCAGAAAAGAAAAACTTTTATAAAATTAGCCACTTGGAAATCTGTGAGGCTGGTTACCAGTGTCAAACCCATTACCGTGTGTCAACTCCACTTTGAACAACTGTCTTTGAGGAATGAAAAGATTCCATTTGTAGCCACTTTTTATGGTTGAGGTTTTAGAGTTCCAGGTGGTAGTTAAATTAGAATTTCTCTATTGTATACAAAAGCCCTAAGATGATTGGATTAGTTCACCAAAAAGACAACAAAATTTATAAATTGAAATCATTTTTGAAACAAATGTGTTCAACGTTTTGTAATTCCTGCACTTAGTCACAGAGGGGGAGAAAAGAAAAATCTCTCAATAGAAAAGAACTAAGGAAATTGAAAAGCCTGATAGCCTGATAGTGCAGAAGGACATGATGTCTGGGAAACAGACAAGCATTAATTGTCTACCATAATACTTTTCATGTTATCGTATTTCAGTTGCACAATAATCCCCTGAGTTGGGTGCTCTCATTCTTACTTTTGAGGATGAAAAACTAAAGCTTAGAGAGATTAAGTAACAAAACCAGGGGCATTTTCAACTTGAAATTCTGTTTAGAGTAATTCCATCAGCCATGCTGTCCAGACATTGTAAACAACCCTCGAAAAAAGAAGGCAAACTATAGTCAACAATCCAACCACATCACATTTTTTAAAAGCTGCCTCCAGTCCTAGGACCTGGGTCACTTCCAGGGTCATTTATTCAATTTCCTAGCCATCAGGAAGTAAACTCTACAGAATGAATAACATATGATCCTCTCGAAGGTTGCTAGGTATTCTCAAACTTGGTGTTGGCCTCTTTTAATTTTTTATTAAAATACGGCCTATTGATAGCAAAGATGAATCTTAAATTTTCTGTTTGACTTTATACTACAGTGTATTACTGTCGAGAAAGAAACAGTTCTTGAGATTTTTTTCCTGGAATTTACTCAGTATGTATAGACTGGATAGTGCAGAAATAACAAATCCTGACTTTGTGAACTTGATGAAACAGGTCATCAAAGCGTGGCTGCTTCAGGACCTTGTTTTTGTTTCCTGGCTTTTCACCCTGAATAACAATCCACTTGTCAGCCTATCCACCTCCCGAGACTGAAAGCTTCTTGAAGACAGGGAGTATAGCTCTTAGCTGATGATTTCCAGCTCCTTGCACAGTGACAGCATGGTAGGTTCTCTGTGGATGGTGGCTCAGTGAAAGAAGCAGCGAATGACTTTGTTACATCTAAATACACTTATGTAGTCTTAGTCCAAATATTGAAAATGTAGGGCCAGCTGCAGTGGCTCACACCTTTAATCCCAGCACTTTGGGAGGCCAAGGCAGGAGCATCAATCTTTTGAGCCCAGGAGTTTGAGAGCAGCCTGGACAACATGGTGAAATGTGGGCTGTATAAGAAAAATACAAAAATTAGCTGGGTATGGTGTCCTGTGCCTGCAGTCCAGCTACTCAGGAGACTGAGGTGGGAGAATTGCTTAAGCTGGGGAGGTTGAGGCTATACTGAGAGTCATCATGATCACACCACTGCACTCCAGCCTGGGCCAAAGAGTTAGACCCTGTCTCAATGGGAAAAAAAAGGAAAGAAAAGGAAATGTAAACTCCATAACAGGATGAAACTTTATTTTAAGTCACTTTTTATTTGTTAAAGTTGTTAAGGTTATTACATCTAGATTACATGAAGAAAATAGGGTTAAATATTTCTTTATAATTGGGCATGTGTCCATGAGCTGCAGCCAGAGTTAACTTTATAAAATGATTCATTGAAAATCTGAAAGAGAATGGATTTAAATGTCCATTTGCTTTCAAGAAAAAATGGTTAATGTTATGCTCCTTGTGCACTGTTTTTGTGGAACACATTTACTGAAAAGCCATTCTCCTGATTTTTGGACTAGAACAGAACTGGCTCTGGAAACATGGTCACATCTCTTAAACCTGAAAGTTCTGTCTTCCTCATAAATTTTTACAGTGGCACATTTTAGAGTTTTTGATTTTTATTTTCTAAGTTTTCTTCCAGTCTGAGGATTCTGAGTCTCTCTGGGTTTCTTTTCTTTTTTTTTTTTTTTTTGAGACAGAGTTTTGCACTTGTTGCCCAGGCTGGAGTGCAATGGCGTGATCTTGGCTCACCGCATCCTCCCCATCCCAGGTTCAAATGATTCTCCTGCCTCAGCCTCTCGAATAGCTGGGATTACAGTCATGCACCACCACGCCGGCTAATTTTGTATTTTTAGTAGAGACGGGGTTTTTCCATGTTGGTCAGGCTGACCTCAGGTGATCCGCCGACCTCAGGTGATCCGCCAACCCCAGGTGATCCGCCCACCTCGGCCTCCCAAAGTGCTGAGATTACAGGCTTAAGCCACCACGCCTGCCAGCTTTCTTGTACTTTTCTCATCCCATTTTACAGGTGAGGGAACAGAGGCACAGACAAATTAAGAAACATGGCCTGTCAGGCATGATGGCCTATGTCTGTATTCCCAGTGCTTTGAGAGGCGAAGGCAGGAAGATTGCATGAGGCCAGGAGTTTGATACCAGCCTGGACAACATAATGAGACCCTGTCTCTACAATAAAAAATAAATAAAAAAAAAATTAAAAATTAGCCAGGCTGTAGTCCTAGCTACTCTGGAGGCTGAGGTGGGAGAATTGCTTGAGCCCAGGAGTTCAAGGCTGCTGTGAACTATGATGGCACCACTACACTCCAGCCTGGGTGACAGAGCCAGACACCATCTCAAAAACAAGAACAACAACAAAGCAACAAAAAAAGAAACATGCCCTGAGTCACATAGCTGGTCAGTGGCTTAGCTAGGGATTGAACTCATAGTCTGATACCAGATTTTCTGGGCTGAATCACTGTGCACACTGCTCCACTCAGGCAGCAGTACAAAAACTTGGAGGAAAACATACCAACAAGGAGAGGACAGGCAACCCTAGAAAGGACAGGGAGCTCAGCTGAATAGGCAGTCCAGAGCCCACACCAACAGTTTATTTCTTATAGACCAAAACAGTATAAGGTGACCCTGAATGTGTGAGTGTAGGTTCCTTCTTCTGCAGATCATATAGAATGAATGATGGCAAATAAATGCATTAATTTAATTCACTTAGAAGATTTATTTGTAATTTTGGACTATGTGTCGTCTATTGTCTGTTTTGCGTCAAAGTTTGTAGTATAGAGAAAAGTCTAAAAAAAGAAAAAAAGAAAAAAAAAGAGAAAAGTGTATATTTATCTTTTCAGCATATGCTCTCCTGTTAGTTCAGTATGTGAGTTAGAACAGTGCCTCTCAATAGGAGTGGCACCTCTCTATAAGGAAGCAGTGTGTGTGTAGGGGGATTGTCTCATGACTGTGGCACTATCAGTGCTTGGTAGTGGAGACTGGGATACTCTACTTCCTGCCATGCTTACAGCCATCCTACGGAAGGAGGAGCTGATAGACTTCAAAAGCATGTCTAATTATCTAAACCTAGAACCTAATTCTGTTGACATATTTTTAAACTGAGTTTTAGTAAACACTGAATTTTTCAGGAATACAACAAAAGTGTAAATCTAAGACTGATTGTACTTTCTTTTGCTCTGAATTTTATAGGGATGTTCAGTCTTTCTGAGAAATTGCGTATCAGTTGCAACACTGCTCATGTTGTCTGAATCACTAATAACATACATCTGCAGATGCTGCTTTCATGGTGATTATACAACTAAGGGCAGGCATGTGACCACTTTATTCTGGTGGTCTAGCCTGAGCATTTACATTCTGGAAATACAGATTACTTTACTATAACTTATTTTCCTTTTATCGCTTTTATATTATAGCTCATTAGGCTCTTATAATGATTTTTACAGTGTATGTGTAGATTATCCACAAATTTCACTGACGTATAGTAAAAGAGGCCACACAAAATGATGCTTTTCAAAGGAGGTGTTACAAGTGATAAAATTCAGAATTCCTGGGTTCAACTCCATTTGGAGCTGTAGACACCCAGAGTCATTTTACTCTTCAAAATTTTAAAGCAATTTTAACCATAAGTAATTTAATGACCTAAGAATTACTTCCTTTTTAGGTATCATGTGGTACAGCAAGGATATATATGTATACCATCTACCTGCTTTGTAATTGCTTTGAATTTTACCAAATCCAAAAACAAAATAAGAATGGAGGTGTCTTCCTGAGATTGTTCTCCTCATTTCCCTGCTGCCTTTTTTTTTCTTTTTAGCTCCTCTCTGAAAGAACATTGGAATCAAAAAGGAGCTAATACCATTGAGCAAAAGGGCAAAGTTACTTCTTTTAAAAGAAAAGCTCATTTTTCACCATGGTAACCAGCATATCATATGACATACGTGCCACATGGCCCGTGAAAAGTGAATCCTTTCATAAATGTATTTCTATCAGAGCATAATGAGCTTTCATATGAGTATAGCAAGGACTAGAATAAGGTGACACCTTAGGTTGATTTGGGTCAAATCATTCCTGTGATGTCTTGTAACAATTTATTTGCAGTTTGCAAGAGGTAACACTAGCATTTCATTTTTTAAAATGCTTAATGAAAGTGAACCATAGGCTATGAACACAAGATGAATGCATTCTATTGAGTCTTAGAAATGGCACGTTCCCTTTTCCTGTGTCACAAACAAGCAAAAAATCTGGGATTCATTCGATTTCTCAGGATGTGTATTTGTAGCTCCTTACGTACTCCAGTTAAAACAAAAACAAAAGTTAAAAACACAGCTAAGCATAGTATTACCATAGCCACTGCTTTCTTTTAATTATAGTAGCTAAAACCTTTGGTTCTGATTTAAATTTGACATTTAACAAAGGACTAATGAAGTAAAGGAAGAGGAAATCCTTTGATAAGTATGCGTCACACCTTGGGAGAGGTAAAAATGAAAATATTTCACTCAACTTTTAAAAATCCTTTACCCTTTTCACTTGGAGACACCTTTTGTTCAGTCAGCTCTTTTTTGTTAACTCCTTTGAAAATCTCTTGTAACTGTAGTACCTCCTAAGTGTACTTTCCCAATGCTAAGACACTTTATATTCAGTTGATCTAGTTTCTTAGGCATTCGGAGGTTTAATAGGTCCCTTAAGGCGCTGCGTAGCTTCAAATCCGATGACTCAAATAAGCACAGATTTCTATAGTCAGACACTGATCTGCTTCTTTCAGGGCATCCAATAGGATATTAATTGTTTTGGAGCTTAAAGATTTCTTTACAAATATGTAAATCAGCCTAATATACCTTAATAGTCTGGGACTGAGCTGGAAACTGATGCATGCATAAAAGAAGGTGGACTTCTTTCACAAGTCATAGAAAATTAAACCTGCTATCTACTATGGGAGTGAAATTTTATTCTAGTAATCCTAATGGCAAAACCATAGAATTTCATGATGTGTTTAGGTATCAGTGTAGAAAAAGTCAAGAGTTATATATTTCTATTTCTGGATCCATTCCTTATTCTCCTTAAATTTTCCTGTTCACTAGACTTGAATTCTCAAGCTTTTAAGGAGAGGATTCAAGAAAGATAAGATTCCTATACATAATAGAGAAAATTCACTGAAGGGTAATCAGACCAGATTACCAATGGATTGAAGATATTGTCATATCTCATTCAACTTTGGATCCTGTGTACGTAGCATGGGTCCTAGTAGACATTCAATGGATGTTTAGCAAATTTAGATTATTTTGGCTATTATTTTATGCAAAGTTTTTCATTTATAATGTTAGCCTTTTGAATTATAAGAATAGTATCACTGAGACTAATCTTACATAAGTTTACATAACTAAAAACTAGATAATCTCTTGAAATGAATATTTAGCTACATAAAGTATACATGCAAAACTTAAATCATAAGAAATTTACATTTTGGCTTAGGAGATTCACATTATTATTGAATTATGCTATGTCCATCTGCTCAAGTACTGGATATATTTAGGCTCTTGTGAGCCAAATTGAAAGATTCAATGGATTATTCATCTGCTTCATGCTTTGATACATAGAAACATAGAAAGAGAGAGTCATCTTCTCTGTTTCATGATAAGGAAATTGTGAAATCTGTACTTGGGTTAAGAATGACTTTGTGATTTTCCTCTACACTCTAAAAGAGAGAAAATGGAGTTAAATATAGTAGAGTAAGTGCTTGCATTAATACTAAATTTAAGAATGGCTTTTCTTTTTCCTAACCTAATACCTCAAACAATACATCAGTATATATCTGCATGTCATAGGGGTTAGCTGAAAACTATTAAGACTTGGGGTTAAAAAACAGAAAAATGATTTAAGGGGTTAGAATTATCAACTCTGTGTGTGTGTGTGTGTGTGTGTGTAAATGGTTCATTTCTGCATGTAAAGTCTACCTAAAATTATGTTGTCTTTGGGGCTGCTCACAAGTATATTTTTTATGTGAGGCATGGCCACATGATATACATTGGCTAGTGAAATATGAATATTGTAGTGGATGCCACTGCTGGAAACACACTTCAAGAGTCAATGTGCAATTTACACATTTCCTTTTTCTTGTCTTGGTGAATATGAATGTGTACGTTGAGATGGATCTGCCTTCAGCCAGGCTTTCTCAGTGACTTTGGTAGGTGAACACCCTGAAGGTCCATGCTAGACATATGTAGTGAGAATCAGAGACTTTTGTGCACTAAGCTTCTGAAATTTGGGGGTTTTTGTTATAGCAGCATAACCTAACCTAATGTAACATACCTTGGCAAAACCAAAAATATCCATACAGGTTATTTTTGTTTTGTTTCCCTGAAAGAAAATGCAAGTTGGTCTGGTGTAAGCATTTATAAGAGAATCTAAGGGAATAAAAATAAATAAAAGACTTTTTGAATTTGAGCTACTTTGAAATTTGTAGACTTTTATTTTAGGCTTCTTTTATAAAGTTGTCCTAAGAGCAGACAACATATAAAAGGAAATTTGCTTTGATTACATTGAGTATTTGGCATGCCTGATAGTCAGTGGTTGTAATGTAAATTAGAAGATAATGAGTACTATATTTAGTATTCATGATTGTTTGTCTACATCCTTTAAAGTTTGTGTAATATTTACGTTTTAGAAAGATGTACTGAGCCCTAAATATTTGTGTGGAGAGAAGTATTTTAAAGTATAAAAAACTATAAAAGACTTATTCAAAGACTTTTATTAAATTCTTCAAGTCCTTAAGGTACACTGAATTTTGTTTTGGGAGCTGTAGACATATTATGATGTGTTAGATTATCTCTTTGGTTATGGAAAAGGCAAAAGAAACTGGCTCTGTGGTCTTTAGCAACTAAAGAGAAAAGTGACAATTCAGTGAGAGAAAAGACTAGCTTTTACGGAATGTGTCACTACTGAGGTCGGTATTGAGAAAAGTAGTGTATCTAGTTTTCTCTCTTATCTCTGCTTTAATTCCTGGGCAACTCTAGGGAGAGAGTTTAGAACTGATGTGAGATCCAGACTGGGCTCTGACCTGTTTCTCATTTTGTGATCCTTTAGGAGGCTGTGTCAGATATAGGACCACAGGGAGTAAGGGCCACTTCAGGGGCTGAGTGAATTTCCAATAACCCCTTCTTGACCTGAGCCATAACCTGCTGCCATGGCTGAATTGATTTTGTGGTGATCAATTGTTAAGGCCATTTTTTATGGCATTTAAAATGATAGAATCTGCTGGGTTATGGTTAATGACTTAAATATTGAACGAACCAGAGTCTGCCAAATGACTTTGCTCTGTTTATTGGGCTTATAGGAAGAACATTTGATTTTTTTTTCAGATGGAAAGAAAAAGAAAATTTCTGTGTAGAATGTCAGTTAATACAAACTTTTCACTAAGTTTCTGTGAGGATTGTTTCACTTAACTCAACAGTAATTAATTGAGCAGATATTATGCTAGATACCGTAAGGGTAGAAAGATAAGTGAAACTAGCCTCCATCTCAAGGAATTTAGAGTCTACCTGAGGAAATGATAATTTAGTTATATACCTCATCTTAGTATTGCAGATGACTCAGCTCTATTGATATATATGATAGCCTTCAAAGGATTTGAAACTGGCAATAAGAAGATAAAACAAGTTCCTTATTATTAAGAAGTTGTTTTCAATTTCCAAAAAGTTAAAAATTTACCTCTACCACAAGAAGCAAAGCAATTTGCACCCCCCTCATCCTCCTCAATCCCTGCCACTGAGCATTATTCAAATGGTCCACCCCCTTCTCTGGTCCAGTTATGCTTATATCACTAAGATATAAGTCAAATATATAGTCAGGTAGAAGAATTGTTAAACTGCTTTAGCTTGTGATGAATAGTCTTGGAGATTTGGTTGGGAATGTGTGGAGTCAGGGTTGGGGAGTTGACATTTCACATATATTTTGATGTTTAGAGAAACAAGGAAGCAGAGTACTTTATTTTGGTAGCTGTAGCCTTGGCTTTTGTTTTGGTAATGACCAAAATTTCTAGATGAACGTGTCAGTGGAAAAGCTATAAAAATTTCAGCAAGCTCTATGCTCATAACACAGCAGCGCTTTTCCATACCTGAGAATCATTGACTCAGCAGATCCAACTCAGTAAACATGCATAGTAAAAGAGTACAGATGCCCCTCATCCCTGCCCTACATGTTACTTATAAAAGAGTTTCCTTGGCCAACTGACTTACTCTCTTTTTAAAACAGTATAATAAACCATTTTAAAGCATTTGAATAAGTAGTTTTAAATATTATAGCAGATTCAAAGCACCAAATTAGATTAGGAAAAACTTCCTTAGTGTATACACATTAGCCAAAGGTGATGGTTAAAAAACACCAAGCCAACAGAGGAGACAGAAAACAAGAATTCGTACAAGAACAAAAGGCTCAGCAACCTGGGACCATTTAGGGTAAGAGGATTGTTCTTCATAGTTTGAAAGTTCCTGAGGGTCTTGCTATTTTACAGATCAGCCTTGCAGTGTGATCCTGTCACACAATGGAGAACAATCAACATCTTGCCATTAGCAACAAGTCCTAACTCCCTAACAGAGCCCTTCCTGTGCACCTCCCCACCCCCAAGCTTCTACCTGCCCACCATCATTTCCCACTCTGTTCCAGCCCTTGAACTCACTCATGAGGCCCTCAAGTGCATCATGTGTCTCTTGCCTCTGGGTCTTTCTGATTGCTAATTCCTGAAATCCTTGCTAATTTCTTTTTTTCTTTTTTCTTTCTTTTTTTTTTTTTTTAAGACAGAGTCTCACTTTGTCACCCAGGCTGAAGTGCAGTGGCGTGATCTTGGCTCACTGCAACCTCTGCCTCCCAGGTTTAAGCGATTCTTCTGCCTCAGCCTCCTGAGGAGCTGGGACTACAGGCATGTGCCACCACGCCCAGCTAATTTTTGTATTTTTAGTAGAGACGGAGTTTCACCATATTGACCAGGCTGGTCTCGAACTCCTGACCTCGTGATCCGCCCACGTCGGCCTCCCAAAGTGCTGGGATTACAGGCATGAGCCATGGCACCTGGCTGTCCTTGCTAATTTCTAAACATACTTGAATTCTCACCTCATATGTCCCTAGCTCTGAGAAGCCTTCACAGAGTAAGGTGGTCCTGGTCATGTGTTCCCATAACACCCTGTATTCCCGTATTTGGCCCAGCCTACATTATATTGCAATTGCTTATTTAATGGTCTCAAGCAGGATTGGTGAGCTCGTGGACCAAATCCAGCTCTCGCTTATTTCTGAAAATAAAGTTTTAGTGGCACATAATCATGCTTGTTTCTATGGCTTTTTTCACGGTACAGTGGCAGAGTTCACTAGTTGAGACAGACAGTGTATGTCACACAAAACCAAGACCTATCTGGACTTTTCCAGAAAAAGCTTCCTGACTCCTGGTCTCAAGAACAAGCAATATGTCTACCATGTTCACCACCGAATCTAATAAAATTAAGATAATTAGTCAGCATCTATTATGTCCTAAGCAATGTCCTAGGTGTTCATGTAACCTTCACAGCAGCCCTAGGAAGAAGGCATTATTATACCCAATTTGTAGTTGAGAAACTGAAAGGAAGGTGAGTAAATGATTTCTTAAATGTCACCAAGCTTAAATGGCTTACCTGGAATTTGACCTCATATTTCCTTTGCAGTAAGGTACTCTGATGTCAAGAGACTAGGTAATATGTCATCAGCAAAGAGCAGCCTCTGGCAGTAGAATGCAATATTCAAATACTGGCTCTGCCGAGTACTACTTTTCTGACCTTATCCAGGGAGTCATTGAATTGCTCTGTGCCTAATTTTCCACAGCTATAAGTTGTTTACCCTCTCTGGCCTTTTGTCTCCACATATGATAAATGCGATGATTTTAGTCTCTTACTGGGATGCTGTGAAGTTTAAATGAGATATTATGCATATAATGTTTGAAGCACTTGACACGTATGAAACAATGAAGACATGCCCATCATTGTTACATAAGGCTGCCTCAAAATCCTTACTAATAGCTTCAGAATTTTCAAGAAATTGCATTCTATTTATAACTTACATTTTACCTAATTTCAAAGAGGATTTTCAGTGATAATTTGTCTAGTGTTCTATATACTCTATAAAGGTAAGGAAGTGATTCAAGATATAGCCATATTAAAACAACACAAAGTATTACATCTTATTTTCTGTGATGGGCTAAAAAATCATCTTCCATCATTGTTGCCATGAACTTTGGCTACTTTTTGGGGTTTTCCAAATATCACATGCATGATGCCAAATGTGATGCCTGAATCAGCATGTGGTTTACCTCCTAAGGATTTTCTGCTGGTTTATTTTCTGCTGATGTTATTGCCTCTGCTATTGGCCCAAACATTGCAGAAGCACTGGGAAACAGCCAACCAGCATGCTTGCTTGCTTGCTTGCTTGCTTTTTTTTTTTTTTTTTTTTTTTTTTTTTTTTTTTTTTTTTGAGATGGACTCTCATTCTGTCACCAGGCTGGAGTGCAGTGGCACGATCTCGGCTCACTGCAACATTCGCCTCCTGGGTTCAAGCAATTCCTCTGCCTCAGCCTCCTGAGTAGCTGGGACTACAGGCGCACGCCACCACACTCAGCTAATTTTCTGTATTTTAGTAGAGACATTAGTAGAGACGGGGTTTCACCGTGTTGGCCAGGTTGGTCTTGATCTCCCTACCTCGTGATCTGCCCACCTCGGCCTTCCAAAGTGCTGGGATTACAGGCGTGAGCCACCACGCCTGGCCCATGTTTTCCCTTTTATAAATGACAGGATCAACCCACTGCATAAAGGAATATGAAAGTCTGGAGTCTACAGCTTTTGGTTTTGTGTTGTTCTTGTTTCTTTGTTGTTTTCAGATGAAGCATCTGCATGTTATCAGGAACCATAAGAAAGTTTCATGAACATTTTTTAAAAGTAAAAATATGGCTACTCACTGGAAATACCATTCACCATACCATTATAGAAATTGATTTTACAGTCTTGCTTCAAATCTATCCCAACTTCTTGAAAGTTAAACTTAGCAGAGAGGTAGAGCATTTTATTCATCAAATCACTGTTAGAAGAAGAATTAACTTTATTGGGTAGGTGAGTACAGTTTAGCCATAATGATGTAGTTAAGTTTGTTTGTACTGGTCCCATATGGGAATATTAATTTGTCCTGGATCCAGGGTTCTAGAATTCATCCCTAACTTTATCAGCCAGGAAGTCCCAACCCAAAAATGCTAAAAAAGAAATTAAACAAGTGCTAATGAGGTTGCAGAGAAAAAGGAATGCTTGTATACTGATGGTAGGAGTGTAAATTAGTTCAACCATTGTGGAAAACAGTGTAGTAATTCCTCAAAGACCTAAGAACAGAAATACCATTCGACCCAGCAATCCCATTACTTGATATATACCCAAAGGAATATAAATCATTCTACCATAAAGACACATGCATACATGTGTTCACTGCAGCATTATTCATGATAGCAAAGACATGGAATCAACCTAAATGTCCACCAATGGTAGACTGGATAAAGAAAATGTGGTATGTCAAAGCCTGGCAGAGACACAACAAAAAAAGAGAATTTTAGACCAATATCCTTGATGAACATTGATGCAAAAATCCTCAATAAAATACTGGCAAACCGAATCCAGCAGCACATCAAAAAGCTTATCCACCATGATCAAGTGGACTTCATCACTCAGATGCAAGGCTGGTTCAACATATGAAAATCAATAAACGTAATCCAGCATATAAACAGAACCAAAGACAAAAACCACATGATTATCTCAATAGATGCAGAAAAGGCCTTTGAAAAAATTCAACAACGCTTCATGCTAAAAACTCTCAATAAATTAGGTATTGATGGGACATATCTCAAAATAATAAGAGCTATCTATGACAGACCTACAGCCAATATCATACTGAATGGACAAAAACTGGAAGCATTCCCTTTGAAAACTGGCACAAGACAAGAATGCCCTCTCTCACCACTCCTATTCAACATAGTGTTGGAAGTTCTGGCCAGGGCACTCAGGCAGGAGAAGGAAATAAAGGGCATTCAATTAGGAAAAGAGGAAGTCAAATTGTCCCTGTTTGCAGATGACATGATTGTATATCTAGAAAATCCCAGCATCTCAGCCCAAAATCTCCTTAAGCTGATAAGCAACTTCAGCAAAGTCTTAAGATACAAAATCAATGTGCAAAAATCACAAGCATTCTTATACACCAATAAGAGACAGAGAGCCAAATCATGAGTGAACTCCCATTCACAATTGCTTCAAAGAGAATACAATACCTAGGAATCCAACTTACAAGGGATGTGAAAGACCTCTTCAAGGAGAACTGCAAACCACAACTCAATGAAATAAAAGAGGATACAAACAAATGGAAGAACATTCCATGTTCATGGGTAGGAAGAATCAATATCGTGAAAATGGCCATACTGCCCAAGGTAATTTATAGATTCAATGCCGTCCCCATCAAACTACCAATGACTTTCTTCACAGAATTAGAAAAAAACTACTTTAAAGTTCATACGGAACCAAAAAAGAGCCCGCATCGCCAAGTCAATCCTAAGCCAAAAGAACAAAGCTGGAGGCATCATGCTACCTGACTTCAAACTATACTACAAGGCTACAGTAACCAAAACAGCATGGTACTGCTACCAAAACAGAGATATAGACCAATGGAACAGAACAGAGCCCTCCGAAATAATGCCGCATATCTACAACTATCTGATCTTTGACAAACCTGACAAAAACAAGCAATTGGGAAAGGATTCCCTGTTTAATAAAAGGTGCTGGGAAAACTGACTAGCCATATATAGAAAGCTGAAACTGGATCCCTTCCTTACACCTTATACAAAAATTAATTCAAGATGGATAAAAGACTTAAATGTTAGACCTAAAACCATAAAAACCCTAGAAGAAAACCTAGGCAATACCATTCAGGACATAGGCATGGGCAAGGACTTCATGACTAAAACAGCAAAAGCAATGGCAACAAAAGCCATTGACAAATGGGATCTAATTAAACTAAAGAGCTTCTGCACAGCAAAAGAAACTACCATCAGAGTGAACAGGCAACCTACAGGATGGGAGAAAATTTTTGCAACCTCCTCATCAGACAAAGGGCTAATATCCAGAATCTACAAAGAACTCAAACAAATTTACAATAAAAAAACAAACAACCCCATCAAAAAGTGGGCAAAGGATATGAACAGACACTTCTCAAAAGAAGACATTTATGTAGCCAAAAAACACATGAAAAAAGGCTCATCATCACTGGCCATCAGAGAAATGCAAATCAAAACCACAATGAGATACCATCTCACACCAGTTAGAATGGCGATCATTAAAAAAGAAACAACAGATGCTGGAGAGGATGTGGAGAAATAGGAACACTTTTACACTGTTGGTGGAACTGTAAACTAGTTCAACCATTGTGGAAGTCAGTGTGGTGATTCCTCAAGGATCTAGAACTAGAAATACCATTTGACCCAGCCATCCCATTATGGGGTATACACCCAAAGGATTATAAATCATGCTGCTATAAAGACACATGCACACGTATGTTTATTGCGGCATTATTCACAATAGCAAAGACTTGGAACCAACCCAAATGTCCAACAATGATAGACTGGATTAAGAAAATGTGGCACATATACACCATGGAATACTATGCAGCCATAAAAAATGATGAGTTCATGTCCTTTGTAGGGACATGGATGAAGCTGGAAACCATCATTCTCAGCAAACTATCACAAGGACAAAAAAACAAACACTGCATGTTCTCACTCATAGGTGGGAATTGAACAATGAGAACACATGGACACAGGAAGGGGAACATCACACACTGGGGCCTGTTGTGGGGTGCGGGGAGAGGGGAGGGATAGCATTAGGAGATATACCTAATGCTAAATGACGAGTTAATGGGTGCAGCACACTAACATGGCACATGTATACATATGTAACAAACCTGTACGTTGTGTACATGTACCCTAAAACTTAAAGTATAATAATAATAAAATTTAAAAAAAAAAGAAAATGTGGTATGTATACACCATGGAATACCATACAGCCATAAAAAAGGATGAGATCATGTCCTTTGCGGGAACATGGATGGAGCTGGAGACTATTATCCTTAGCAAACTAACAGATGAACAGAAAATCAAATATCACACGTTCTCACTTGTAAGTGGAAGCTAAATTATGAGAACACATGGATGCATAGAGGGGAACAACAAATACTAGGGCCTACCAGTAGGGTGGAGGGTGGGAGGAGGGAGAGGATCAGAAAAAATAACTAATAGGTACTAGGCTTAATACCTGGATAATGAAATAGTCAGTACAATAAACCCCCATGACACGAGTTTGCTTGTATAACAAACCTGCACATGTGCCTCTGAACTTGAAATAAAAGTCAAAAAAAAAAAAAGAAATTAAAATGGTAAGTTCTACTCACAACCATTTCTGTATTTTGGTCTTAAGACTGTATTGCTACCTGTAAAAAAAAGGGTATCAGCAAACTTGTTCATTATTTTTTATATGTTTTAGTTGGCAAATTAAGAGCATTTCATTTAATATTCTCTTAATTAACCCCAGTTTTAACTCTCAGTAGGAATTGACATACTTGACTTTCACCATTTGTGTTTATAACATCGGCCTTATATTTGCTAGCAAGGGATTATTAATAATAAGCATTTTTTTCACGAAATGATTTCAAAGACAAAACTTTAGTAATTAAGTTGTTAATGTACATTCCAGTGGAGAGTATGGGAAATACTGTCATTAGATGTTCATCTATTAGCATTTTGCCTTGTCATTTAGAGAAAGGGGAGAATCATGAACCATCTGAGTTTAGAAAAGGAGGCAAAATTGGAGGCACAGGCCTTTCATCCAGCAGTAATATTAGAAGTTCTGGTTACAAATGTTATTTGTTTCTTTTTGGTGGTAATATACACATGAAAAATGAATCTTTAACCCCCTTTATGTGAAGTTTAAATCTTGCATTAACTGCTGGATGGTGGGACTCATTACAACTTGATTGATGACTGAACTTCCACTGTGAAGTGTTTAAGGGGCAAATATTCAGGCAAGATGAGTTGTCACTATGTTACTGGAAATACACCTATTATCCTGTCAAGGTAAGTCTAAACTCTTGAAATAGGTACTAATGTGGTTTCTTGACCTGAGTGGCTTGAAATGCCAGTTCAGTACAGAACACTCTATCACAAAAACAATCCATTGACAATATCACCCAAGCAGTATTTCAACAAGCCTAAGTGATGTTGGCAGCCAACTAATGAGGACATGAAGTCATGAACTGAAGCTCCACAGGCCTGCACAAATTTACACATGCATTTTAACTTGCTTTGATCTTCAGAATTGCAACTCAAGTTTGGTCAGCAATCAAGTAGTTGAAGGCTTATGCTTCTCTAGACACGTTCTATTTCTGTTCACTGTGTGCCTGGGTTGCAATGGGGGAGGGCAGTGAGGGGGAAGAAATCCTGGAAAAGCTTTGTTATCATTCCTGAAATGAAAAGTATTCTATTTAGCTTAGAAGTTTGATTCTTGATACTAATAACTGATATTAGGCAGCTCCAGCCATTTTTAAAATCTATTGAGAGAACAAACCTGAGCATTTAATTCTCAGAACATCAGAATCAGTCACTGAGTGGTCTGTTGTGATTGTACCAGCCTAAATTTGGGGAGGTGGCCTCAAGTTTGTCTTCATTCCTTTTTTTCAGGGTTGCATGATAAAATCAGTAAGTAGAATTTTGCTGCAGATGCTACTGAATCATTGCTAGAATTTTGCTGCCCTGCTAAATTTTAGTCAAAGGAGGACTGTGCATTTTGTATTATTTTAGTTTCTATCATTCTTATCAATATTTGTTCATTTAGCTTTATATAATTTCCATGTGAGAGATTAAATGAATCATGCTACCTTATTATATAGGCAGACTCTAGTCATTTTTTGCATTAAAGATAGGCACTATCTTTTGCATAGTAAAATGACTGTTGCCGAAGCCAAAATGTAGTGGCTTCAGCAATAGCCATTTTACTATGACTCACAATTTTATGGGTTGGGAATTCAGGCAGGGCATAGCTTGGCAGTTTTTCAGTTGACTTTCCACTGAAGTCGGCTGGTTGAATTCAGCTGACAGTTGGCTGATCTTTGCTCATGAGCCTGACACCTTCATGAGAGTGGCTGGAAGGCTGGGCTTATGTGGGATCCTCTCTCTTTCCATGTCATCTCCAAGTCTTTCCATATGATCTCTTCAGTAGAATAGTTCTTCTCCATCTCAGGGAATTCATGGCCATCTTTGATCTGTCACAAATGAATTAGTCAACTTAGTTTCCTTTGAGGTTAAGCACTAAAAAAAAAAAAAGGCGGCATGCCCGCTGATGTATACAAACCTAATGTACACTTCATTCATCCCTTACTTTCTACAGCCAGTGAAATTATCATCTTGAGTTGTACCTCTCAAATTTAACCTCAGGACATCTCTTGCATAGCCTTCTAACTGGTATCCTTGTCTCCTGCATCCTCTCCACTACTGCCAAAATCATTATACTAAAGCACATGTGTGATTGTGTCACTTCTCATCAATGGCTCCTATTGGTTTATAAAGCGAAGTCCAATAGCCTTAGCCTGGCACACAAGGCCTTTCATTATTTGGTTCCAGTCTTCTTTTTAACCATGACACCCACCATTCCCTTCCCAGCTCACCCCAAACCCCTTTGCTACCTGTCATGTTCCATTGCACTCTGGCTATACTGTTTCCCAAATGCAACATGCCTTTGCATGACTATATACTTAGCAGCTCTTTTCTCCTTGAATATTATCCCTTCTCCCCATATCTACCTACTAATGTGGCCTATTCACCTTTCAAATTTCCATTCATATGTCACCTGCCTTGCACTCCCATAACACTGTGCTTACACTGTCAGTACAGGAGCAGATCACTCTTTTGCTGATACTCATTTCTTGTGTGTCAGCGATGCAGAGCAGAGTGGTCAACAACACAGACTCTGAGCCAGATTGTCCCAGAGTGAATCCTGTTTCACAACTTATTAGCTGTACTGGGTTGATTAGTGTCCTCATCCTTCTAAAAACTCAGAATGTGACAGTATTTGGAAATAGGCTTGCTGCAGATGTCATTAGTTAAGATGAGATCACACTGGAGTAGGGTGGCCTCTTACTCCAAACTTGCTCGTATCCTTATAAGAAAAAAATTCAGAGGCAGACATGCACAATGTAAAGAGACACAGGGAGCATGCCATATGAACTTGGAGGTAGAAATTGGCATGATGCATCTACAAGCCGAGGAATGCCAAGTATTGTGGTGATACCAGAATATTGGAGAAAGATATGGTGTTGATTTTCCCCCCGAGCTTTCAGAGAAAGCTTGGCCCTGCTGACACCCTGGTTTTGGACTTCTAGCCTCCAGAACTGTGAGAGAATACATGTTGCTGTTTAAGCCACCTAGTTTGTGGTACATTGTTATGGCAGCCCTAAGAAATTAATAAATGAGCTGTATGACTTGGAACAAGTTATTCATCCTGTCTGTATGTCAGTTTTCTCATCTGTAAAATGGTCATAATAATCAACCCTACTCCATAGAGTTTTATATACGTTAAACGAGTTAAGATGCAGTAACTACTTAGAACACAACCTATACACAATGAATGCTCCATCTATAATCTATTACTGATACTTATGCGTATGAATCCTTCTCTAAGGTAGAGATCATGTCCTATTTGGTTTCTGTACCTTTTTGAGAAGCATTATGACATAGCAGAAAGAATCAGTGCTCAGAAAAACAAAAACCTTGAGATCAAGTTTGGGATGTGGCATTTAAGAGCCACCATGTGATTTTGGACAAGTTACTTAAATTTGAGCCTCAGTTGCCTTATCTTGAAAATAAACAAATAATGTCAACTTTGCAGTATTCTTATGGAAATTAAAATTAACATGTATCTGACACATAGTAGGTACTCAAATAATTAGAGCTGTATACTCTTCCCAAAAATCACCTAATGAAGTGTCATGAACATACTAGTTGCTCAAAAAGATGTTTTTAATTGGATCATAAATTAATTGTTTTGTACCCATTTAAATTAACATTTTTGGCAGTTCATTCTATATTTTTCTGCAAAGTGTTTTTGTGGTTTTAAATTTTGTGTCCTTTCACTTAGACTCCAAAGGTCATCCCTATCTTGGATTAGAATGCTGAGTAGAAGCACATGATTTTTTAAAAATGTATCTTGCATTATTTAATGAACTATCCATCAATCATACCTTCTCTTGTGTTTTGTGAAGGAGGAGAAAATGATTTTAACATTCTTGACAAGCTTTCCATGACTGCATCTTGATGCCAAGTTGGTTTTCTCTTGTTCTCATAACTTTATCAGCAGTCTTGCTTAGAATATTTTATTTTGTTCCTGTTGTGCTGTCACTTTGGAGACAGCCAATCAACCTAAGCATGGTTCACCATGGTGTGTGCCACTCAAATATGCAATAAGAAAGTATTTGCAGCACCAGGCTAGGAGATGAAGTTAATTAATAGAAGTACGCTGTAAAAAGTCACTTGGGGAAAATGTCAGGAAGAAATGCAACGCCCCATTGCACTACAGCTGTGCTCATTACCAAGCCTGACACAGCACAGCTGGGACATGGCATTAGCAATGGGTGCCATGGAGGCCTGCTTGCTCCTTGGCAGCTGGTTATGTCTGGGCTACACTGGGGGCTCCACACTAGACATCATTAGGGGTTTGTAGTGTTGGTAGCTTTTGATTTTGTTCTTTGGGCCTATTTGTGTCATTACTACCAGTCTGAGACATGAAGATTTTTAACTACGGGGAAAACCATTGCATGGCTTTAAAGGATTTTCATAGGAGAAAAAGAGAATAGGATTTCATGAGAACCATGTGCTTAATAAGCTTAGAAAGCTTATTAAGACAGCTTTCTAAGTCATTAGCAAGGAAAGGAAAGTCTTTCAACAGTTAGATGTTACAGTTATACAGAGGGCTGTATTTAAGTATTTTTAATGCTGTAAAAAGTGCTTCAGCCTTTGAAGTTACACACAAAATAATTTAGTCCCAGACCAATTTCATTGGAAATAAATATTCCAAATGAATCTTTTTTCCAGTTTCAACTTTGTCAAGATATGTGGTTCAATAAATATTCTAATGGTGGCAGGTGAGCATAAATATAGAGAAGATGGTAATTAAATAGAATTTATCTTTATAGGAATATAAAAATCATACACTTTTTAGGCTAACTTTTTGATAGAAGCTGCAAATATGTCACATCCTTAATATCTTCAAAACAAGAGGAATACTAACCCAGCAATTGAAAAAAAAGACAAAAGGAGGAAGAAAATTGTCAAATTAATTGAAGAAAAGTAAATTGAAACAACCTACTTTTTCAGTTGTACACTGGCAAAGATTGCAAAGATTTTGAAAAACAGGACTCAAAGCTGGTGAGTATACAGAATATATTATCTCATTAGAATAAGTTAAATTGGTATCATTTTCTAGAAAACAATTTAGCAGTATGTTTATATTCTTTGACCCAGTAGCTTTACTTCTGGGAATTAGTCCTAAGGAATAATAAGAAATTCACAGTATTAGGTGTAAACACTTCTCATAAAATTATTATAATAGGGAAAAACTAGAAGCAATTATAGAGGAATGACTAGATAGCAGTGACAAATCCATGGAATTCTGTACACTTTGATGAATATTTAATGATATATGTACATACTCATAATCCAAGTAAAAGAAAATACAGAATTATAGATGGAATATTATACTATTGTATAACGTAATATTTTTAAAAATGGGAAATGCATCAAAGTTCTAATTATTATCTCTGCATGGCAGGATAATGGTGATTTGTGATTTTATTGTTATTAACATTTATCATACTAATTAGTAATTGTTATTTCACCATCAGAAACAAACAGGCCATTAATTTTTCAGCCTGGAGGCATTAGAGAGAGGTCCTCAGCTCCACATCCCCTATGGTATTGGTCCCTTCGGAGGCAGTTCACTGGTCGTTTGGGCCAGCATGTGATTTACATGAAGGTCTGATAAGCCAAGGAGGAGAGATCATGAATAGTCCGCCAGGATGGGTCCCCACGGGGAAAAAGACCCAAACAAATGAATATCCACCCCTTCACTGCTGTGACCTGTGAGCACCAGGAGATGAGGTCTGCTTGCTGAGGGAGAGTAAAAGTTAAGGCAGAAAAGTGTATCTGAAATGAGAACCAGGTTCTAGATTCTAAGACGTCGCTGGGGAATGAGTGCCTCTCCTATGGGCTGGAGGCTAGAGAAAATCTGAGCTTCAGCATCTGGGAGAGCAGGCCTGAGGGATCAGTGTTGAGGACTGAAGTCAGGATCTATGGCCAAGAGTGCAGATTTGGCTAGAGAAAAGAGCAGGGCAAAATGAGTTATAGAGTGGTGGACTGTACTGTGTGTTGATGTAGAGAGGAAAGGTGAAGAACTGGGTACCTGCCTCAAAAATGGGCCGATGTCTCCTGGGTTCCGTTTTGAGTTACTTCCAACACAGTTTTTGAGCAGCATGGGCAGTGGTAATGCTAAAGAGAGTGACACATATCAAAGGCAACCAGAGGAGCAGCAGTATTGGTGTGGGGAGAGGGATGGAGTTGGAGGAACAGGGATGGGGCCAGTGGAGAGGCACATGAGAAGCAGAAGGAAGGAAGGTGGGCTTCCTAAAGTAGAAAGGACCATCCTTCTCAAGAATGATTACAAGGCACTCCAAGGACCCCTTGTTTCAAATGCAGTAATTTCGGGGAGAGAGATGGAGGGCTGGAAGTTTAGCAATGTATTTACTGGAGACTGAGCTAGAGAATGTAATTGTGTTACCATTACAGTGACTCATTCTTTACTTTGCATTTCCAGGCTGGCATGTCCTGGCAAATGCAAATATATTGAAATGTATGAAGAATAATGAGGATAAAACATGTAAGTGTCTCTGTGCCTAACAGTAATACAATAAGCAAGGAAATATTTTGTGATTTATATTTTATGATCTGTTTAGAAAGTGTTTTTTAATCCTCAGATATAGCTATAGAAAATTCTCCTCTAGTCTCTAAAATTTTATCATTTCCATATTGAATAATTGCTTTTAGAAAAAATTTTATTTGTTATAAAATAGAGACCCATATATGCACTTAATTTAGGACTAAAGCAAGTTTGAATAACAATATAAAACACTAGAAATAAAATTTAATTTGTGTAACACATTTTGAATTATAAAATTATAATTATGAAATAAAAGTGACTTATTTAACTGGGTTAGTACATAAAAATACAGAAATTCATCCACTCATCATTATTAAACATTTATTGACCATCTGCTATATGTCAGGCACTGGTCAAAGAGCCAGCATTTGAGCAGGAACCAAGCAGATAATGTCCTGCCTAATGGAGCTTATATTCTCATGGGGGCAAGGGTTAGTGATCTGAAAATTTTTCAGATATTAATGAGCTCTTCAGGGATTTCAAAGTAGAGTGATGTGATAGAGACTTCTGGGTGGCTCCTCCAGATCTTGAGGCTGAAGAAAGCCCCTTGGAGAAGGAGTCTGCTTTGTGCACATCTGTGGCAGATATGGCAGATGGGGGTGGGCATTCCTGGTGGAAGTGGACTGGCTGGAATAGGGAGGTGAGAGTGGGCAGAGAGGCAGGCAGAGGCTGGGAACCAGGCAGGGAGAGGAGGCAGGACTTGTTCTGACTGCTGTGGGCAGGCAATGGAGGGGTTAAAACAGAGGTATTATGCTATCCAATTTCTATTTTTAAAAAATTACTCTAGCCCCTGTTTGGAAAGTGGAGTCTAGGGTAGCAAGAGGGGAAACAGAGAACATGTTGGGAGGCTATTGAAACAGGTACTTGAGAGGTGCTGATGCCTTGGATGAGGGCTGTGGAACTGGAGATGGGGAAGTAAAGGCTGTAAGTTAGAAATGCCTGTGGGTGTGCTCCTGGAAGCTAGAGAGAAGACACAAGGGAAGGAGCTAGCCTCGGGGTACCACCAATGGTGAGGTATCCAGCAGGGGGAGAGGGCCATCAAAGGAAACTGATAAAAAATAGAAATTACAATGGAGTCTCTCCAAGATGAGAGATAAGAATGTCTCAGAAAGCAAGGGATGAGACATCAGTTCAGCCACATTTAGGCCACCACTGGGCACATGAATTAACTCGAAACTAGTAGTTAAGAGTACATAGCTTCACAACTTGGCCCAACTTGTGAAGTTTGGGCTTCACCAGTTATCATATTGATGTCAACCATCCAAAGATCATAAAAGGATGGTTACAAGGAGGAGTTAAGATGTTCAAACAAGTGATTTTACTTGATAACAATTTAGTGCAATTATGTATAACAAGTAATTTTCTATGATGAAGTATAATCTTAGGCACAAGTGATGTAGTGGGGAGTAGAATTGTTTCATAGAGGATTAGAATGAGAAGAAGTATGAGAGGTTATGGTCTAACACCTCTTTCATTTGTAAAGATAAGGAAACTGAGACCCAGAGCATTGAAGAGAATTTGTTCAACATCATATAGTAGCTAATTAAATATTCAAAGCTAGGACCTTGGTCCATGTTTCTTAGATCAAGTATGTCCTTACCACTCACACACACATGCACTCTCATCAGTGCATGTAGCACATAGGACAATATAGCAGTAGTTGATGATTATTTGCTTTCAAAACTGACTTAAGAGTAATCCTGAAAAACAAACTCTCTTGAAGCATTTTCAAGCTTTATGTGATTCATAAAATTTCAGTCAACACTTCTTTTTCAAGAAGTTCCGTTAGAAGTGAGTTACATTTAACCATAGAAGAAGAAAAAAATGTATTCTTTCTGAATCAAAAAATTAGCGTAATAGATATCTGCACTAGAGTTTATAATTTTCATTAGAGACAAGAGTTTTTTCTACAATGAATATTATTAGAATTTTCTGTTGCCCTTTTATTTGTGCTTGAACATAAGCTAGAGTAGACATAGATAATATCCGATTTGGAATTTACATCAGAATCTGGTATCAGGCAAAAACACCAAGGAAGAAATATTTAATATTGTATATTATAATGTCAATTAGGATCAACTTAGTATAATTTTATCTGTAGTTCTTGAAATATTTGTAAAATATTTCAGACTACAGAGCACTATGTTTATGTGTGCACTTATGTAAACCATTTTTCATTAAAGTCCCCAGTCGAATAAAGCATTATCATCTAGACATCTTCAGTGCTGCCACACTGCGCAGACCCAGGACGTCGTTACGTTGAAGTCCAGCATTCAGGGGCTGCTGTTCACGTGGAATATTTTCACAGCTCTCCCTGGAGTTGTACAAACTGTGGCTCTGGCTGTCTTCTTTCTTCTTATGTAAAAGATCCTGAAAACCTAAAATAGATTTTTGTTGTACCTTCTAAAGTGTAATCACTTAATAATATTTCAAAAAAATTTGGTGACTTTTCTGACCACAGGGTTGGGATAAAACAACAGGAAAAAAAAATCTTCAAATCAATGAATAGAAAAGGATTAGAGCAGGTAATTGTTGGAGAGAAAAGATAATGACTCTTAAAGCTCTCCAAATCACATCTCTTGAAGAGTAGATGTTGTACTGAAATATAATCCCCTCAGCATGAAGGGTTTAGCATTCGAGTGTTCTTGCTTAAATCAGTGGGATTTCTTCCTCCAACTGATGTGCTTAAAAACCGAACTCTAAACTAAGTTAAGGAAAAAGTTTAAAACAGAATCTAGACTTTAAGCAATGGAATTAGGATAACATGAAGATTTTCCTCATATTTTTTCTTATTTATGCTCACCAAGTAGTATTTTTTAAAGCCTAGGTATGCAATTTGTTTGCCTCTTCCTGAAATTTCTAAGACAAATTATGCCTAACAAAAGGTTAGGGATATGATCTCTTATGTATGCAATAAAAATAACACTCATAATAATAGCAACCAAAAAAATAGATAGCACTTTCTATAGGCAAGGCACTGTCCTAAATACTTAAAAAATTTAGTAACGTATTAATCCTCACAACTGACTCTATGATGTAAGGTTTATTATTAGTCTCATTTTAAAATGTGGTTACGGAATTCAGACATCATTAAATTAAAAACTGAATCATTCTAAAGGAAAATGAAGGCAAATAACTATTATAATGAGTAAATTCAGAAGACAAGTGGTTTACGTAACATACAGGATTTTGGTAATTAAAAACATATAAAAGCAAGACAGGCAGCTTATCTCACTGAAGGGGTAACAGAAAGACCTCAGGTGAAATCCAATGAGATCAGATTTGTCAGAAAAAATGATTTTGTCTCCAATCAGTAATGACCTTTCAGCCTGCCCTAGGGTTGAGGGAACACCTTCAAAACATTGACTTTATCACTGACCTGATGAAAATAATGGGCTCAGTCCATGAATCAAGACATGTATGTTGAGATTGCTCTAAATTTATGAATCTTGGATTGTAGGGAGTAGGGAGCACTGAAGAAAAGGAAAAAGAAAATCTATGTGCTATCCATTTTGAAACTGAGACCCATCTTTTAATCCTCAGAATGTTATTAGTATTTTCTTATAGATTTCTGACAATTATGCATATGGATGATGTTAAAATATCATTTTTAAAGTTGATCAGTATTACAAGATAGATACCTGTATTAATTTTGCCAATACCTTTCACAAAAAGTCTTTTGTAATAAAAATTATCTAAACAAGTCTCTTAAATGTAGATAGGGTCACCGTATTTTCAGATGCTCCCCTGGGAACAGAGTTGACTCACTGCTTTCAAGCTTGCAACTCTTGGGTATTTGTGACCCCAGCACACTAAAGTTCGGTATCCGAATCTGCCAACATCTCCCTTGTTATTTTAATCACCTATGATGTTTGTATCTTGCAATATGGACTTCCAATGATCTGTATTTTCTATGATGAGAAAGACTCCCTTGCCATGAGGACTGCCCATGATCTTTTTAGGAACAGGAAGGCAGAGAGGATGTGTGTAGCAACCGGCTTTGCTGTTTACTGCATGGCACACTGAGCTCTTTACAATGGACTATGGAAGGGATACCTTCTATTTCATAGCACCTTTTAAGTGTATTGTTCTGCCAATTGCAACTTTTTGCCTTATATTGGTGATACATGAGAATAAAAAAGATCAGGCATTGGCTCACTCCAGTTTGGCTTAAAATCCTAGGTAGCCCACTTGCTGCCCAACCTTAAGAAACCCATTTTTTTTTTCTGGATCCTCACTTTCTTCGTTTTCAAATGGGAACAATAGGATTTGTGACAAGGACTAAATAACTATTAATCAATTAATTAATATTTTTGCCTGAAACATGTTAAAAAAATCCTTAAACGCAAACTGTTATTTAAAATAGAAAAAGTAATGCCAGCTCGCTCACTCTTGAGTTCAAGTGAAATAGTATATAGAAACCTAAAAACTCCATAAAAACTTCAGATACTCTCAAGCAGTATATCCCATGCAATCATTATAAGATTTTACTTGAAACTTACCATCAATAAATTCTGTGACTTCTTAATTCACAGCAGTTCCAGTGATAGTAAGCATTAACATCATAAGCCTGACTATTGCCCCATTCCAACTTAATTAACACATATAAATGATTTATTGTTCTAAAATCAAAGGATTGAACAATGCAGTGTTCTCAGTGAAGAGTGACATTTAACCTGTCCACAAGTGACCAAAGACTTGTTATACAGGTACTCAACTTTAGTAAATGTAAACATAAGCAACATAATCTTTGAAAACACAAGGAAGTAAAATAAAACTTAATGGAAGACTTGCTGGTGAATTTCTAGAGTCAGATATTGCTTCCAGTTCTTTGTCATTCATACTGATGACATTTTGCCCTGCTTTCTTCCTTCTTTAAGTTTTCCATCTCTTTAAGCAAATTACATCATGGAAGATGCTATGGTACTTAGAAACACTTGCCCCTGAAAATCTGGTTCTAATTTAGGTCTTCATAATAAAGCTTGACACATTGAAGCAGACAGTGTTAGGAACTGAGACATCAGGGTCAAAGTCTAGAACAAGATGAACAGAAACAGTTGCCTTGGGCTTTGTGGAGGTAAAATGGACATCTGAATGCTACTGGATGAAATAATTGATTTTTCCTGAGGCAAGTATGATTTTGGTCCTTAGAACTTCTAAGCTTTTTCAAGTTTGAGCTTGCTAAGAATTATTTTTTTAATATAAAGTACAGCATGAGAAAATCAGCAGGAATGTTCTTTTCAGTAGATATCAAAGTTAGATTTTCTATGTTTTAACATTTTTGGAAAATTAAATATGACAATATTGTTAGAAGATATGCTCTCCTGTGGAAATAACATTTCTATCAAGTTAGCATTATTTTATTTACATATGTGCCATGTGCACACACATGCACACAATCTCACAAATAAATGTCGTGGAATAAAAGAAAACTAGATAACAATGGCTCAAGAACTGCCCCATGGTTACATATGGACTGTCTGTTTCTGTCCCACTGTATCATTATTGTGTTTTCCACACTATGGCCAGAGAGAGTAAATCTGAATTTAGAAAGATAAACTGAAAATAAAAGTGAAAACAATGGATTTCAAACAGGCAATTATCTCCAGATAAATTCAATCATAGCAAGAAAAAAAACCCTACAAACAAGCAAAACTAACAAAGCAGGCGATCACATCTGGCCTCTGCAAGTCCTTAGGGAACCTGCCACTATGTCTATGATGACTGAATTTATATTCCTCAAAAAATAATGTTTTAAGTATCTTTCACACTGTTATCCAATATACATTGAGTCACTGACAGACTATGAAGATTTGTCTTACGCACCTAGACAGATATTTCTAAGTAGTTCCATGTTTCAGCAGCATTTGACTTGGAAGAAACAAAATATAAAAATAAAATCCCTGTTATATCAAATTAATGTTTCACTATGTATTAAGATCTGACCATCTGTGGAGTGTGTTCAGTTGGTGATACATCATCCCTCAGTCTAAGCTGTACTACCAGAAGTAAAGTTCAATCCACATTGGTCTTTCCTAGCCACTCAGGGGTATCCGATGACCATATTCACGCCTCCATTGTAGTCCCATTGTAAACCCCTGATGTGGTTAAACAGTGCACTTGTTAGTTGCTGTCATTGGCACATTGAGCATTCAATTAGCAGAGTTCCTTTCTTCTGCTGTAAATTCAGAATGGTCCACATTTAAAATTCATCACCAGAATGAAGTAACGTGAAAGAGTGAATTTCTTGAGCTCTTGCAGTTATTCAGATGGGATCTTACCCGTTCTCAATACGCAGAGATTATGGGTTTAAACTCCCACACTGTTGCTGAGATAATGACACCAACTCAAAGCATAAATGTGGACGATCTAAATTTAGTCAGGTAGCAGTGGATTCTCCTGTAGAAATGCTGCCTTTCTGCTAGGAAGGATGAGGAAACGTAGCTAGTCACACATTGATGTAAATTAGTTTTGCTCCTGAAAAAGAGTGTAATGTACAATCTGCAGTAGGCAACTCTTGTTTCTGATAACATCACAACCTCTTCTCCCAGTGCTGTTTATTGGGTAAAAATAGTTTTATTAGATATTGATTGGATGCCAAACAGCAAGGAAACACCTTTTAATTTTAAATGTATGTATTTTATAGATACAGAAAGATATCTATGATGTCTTTATATTAGTTTCTACCATTGAAGGATTTGTTGTCATCCTAAAGGGTCAATGCATGATGGTAGGTGTGGAATCAGAGAGGACTTGGGTTCAAATCCTAGCTCTACTCTAATAGCCCTGTAAAGGTAGACAAGGTTTTTAAATTGGAAACTCAATTTCTTGTGCTGTTAAAGGAATCCTCCTCACCTGAGCATATTGTTCTTACAGTAAAATGAGATCGCACAGTGAAATGGGGGATTGAGCGCAGCAGCATAGATGCCAGTCTCTGACTGTTGTTGTTAGTGGACACAATTGCTCTTGTTCTCTGTGCTGAAGAGTAGGTGTTTATAACGGCTCCTGCTCTTATAGGACTTTTCTAATAAGCATTGCTTCAGGATGCTTTAAATCTGTCATCTTGTGGCTAGGTGCTCAAAGTCTTTGTCTCCCTTCCGTTGGTTCTGTCCTTTCTGAAAACGTCTTATTTCACTTCTTAAATAATTTCCTGTCCCCACTCCATTCTGACAGAAAAGTTTAGAGGAGACATGATTTCCTTGGAGACTCAGAGATGCCATAACTTACATATAACCACACAATGGCCCATGTGAGCTAGGTGGCTAAATGCTGAAATACTTTTGAGGGACCAAAAATATCAAACAAGCAGAGGCTATGTATTGTCCCTGGGAGGCAGGACCCTATGAGCAGATGATAGAAGTGGCTAAGGAAGCAGCATCAGTTCACACCATGAGGAGAGCCAAACCTCCCCACATAACACCAGCTGCCTGAGCAGCCCTTGGACTCCACGTTTGCAGTGGGTAGGGAAAAGAAGGTCTGTCCAGAAAGCAGGAGCATGGAGCTCCGTAGACCTGAAACAGCCCCAAGTCTGCCTTTTACTAATTACATATAGTGGATACATCATTTGTTTTCTCTGAATCTAGGTTCCCTTATCTCCAAAATGAAACTCACAGACCTGTCTGCCTCTCACAGGGTAGTTATGAGAATGAAACAAGATGTTGTGTGTGAAAGCACTTGGCAACCTGTGGTTCTGCTTAATACCGACTGCTACATGGCTCTGAAATCACACACTGAGGGGCATACGAGGCACAAGATGAAGCAAAAACTGCCTTTAATCCTCTGTAGTTTGGCTTCTCAGTTGTACGAGAATTCCCTAGGGTACTGGTTTAAAATACAGATTTCAAGGTTTTGCCCCATAAATTTCTAGTTTATTTGGCCCATGGTGGAGCCTGAAATCTGCATTTTAAACAAACATACAGGTGATTGGTTAGAGCTGGTTGGTCCCTTGGGCCACATTTTGAAAACTGCTGTTCTGCCCCTTAAGAGGCCAGACCACTGGGGATGGGTGTGTTTTGGGGGATTACTAAGAGCGAATAATGTGGAAAATCATATATTGTAGGCTGGAAACTTTGATACCTCTACTGTACTCTAGAATTTGGAAAGTTTATAACAAGTTGAATAGGGCAAAAAAGTTTTCTTTGCCCAAGTGAGGCACAGTTTTTAAAGGTGAGTGAATGAAATAAATAGATGAAGGAAGAAAGTCAGATAAGATCAACAGATTCATTCTCAGTAGAGTCTTTAAGCTCTCAGCTGCAAGTATCATAACTTGCTTTGATAAGTTTTGTAAGTTAGTGAACAAAAGATAATTTAAGTTTAAGTTGAGCAGAAAATAATTTATTGCTTTTGAAATGCTGGCTGCCTTGTACAGGATTATCTCAATCTTTATCTCCAGTTCATGAAACCCAAGGCTACCTATTGACAAGGGAAAAAAAAGCTTTTCTGAGGTACATGAAGAGATTCAGGCATTTTAAGGTTCTCAATCATGTCACCTTTTCTCGCTTAGGTTTTAAGTCGAAGGATTCCTTTTGAGTTTGCACATTTTGTTGAAATTAAGTGGAGGGCCTTTCCAAATTGTCAGCTTTTATTTCTTGCCCATTCAAGCTTCCATTTAGAATTGGTATAAAATTAGATCTGCAGTAGAACTATAGCTGTAATTTTAAAATCACTATGGATTTTGATTGTGCAAGTGGCATGCTTATGGCTAGTGGAAGCTAACAACAAAACAGTGTCACATATAATAACCTCATGAGTGTTAAGAGTTAATCTTACCAGGCTTTTTTTATTCCAATGTTTATGAAACTTTTAAATCACCAAAGTCAGCCACATCTCAGCCTGTATAAAATTCTCTAGCTCTTAGGCTTTTTTCTTTTTTCATTCAGGTCTCAGTTCATATATTAAATGTGGTTCTAAGGGTTCATCAAACTACCCCATGCAAAGGAACCCCTTTCATCTCTATCACTTTATTTGGCTTCATTTTCAAAGCACTGTCTGAATTGTCAAGCACTTCATTTCATGTAGCACTGTCTGAAATTTTCTTATCTGTGTATGCATTTATTTACTGTCTTCCTCTTCCCATGGAATGCAAAGGTTATCAGAGCAAGGACTTTTGCCTATTTAGGTTGTTGCTCTTTCTAGGACCTGAAGGTATACCTGGAGCACAGAGAGAAAATTAATAAATATTTACTGCATATATGAAGAGGAGGAGTTAATATAATAGGCACAGTTTTCTCAGAGCTCTGTATTCTGTCCTTTGCCTATTACTGAAATCTGATGGAGGAAGATTGGAGGGGCTTAAATGGATCTCACGGCTCTTACACATTGCTTAACTAAATGGCTTCCACAATTCCTCTCTCTCTTGTAATGCTCTGTGGCTTCACACCTCGAGCCAGGTGTCTGCTCAATTGTGATTTATGCAAGCCAGTTCCAAGTAGCAGTGAAATAGTGACTGAATAATAAAGGGTCACAGACACATCTGTGAGGCCAGGGTCAGGGGGAAATGGTCTGTGCCTTTTCATTTCCCTCTCTTTCCTCCACTTTTCTTAGCTAGGAGGTATCCTTATGTCACCTTCTGCCTGAAACCTGTATACTAATGTTGCCCCAATCCTCCCATCTTTCCAACATGATAGTTTCCCACCTGGTGTCTGAGCAGTATTTTGGAAGAAAACACTCTTATTTCCCATTCCAAAACAAAGATAGCCAGTGATGTATGTTGCAGAGAGAAAAGAAAAATAGGCAAGGACAGGATTTGAGATGGAGGCAAGAGAACATTGTTTTAGAAAGGCGGGGATTTGGCACCCAAATCAGATGTTCTGCCTTCTCCATCCAACTCCAGAGAGACCTGAAGAACTCTCATCTTTGAGTGGCAGGATCAACTTCCATGCCCTGAAATTTCCATTTGGTCCTCACTTATTCAACGTGGAGCAGAAACCAGTGCATTTTTGTCAGTATAGGCTAGCATCACAGAAGTGCAAAAAAAAAAAAAAATGACAGTAGACTATAGCTCATTTTGATTAGTGGACATTTTTACGATAGACCCTTAATTATTCAGTCACTATTTCACTGCTACTTGGAACTGACCCTGTTTGTCTTACTCATCCAGGTTGCATGCCTTCCCCTTACTTATAAACTCTCCATCTAGTGGTTTTCCCAGATGCTAAATTCGCCACCTCCCCGCCGGCCCCGGCCCCAAGTAATAAACAACTAATTAAAAATAGAGGAAATTTTGGCAAGTGCTGTCTACAGCCTATTTTAGAAAACACACACCATAATATTATCTAAGCGGCGTCTGAAGCTCTTTAGTGAGGGTTATAACTATGTGGTGGAACGACTTCAGGGCTCACAGCATGGAGCATTGGCAATGACATCTGGAGTCTTTCATTATGCAGTTGCTGGTGCTGCACAGCCTCCCACTCACCTTGGTACCTGCACACACTGCTGTTTCTCCTGCAGCCCCTTGTGTGGCTGCATCTGTATGGTGGGAAAGCTAAAAATGCCTACCGAGATGGCAATGTAGACTGACATTAGCTCATAATCCTTGCAAGATGCACATGTGTGTTAAAAAAAAAAATCCCAAAGAACTAGCATCCCAAATGATTCAGGTTTCTGTAGGAACTAGAAGCAGAGAAGTAAGCTCAAGATCAAAACCAAATAGTGCCCCCAAATTATTTTTGAGGTCTTGTACCCTTAGAATCAGAGAAACTCTCCTTCTTTTTCTTGCCTATTAATTCACCCTAAGTATTAGTTTAAAAATATGTTTGCTGTGTTGTCATGTATCCAACTAGTTGATAAAACTACAAGATTTTAATAAACATAAATTTTTATTATTTTGCAGTTATATTGAAATAGAACACTAGTGAAAGAATTTTAGTTACTCATTTTTTTCAGAGAAAAGGTATTTTAATACGAACATTGTATATTTGGACACAGAAACTGCTATACACAACAAGAAACCATGATTTGATCAATTATGACATTATTATCTCTTCTAAAAACACAGAAATTACATTATTAAGCAATTACAAGAGGAAAAAGGAAGTCTGTAAAGTCCTATTCAATTTACTTTTTTAAGGAAAATGATGTTTATTTGACTCTGGTCACGGTTCCATTTTGTCTACTTTCTTTGTAAGTTCAGCTTCAGTGCTACCTAATTCTCTCTTTGCTTCTTCAATTTTCACTTGAGCAAGAGATGGATTCAGCATTAAATCTAAATAGAACTCCATTTTTTTCTTCAAAGGTATGGTCTATCGTTTTAACTCTGCCAGTTTCTCTGATACCGCTACTAGGGACTGATGAAATGGAGAAGCATCCATGCCTCTGGCTGAAAGTGACTCCTCTGCAGCTTTGATTTCAAATCTGAACTCCACTGACTTTGTTTTTAGAACATCCCTGTTCTGAAGATGACCGTCGACTTTGACCCTTTCCAAAGACAAATGAAACTCTACTTTCTTGAGATCCTCTTTTTGACATTTTTCCAATATTAATGTTGCAGTTAGTTTTTTTTCAAGATTTTCCCATTCAATCTTGATTTCTTCAGTTTGGGATTTTGTTTGAAAGATCAGATGTCGAATTATTCACTGCAGGGATAAACCTAGCTAGTGAGGTATCTTTAGTTTCAAGGGCGATGTGCTGTCAACCAAAGCATTCAGATACCTGGAACCAGTGCTGGAGAGATTGGCAGGGGAAAAGTTCACACTCTCCATGAGAAGGTCTTGAAGAGGCTTGGCTTCTGATTTATATTCACTTGCTTTCTGCCTGTTTCAAGTCATGTATTACCAGGTAGACATCCCTGTCCTGGAGCTTGTTGCATTCTAAAAGGTGGTGTAAAATCTCTAATTCGTAGGTTCACCTCATACTATGGGTATGAGATTTTGAGTATGGGTATGAGGTAAATGGGATTACCTCCATTTTTTTTTTTTTTAATCACACAGCAACCTGCACCTCTTTCTCCTCCTGGGGCTCCATAGCTGCCACTCCTGCCACTTCACACGGAACTCCTCAAGGAAGAAGTGCCCTGCAAGCCCCTTATTTACTAATTTTCATTTCAAGAATTTTATTTTATTATCTTCAAATTTTATTTTATCTAAATCTTATCATCCACAAAAAAAGAGTTTCTCAATATTTCACAGTGTACAGACATGGTCAGTTAGCTTCAGGTAACAAAATAATCTTCAAAACTGTAACAGTAAAAAGTTTCAGAACCATTTGGTTGATATGATTTATTAAAGGATTTAATTATTCATTGGAGATGTTGATACCTTAGAGCTGTGGTAACTATCCAATATGGTAACTACTGAACTCTTCAAATGTAGCTAGTCTGAATTAATATGTGCTATAAGTGTGAAATACACAGCAAATTTGTTTTAAAGACTTACAACAAAAAAGGAAATAGTTCATTTATAAATTCTTATACTGATTGCATGCTGCAATAATATTTTGAATATACTGTGGTGAATGAAATATATTATTAAAATTAATTTCACCTGTTTACATCTACTTTTAAAAATACCTCTTCCAAAAAAGTTAGTCTATTTCCATCACATAGCACTACTTTAGAGAAACAAAAGTTTCTGGTTACTCTACAGGGAAACAGTTAAAATATAATGTTGCCAAGGAAGACAGAAATCCAACAGGCAGTTTAGATGTTCTGCCAGAGAGCCTGATCATTGTTTCTCCAGAATCTACTGCAAAGACACCTCCTGAAAAGAAGAGGCCGTTTTATAGCACATGCTGATTCAAACCTGGGTCCCTCTTCTGCAAGATCAACCATATCAGTTAGTGCTATCTAGAAGTAGTTAATAGATCTTAAATTACTGGAACTAAAGGATACAAATGAACTAACATGTGCAGGAGAGGGAGACATTTCAGTGCCCTCTGAATCTTGTCTGTGATAAAGCCCACTGTCCCTTTCTAACTGAAGCCTTTCCCTTTAGCAACATTGTTGTCCAAAGTTGGAAGGCCTTCCAGTACTGTATTTTATTTTATTTTATTTTATTTTTTTGAGATGGAGTTTCGCTCTTGTTGCCCAGGCTGGAGTGCAGTGGTGCGACCTTGGCTCACTGCAACCTCTGCCTCCCAGGTTCAAGTGATTCTCCTGCCTCAGCCTCCCGAGTAGCTGAGATTACAGGTGCCTGCTACCACACCTGGCTAATTTCGTGTTTTTAGTAGAGACGGGGTTTCACCACGTTGGCCAGGCTGGTCTCAAACTCCTGACCTCAGTTGATCCACCCGCCTCGGCCTCCCAAAGTGTGGGGATTACAGGCATGAGCCACTGTGTCTGGCCAGTACTACGTTTTAGATACATTAATTCATTGGATTACGTTTTAGGCCCTTAGACACAAGGGAATGTGGTCTCTGGACTTTTGTCTTTCTGAGAATTTTTTGTTTTTCTGTGAAACCTAACCATCTGGTTCGTGAATATTCCAGAATAGGAAATATTAATATAAAAGTGATTCTGTTTATATGAGTCTTCACTTTTGATACAAGAAATAAGATCACAAGTTTATGGGAATGTGTTTTTAAAAGAATCCTGCTAACATATGTACATTTCATCTCTTAACCCTTTCTGACCTGTATATTTTTATTTGTTCCAAGTGACTCAATCCCAACGTGTCAGTAACGACCTCCCATACATACCAAGAAGCTTCTGCCATCTGGTGGTATATGTGGAGGACGTGGTAGTCAAGATCCGCAGAAGGATCAAATCCCCCAGTCCAGATCCCAGCTTCCAGATCTGTTTTCTCAAAAAGCTTGAAAGATGGGATGGAGTATAACAACTTGACACCATCATCAGTTCAGCTAATGGTTGTTTCTCTTGCTTCCCAGAAAGTTGGTTTGTTTTGTCTTTTTATACCATAGTAATGACATCACTTGACTTGAACATTTCCCTGCACTCATTTTTAATTATTTATTTATAATTTTTTATTTTTAATGTTCGTGGGTACATAGTAGGTGTATATAGTTATAGGGTACATGATATGTTTGGATACAGGCATGCAGTGTGTGATAATCACATCATGGAGAATGGGCTATCCATCCCCTTGAGCCTGCACTCATTTTAATTAGCAGTCATTTTCTTTTTACAGAAATAATCTGGCGTTAACACCACAGTTTTAATAAAATTTAGACTAAAATTCTCAATGAATTACACAAGTAAAATAAGGATCTAATGAAATCTGTGGCATGATTTCACTATCCTTTGAAGCTGATTTTGAAAAGTTGTCTCCCAGTTTAATGTTGAAAGCTGGTCTTCATACATCTCATAAGTGTTTGTAGTATTCATGTAACCTCAAGCATAGGCAACATTTTCCTATTTCATGTTATTTCACCTGCTCTATTAGACCCTCAGACAAATTATATATGGTTAACAGTTTGCCCTTTAAAATATGTTTGTATTATCTATAATCAATTTTTAAAAAATCGTTTTGTCAATTAGTGTATATTTCATGAGTATCTATGATGTTACCAAGCCCTCTGGGAAATGTTGGGGATAAATTGATAAATAAGATAACAGTCTAATCCTTATGGAATGTACACAGAAAATAGACAGTGTTTGACTTTTCTGAGGCTTTTTTTGTTCTGAAAAATAGGAATCAAAATGTTTGCATAGTTTCAATAGGTTATAGACATTTTAAGTGGCGTATAAGTGATTTCAGAAGAAGAAAAGCCTACCTCTGTAACTAGTCTTCTCAATAACATCTACACAGTCTTTCACTGTAATCCAAGAGTATTGAGACTAATTGGAGCATTTCTTGACCCTCCAATAATAGGAGACATTCAAACATGGTATTAACATAATCTGCCATCATAGAGAACAGCTGAATTAATGTGATATGAATATCATGATCAACCTTGATGGAATAAACATCTTCGTACAGCTGCACAGTGAGATGGGGATGAAAGCCCTTTTTCTGTGTCAAGCTTCCAAAAATGGTTAATTAATCTGAATACTTTAGGTAAATTAAAAAAAAGAATGGAATGAAGAAGGATGTGAATAATCTAGATAATTAAACTCTACTGTGCACCTTCTTTGAAAGTTAGTCTAGGGTTTATGCCATAGGATTATGTAAGAATCTGTTAAGAGAGCTTATTGTTTAATTGTTCTGGTCTATATAACAGTGTTAACTAAAACATAACCTGTATTCAGTAGAATTTGGTTTGAAGTGGGTTTATCTCCGACCCCTATCTACTAAAATGCTCCATGCATCTTAGTTACCTGTAAGAAAGTCCCGTAGTAAAGCTCTGAGAGCCCCCAGACACCAGCACTTCTGTTTGGGATCTGTTCCAGCTCCTGCTAGAACTTGCCATGTGGTTTTATTCAAGACACCATCTACTTGAGCTCAAATTTCTCTATCTGTAAAACAAGGGAGTGGGCCCCAAATTCTGATTTTACCAAAATCAGAATACAATAAGAAGGAAACTGAAGGTTTACAAATATCATTTTTGGTGTGTCTTCATTGACTGAGTGTTAATTATACTGCCATTTCACTGCAGCATTTCTGTTGTAAAGACTTCTGTTGCAGTCAGTCAGAGTCAATCAGTGTTGAGGTTAACTTTCTCTGGCTGTATTGATTGGGTGAAAGTTATCCCCAAAGCTGGAGGAAGCAAATAAATTCCTTCTATCAACTTAAATTGTAGCGATGCCTGTCACAATTTAGGGGCACTTCTTGCTATTTGCCTTTCTGGAGTTGTTTTGATTCCAGGAGTACAGAGACTTAACTCCAGCTTTGAAGGGGAGGGTTGGAGACGATTAGAGGGAGATACCTCTGAGCCCAAGGAAGCAGCATCAAGGACAGAGTGGGGAAGAAAACCAAGTGTCACTTATTGAAAAGCAAAGGCTGTGATCTGCAGTTTCTGGTTTGTTCTGATAGAAGACTTTGGAACCCAAACCATCTGGACACATTTCAGGGACAATAAAGAATTGAAAAAGGTTTTACAAATAGAAGGAAGGTGGATAGGTTATCAGGGGAAAATATGAGTCACAACCTAGTGAACTAGTTTAGAGGAACCAGGCTCCCAGCACACAGGAGGCCTTGACCAGATTAAAAAGATAACTCATTTGTCACATTTGTCTTCCTGGTCATATTCAAAAAGCTTCACCTGTATTCGGTTAATTAATTCTCATGACAACCACTACAGGTAGGTCTTTACTCTCCTTATTTAATACATGAGAAGATGGATTTATAAAGAAGTTAGGTGCCCCAAATCACAGTTGTGAAGCATCAGACCCACTGAGGCTGGCCCCAAAGACAGGCTCTCATTGGTACAAATGTCCTTTCTGGCTCCAGCTTTCTTAGTTCCCTCATGATCACCCCTTTCTTTCATGTCCCCCCAGATGCTTGAGTGCTTCCTGATCGGTGCATAAGCATGTGTTCATTAGTTAAGAGTGCTTATGCTGGTAGGTAGCTTATCTACAAATCGTTACTAGAGACGGAATTAGGAGCCATGCCTCCTCCTCATTTCTCTACTCACTCTGCTCTTCTGTTTACATCAATCAAATCTCTATAATGTTCATATTAGTAAATTACTTAAACATAAGCTATTTTACAAATATATGCTAAGTTCTTAAATATCTTCATTCTGCCTCATGCATGCTTGGCTTTCTGTGCTAGTGTCTCAGTCAAAGCTATGGAATTGGATAGTTCGGGTAGAAAACTTCTCCAATTATCTATATGTTCAGAAAACTGGGAAAACATCCTCGAAGAAGAAGCACACATTAAGTGCCTTTTTCCTGACAGATTTTAGCCTACCACAGGATTTCAACCTTTTGTGCTTGGGGAAGTACTTTCTTCAACAACAAAAAAGATAACATTATGGTTCTGTGGTACATTGTGATATCTCTCAAACCTTCTTCATAAGCCTGAGATGGCTTTTAGCAAATGGTTTTTGCTCAGAGATATGGGTTTTTTTTTTCATTGAACAAGGAATGGAAAATATGCTAATTATAATTGAATAATGGACTCAAAATTTAGATTAACCCTACCTGATCACACTAACAAGATACTGTGAGTCTGCATTCATTTGTTTGGTCAACACATCATATTGAGCATTGCAGTAGGCAGATTGATATGGCGGTCCCCATGACCCCCACCTCCTGGTGTTCAAATGTGGATGGGGCCTGTGACTTCCTTAAAAACAACAGAGTAGGGCAAAGGCAGTGGGATGTACTTGGTTATATCACATAACATCGCAGTGCCCCTCCTGCTGGAGCCTCTCCTTGCTGGCTTTGAAGATGCCAGCTGCCATGCTGTGGGCTGCCCGTGTTGGGAGCCCACCTAGCCAGGAGCTGAGGGTGGCCTCTTAGAGCTGAGGGAAGCCTCCAGCCAACAGCTAGTGAGAAATAGAAGTCCTCAAGATCACATACATTAGGAACTGAATTCCACCAACAAAAGCAGATCCTTTCCCAGTCAAGCCCCATAGGAGACCCCAGCACCAACCAACAGACACCTTTATAGCAGCCTGGTGAGACACTAGCGGGAGACCCAGTGAAGCCGTGTCCAGACTCCTGACTCGCAGAAGCTGTGAGATGCCAGGCCTCTGTTGTTTTAAGTCACTGAGTTTGTGGTAATTTGTTATATAGAAACAGGAAACTAATACAAACACCCTCAGTATTCCAGACACATTTTGAGGAATTAGAAATGGAGCAGTGAACAAAATGAAGTCCCTGTTCTGAGGAGCTTGTATTTCAATAAATCTAAAACATAGACATTTTAGAAGCTTTAATTCATCTCAATTATAATTTCAAAGTAAAAACCTCAGTGATCCCAAAATGGGAAAGAAAAATTTACTTAAAATATTTATTTTTAACTTTTATTATTATTTTTTGAGACAGAGTCTCATTCTGTCACCCAGGCTGGAGTGCAGTGGCGCAATCACAGCTCACAGCAGCCTTGACCTCCTGGGCTCGGGTGATCCTCCCACCTCAGCCTCCTAAGTAGCTGAGACTACAGGCGTGTGTGACCATGCCCAGGTTATTTTTGTATTTTTTCTAGAGACAGGGTCTCACTTTATTGCCCAGGCTGGTCTTGAACGCTTGGGCTCAAGTGATCTTTCTGCCTCGGCTTCTCAAAGTGCTGGGATTGCGGGCATGAGCCACTGCACCCAGAAAAATGAGCATTTCTTTTCTGGTCCAAAGGAGGAAAAATAATGCTGGACATATCTCAGCATTGACTTACCAGGTGATCTTATTCAAGGAAAGAATGGGAGGACAGGGGTTGTCAGCTGTAGAACACGAGTTCTCCATGGGCTGAAGCTTTAGAATCAGAACTTTGCAGTCCCATGATAATGCAATAGTGAGATACAGTATATCTCACTATTTCAAAAAAACAAAAAAAGATACTGAAAAGCTTAAATACATAACTGCCAAAAGTCACCAAAATAAGAAAAGCAATTTCAAAATCAGCTTATTGATTTGATTTCTATAGAAAGACCATTGTCTAAAAGAAAACCTAGGATTCATTCAGCATTTTCAGAAGATCAAAGTCACATTCATGAACAACATGTATGTTAGTTCTAGTGTCCAGACAAGACAGCTAAGAAGGGCTTGAATTTCCACACAAGCTACCTGGCTTTATAAGTAGCCCCAGAATGCCCAGGTACACGGGCCACAGAATGCCCAGAATACACAGGCCACAGTCCACCCTAGGCCCAGTGTCCAGCAAATTTGAACTGCCAGTCACTTGGGGGACCAGGAGCCTGTACTGTATTTGGGAAACCACAAATCTAAGGCCACATTCTATAGAATAGACTTAAAGGTTTTCTTGAAATTAATATGTAATCAATCACACTCAGAATATATTTGGGCAGCTTATATGTGCAATGTGTTACATGCAGCTAAATGACTCTAACATTTCTATTGCAGTGTACAGAAGGTGTTCATAGAGCTAGCTCTTGTTGAATTGCAGTTATGGTTGTTAATAACATGTGTTGAGCACTAGTTCTGTCTAGACATTGTGCAGAGCACTTTGATATGTTTTTAATTTTATTTTCTTAAAAGGATTATTGTCCCCATTGAATAGAAGAGACTAAACCTTAGAAAGCCTAAGACACATACGCAAGATCCAACAATGAGAAAATGTTGGGGTTACAATTTTAATTCAGGCAGTCTGGTTGCAGAACTGGTGCCCTTGACCACTATGCATGGCACCTCCTGTTAATGTGACAAGCACAGTGTCAGATGCTGTGTTCTTTCATTTGTTCTTTATAACAACCCTGCAAAAGGTATTTGGGGGTCATGGGAAGAGCCTTGAAAAACTCTTTCAAGTAATTAGTTTAAGAAAGAGGCAAGATATCGACATGCATCTTCTGATGCCATAATCACTTTTTACATAACCAGGCTAACTGGGGGCTCTAAGGGCTATTGTTCTAAGTAGGAAACCATTGTGTGTTAATATTTATCAAATATTTAGAAGATCAATCTACTTCCAAGACCTTCCCCATCAGTTTGATAATGCCTAAAATTCTAAAAGCTCATGCCAAATTTCTTTACCTTAAAGCTTTGAAATTATTCCTAGTCATTTACCCTTATCAGTCATGTATACTTTAGTAAGAATAAGTTTATCTCACTCATTCATGAAAGCAGATTTTTATGGAGAAGAGGATGCAAAAACTTGAGGATTGCAAATGCTGAATCTTCTTTAGAGAAGGAGGTCACTAGGAGTGAAGAAAAGGGCAGGTGATATTTAGCCTAATGGCTATCAGAGATATTAAGAACACTTTCTGGAGGTCTCAAATTTGATTTTTTTCTGTATAACTAATCATATTTTCTATCATAGACAACCTTGTGTATAACCTAGAAATGATAGAAAGTATATGATCCAAAAGCAAGGTACCATCAGTTCTGCTCTGTACTTCTTTTGAAAATTGGAAATTGTCCCAACACATTTTGATACATTAGAGAACAATTTGAGCATAATGAAAATGTCTTGTTTTTTTTATGCATGATTTTTATCCATGATAACACTAGGTGAATGCAGAAAACTGCATCCAGATGAACAGAGCTGTGTAGGAATGTGCAAATTGCACACAGGCTCACACCTCAAACATCTGCCAGCTACCTCTGCTCACCATGTGCTTTGAGCCGCACCCATCCACATCTGGTGTTAGAACTTTCCTTCTGACTTCAGATAACTCTCCTTCCATACTTCATAATGACTTACTAACTGCAGCCTTTTGACACTCACTTCTGCAAGCAAACTCCAGGTCTGTTTTCAAGATAAAATATAGTATTTATTGTAGTATTTATGTATTTCTTAACAATTTAGCATGTGTAAAACTGTGTTATTTTTATTAGATTAAAAAAAATGTTTCCCTGATGACTTTTTTTTTGGCTTTTTGTTTTTTTTCTTTGAGACAGAGTCTTGCTCTGTCACCCAGGCTGGAGTGCAGTGGTGGGATCTCAGCCCACTGCCACCTCCACCTCCCAGGTTCAAACGATTCTCCTGCCTCAGCCTCCTGAGTAGCTGGGACTACAGGTGTGTGTCACCATGCCTGGCTAATTTTTGTATTTTTAGTAGAAACAGGGTTTTGGCATGTTGCCCAGGCTGCTCTCAAACTCCTGGCCTCATGTCATCTGCCCGCCTTGACCACCCAAAGTGCTGGGATTACAGGCGTGAGCCATCACGTCTGGTCACTGATGAAGTTTTTAGCATCCATTTTTCTGATGAGTCCTGTAGGATTTTTTGCCCAGTGATTTTTAGGAATGTGTGTGTATGTGTGTGACTTTATTGCAGAACTGACTTTATTGTCACTTATTATGCAGATTTCTCCTGTTAGGGGGTGTGTGTGTGTGTGTGTGTGTGTGTGTGTGTGTGTGTGTGTGTGAGATGCACTTAAAGGGGTAGCTGATAATTATTTGAAGTACTTCTTTTCACAGTGGTTTAGCAGGTTAGCAGATTTTTCCCAAGAAAAAAGAGCTAACCATGCATCAAAATAACACTTTTCTGGAGCATTTCTAGAGGATAGCTCCAAGGAATGATGCCCACTTCATCCTTTATTAAGGTTGGTATCTCAGGAGAACTTACGCTGATAAACATGTGTTGCCCCAGTACCATGGGAAAGCAGCTTCCAGCATGCCCCATTTCATTCTTATATCTAGCTAAATTTCTTTTAGGGTCAACATTTGGGAATAGGCCGAGCCCACCTCCTTGCACACATCTGCTGCTGAATAACATCCAAATGAGAGCCTCACTCTGAGGTTAAGGCCTTGGCCTGGTGACCATGCCAGCTCTCTCTTCTTACCTTTATAAAGTCCTGTATGCCTCCCTTCCTCCACATCAAATCTTCAGAAGTATATGTGTGCTTTTTGAACTATGTGCAGCCCGAGAATTTATGAAAGCTACAAATATAACGTACTTAACATTTTAGGCACTAAATAAATGCTAATATAACTGAGGAGTGTCAAACCAATTGTTAGGAAGTGAATGCAAGACAGTGACACCACAGACAAAAAAAGAAGACATTTGAAGCATTCGTGTCACACAATAGTCTTGATGTAGGGGAAAGCCAGGTATGGTTAAGTCTCAGAAATCCATGTCTTCTGAAGACTAAATTGAACTCATTCTCAAAGAAAAACTAAAGAGAAGACTCAGTGTTAACAATGGGAAGAGTCCTAGTAGCAGGAGGAATAGCCCCCACAGTGTCTGGTAACTCCTGATTGAGAGGCACTGATGTCACCTGAAGTTAATCCCAACTCCGCTTCCATCAGTCAGGTAAGCTCGCCCCTTATGGGAGTCTATGCTTTCTAGAAACTCCACACTTAACAATCTGTTCTCTCATTCTATCTTTGTTTTACACAGTATCTCAATGAAAAACAAACTTCTCTTCCAGAATTTCCAAAGTAATAATAATACCTATAACCCAACAGTCAGCCTTATTGGTCTGGCCTGAGTCTTTTGCCAGCCCTGGGCTAGTCATGATGACTGGCGTGGCTGGGAAAATGTGATGCTCTGATTGGCTATGCCTGATTCACATGCTCAGTTTGGAGCCAGGGAAGGAATCAGTTTCACTTGGATCACATGAATTGAGAATAGAAGATAAGCAGTTTCTCAAGGAAAATTGGAGTGCTGTCACTAGAAGGGCAATGGGTTCTGGGTAAGCAAGAACAACACATGGCCCCTTTAAGAACCTCCTAAGCCAGGCTCTGTGCTAGGCACTGAGCCTGTGAGAGTGAGCATGAAACAGAGCCAATGCCTTCCTCCAGTTTGTAGTGATTTGGATATCAATTCAGTAAGCACACAGGTAAGGAAACTGAGCCTAGAGAGATGAAGTCACATTTTTCAATGTTGCACAGCTAGTTAGAGCCAACACAGTGTCTAGAAACTCTAAAATCATGGCCAATATTAAGATGCCATCTTGCCTTACTCGTATAGCAAGCAGACCTATTTGAAGCATGGTTGTCTGTTAAGCACACAATTGTGTAGGATATTACTGTTATAACCAGTTGTATGCTGGAATTGACTCACACCAGCTGGTGCAAAATTATTGGGTACATCTCTTTCCTACTTAACATTCAGTGAAATAATGTTGGTAGCTTGAGATCAGCTATGGTGGTATTTACACTGTAGAAATTGGCAACCATCACCATGAACTGATTGTTACACCTTTACCAACATACCACCAGTTACCATGGTTATAGGAATTTAGTCTTCAAGCAAATTTTTTTTTCTTTTCTAGAATATTTAATAAAATTCACATAATTACTGATACAGATGGATAGATGTGACAGGTCAGGAAGTTCTTAAACCATAGAATTTTTGTCTCTTTTTTCTTCCATTCTACTCCAAATCCCAAGGTCTTCAATCTTATATGTTTAGTACAATTTATATTTTATTTTCGTATTTGGTGCATGTTGATCAAAGTGAAACCACAGATGAGAGGGGACTACTGTACCACAAACTGAGCAGCTTAAACAGCAGAAATTTATTGCCTTTCAATTCTGGAGGCAAGAAGTCCTAGATCAAGGTGTCAGCAGGGTGTCTCTATTACTAAGGCATCTGTAGGTAACATGTATGAATCTTCAGCATCAGACTTGACCTTACTAATACTGATTTTTAGCATAACAAACAGACTAGACTTTAGCTATGTTCTTCTTAATTGCCCAAATTAGTGGCCAGTAACCTATACCTAAAGTTTTCAACTATCAGATTTGTCAGCGTTGTCCTTTGTACTAGCATGCATTTTTTTTGGTAAAAGGGGAGAAAGAAGATACATCAGGACACCCCTTGATAAACCTAACTCAAAAACAAATAAAGGCATTTGTATCAGTTTCTGTGGCTGCTGTCACAAAGTGCAATAGGCGCCCCTTATCTACAGGGGATACGTTCCAAGCCCCCCATGGATGCCTGAAACTATAGATAGTACTGAACCCTGTATACAGTATGTTTTTTTCTATACATACATACCTATGATAAAGTTTAATTGATAAATTAGGCACAATAAGAGATGAACAACAATAACTAATAATAAAATAAAACAGTTAATATACTGCAATAAAAGTTATGTGAATATGGACTCTTCCTCTCTTTTTCTCAGAATATCTTGAGAGTTACCCCATGTACCTAAGGGTAACTGAAACCACAGCAAGTGAAACTGCGGATCAGAGGAGACTGCTGTAACACAAACTAAGAGCCTTAAGCAACAGAAAATGTATTGCCTTGCCATTCTGGAGGCAAGAAGTCCTAGATCAAGGTGTTGGCAGGGTTGGTTCCTTTTGTGGGCTGTGAGGGAGAAATCTGTTTATGCCTCTCTCCTAGCGTCTGGTGGTTTGCTGGCAATCCTTAACATTCATTGGCTTTTGTGGCATCACTCCAACTCTGTCTTCATCTTCACATGGTGTTCTTGCTGTTTGCATCTCTGTGTCCAAGTTTCCCCTTTTTTATAAGAACATCAGTCATATTGGATTAGGGCTCACCCTAATGACCTCATTTTAGCTTGATTACATTGGTAAAGACCATATTTCTGAATGAGGTCACATTCTCAGGTACAGGGGTTTAAGACTTCAACGTAACTTTGTGGGGAGGACACAATTCAACCCATAACAGCATTGTAATTAAATTTTTAAATTGTCACATGCTAATATCAATAGATAAAATGTTCTTTGTCAAGCTAGAGTTCTAACAAGTAAATATTTCATTCCTTTTGAAAAACAGGTATTCCTACTGAGTTGATTTCCATGTTATTCAGAATGTCTTAATGACCTGGTCTTCAGCCTTGTGCTCCTTGTTCAAATGCAGCATTAATTTTAAGACAGGGCTCAGTCAACTCAGCCCACTGCCTTTTTCTGTATGGTCTACAAGCCTAGAAGAGTTTTTACATTTTTAAAGGGTTAAGTGGGCTGGGCATGGTGGCTTATGCTTGTAATCTCAACACTTGGGGAGGCTGAGGCAGGAGGATCACTTGAGGCCAGGAGTTTGAGACCAATCTGGGCAACATGGCAAGACCCCCATCTTTTAAAAAAAGATTTTTTTTTTTAAATTAGCTGGATGTGATCACATGCACCTGTATTCCCAGCTACTTGAGAAGCTAAGGTGGGAGGATCACATGAGCCCAAGAGGTTGAGGCTGCAGTGAGCTGTCTACTTACTACAGCACTCCAGCCTGGGAGACAGAGTGAGACCCTTTCTCAAAAAAATGGGAGGGGGCAATGGAAAAAAATCAAAAGACGAATATTATTTCATGAAGTGAAAATTATATAAAATCCAAATCTCAGTGTTGTCAATAAATAAATTTGTATTGGCACACAGCCACACTCACTCATTTGCATATTTTCTATGGCTGCTTTCACACTACACAGGCAGAGTTGCAGAGTTGCAGAGTTGCAAAGGAGACTGTTAGTCTGAAAAACCTGAACTATTTACTCTCTGGCCATTTACAGGTAGGATGCTAATTTTGTTAACTATACCTCCCTCACAACTAATTGCTGCTGCTCCCGAATGACACAGCCTAGTCACTGAAGCAGACAGGCATCATGCTGCTGACCTTTGTGCTGTGAGGGGGGTGTCTTCATTCATAAATTATAGCATCATCATGATTCTGCCTATTTTGTTACTATCAGAAGAATCACGCAGCTAATTAGTAAGCATTTAATTAGAAGTCAGAACCAATGCTGTTAATGGGCATGCTTAATATTCCATCGACAAAATTAACTGCTGGCATCAAAGGTGTGTGTGTGGTCATTGCCACCTCCAACCCCCGCCCAATATGGCAGCATTTTATGTCTATTTGTTAAACATAACTTCCATGTGTAACTTGCATCTTGAAATAATTTAGTTCCATTGAATCCACTGGGATTGTATTTAATCCTGTCTCTATTAGTTTTCTATTGCTGCCAAAGCAAATTACCACAAATTTAGCAGCTTGAAACACCACAAGTTTTCTGTCTCAGAATTTTCCAGGCTAGAAGTCCAGTGGGCTTGACTGGCTCCTCTGTTCCAGGTCTCACAAACTGAAGTCAAGATGGCAGCAGGGCCACATTTTTTTCTGGAAGCTCTGCAAAGATCCTGCTTTCACGCTCTTTCAGGTTATTGGCGGAAAGAGGAGCTGGTTTCTGCCAACAATCTGAAGGAGGGCGGTGGTCCCTGCTTCCTGGCTGGCAGTGGGTGGGAGCCTATCTTAAAGCTACATGACTCCTGCTCCCATTTCCCCCTCCATTTTCAAGCCACCAAGGGCATGTCAAACCCTTGTCATGCTTCAGATCTTCTCATGACTTCTGCCTCTAGCTGGAGAACAATCTCTCCTTTTAAGGGCTCATGTGATTAGATTGGTTTCTTTTGGGTAATCCAGGATAATCTCCCTATTTTAAGGTGCATAACCTTAACTACACCTCCAAAGTGCCATTCGCCATGTAACTTCACATATTCAGATTCCGGGAATTAGGGCATGAGTGTCTTTCAGGGGCCATTCTGCCTGGCACGCCTTCTCTGGGTTCTGTGTTCCTAACCTGAGAGTCTGCATCTCTGTTTTCTCTTAGAAGACTCTGAGGGATCAGCACTTGGCCCTAGGGACTGCACTTGCTTTTCCATTTTGGGAGCCCCCAGAAAGACTAGCCTTTGGTAGTCTCTTTCTATTGCAGAGTTGGCATTTCAAGTTAGTTTTTCATGGATGTATCACCATGTTATTCCCATGCAACACAATTAAATGACCCCAGCCACCACAGCTGAAAGCATTTATACTTAGTTATTTCATACAGCTGTGTTAGAAAACCACTGCATACATCAACTGTGATATAAACGTACCCTGCTAGAGTTGGGCAGTGAACAGCCTGCTTAGCCTGATGCTGCAGCCATAAAAAAAAAGGTCTGTGTGCATCTTGGTTGCCCATCTTCTTTCTCCGAAAGGCAAGAGCCAAGGAGTCAGACTGGAACACCTTGCCACTCTGAAGTTTAGAATACATCCATTTTCATGACTACTCAAATTATAGGTAAATTGTCACCTTGCTGTGCACTGTAATGTTTCTGGTTACCCATCTAAATCTGGTTGATGTCCACGTTTGGAAGAATTCCTTACATTTGATCCAAATGTAAGAAAACTTGAAGTATTTTGGAAGTTCAGGCTGAAATATAGTTGCATTTTGTAAATGCTAGATAGCTAATAACTAAAGGGAAATTCCAGCAAAGTGGAAGGGGAAGTAGGAATGGGGAATAATCTTTTTGTTCACTGGCCATGATCCTGGCACAGAGACCCTCAGAGTGCAGACTAGGATTTCTTAAACACTAACATGCTCATGAATCGCCTAAGATCTTAACATTCACATTCTAATTATCGAGTCTGAGATGAGGCCTGAAATTTCATATTTCTAACCACTTCCCAGATGACGCAACCTCTGTGAGTCTGTGGGCCACACTTTGAGTGGTAAGAATTTAGAGAATTTAGACTACCAACAAAATGAATCAATTTCTTCCCAAAGGGTTATTTTTTTCACACCAACTATTGTATCTACGTTAAATGTATTCATATTACTGGCAAAGTCAAAGAGCTCAGCTTTCCTTTCCTTGCTTGGTATTAGGATTTAAGTATAACTTTAAGGAAGCTGCATTTCCTCAGCACAGGAAGAACAACCATGAAGAATGCCATTAGTTCTAATCAACTCAAACCTAATTAAAGAGAATAATGTAATTTAAAGTGAAAATTTTGATTCAAATAGGTTCTTGATGACAAGATTAGCATAAGAAGATAATTTCTTTAAAATATCTTAAGTATAGTTGGAGAGTGAGACAATGTGGTTTAATGATTTGTGTTGATGGGGAGACATTTAGGGCCTGAACTAAAATATTCCCTTCCTTCATTCCCTCCTCTGCATCTCATTTAAGCCCCCTAGAATTCTTTGGAAAGCCTGGAGACATGCTAGCTTTTATCATATTGGGAGCTGGTCCAGGAAGTATGAATGTGAAATTTTAGCATTTGTGTAACTGCCAGCAGGTGTGGTCTGAATGTGTAGTGCAGGCTCCACTTTCAGATTTCAGGGAAGAGCTAATTCCTCAGTAATGCTCTGTGATGCTTGAAGCTTGGCGTGAAGGCTGGGCATTCCTGGGGAGGGAACTGCCTGCCAGTGGTCCTGATTCTGTGTCTGCTGGCAAGGCTGGATCCAAACAAGCTTCCTCTTCCCCTTTTTGCAGTCGGCTGCAAATCCTGAAGGTAGACAGAGGCAACACCCAAGAGGCTGACATCATGTCTTTCACCTTCCAAGATCAAAGGATTTAAGAGTGCTACTAAAGCAATGTAATTCAATTTATAGGAGATTCTGAATCACCAAGATTAGGCTTGGTTATCATGAAAATGGAGGAATTATCTTCTCAGGGATTTGTCGTCCTGTCAGTCAGCTGAGTTTGCCTGGTTGACAGGAAAGGCCCCAAAGGAACTCCATGTGATTCTGCTGGGGAATATGAAGCCCAGTGTCGAATGAAGAGTGCCCCGTCTCTGCTGCTGAGATTGCACTGTGGTTTAGTGGGAAATGTTCCTAGGCTTCAGTTTTATATTCTCACCTCTAGTATTGTCAGGGACAGCCACTTTCTGTTTTCATAGGATGGAGGTCCTCTGCAAATGCTGGTAAATGCACTGCAGTGTTTAATTAGGAAGAAGGATGTAGAAACTTTGTTTGGTGTGTGGCATATAAAGAAGAGAAGGTAAAGCATCTCTGTCAACAAAGAATTCAAAGTGTAAGAACTCCTGGCTGCCTTCAGCCTGACAGAAAGTGTCTTATCATCTGTGTCTGCTCTGCGGCTTGGTGGCCAACAGTGCAGGCTTTAGAGAGAATCGGTCTGATTTCTGATACCTGCCCTACTACCTACTCGTTGTGTTACTGAGCAAATTTTAATTCCTTTGTGCCTCAGTTTCCTCATCGACACATTGGGAAGAGTAGTACTGTACTTTATAGGGTTTTCATGAGATTAAATAAGTTTACAGATCTGAAACGATTAGAACGGTGCATGGCATTTATAAATGTGCCGGGAAGGTTAGCTCTTATTCGGATGCTCAGAGAACCCGAGGTAACAGCAGGGAAATCAGAAGACATGGGTTCAAATTCTGACTTTTTCATAGATTTAGGTCTATCCCAGTGTCTCTGAAATTCTTTGTAAAACATGGACTGTAATACCTATCTCCCATGGTTTTAGTTAAGCTGAAATAACAGTTTATGTGAAAGAGTCCAGCAATAAATCGTCGCTCAGGGACAGATGGTTGAAGTCCTACTTATTATAGCAAATATGTTATCCTAAAAGGTATTAAATTAACTGATAGCAAGCAAACTAGATTTTTATGTAAATTAGAAATCTATTTGCAGACAAGTGTCCATTATGAATTATGGAAAGGATACAATTTTCCTCTATTTAGCTCTAATCCTTTCATTTTGATTAGATTAGGTTATAATCCTGACAGTGACATTTATTGAGTGCTTTTTACTTTATCTCATCAGTCCTCAGTACACTCTGGCAATATTATGGTAGATAGTATTATGATCCCTGTTATACTGCATGTTGGAAATACGTGGCTCAGAGAGGTTAAGTAACTTACCCAAGGTCATACAGCCACAAAGAAGCAGAGGCAATGCTGTAGCCTAGTTTTCTTTGACTCCTGATAAAGTGCTCTTTAGAACTATGGTGTTTTCTCTACATCAAGTCAAATCTTATGGTCTCTTAGAGCAATTTTTGTCATGACAGTTCAAATTATAGATCAGATCTTAGTTTTAGTTCAAAGTCAGAAGCAAAGTAGTCAAATGAGAAGAAAAACAAACAGCCATAAAAGTCCGATATTGGCCCATTTCTGCCACCAACATGCCATAAGACTGATCATTGTTTTCCAGTCTTGAAATATCTTCTCCCCAAATCAGAGGCAGCCCCACAGTTTTGTTATAGAAGAGGCTTCTGGACACTATTGAGTCGAAAGGTAAGAGTGGTGGTTGATGCTCTTGCCTTGAGTGTAAATTTGCCAAGCAAGCATATAGTTTGTATTACAATACTATGCTTGCTAAGTGGTTTGGCATGCTTCATAGGTTTTGGAGGCTAAAGCCCCCCTGCCACATCACAGTCTTACGCCTCTGACTCAGTTTCTGCTAACAATAACCAAACTATATGAGGATGCGATGGTTTACTGCACTGTGTGGCCAGAATTTAGTAGTGTTACTAGATTAAACCAGACCACAAAGAACAGTTCTACTCTTAAAAAACCTGTATTTTACAGTGGCCTGGTCAGGAAAATTCGTCTGTTTTTGCTTAGCAAGTTGCACTAGGAGATTTCACAATTTAGTTCATTGCTTTTATAAACAGTGTTTTCCTTCCTGTCTCTGAATAGATCTTTTTTTTGTAGGGAAATTGGAGCTATCAATCTATCCAGTGTAATTTCATCCTTTTCTATCAGATGATCTCTACTAATGAATCAGGAAGCCTGTGTGTGGGCTGGGAGACGGGAGGGAGCAGAGAGGATATAGAATGAGGAAATGTAAACAGCACTGCCAGTGATGCTCATGCAGCGAAGATACGCCCCACCGTCACTGTTATAGCCTCTCTCTCTCTCTCACTTCTTTAAAAGCTAATTCTTGGAATCCTTGGCAGAACCCTGCGAGTCCCTCTTCTCTCATATCCCTTCCATGCAAATCACATTTAACAGACTACTTGCGTGGCTATGCACTTGACTAAAAGACTGTTCAACTACAGCTCACTAAAGACGTGCCATCAAGGGATTGCACAACCTCACAGGAGAATATGTGACACAGAGTAGGTGCTGAGAAGCCTACTGGAAGACCAGACAGGAAGGTAGTTGAGAGGGAGAAAAATAGAAATGAATGAGCTGTGAAATAAGAAGTAAGTTAAAAGGGCAAAGACTCATGGGCCATATGTCAGTGTTTCCTTCCTCCTCCTCTCACCAACTCTGAGACTGTGGCCAGCTTAGCCTTTGTGTTCTTATCTGCAAAATGGGATAATAATAATGCCAATCTCCTATTATTGTAAATATTGAGTGATAAAATGAATGGAAAGCAATTGGCACTTAGCAATTTTATTCATTCACTGTTAGAATTATCCCTTTCCCCCACCATCGTAGAGTCCAGTATCCGCCATTCAGAACTCTGTAAGGGATCATTTAAGATCCTATGACCTTTGAAATGGGTCAGGACCTATTCTTCTGTCCTTTCTTCTTTTTCTGTTTATTTTTATCTTTCACATTACAGTGCAACTAGAGTGAGCACTCTAAAGTTTTCCCCTGTTCCTCTATGGAAATTCACAAAAGATTGGGAAACTACCATGAAGTGAAGCCTTTTCACTCTCTAATCCCAGGGGCTATTTCCACCTAGCACACTGACCACCGGGCTTCCTAAGTGTTGCTGATTCTTTGACCTCTCTCTAAAAATAACTACATGATGATCTGTTCTTCACAGTTGAAGGTAAAGCCCCTTTTGTAGAAGCTGGGTTCTTCTTCTAATTAGCATTTCTACTTGTATAGTTTTCTTGTATAAGACAAACATATTTTTAAGCTGGCCATAAAGTTGGAACTACCATCTAATTTCTGCCTCTGAAACAAAAATCACACAAGCCGGCAGTGTCCCCAAACCACTATGAAATCCAGTCTCAATCAAGTCCTACTCTTTTGTAGCTGGAAAAAACTCAGAAGCCATTTAATGCCATTTTCTCAATTTTATGGTTGAAGAAACTATATTGGGGAGGTTAGGTGACCTGCTAAGCATGTAGTTATTCTGGAAAAGCCTGGAACCTTTCCCACTACATTGCATTGTTTTCCATCCTCAAATGGAAAAACTCTAAATAAACACCCTTCTCACCTTTACAGGATAGATGCCTGAAGGAAGTGCTTCCAAGCATTTCAGACAGTATTAAATCTATCACTCAACTTATGCAGATCACTGTGACTTCCTTGAATTTTCATTATTGGCTTCCAGGCACATGCGGTGTGCTTAAATCATCACCTATAAAGCTCCCTCCTTCTACCTCCAGTGATGGCATGGGCTGATAATATGAATTGGTCTTTACAATTTCAGATACTTCTATGGTTACAAAAATCCATTTTGATAATAAAGGAAGCTAGAACTATTGGGAGTAGGTCCCTGACCTTGGAAACTGATGAACACATCTTCCCCAGCTTGATCTTTGTTGCATCTGAGAAAAACCCTGGGCTGCATAACTCCTGGATCTGACCCAGCATGTTCTACCACCCACAGCAAAAGCACAGAAATATAACCAGCAGGACGCCTATTGATTAGACATCCACAAGTTATATTACTGATTACCTACTCCTCAACCTTCAGGCAGGCAAACACGTTTTCAGCTCTCATGAAGTCATTTATTTTCATACGTCTTAATATTTCACATTTTCTTCCCTTGGTTTTAGACTTTTCTACCTCTGGCTGTGAGGTTTGCCTTGTGTATTATTTGCCCAACAGGGCCTCCTTAATCTGGTTTCTTTTCTGCCTCTCACCCAGATACTCTGCTGAATTACTCTCCCGGATAGGAGCATGCTCTTTCCTAAGGAGGGAGGTGCAGGGGTACGAGGGAATCTGTAACTTCATCCGAGTTTGGCTTCTTAGGCTTCATGATCACTGAGTAGAGCAGTCATTTGGAACCCATTCTGGTTATTTTCTAAAATCACCAAGGAAGCTTTGAAAAATGTAGGTGCCAGGCCCGCCGGAGACCAGTGAAACACGATTTCAAGGGAGAGGGCATGACATCGGTCTATTTTTTAAGTTCCCCAAGCTAATCTAATGGATAGCCAGGGTTGAGAGCTACTCACCTGGAATTTTCCTGTAGCAGACGATAAAACTAAAAATAGAAATAAGGAATGGAAACCCAAAAAGGTTAAACAGATGGCACAATGTCAAGAAAAGGAGAGCTGATAGCAGAGAAGGGGGGACTGGGTGCGTGTCAGTATGTCATGGTTTTTTTTTTTTACTGTCTTTTCAGGAGTCGTTGGTCAAATGCATCATTGCATGAGTCTAGCATTATAGCCCAAGATGGTATGGGGTGGCCCTGATTTGTGATAAAGAGGCTTTTTGGCCTTGTTAGGCAAGAAATGAAGGAACAAAGTGGTGTGTGCTTTGTTTAGTGGACAGTGACTATTACTGTGATTCTAGTTTATGCTTGCTGAAGTGAGCCTATTATTTTTATATTGGTCTTCCCATAAGACAGCAGCTTCTCTAATAATGGAAAGGTGCCTGTGCCAGACACACAGCAGGAGCTAAATATGTGCTTGTAAAATGAATCAAGGAGGAATGAGTAAGTGAACAGCTGAATTATACCTATGGACCAATCCTCTGTTTTGCTGGTATTTTTTTTTCTTTATTATGGTCATCAGTGATCTGATGTCAAGGCATATTGTGGAAGTGAAGCAACCCAAATCCTGTCTTCTCAGACTGAAATCCTCTAGAAAGTTATGACTTAGCCATTTTTAAGAAAATGCTGCTTTCAGTGGATATCTGTAGTAGCACTCAGTCCAGTGCTGCTGGAAACACTTACGCTGAGGAATATTGATTTTTTTAGAAACTTCATTAAAATTTATATTTTTAAGCTTTACAAAATCAGATCCTAAATAGGAGACTATAAGAAAGTCTGCAAAGTGACTCATGATAAAAAAAATATTAGGAAAAAGGAGTTTAATTATAGTTTATAAACTATTGATGTTACATCGTGGTTGGTTTTAACATAGCCAATAGACTCTTCATGATTTTGATGAAAAACTTTATCTTTAGACCTAAGATCTTTTAAATTATGCTATTATCAGCTAATCAATTAATTCAATTTTATAGTAGAAGTGTTGCAGAACCAGTCTTACGAAAATGGTATAAAAGTAAAAGAAGTTGGTCTTCAGTGCCCTCTCCAGCCATAATCTTGTAACTTACATGGTAAGTATTCATACTATGCACATCTTTATAGGTATTGGGACAGGAGGTATGTGTGTAGGGGGCAGAGAAGTTGAGTAAAGGGACAATGAGAATTTTGAAAATGGAAGCAAAAGTGCAGATCAAGCCGTTGCCACCTTGTATAATTATGGCATTGATGAAACCACCCCAGGTTCCCTCTTTACAATCCACTAAAATTTTACTGGATGGAAAATCAAAGTACCATATATATGCTTTAATTTGGGAATGATTATTTTGGTGTTAATGGTTCCACTGTTGATAATACACTTGTTCTCTACTTGTAGATGCATTCATATTTTCTCATCCCTAAAGTTCCATTTTACAAAGCACCTCACAATATACTTATTTTTTCTGTCACTATCCAGGTGAGTTAAATCACATTCATATAATTAGTTATTTACTGTCTATTCAAGGGAGAGATATGTACTGTGTGTTTCTATGTTAGGCAAAAGAAATGGGCCTTCTAGATGTTCTGACCTTTACCTTCTTTCCTTGCTTAGTTACTCCCATTACTAAGGCTTCCAGTCCTTTTAGCCTTTGTTTCTATGTCACATTAAATTAATGAAACTAGATAACTTTGGATCTCCTTAAGCCATCTGAAACTAGATAAACCAATGAAACTAGATAACTTTGGATCTCCTTAAGTGAATGCCATGAGTGCATGATGACCAAACACTAGAATCTGGGGACAGACTGTCTAGATTTGAATCTTGACAATGCTTCTTCCTAGCAGCATGACCTTGGGCAGGCTACTTAACTAAGACTCAGTTTCTTCATCTGTAAAATGAATACAGTCATATTACCTACCTCATAGGCTAGTCGTGAGGATCAATAACATACTGTATATAAAAGAACATATGTAAGTGCCTAGGATAAGTGAGGAGCTAGATGGTTGTTAAGTACTAACTGCAGTACCAGGAATTTCATAGGAAGCTATAACAGCTACATATGTGTGCCTTCATAAGCCAGAAACACTTATTCAGTGAATTGTCAACTACTTATTAAACATGTCCTCTGAACATAGGACTCTGCTAAGCTCAGCTCAGGATTTGAAGCTGAACCTTGAAGTTTCATTAAGTAGGATTTAGTTAAGTGGAGAAGAAGACTGATCGACGTTGTTCAGTATGGCAGGTGGCCTCTAGCTACGTGTGGCTACTCAGCACTCAAAATGTGGCCAGTCTGCATTGAGCTATGCTGCCAGCATAGAATACACAGCTGATTTTAGAAACTTAATGTAAAAGGAGAAAATATAAAATATCTCATTAATAATTTTATATGGATTGTATGTCAAACTGATAATGTTTTGGACACATTGTATTAAATGAAATATGTTATTACACTTTATTTTACTTATTTGTTTTTACTTTTTAAAAAGATGACTGTTAGAAAATTTAAAATGGCATATGTGGCTTCTATTGAATTTCTAGTAGGCAGCACTGTTTCAGATGGTGCAACTCATCCATCATTATAAAGAACACAGAGGCACAGGCAGTGAGCACGGTTTGTGGACTCACACAGCTTACAGTCTAGGAAAGGGACACAGTACCTTACATGACTGGGTTCATAACCTGTGGGGTTTGAGCTCACCTGTATCATTTGCACTCAGTGGTGGAGGTTGGAGGCAGGATAGTTGCAACAATGACTGTCACCCACCGAAAGCCCACCTACACAACAGAAGAATTTTCCTAACCAGTTTAGAGAACTTAACAGCAAGTTTTGTTTGTCTTCTGCAAAACTGGGTATCAAAATAGTAAAATGAGGGTAAAACTGCTCGCTGCTGCTTCTGCAATCTTCAGAGCTTCTTTGTTCGGAGCAAAATTTCTTGCTTTGGTTTGTGTAATCTTTTGGCCAATATAGTTGAGACATATTTTGTAGCACTTTGTTGAAATAATATCAGATGTGAAATAAGCCAGAGTATAGAGGACTTGAAACAAGAATTAAAAAGGCACATTTTAAAGCTTTTAGCCTTGTCAAGAAATAGCTATTTTAACTTTCAGATAGATAGCTTTTGAGCCTGCCAAGTAAAGGAAACGAAATTTAAACTAGTCTACCAGAGCTTTATTTTTCTTCTCATATATGCCAAATTTGAAGTGGCTGTTCTGCCTTCCAGTCAAGAGTATGCTCTCATGGTGTTCCAGGTCTGCACAGTGGGTGCCTTCCACACACCCTTTCCACACAAAGCCAAAACCACACAACATCTTGCACCTTCATTTTTGGAAATAGAGAAAGGAAGGATGGAAAGAAGGGTGGAAAGAAGGAAGTGGCCATTATCGAACTTCTCGTATGTGCCAGGCCCTGTGCTAGACATCAGCATGTGTCACTGAGGAGGTATGGGATGGGCTAGAACTCCCTGGTAAGTAATTTAAGGTGTGAAACTAACAAATATCATCCCAGGACATCTGTGATGGTATGGCACACCCCAGACTCTGCATCAACTCCTAATCTAGACTGAAACCACATAGTGTTTACCTTAAAGTTTCTTTCTGCCCATTTTGTATGTCTGACTCATGGAGTGGCCTGAAATCTGCATATACCATTAAGAGCACTCCATGGTGTGGAGTGTGGCCCAGTCACTCTGTTGAGGTGTGTTGGCTTGCCTTTTGATGAGAATGCAGTGCTCATATTTGTGGCCTACTCATCATTTCCTTCTGAGCTTGTATCACTTTTTATCATTGCTAGGTTTTTCCTTCTGAAAATTATCTTTAATTCATGAATTCATAATGGAAAGTATGGAGACACTTGAACACTTCCCATCCAGATCTGATCTTTGAAGACTACTGGACTTATACATGAACAAAGGAAAACATATCAGATGGACCCATTTCTCTTTGCTCTGAGCAAAGGCTTGTAGAGAAAAGTTGTAAGGAAAACACCACCCCGTACTCAAGGAAAATATGAACCCTTCAAAAAATGTACAGAAAGGGAGTTTAAACTTTTCTAGAATGTTCCCAGCAGTTTGAAATTGGTTTAAATGAGGCAAATCAAAGGAAATAACTTTTGTTTGTCAGTAGGTTATAGTGCTTTGCAACATCTGGGAAAAGAATGCCCCTTCATTAATTGAATTGAATATTCAGTGAATAAGTAATGATAACATTATGGTCAACAACCTAAATCTGTACATAAAATGCCATGTTCTTTGAAAGAGAGTTTTGTGCTGTATATGAACCAATTGTTTTCATACTCTGAAAACAATAATTCACACCAAAAACTTAATTACCCATGTGCACTATAACTATGCCAACCACATTAAACCCTGATTTTAAAAAGTTCACCCCCCCCTTCTCTTTAGATGAATGCTAACTGGAAATAAAGTAGCATTTTTGTTTTGCTTTGCCCTGAATTGTGCTGCTGAGTGATATTAGCTGGTTATTTACTGGATTTCTATCCTATGCTACTTATCCAGTCCTGACAATGCAGGCTGGGTCTTTACAATAAAAGGGAAAGAAATAAGGGATGAAAATTCATTCAACTTGCAATGTAATATGGTGGCACCACATACTGGAGCCCCCAAGTATCGCCACCATTCCTCCTGTAGCTTTAGAAAAGCCTTGCAAAATTGGAGCTGCCTTATTGGAAAGCCTACGTGTTTGTCTGTGGAACATAAACATAGCCTCAGACTAGCATCTTATTTGAAGAAGTCTGGTTATAAAGTAGATAGCCATCACTTTAATTGTCAATTTAATATGTGTCAAGTGTTTTCTTGGATGTCAATTGTATTATCTTACAATTTAATTTTGATTTGTTGAGTACAACTTTCCCTGTGCCAGGTAGTTACTGAACTGCTCATGTACTTTATCTCATTTAGTCCTTGCCGAAGCCTGTGAGCTTGTTTCTCTTGCTTTACAAATAACGAAACTGATATTTAGAGAAACTGAATGACTTGACCAAACGAAATGAAAGTGAGGACTCAAGTCTAGGTCGGTTGACTCCAAGTCTGGTGATAGGCATGTTGGCTTTCCAGTATTCCAGGAGTCTATGCTGAAGGATGGAGAAAAGAATGCCCCAGATTGTAGTAGAGAAAAGCAAACAGTGCCAGAGTTTCCTATACAATCATCTTTTTAGAAATTAGAAACATTATATTTGTGATCTTTATGGAATATAATTGAGCCACAGCTCCATGATGCAGTCCATTGCCAATGAGCACTTGGAAGAGCCCTAACCAGTGTCACACCAGTGATGACCATCTCCAATATGGAATGATGCAAAATCCTAGATCCTATCTCCAACCTAAGAACCCTGTACCATGGAGGCAGACATTCATCCCCAGGAGATGGCATTTTATGGCCTAAGTATATATACTAGGTCTGTACCGCTTGTCATTTTACAGGCTCCTTACAGACCATATATTCTGTGGTTGGAATCCCTTGGCATCAGCTGCTCCTGTACTCTTCACATGAGCAGTTATGAGATGGCAGTAGTGCATTTTATGCTCGCAAGTGCATCATTTTTTTTAATATATCACAGCCCCAATCCTGCCTTAGCTAGGCATAGTAACAAAGCTGCTGTCTTCCTGTACTGCTAAAGGCAGACCCAGAGACAGTATTATATATAGTTCACTTTTATTCACTTGGCTTAGCTCTTAGTGTTGTCAGAGCTACCGGGCTCCTATTTCAAAGTAACTTATGGGTGGCTGTGTTCTTCTGGAGCTTCAGAGGGGCACAGGACTGCTCTAAATGCTATCAGCTAAAGTGCCTGGTGACCTCACAACTAAACTGAATTATGTTCTGATGCTTTTTTCCAGTCTTTAAGTACTCATGAATTAAACCACACCTACTTTAGGATGAAACTTCAAATGGAAACATCAGTGATTCTCCTACCTTTACCAATTTTAGATAGTGATCCTTCAGTATCTAAATTTCTTCATTAGTAAATGACAGATGGTATTGGTGAGTCTTCACAACTGTGGTCATTGATATTTAACACATATTCTGTACAATATATTACAGGTTACAGAATGGTATGTTAGGCCACCTGCCACTGAAATGTCAATTGATGATCTTTTTCTCTTCAGTTTTTCATTAGTGTTGTCACAAGAATATTTCACCTTCATTTTAAAACATGGATGAAAGATTCACCATGTTGAGTTGGGGAGTGTTTTGGGAGTGTGAATCAACTGTGTTTTTACTATTGTTCTATGTATATTCAAGTTTAATAAATGTCAAGATACATATATACATATATGCTGATACAGGTATATCAGAAATACTATATATACTTAAATATATAATATCTTCAAATATATACATTTTATTTATTAATGCTGTTTGAATTATATTTTGCTTTGTGTATTTGCATTTTTACTTACTGATATTTAGTGCTTAACATTTTATAATCCGTATATTATGAGAAGTCTAGTTAAGAGACATATTTTTTTCTAAAGTTCTTATATCTTGTGGGTGAATATAGTGATTGTCCCTCAAAACTAAACTCTTTCAAAGAACTGAAGGATTGGCTCATAAATCTTCCAACATGTCTTTGGTTGCATGATGAAAGTTGGAAACATAATATTCAGACAAGGGTTATACTTCCCAAAAAATTGATCAAAAAGTAATTCTGTATTTAGCCTTAAAAAGGAAGGAAGTGCTGACATATGCTACAACATGGATGAACCTCGAGGACATTGTGTTGCGTGAAATAGGTCAGACACAAAAGGGCAAATATTGTGTGATTTCATTCCACTTATACGAGGTGTCTTGAGAAGGCAAATTCATAGAGGCAGAACATAGAATGGCGGGTATCAAGGGCTAGGGGCAGTGGACATAGGGAGTTAGTGCTTAGTGAGTATGAGGTGTTTGAGAAATTCATTCTAGTAAAAGTTCTGGAGTTAGTAGTGATGGTCACACAACAGTGTGAATGTGCTTGATGCCACTGACTTGTACAGAGATGCAAAAATGAGAATACGTGTTTATGAGAAAGCATTTTTTTTGTGCTGAAATCCTCTAAGGAAAGTTACAGTGATTCTATTTTCTTGGCCAAAGTTCCAAAATAAAAAGAGGTTAAGTAACCTCAAGATCACTCAGTAAATAAATGGAAGAGCTAAAAATGGAACGGAGGGTTTCCCGAGTCTCTCTTGCTCTGCGTCTTGATGAACACGTGAGCATCCTTCTCTGCAGCAGCGAGGTTGGCAGCGTGCGTGAGGGGTTGGCAGGCTGAAGAGAATCTTCCATGTCCTAAAATAGTTGTGGAGTTCTAAAAACCTATCATGGCAAAGCAAACTCTGTTACAAATGCTGACTCCTCATCCCAGCTCTGGCACTCTCTACTAAGGAAACTAAAGAACTGAAGGAAATAGATGGCCTTTGAATAGCCACATTTTCATATCCTGATGAATTCCTGCTATTTAGATACTTAATTGTTTGGGTAATTTTTAGCATTGTTTTTCCTCTTTTATTTAAAAAAAAATAGCATCTGTGAAGTTTGCTAGAACTTTTTCGGTGCCACGGAAATTAATATAAATTTTAAAATCAATTCAATTTGCACATACATTAATTGAAATTCTTTGGACACCTACTCAGAGTTATAAATATAATAATTATATTTCCATGAAAAAATGAGAGCTCAGTACTATCAAAGATAAACACAGCTGTACATTCATTAAAGTGGTGAAAACAGATTTTATTCAGTAACCACTGACAGTGGGGGGCAGAAAGGAGTTCCATTCTGATTTGCACAGAGGTGACTGGGTCTTTGAAAGGGAGAAGGAGGGAGTGGGAAGTGGGAATGAGGCTGGGCTCAAGAGTCAAAAGAAGAGAAAAATTACAAAGTGTTGGTCAGTGTACATACAATTAAGGCAGCTGTGCCCCCTAGCTGTCAATTATCTAAGTTAGGATTCTGTGCTTCCACCAGGACTGGGAAACAGAGGTTCTAACCTTCCTAATGATTACATTTCAAAAAAATGGCTTTCAGGTACTTGAGAAAGGCACTCTGAAGGTTTGATAGATACACGTAGATCTCAGAGGGACAGAAGGATTCACAATTCAAAGTCCTTTTTAGTAAATGCCCTAAGAAAGAGTGGTCAGGGGCCAATGGTCAGGTGTAGGCTAGAATGAACTGTATATTCTTTTTACAGCCTTGAACTTTTGCAAACGAGAGCTCAAAAGGGGGCTGGATCATCCCAGGATGCAGCCCTAGGTTACTAGACTTCTCCTAGTGCAGAGGTGTGAATGTTCGTGTCGAGAGTTTCTGCAGTACTCGGTACCCTTGATGTTATGTCTTTATAGGAGAGAATATAGTGACAGATGCAGGGATGACAACAAAAAGTTTGATTTTAAGCTGTGCTTTAGGTCTTCTGTGTCACATTAGATATGAGAATCATGAGTGAGTTTTGACTTTTGATAAATGCTTTGTCTATGGTTGACTGTGTTTGGAAGAAAGTATCAGTGGTTCACTGGCCTCATGGGATTCTCCCACCTCAGCCGCCTGAGTAGCTGAAACCACAGGCATTCACCACCCATGCCAAGCTAATTTTTTATTTTTATTTTTAGTAGATACAGGGTCTATGTTGCCTAGGCTGGTCGCGAACCCCTGGGCTCAAGCCATCCTCCTGCCTCAGCCTCCCTAAGTGCTGGGATTACAGGCATTAGCCACCACACCTGGCTTTTTTTTTTTTTCAGAATATAAATTAATAGTTTTGAGTAAAATATTAACAAATTTATATTAATGAATGAATGTTTGGTAATATATTCAGTTTTTGCCTTATTTTAGCTCACAAGCTGGAATTTCCCCCACTTAAGTAGGATATAAGATTTATTAGTCTAGCTGGAAAAATCTATATTGAATAATGCATATCAGAAAAAAAGAAAGAAATTATAATTCAGAAATGACATCTTGTCTAAATAGCTTTTATAAACAGATAGAAAACTATATTATTCACCAGACCAAATAGTAATACCTGAGGATTAATAGACAATATCTATAAAATAGGCACTACTTTATAAGAATTATGTTTGCTACTGAATTAATTTGATATTGTCCTTTTACATTGTGCAAGTTTTTTTATTTTTTTTCTTGGATTGCATACTTTTCTCATCTTTACAGATATGTGCATAATACAAAACCATGCCTTCTGTGTTTTTCTATTAAAGACATTTTTATTGTCTCCTTTTAAAATAGGATGTTTTCATTATATCTAATAGCTTAAGAAAATATTTTTCTATTATTCCTCTGTATTTTACAGAATGGAATAAATTGTGCTTTTTTGACATCTTCTCACTCATAGCTTTCAGAACTTTTTCACTTTGGATTTATGGATATTGGTTTCTGCTTTCAAGTTATACATCACTGAATCTGTTTTTTCACTTGGTCTAAATGTCTCTGTGACAGATACTAGAACACCTCCCATTCACTTAAAGGATTCAATATCAGTCAATTTGCAAAGGTGAGATTGGAAGATGAGTCATGAGCCCTTTGGATTTCCCACTGAGTATTCAAGGATATAAAAATGGCAACAATAGACACTGGAGACTACTAGAGTAGGGAGGAAGGGAGGAAGGGTTGAAAAACTATTAGGTGCTATGCTCACTTCCTGGGTGATGAGATGAACTGTACCCCAAACTTCAGTATCATGCAATATACTCATGTTACAAACCTGCATGTGTATCCCCTGAATCTAAAATAAAATAAAAGCTAATCTTTAAAAATAAAAGGTGATTTCCACTATCATCAATGAGAATAGATACTTCCATGATGGGAAGTGTGGGGTCCAAAGTGTTGAGCAGTGTATTATGAGAAATATCCTAGCCCTCTGTCATAGACTAGCTCCCTTTAGAATCCCAGAGAACCCCTAAACAACATGATCTTTTTCTCTTTGTGGGGATTCTGAACAGTCCTAAACATGACATGATCAAGTGATTAATAATAGAACCACCTGGAATGACTCCAACAGGTGAAACCTTTAAATTGCAACCGAAAGGATGACTTTTGCATCTCACTAAACAGATGGTTCTCCTGCGAGTGACAGGTCTGTTCTTAATTAGCTGGTAATAATGCAGTGAACTTGGAAGACCTACTAAAGGGAGCAACAGGGAGGAGTGATCCAGCGTTCCACCTCATTTCATGTCACTATGGATCATAAAGGAATAAAGCACCATTAAAAGGAAAGACAATTATACAGAGAAGCCTGTAAACTAGTCACTTACATAGTTAATTATTTAAATGAAATATGTGTTTGTGGGGAAAAAATAGTTAAGTAACACCCTGTAGCTATTTTATAGACCTTGCCTAGAAGTTTCTATATATAGCTTGCGTTTATTTTTACAAGTCCATTTAACTAATGATTCCAGATTTCTTAACTACCTTAGACACTTTTCTGAATTTCCAGCCTGGGACTTTCAGTCGCCAGATGCCTCAACCTCACCTCCTATCTCCCACTTAGTTGCCACCTTTTTCTAATAGTTTTGCCCCTGCTCACCTGCTCTTACAACAAAAAGAGACAGGAAATGACATTAGAAGAGCTCTGGCTTTGAGTGAGACACTTTCAGTACATTTCATCATTTAATCTTTCCAACAATCTCCATATCACTGATGAAGAAACTAAGATTCAGAGAAGTTAAGTAACTTCCTCAAGATCGTGTTCACAGCATTTATCAGAGCTAAGGGTCACCGCCAGGTCTCTCTGATACCACCTGTACTATTCTCACTCTGCATTCAGCATCACAAGCTCTTGTCACTGACTTAGTCACCCACTGATGAGAGAGTGTGTCTAGTATCTATAAGAGTCTGCTTGGAAAAGAGCAGTTTTAGGATTTATAAGGTATAGGTGTGCACATTTTTAAAAGGACAGTCAACATTTATCATGCTTTCTAAAGAATTAACCTTGCTTTCAATGTCTGTAAGCTCTGGTGAAGATTTAGAAATAAATACAAGGAGATAGATGTTGATAGAGGTCCCCCTCCCTGGTCAAAACGACTTTTAATCTTCCCATACAGACTTGTATTTACTATATGGCAGCCAAGATTTATTTAATAGACGAATACATTTGGAAACCTCTAGATAGCTTTGGAGCATTGGAAAATGAATTGTCAAAATTGACATTCATTTTCCAAACCCTAGAATTACCATGTCGCAAGGCTGTGGGTTGCATTGGAAAAAATGTCTTTTCCTGTGCTCTGCAGCATTCATTGAGAAAACTTCAGTGAAGAGATTATAGGGAATGAGGAAAACACTAAGCGTAGCCTAATACTTTTCTTTCAATATAAACATGTTTAGAGTGTGTGCATGAGGCATAGTTATATGTCATATTTCATTTTCTACAAGCCTTATAAAAATAATTTTATTAATATCCAATTTGACCTATAGTTGATTAAAGTCATTATTTCTGCTAGTAAATAATTTTCAATGAGGGCCTAGGGAGGCTATTTGGACAGAGGAATAATAAGCAATTTTGTCTTGGGAATTCTTTCAAAAGTTGCATTTCAATTAAGATGGTGTTGGATAACAAAACAGTTGAAGTGGAATTATGAATTTGAAGTACTTACCATCAAACACTAAAATAACTCATTAAACCCCTACTGTTAAAGATTACTTAACATTAACATCCACAGAGACTTTTTGCCCCCCAAAGTCAATGGAGGCAGTGCTGAGCCACACAAACCAGTGATAAAAGGCTCAGCAGTAACTTGGCTAGAGGCCCAGATGTGGTTCATCCACTATAAATTTTACTAGATAATCATAGTCAATTCCAAGCACTTTTTGAAAAATGCTCCTATTTTTTGTCTTTGGGCACCAGATCTACATCCAGTCGATCCAGTAACCTTACACTATTAGGGAGAAATGTAACATCAATTTATTGTATCATTTCATGATACAATAACATTGAAACTGAGCATATCAGAAATTAACCCCTAATTTAGTATATGTAACTGTCTACTCAATCTCTTTATTTGAATGTTTAATAGACATCTTAAAGATGAACCCTTGAGTCCATCCCTCTCCCACGTCACATGGGCATGATCCCATTTGCCCCATCTTGGTAAATGATACTACCTAGTGGTTTGAGTCAGAAAAATAATGTCTTCTTGATTCTTCTTTGTATCTCATTCCCTATGTCAACTTCTAAAGTCTATAAATTTCATCTCCATAATCTACTTTGACCACTTCTCAACACCTTCCCACCACTAGTCCAAGGCCCAAGCTTCATTAGCCCATGCAATGCCCTTGGACAAATTTTGTAAAGGCATCTCTTTCTCAAGGCAAAATCAACTGCTAGAATATTGGTATAATATACTCTTTCTCTAAAGAAAACATATCAATGCCCATCTGCTGAAAAGTTATTGTAATAAATATACAAGTCCATAATGCTCATGCTCATGCCGTAAATTGCACTTCTGGGATTGTGTCATGCAAAGCCCACAGAATTGTGTATGGCAGCCCTGAGTGAGGCCACCATCGTCCGATGTCTAGACTACTGCAAGAGCTATCTACCTGGCCTATATCCTCTCTTGCCCTCCTGCCACAGCCAATGTTTTTCCATGGGGCATCTAGAATGGTGTTTTGAAAATTATATATCAAATTTTGTCCTTCCCCTGTTAAAAGCCTTCCAATGGCTTCAATTTATGCTCAAATAGAAAGTAAAATCCAAACTCCTTTCCATGATCTATAAATCTCACTAAGATCTGCCTTCAGCCTGTCTCTCCAGTCTTCCCTCCAAGCTCTCAGGCTGACATTTCATCAGTATGCATTGATAGGGCTTAATGACCGGTACCCTTTCTGACTGACTGGTGCGCTGCCATGCTGGACATTAATATGTTTAGTATGTATTTTGACTCTGTTCATTTGGCTCTACTCATGGATTTTGTGGCTCATGGACATTGCAAGCTTATTTTAATCTGTGTTACTTTCCTAGGGCTGCCCTCACAAATTACCACAAACTGAGTGGCTCAAAATAACAGGAATTTATTCTCCAACAGTTGTGGAGACTAGAAATCTGCACTCAAGGGGTCAGCAGTGTTGATGCCTTCTAGAGGCAGTGAGTGGGAACCCGTAGCCTGCCTCTCTCCTAGCTTCTGGTGTTTGCCAGCAATCCTTGGTGTTCCTTGGCTTTTGGCTGCATACCTCCAATCTCTGCCTCTGTCTTCACATGGCCTGTCCCCTCCTCTCTGTGTCTGTATCCCCTTCCCTTCTTTCATAAGAAGAGACTTGTCATTAGATTTAGGGACTAATAAATTCAAGATGACCTTGTCCCCAAATTCATAATTTAATTTCATCCATAAAGATTCTTATTCCATTAAGGTCATATTCTGAGGTTCTCCATGAAAATATCTCTTGGAGGACCACTCTTCAATCCACTATACTTTGTAGCAGCTTTTGCATGTAAAATTTCTTCCCTGAATATTTTTCACCTGGCAGGACTGGCATTGTTCCTTTACTTTATCCCAGGTTCTTCTCAAGGAATAGTTCCTCAGAGAGGCTTTTCCTGAGTGCCCTAAAATAGCTTTCCCTTCTCCCTATCACTCTTGATTCTCTTATTCAGCTTTTATTTTTATTTTTTTTGTGACACTTTGATATCACCTGCCGTATCATTGGGTATTATTTATTTTTTGTTTATTGATTCTTCTCCTGACTATAAGCTCCATGAGGTCAGGAACTTTGTCTTCATCTCATTATTACCTAATGAGGAATCAGCAAACCATGTCCCACTGGCCAAACCTGACCTGCCGCTTGTTTCTATGAAGTTTGATTGGAGTACAGCCAAGCCCATATGTTTACATATCATCTATGGCTGCTTCCATGCTATAACAGCAAAGTTGAATCGTCATGACAGAGACCATATAGCCCACAAAGCCTAAAGTACGTGCTAGCTGGCACTTTACAGAAAACTACATGTTGATGGCATATGTGTCTGGGTTATGTTATATACTTGTTGAATATTTATTGTAAAGAGTTATTTCTAAGCTGAGAAATTTAATTTGGTTTTAGGATTGACACTGAAGAGAAAGATATCTGGGTTCTTTTTTATCTGTTTCTAATTTAGAGCAATTCATAAATGCTAATTTCAGTGGTTAAAAGAGGAAGAGGAAATTCTGTTAAGACAAGATTAGAGAATGCACTTTTTAGATCACAAATTGCTTTAAAGGGTATGCCATCTTGTTTAATTTTCATAATGATCCAATTCAGTCAATATTATGCTCTCTGTTTCACAGGAAGATAAAATGAGGTCACCCAACTAGTAAGGGGCAAAGCCAGGACTCCACTGGGCTCTGACTTCAGGTTTCAGGGTCTTCTCTTTGCTTCTGTTCCACAGCAAATATCATCTTCCAAAGAGCGTAAACCTAGATACCTCACTGGGGCCATTTCATACATCCAACATTTTCTATGAATAAGTGTATATCATGAAGTATATCTCAGGCTTCTCAAATTATAAGCATTATCTTACATTTTAGCATAAGATGTAAAGATGAAAGAGTGACAGCTATTTCAGAGCATAAAAAATGCCATCATTTTTGTATCCCCACAATCTCTAGAAGAGTGCAACATAATACCCAAGGGAGATAACCAATACTTAGTAAATGTAATTGTATTCTAATACCCAATACAATATAAAAAGAAGTGCTATCTAAAGGCCTGAGAAACTTTAAATATTTTCTTGAAATATCAAATGGCCGTCTAAACAATAAAATGATAGGTACATGGGTTTTCTTAAAAAATTTAGATTCTTTGTATCATTTACTGCTTTTTCAGATTCTTCAAGTATTTGCTTTACTAAAGAAATGTGAAGTAAAAAGGCAGTGAACATAGGTATTTTAAAAAGCAACTAGTGAACCTGAAAAAAGTCTCCTAGAACATGGGAAAGAAAGACAAAGCAGGAAAACTGTGAGAAAAAGATAAAAAATACTGCTGACGAGGTTACGGGGAAAAGGGAATGCTTATACATAGCGAGTGGAATGTAAATTAGTTCAGCCACTGTGGAAAGCAGTTTGGCGATTTCTCAAAGAACTTAGAACTACCATTTGACTCAGCAATCCCATTGTTGAGTATATACCCAAAGGAATATGAATCATTCTTCCATAAAGACACTTGCACATGTGTTTCATCACAGCACTGTTAATGATAGACAAGACATGGAATCAACGTAAATGCCCATCAGTGGTAGAATGGATAAAGAAAATGTGGTACATACACATCAAAGAATACTACACAGCTATAAAAAAGCATGAGATCACGTCGTTTGCAGCAACATGGATGGAGCTGGAGGCTATTATCCTAAGCAAACTAACATAGAAATGGAAAACCAAATACCACATATTCTCACTTATAAGTGGGAGATAAACATTGAGAACATATGGACACAAAGAAGAGAACAATAGGCATGAGGGCCTACTTGAGGGTGGGGGATGGGAGGAGGATGAAGATTGAAAAACTACCTATTGGGTACTATGGTTATTACCTGGGAGATGAAATAACCTGTACACCAGAGCCCTGTAACCTGCAATTTACCTGTATAACAAACCCTGAACCTAAAATAACTGTTAAAAATAAATAAATTAATAAATAAATAAAAGATCTGGAGGACAGAGCAAGGGATTCAATGTCTATATGGTAAGAGTTTTAGGGAATGACAGGATTAGTGAATGAAGAAGAGACATACAGATATCTACTACTTTCTAAAGTAAATAGAATAACTATAAACCAATAGATCTAATAGGTTCCCCAGAAAGGAAAGTTAATCAAACAGCAAACAACAAATATAGTTTTGACCATGATACATTAGGAATTCTGCTGGTATATGTAATATTATTTAAGGAGTAAAAAAGTGTTCATAATAATGATTAAGACTGTGAATAGAAAAGTGGAAATTTCACCAGTCACATTATTCTAAAAGATGGCATGGATACATCTACCTGAGACTCAGTCTTTTCTTGCTTTTTTATTTATTCATCTACAACATGTGGTTGCTGGGCAGTCAGTGCTAGATGCTGTTTTTACACAGCAGAATATGGCATGTTCCTTGTCCTCAGGGAGTACATAGTCAGATGAGAGACAATTTCAATAGATGTGGTCCTAAGAAAGGTCAAGAAAGGTTTCTTAGTGGAAGAGACTTTTGAGCCACTCAGGAAGGAAGGGACATTGTGGGCAGAAAAACCAGTGCATGCCAAAGCACAGAGGCAAAAGAATCCTACTTTAATTCTCAGAGTCCTGGGCTTTTCTCCACTTCTTCACCCCCGTACTTTCAATTTTGCAGCACTGGGACTTTCAGACCAACTATTTCTTAGGAAAATTGACATCTCCCTTCATTTTTTCAATGATATTTTCCAAATGAAGAAGTGTACAAATCAAGGCAAAAGATTAAAAAGGATAAAGAAAAGGACAAGTGTCTTAAAGACAAAGCAACTTGCACCTCTGAGAGTGAGCTATCCTCAGAAGTAAGATATTTAATATGAAATATTTTGCCTGTCTAATTCATTCAGAAAGCCCCAAGGCAGAAACCTGTTTACTCTATGGCTTATGCAATGCTGAATTGGCTGTCAACATTCGAGTCGTAAATAATAATAATAATGGCACACAAAAGCCAGGAAATGCAAAAGCAAAGGCTTTCATTGTAATGTTAACTCATCCAAATTGTACATGTATAATCTCTCTCAATATCTGGATAAACTTTCCAGGGCTGTTTTGTTATATGAAAAATGTGTAATATAGTCAAGTTACGATTATAATGAGAATCTTAGGTTTTCACAATTTGGTCGTTTTCTAAGCCTTGTGGTTTAAAGCCTTCACATTATATTCATAGGAAGTTTCATGTTAAGGAATAGATGCAGACTATCTTTTGTATTTGTAGATAACACTTTTCTCCCTGTATAGAAACAATAGCACATGCACCGTGGAACCTAGTTTTTTTTCAGTAGAGGTCATAGATTTCCTCAGTGACTATCTCATCAGATCCAGCTTAGGACCAGCAGCTCACTTTCTCATTATCGGGCTACCAGAAAGGAAGCATTGTGTTGCCTGAGACAGAAAGCTGATGGTTCATGTCCATAAACCCATATGTGGGATGGAAGTCCCAGCCTCTAACTTGTTACTGGCCACAGGCTCTATTTCATTAGGGTAGAAAACCACCCAGTATATCTTCAAATTCACTTAACTAAATTACTTTTAATTCAATTTAATAAATATTTATTGACCTCCTCGGATATTTCTGTGTTTAAAACATATGGTAGGCACAGTGCAAACTACACAGATTGAAATACAGTTACTACTCCACAAACCCACAGAATTATAATCTGTAGGAATAGTGGTCAATTATACAGGAATTTAGCAAGATAATATACAACTAAAGAAGTATAAAGTACTTTGAGAGTTTGTAGGGAGAAATTACAGGAAAAGATCTGAAGCAAATTCTTAGAAAAGAAGCCACTAAAGATAACATTTTAAAGATGGACAGGATTTTTTTAATCAAAATTTATTCAGTTAATAACATATTAATCTTAAGTGTAGCCCTAGTTACACAAAAATATACTTTGAGTTTCTAATATCTCCAATTTCAAGATTACTCTTGTAAAACTCTTACTACATTCACGTTATGGAGAAGTTGTTAAACAGCAACAATTGAAATATCATCTTGAAACTAGTAAAGGAAGGAAATGGAACATTTATTCATGAAATTCACTTCGAAGGTACATTTATAAAACAGTCTCCTAAGAAATACAATTCTATCCAGTTTCCACTGAGCAATTGTATACTCACTCAACTACAGCACTGAAACTAAATGAGAGGAAATTCGAAATTACTTTGGAAAAGAAGAAAAAAAGTTTCTATGCTTCTGGATCAATAGGAGAGACTCGTTAAATAGTTCTAACAAGAACATTTGCCAATATAAAAACAAAATAAGATGTAACCACTAATAAAATTCACATTTATATAACGTATATCTAAAAACATTCTCCTTAAAATGATAATTTTGGGGGTGACACAATTCGCACCCATATAAGACAGAGAATTTAAATGATAAATGTTGTGTGTGTCCTGACTGCTCCATCGATCAGCTCTTCCTCCATCTGTCTCCTTCTCCATGGACTTCCTATTCCCTGAGACCCAGCAATATTGAAATTAGGCCAATAGTAAACCTACAATGGCCTCTAAGTGTTCAAGTGAAGGGAAGAGTCACTTTTTCTTCACTTTAAATCAATCACAAACTAGAAATGATTAAGCTTAGTAAGAAAGGTATGTCAAAGCCAAGACAGGTTGAAAGCTGGGCCTCTTGAGCCACACAGTCAGCCAAGTTGGTAATGCAAAGAAAAAGTTCTAGAAGGAAATTAAAAGTGGTACTCCAGACAACACACAAATAATAAGAAAAAGAAACAACTTTATTGTTAATATGTAGAAAGTTTTAGTGGTCTGGACAGAAGATCAAACCAGCCACAACATTTCCTTATGCTAAAGCCTAATCCAGAGCGAGGTCCTAACTCTACAATTCTATGAAGGCTGAGAGAGGTAAGGAAACTGTTAAAGCTAGCAGAAATCTGTTCATGCTGTTAAAAGAAAGAAGCCATCCTCGTATCATCAAAGTGCAAGGTGAAGCAACAAGGGCTGATACAGAAGCTGCAAGTTTTCCAGAAGATCTAGCTAAAATCATTGGTGAAGGTGGCTACACTAAACAACACATTTGCATTGTAGATGAAATGGCCTTCTGTTGGAAGAAAATGCTATCTAGGAGTTTGATAATTAGAGAGGAGAAGTCAAGGCCTGATTTCAAAGCCTCAAAGAACAGGCTGACACTTGTTAGGGGTTAATATAGCTGGTGACTTTTTAAGTTGAAGCCAAAGTTCACTTCCCATTCCAAAAACTCTGGGGCTTTAAGCATGATGCTAAATCCTCTCTGCCTATGCTCAATAAATGGAACAACAAAACCTGGATGACAACATATCTGTTTACAGCATGGTTTACTGACAATTTTAAGTACACTGTTGAGGCTCACTGCTCAGAAAAAGATTCCTTTCAAAATATTACTGCTCACTGACAATGCACTTGGTCTCTGATGGAGATGTGCAGGGAGATGAATGTTGTTTTCATGCCTGCAAACACAACATCATTCAATTTTCAGCCCATGGATTAAGGAGTAATTTTGACTTCCAAGTTTTATTATATAAAAAAATACATTTTATATGGCTACAGCCCCCATAGATAGTGATTCCTCTGATGGATCTCTGCAAAGTAAATTGAAAACCTTCTGGAAAAGATTCACCATTCTTGATGCCATTAGGAATATTCATGATTCACCGGAGGAGGTCAAAATATCAACATTAACAGGAATTTGAAATAAGTTGAGGGGTTCAAGACATCAGTGGAGGAAGTGACTGCAAATGTGGTGGACATAGCAAGAGAACAAGAATTAGAATTGGAGGCTAAAGATGTGACTGAATTGCTGCAATGACACGATTTGTCTTTAATAGATGAGGAGTTGCTTCTTATGGATGAGCAAATAGTTTCTTGAGGTGATGGATGTGCTGTGAACATTGTTGAAATGACAACAAAGAATTTAGAATATTGCATAAACTTAGTTGATAATGCAGCATCAGGGTTTGAAAAGATTAATTCCAATTTTGAAAGTCGTTCTACTGTTGGATAAAATGCTATCAACAGCATTGCATGCTACAGAGATGCACATTGAAACTGTGAAATTTCATTGCACATTGAGATTCATGCCACATTGAAAGTAGAGTCAATATGGCGAACTTCATTGTTGTCTTATTTTAAGAAATTGCTGTAGCTACTCCAACCTTCATAGCCACCACCCTGATCAGTCAGTAGCCATCAACAATGAGGGCAAGACCCTCCACCAGCAAAAACTCATTGAAGGCTCAGATGATCATTAGCATTTTTTCATAATAAAGTATTTTAAATTAAGGCTTGTACATTTTTTATTAGACATAATGCTATTGCACACTTCATAGTATAGTGTAAACATAACTCTTTTGTACACTGGAAAAACAAGAAGTTTGTGACTCACTTTAATGTATTTTTACTTTATCGTGGTGATCTGCAACTTAACCTGCAATGTCTCCAAGGTATCCCTGTAAAATTAAATGGACACAATTAACCTATGACATTCACATTTAAATACTCTAATTATAAAACATTATACTGAGAATTATAGTTATACCAAGCTTCAGTTGGATCCATTGTATAATCACTTAACAGCAATATAACTAATAGAGGAAACATCAAAATTATTTTCATCTTGTGGGTGAAAAGCCTCTTGCTGTGGTTCTAGACCTTCAGAAGGATGCTTGTTAAAGGAGAATGAACTTGGAAGGTGGCTTACTTTTTTCAAGTGGGAAGGTTGAAACTAAAGAAGGTTGCAAGTGTCTGCCAGCGCATGGAGCCCCGGGAAGTGCTTTGGAGTGCCCTTGCAGAGGATGAAGGTGGTCCGATGAAGGAATCCTGCCTGAGAGTCCTTACCCCATCAGGGTGGCATCTGGTTCACGTGGGATGCTGGACCTGACTTCCTGTGCCATCACAACCAGATGCTCCTTTTTCCTTGAGGACCTGGCCACCCAGAGGATTCCCTGGTGGTTCTCACAAGCCCTACCAAATACCTCATTTCCAACATCAGAGACATAAGTATGCCTTTTGGAATGTTTAAATTCTTCCATGATAAATTTTGTCTGATTTAATCTCTCTTTTTAGGTTATTGAGATTTCTCTCAGCTGTCAGAGCTCTCAAAGTATCACCATGAGCTTTTCTTTCATGGGAAATAGCTGGCTTTGATAACAGTAATTTACTAGAGTTTTTGTAGACAGATTTTGGCTTGTATTTTATACATGTCCAGTCTTTACATGGATAGCTGATCTTGTCATCAGTTTTGGATAGATTCGCCTCTGTTTTTATGAGTTAAACTTGTTATTTATTGGATATTTAATGAAAATTCATTCTTTAATATAGTTCAGAAAGGAGCTAAAGTTTCTCCTGGAGTTTTTGCATCTTCCTTTCTAATGCTTTTCCCTAATTACAGGGATACTTTCTCAGCTTTAAGATTTCTAATTTGATCATTAAGTGCATCCATTATTTTGTCTTATTCAGTTAATTTAGTGTACATTCGGTTGCTTTTTTATTTTTCAAATACATTTTTTTTTCTTGAGATGGAGTCATGCTCCATTGCCCAAGTGGCATGATCTCAGCTCACTGCAACCTCCGCCTCCCAGGTTCAAGCGATTCTCCTGCCTCAGCCTTCCAAGTAGCTGGGATTACAGGCATCGGCCACCACACCCAGCTAATTTTTGTATTTTTATTAGAGACAGAGTTTCACCATGTTGGCCAGGCTGGTCTTGAACTCCTGACCTCAGATGATCTACCTGCCTCAGCCTCCCAAAGTGTTGGGACTACAGGCTGAGCCACTGCGCCTTACCTCAAATACATTTTTGACTCAGCCATATCAATTGTTTTCTTCAGAACTCCTTTTGATTTCTGTTCTAAGAGGTCTGCATTCTCTGATGCATTTGTTATATCCAATTCCACATGTCCTCACCATTCGTATTGTCTTCTTCAAGAATAGCAACCCAGTCTCATCTTTAGCAAGAGATCATCTAGAAACCTCATTTGACGTAGTCATTTAAACTTGTCTCATAGATACTTTAGGATACTCTGCCATTTTACTCTGTTTAATGTGTTTGTTTCTTTCCATTCCTCATCGTTTTATGAAAGCCACTTTAACTTCCTTGAGGAGTAGAATTTTCATTCACAGCATCTTTTAGTGCTGTCTGAAGTTGTTCTTCATTTCTCTGATATATTTGAAGGCTGTTTTAGTTGCAGCTACTTAAAATTGGATGTGTGTTGATGCATCTTCTAAAAACTGAATCTTTCTTGTCATGTCAGGGGTCAGCTCAACTTATTCTAAATGTTTAGATTTCTTTTCTCAAAGGCCTGCTCTAAAAATCTCTATTTTAAACCCAAGTAGAGACCTGGAGACTTACAGTCTTTTATTAATGATCTCAGTTTTGTTTTGTCTTTGGTTTTGTTTTGTTTTCTTTTCTTTCTGATAATTTGTTGTAGAGTCTGGCTTCCATTAAAGTTGACTAAAGGCCTCAAATTTCTTTTTCAAAGAGGTTAAGCCTCTCAAGAATTTGATGTCTTCTCCTTGAAAGGCAGAAATTCCAGCATCCAGTTCTTCATCCTGCTTGCTTAAAGTAAACTTCCAATGATTAAACATCCTACCATGACTATCAGTGCCACCACTCCCATAGCAATCCATGGGCTCTGGGTCTGGTCTCAGGGCTCTGGCAGCACTACTGCCTCCTGGCATTGATCTCCAGGGCCAGCACAGTGCAAAGGATCATGACCACCTGTAGCTTCTCCATGGCCCTGACCCTGCTTTTCAGGAACTCAGTGGCCACAACAGATTGTAGAGGGCACTGGGGAGCATGCTACCCATGGCCAAACCAGTATAGGGCAACCAGCACAGGCCTCAGTGGGGCTGGGGAGGGAGGACAGTTTCTCCCAACATTCTCCACATCACGAAATACCTAGGTAATGATAATATCGCATGACACTGGGAAATATGAACTGAGGCTACTGGAGGATATGGATGATGGCTGGGGGCTCCAGCTACCCCAGGCCCTCAGGCAACTAAGAGCAGCAATGTCACACTATAACCCATTTGGGTTACTGGTTGGACAACACTGTGGTGGAGGATTTCCAGGCCCCTGATCCTGGTCAGTGCTCTTCATTTTCTTGAGTAAATATTTCATTCTGCAGTCCTGGAGATGTCATCCTACTTATGGAGGTCACAGAAAACTGTGCTCTCGGTTCTTCCTTGTTCTGTGTCTGGCCTGCCTTGAATAGCAAGGGGAGTGGGACAGGAGGGCTAATGGAAGGTTTGGCTTATTTCACTCATTTTACATTTAAAAACGAAAGAGGAAGTAAGTGAGATTTTCATAATCCATACATTTCAAGAGTGTGCAATTCAACTATGAGCAAGGAAAGCATGATTTTCAGACTCTTTTTGAATATGGTGAAATGTTTGATGACATAGAAGTCTTCAGAAAACTGATGATCAGAATGATCATCTTTGATGCAGTGGCAGGAGTGCTGGGCCACCTGAGCTCCTCCCTACCATGGAGGCTGTCCCTGGGCACATTATACTAACCAACATTTATGGGACATTTCTGCACTCCAGGTGGGAACCAATTGCTTTACCGGGGTTAGCTCATAACAACATTATGAGATAGGTGCTTATATTTTTAGTTCTTGTAGGTGGATTGACAAAGGCTTTTAGAGGTTCTATAACCTGTCTACGGTTTGCACAACTAGTAGACACTTGATTATAACCCATTTTTTTAAATAATACAAGACATGGAAGACTGAAAGTGAGGAAGTATTCCAAGTAACAAGTAGGGTGCTTTGGTTGAATATGGAATATATGTTGGATGTCATCAGAGAATAGTGGGAAGGTAATTTGGAATCATTATTTGTGGTAGATCTTGGGTAGCAGTGTTCTTTAAAAATCTACTTAATTCTTCAGGCTGGAGTTTTGCACACTGCTTCGCTAAGCTCTGATGTTTCTGAATGTGTGCCATGCTGGGTGTTGGGGTAGAGTATTAGACAGTCATTTGGTCTATAGGCTCACCACTCCCACCCTACTTAAAGCAAAGCATTTCTACTTTCATCTTTATTATAATTTAGTATAACACTCATTTCCAAGAAAGGGTTCCATTGCTTAAGTATAAAAGTTTGACTGCTGTCTGGAACAATGAAAAGTCACTGGAGCTATTTGAGAGGGGAGATACATGATGCCAGATACGCTGCAGTAAGGTGCAGATATTTATGTGAGATAGATTGGTGTGGAAACAGGAAAGGTAGGACAATCAAAAAGGATGGTATTTACACTGAAAAAATAATAGCTTTCATATTTCTGTATTTTTATTGTTAATTTTATAAACAAAGACCTTAAACATTTTAAAGTATTACTTCCAAAAACCAACTGCAGTTTGTCTGTTTGTTAGTGTAACATCATTGCCTCCTTCTGAGCCTCTTTCCATAAATAAATGGTCCTCCTCCTTCTTGCTTCAAAGGGAGCCCTGCCTTAAATGAAATTCTCTTTGAAAGCAGATGTCAGGCCATTTTAGCTTTTCAATATGCTCCAGTTTTCTGCTTTAGATTAAAGTAAAACAGGGAATTCATTCTCACTGCAGGAATTATGTGATTCACCTGGGCTTTCAAAGCTGTAAGATCCCAGGAGATCAGAATGAGGCTTACCGGCCTGTCTTTGTCCAGCGGATACCCTGTGTCAGCTCAGCTCCTGGCTCTTTTACTCTGCAGCGCCCTCCCAGGTGAGGTCCGCACTGGTACTCTATGCAGGGCCAGCCCAGGGATTACGTAAAGGTAAAGTGTCAGCGTCTGAAGAAGGAAGAGTTTCCTACATTTTGTGCAAGGGGTGAATTTGAGTTCAAGCCAGCATGCATTTCTGTGCTTGAGAATAAAGTGCCATAAACACATCCAGAGATAACATCCACAAACACCTGTCACTTCTCCCCCAATAGTTCCAGCAGTTTTCATCATCTCTGGTTCGATTAATGGCCTGCTGGCGAGGGTCAGCATAAAATGCCACCTCTACCAAATAAAACCCTTTTATGTTACAGAGACTGCTTCTGTAGAATCTGTTATTTCAAAGGAAAGACTTCCCTTTCTGATTTGAAAGATAGAAAGCATCTCTTTCATTATAACATTAACACACATAACAAATCTTTATTAAGTACTTGTTACATTTCAGACAGTAGTCTAGATACTAGGGATGTAGCAGTAAGCAAAACAAAAATCCCTACCCACCCAGTACTGCTTTCCAGTGAAGAGAAATAGACAAAGTAAATAAGTAAAATCACAATATGTTAGAAAACGATAACTGCAAATGCATGAGACTAGTTTGGAATCATTAGGGATTGTAAGTTTAAGTAAGGTTATCAGGGAAGGCTGTGGAAGCAAACCATGTCGAGATAGGCTAAGGAAACAGCAAAGACAAAAGCCCGTGGCAGGAGAATGCCTGCAGTATAATATAGACAGAAAAAAGAGCCAGAGAGACTGCAGTGCTGAGAGCCAAGGAAAAGGGCAAAAAAGGCCAAGGGGAAAGGAAGTGGGGAAGAACATCTAGGCCCAGGTAGGCACCAGCATTTACTCCATATCAGCTGGAAAGCCACCGGAGGGTATTGACTGGGGCTGTGTGCTTGCCATAATCTCACTTGCTTTTGCATATGACCGCTTGAGGTGCTGCACTAATAGGATGAAGAGGAGAAGAAGGAATAAGTAGACATGTGGCATTTGTGATAACCCAAACAAGAGGACCACGGTCTTTGCTGGAGGGATGGTGAGAGGTCAATGGATACTGGTATAGGGCTTGACTGGAAAAAACAAGGAGGTCTCCAAGGCTTTTAGCTGCAACCGCTGGGAGGGTGGAGTTGTCATCACCTGAAGTGGGAAACTGCTGGGGAAGTCGGATGGGGAGGAAAGAACAGAGCAGGCCTGTCACAGACCTGCTGCTTGTCCCTCCTATCCCCATTTAAAAAGTGAAAGAAAATGGTTTAGAACATCCATATATATATATATGAAATTCCCAAATATTTTTAATCAACATTATAAATAACATAATAGAGGTGTATCATCAGGGTATTTGGGGAAAAATCTCTTATTCACCATTATACCCTCAGAACCTAAGGTGGGCCTGGCACAGAGCAAGTACTTCATGGGTATGCAGTTACTGAGTTCAATCGGATTTCCCAGTGTGGAGACTAACATGTAAGTTTGTTCTTAAATCGTTCCTGTTTTTATGGATATTTACAAATTATAGGGTTGTGTTACTCCCAGCCAAAAACTTAGTTCTATTCAGATGATTATGTTCTATTCAACTGAAAAGCAACCATAGCCCCAGCCAAAACAGACTAGCTGCCTCCCATCAAGCTAATCACTAACCACAGTCAAATTTTCCCCACCTAACCAGCTGACATGCTGTGAAAATAAACTGGTTATCACAGCAAATGAGGCGGGTGGAGTTGTACACACTTGGAGAGGAGGGAACTGGCTCCCCATGTCCCCTGGGACAGGGTTTAGCGTCCCTTCTTTTCTTAACTTGCCACAGCTCCACTACTATGACCAACTATGACCATGTGTCTATTTTTTTTTAAGTAAAATCGGAAAGATGTGTTCCTTTTCAAGACTACTTGACACTATGAACTTTTCAAATTGCTTTATGGGAGCCTGCAACTTTCTTTTCTTTACAAACAAAAATAATAACAATGCAATTAATACAATGAGATTCTTTATGCAGATGCTTCTGGTAGGCGTTATTTTCTCTTCAGAAGTACACACCTGATACCATCTGCCTACATGAGCAAGCTACATTTTCGATCCCTTTTTCATAGTTCTTTCTGCTGCTTAAAAGAGGGAAAAAAGGCCCTTCCACTTTATTTTATATATCTCCCACCTTGAGAAAGTGTGATTTTGCCCATTCTCTAAAAACTTTAGGAGAATAATAATGGTCAATATCTGTAACACTTTGAAAAGCACTTTTGAGTACATTATCAAGTGTAATTTTCATACCACTATCTTGATTTTGTAAAGAAGAATATCAAAAGCTTTGATTGAATTCTAAATGAAAGGTTTAGGAAGCAGTATTCTGTGGTGCTGTTTTATTCAGTAAGTTGTCTGAAATGTGGACAATTTTCTATTTTCTTCAGTGACCTTCAAATAAAAAATAAAAAGTTTTTTTTTTTTTTTTTGAGACAGAGTCTTGCTCTTGTCGCCCAGGCTGGAGTGCAGTGGCGCAATCTCGGGTCACTGCAACCTCTGCCTCCCGGGTTCAGGCTATTCTCCTGCCTCAGCCTCCTGAAAAAATAGAAAGATTTTATACTTCAGTTAATAATTAATTTTTTTTTCCTGAACATGAAAATTATAACTACTAGAAATTTCTTCAATTCTTATCTGTTTTTGTTGCTTTTATTTTTGGTTTTCCTTTCTACTTATAACACTGAAGTAGAATAAAAAAGAACACAGGTTTTGGAGCAGGATGTTCAGATTCTGTTTTTTCCACATAAGTGTGTGTGTGTGTGTGTGTGTGAGAGAGAGAGAGTGACAGAGAGGGATGGAGAGAGCAGAGAGAGATAGAGAGAAAGAGAGAAACTGAGATACTTCGGGCAAGTTATGTAAATTCTCTATGTCTTGGTTTGATCCTTTAAAAAGCAGGGATAATGATAAGCACCTGGCAGAGTCTTTGTGAGGATTACCTGGGTTAGCTCATGGAAAGCAGATAATACTGGGCCTGAAGCATAATAAGCTGCCTCTTTATTCTCTTCCTGTCCTCTGAATGATGGAGGTCCTCAGGGATTGGTGCTGATTCCTCTCTCTTGTATGTGCACACATTCTCTCTAGGTGGCCACACCCATTACTGTGCTTTAAGTATTATTCATCTGTCCACCTGCTTTCACCTCCTAAATGTATGTGTTTGATCCTCTCAGCTTAGATGTTTCACAGGATCTCAAACTTAACATGTCTAAATTTGAATTCTTTTTTTTTATCCCACAAGCATTTTCTTCCTGTAGTCTTCTTCGTTTTGGTAAATAACACCACCATCTGCTCAGTTAGTTAAGACAGAAACCTAGGAATCATCTGTGATTCATCTTTTCCCTCCCTCCTGAAATACAGCCCACTACCAAATTCTGCTTCCTCCATATCAGTATATATCTCAGATCTGCCATGTCTCTTTATCTTCACTAACCTCCCTCACCCCAGCCCCATTTAAATCACCATCATCTCCTGCGTGGCTCCCTGAACTCCATGCTTCCACACTTACCCAGTTCTAATGCCTTCCCCACACAGAAATTATGGTGATCTTTGGAAGATGTAAATCAGATGTCACCCTCTTACTTAAAACCCATTTAACGGAGTCTTGTTGCACTTAAAACGTAAACTCCATAACCTTTAGAACCTTCACGTCAGAGATTCCTCATGATCATGAATTCCTTACTCACTAGCCCCTGCTCTCACTGACTGTGTTGGGGGTCCCCAAGACCACTCTCAGGCTTAGTGATTCACTAGAAGGACTCAAATAACTTAGAAAACTAGTTGTACTCATGGTTATGGTTTATTGTGACAAAAGGATTTGGGCTGAAATCAACAAAAGAAAAAGACACATAGTTTGGAATGCAGGAGAAACCAGCCATGAACTTCCAGTTGCCCTCTTCCAGCAATCATACACATAGCACTTAATTCTCCCAGCATCAGTGTATGTGACAACACATATGGAATACTGACAACCAGGGAAGCTGCCCTGAGCCTTGATGTCCAAGGTTTTTATTGGGGATCAGCCACACAGGCATGAAGCACCCATGTAGCTGACCTTAATTCCTCAGTTTCCAGCTTCTCCAGAGGCCACATTGACACCACAAGTCCCCACCATAAATCACATTATTAACATAAACTCTCTAGTGTGGATTATGGCCCCTGTAGACAAAGACACCACTATCAGGCAGGGTATTCCAAGTATTTAGAGGTAGTTTCTTAGGAGCTGGTCAAAGGTCAGACTGTCCTTTGGAATATACAGAGTTTGGACAACCCAGGCCTGCTAAGTTAATCCTTTACTGCACACTCACCAGCCGGCAGTTCCTAGAGCAGACCAAAGCCTTTTCCTCCTTGGGCCAGTGTCCTGTGTGCCTCCTCCTCGTTCTTCAGATCTTACTTTAAATATCACCTCTCCAAAGAGGCCATTTCTGACCACCTGACATAAGTAGGTCCATTCCCTTTATTATTTTCCATCACAGAATCCTGTTGGAATGCTTTGAAAGATTTGAGTCATGATTATGTTTGTGTGTTCTTATTTACTTGTTTATTATTTGTCTCCCCAACTAGATCTGAAGATCCATGAGGACAGGGTTCATGTTATTCCTGTGCCTCACACATTGTGTGAGACATGATTGTTATTCAAAAGACATTTGTCGAATGATGGAAGCTGTTATTTTTATATTATATATTTGTGTGTGTGTGTGCATGCATGTGTGTGTGTGTCTTTTCTCCTTGGATTTTATTAGTAATTTTAGTGAATGTTTTATAAATCTTTCTAATTTGGCATTCAAAGGTAAGGATTTTCTGTCTGCTATATCTGTAACCTCTTGGGTTAATTAGACTGACCTGGCTGGTCAGGAAATTTCTAGTTTCCATCTCTCCAGGTGTTTCTTTATGAAACTGCCCACTTTCTGAAGGAATGAGAGAGACCAGGCAGAAAGCTACCTGTTCTTCCAGCTCCTTTCCAGAATTACTGGCATAGCTCAAGATCCATTATGATCCTTTGATCATCCCTCCATTTGCTTTGTGAATTGCATGTGTATGGCATTTGCATTTCAACTGAACCAGTGCTATTCAGTGAGTTTCCTAGAATTAATGTATCATAGCTCAGTAAGACTTTAAAGTAAGTATGACATTTTGTTTTGAATTTGACTAATATATTTAACTAATGATGACTATAAAAATAACTGAATAAAAATGTATCTTTTTTAGTTCAAAAAAACTGACAGAAAAGAGATAAATACATTCAAAAGATTCTGATTCATAGTGATGTGTATAATTTTGGAAATGTCACTGTAATAAACAGAAACTTCTCTCAGTTTTGAAATTTAAAAAAAACCCTCTAATTGCCCATGGCAATTTTCAGAATATTCTTTTATTGTAATGAAATCACGTGACATGTATTTCATTCAGATTTTTTACAAGAATTTGAGAGACTGTAGTACTTTTAAGTAAAGCAGAGTTGTAAAAACCTTCTGTGAGTGCACATTTTCTATTTCAGTACAAAACCCTGGGCATGTCATTCAAGGATCTAGAGAATTAAGAACCAGCTTTTATGTACAGCCTCATCTTCCAGTCACCTAGGACTACCCCATGCCAGCCTCGTTGCCTACTTTTTCCAGCCCTCATATATTTTACGGTCTAGCTGGAACCCCCAGGGTTGAGAATATTGACTTGAACATATGAACAACATGAATGTGCCTAAGAGCTAATTAGCATCATACAGAGAACACCTGCCAGGCATGAGGAGAGCTGAGCTCTGGTCTCAGTCCTTCCTCTTATTAGCTGGATCGCTTGACTACAGATCACTGAGCCTCAGTTTTTTCATTAGTAGCATAAGGACATTGAACAAGACTATCTCCAAATTGCTTCCAGCTCTAAAAGCCTGGGTACTATCTTCCTTGTGTCGATAATCTGGAGGAGTTCATTAATTATCAAGAGATTCAATTGTGCTCAACCACCCACGTGAACAATTCAACCTCATCAAAGGTGAATGACCAGCAAGTTGCTTCTAATGAGTGGTCACTGCTTTTAGAGATAAATCAATTTGAACTTCTCATTACTTTAGTGGTGCCTCCAAGGCTAATTACTCTCTTTGCTAGAACCTGGACTTGGAATAGATTAATTCTGATAGAAAGTTTTGGGGTAATTTTGAGAACTATCATTTATTGTAGAATATCTGAACTTTGCATGCACTTTGTCTGGCTTCCTATCAACAAGATTTCATGGGAACAGTCTGGGCTGTTCATCTCTTACCCACAGCTCTCTCTTTTTCCGAACCTCTCCACTCTCACTGCCATATTCCTAATTCAGATCCTCATTGTCTCCCACCTTGACAGTTTCAATGCCTATATGATTGCCCATTTCCTCTCCCTACTCAAGGCAGTTCTGTGCAGTGTGATCAGATTAATATTCCAGAAGTAAGAGTGTCTGTAGAAATAAGTACAAATTATTTGGCTTGCCATTCAAGGACATAAACAATATAAATCCAACCTGGCTTTAAGGTATATCTCCCAGGAATTAATCATTTGCCTTTGCTCCAGGAAAATTGGATCACCCCTTGGCCCTAACCACGTCCAGCCTCAGCTACCTCTGTACCTTCATCACCCTCATTAGTTTTTAAAGTTCTGCAAGTTTTTAAATATTACCTCTCCCAAAACAGCTGAGATGTGTTACCTCTCACATGAAGACTTAATTTTCCAACTCCAAATGGATATGACCTCTCTCTCCTTTAAATTCATCTGTTATTATGGATGCCTCTCCCATAGTGCTCATATTCTGCCTTCTATTATTTTGTACCTACATAATAAAGTTACGGAATTTCAGAGCTGCAAGAAACCTTACAGAGTATTCTTATTTGACAGATGTTTTATGCATCCTACAGAATTCTAAACAGGGATGGAGGTTGAGTTTTTATCTAGCCTGTTGCCTTCACTACAGATACTATCACTCACCTTCCCAATTTTGTACCATAATGTCTTGCACAAAGGCAATGCACATTCCATATTTGTTGGATAAATTGGATGCAAATACCTCAACATGGAAAAATGATTGTAGATGTACAAATACTCTTCTTATTAATAATATTGTTGCAAGTTACTAATACTGTTGTAAGTTAATAATGTTGAGCATTATTACAGCCTGCAAAACCTTGATTCTTTGATTGGTTCATTCATCCAGCATTTATTGAACAACTACTCTGTATTAGGCACTGTGTTGGGTTATTGCCTTGGAGTACTTACAGATTAGCAACCTGCTTATTATGAGACTTGTGATTGAACCAAAGAGAAAAAGAGCCTTACCACTGAAATTATGATAAGAAAAATTCCATCACAGCCTTAATATATGAAGGAGAATACAGCAGACTGCCAGCCATAATGCCTCCATCTTCCATCCTTTCCTGTATCTAGTTTCTCTTTCAATGTGACTCTGTAGTTTCTTACTTCAAAAGGTGTAGTGTATCTGATTTCCCCTTGATTCTGAGCTTAGCCACATGGATTGCCTTGGTCAATATAATCTTAGCAGTTGTGCTACAGGCAGAGGCTTGAAAATGCACTTGCCCGCCTCTGTTTCCTCTCTTACTTCATTGCCATGATCACAAGAACATACTGACAATAGCCTGCTGGAGAATAAGATAGTGCTGAGTTCCCCAAATCTTTTGAGTTGTAACTGTCCTGGGTTGTAACTTTTGAGTTGTAACATGTCCTAGACATGTGAGTTCAGCTAAGTCCAGGACAGATCAGTCTTGGCAGACTCATGGGCTAAATAAATGGATATTGCATCCCACTGTGGTTGAATCGTTGTTTGTTATGCAGCATTTTGTGGCAATAGATAACTGATACAGTGAGAGGACAATCCTCAATCCTTCCCTAGCAAGGAAGTGACAATTCATTCAAATGTAGTGGTTTCTTGTTTGTTTAAATATCTAAAGGTGGCTAGATCCAATATTCATTGAATACACAAAGATATTCTGAAAAGTATATTTTGTTACAAAATTATTGCATTAAATTAGGTTAAATGAATTAGAACAATACAAAGGGCAGTTTTGGATCCTATAGAATTTCTCTATTTAGAAACGTAAAAGAGATAATACTTAACTAACTCATTTCCCTCAGGTTAATTAATGTAGACATTTCCACTACAGTTGCAGCAAATTAACATGGGCTGCTTCTCCACACCAGCAATTATCAACATGCTAACACATCCTGAATTATGGATGGTTTCATAAAATTTGACAATTTGACATTACTCTTTGAGAAATAATTCTAGTGGCACCATAAGCCTTTGGGCAATTGTGATAAATTAAGATGTATTTTTATCATAATTGGTCCTATTATCATTCACTGATATTTAATATAATCTATAGTGAAAGGTGTTTTTGATGTCTTGAATTTAACAAAAGAGCTCTTTTTTTTTTAATATAACAGCAACTGCTTCTAAGGTGTCCAAAGTCTTCTGTTTATTGTTAAGGTTTTTCCTCAAATGTACTGGCACTTTGGAAGCATAAATCTCAAACTCAAGTGCAATCTTCCTGACTCCTAGATAAGTGAGGATCTCATGACCATTAAAAACAATTCACAGTCTTATAACTTATATCATGCATGCTGTTATTGATACATTGCAACTTAAAAATAATTAGTAGTAGTATAAAAAGATCCAGAAAATAACAAGCATTAGTGAAGGTGTGGAGAAATTAGAACTCTTGTGCCTTGCTGGTGAGAAAGTAAAATGCTGCAGCTGCTGTGGAAAATTATATGATGGTTTCTTAAAGAGTTAAACATAACATTACCATATGATCCAGCAATCTCACCTCTGGGTATATACCCAAAAGAATTGAAAGCAGGGACTCAAACAAATATCTGTACACCAATATTCATAACAATGTTATTCACAATAGGTGAATCCACATTATTCACAAAAGGTGGAAAAAGCCCAGATTTCCACTAGCAAATGAATAGATGAGTGAAGTGTGGTGATATGGTTTGGCTATGTCCCCACCCAAATCTCATCTTAAATTGTAGTTCCTATAATCCCCGCATGTCATGGGAGGGACCGGGTGGAGATAATTGAATCATGGGAGCAGTTTCCCCCGTCCTGTTCTTGTGATAGTGAGTTAGTTCTCATGAAATCTGATGGTTTTTTAAGGGGCTTCCCCCTTTGATGAGCACTTGTTCTTCTCCTTCCTGCCACCATGTGAAGAAAAACATGTTTGTTTTCCCTTCTGCCATGACTGTAAGTTTCCTGAGGCCTCCCCAGCCATGAGGAACTGTGAGTCAATTAAACCTCTTTCCTTTATAAATTACCCAGTCTTAGGTATGTCTTTATTAGCAGTGTAAGAACAGACTAATACATGTGTTATAGACTACAATGGAATATTATTCAGACTTTAAAAGTCATGACATTCTGTTATGTGCTACAACATGAGTGAACCTTGAAAGCATTATGTAAGGTAAAATAGCAGCACAAAAGGACAAATGTTTGTCTTGTTCCACTTATATGATGTACATAGAATAGACAAATTCATTTAGACAGAAAGTAGAATAGTAGTTGCCAGGGTCTGGGGGACATGGAAATGGGGAGTTATTTTAAGGGGTACAGAGTTTCAGTTTGAGAAGATGAAGAAGTTCTGGAGATGGATGGTGATCTTGATTTCACAACAATGTGAATGTGCTTAATGCCACTGAACTGTACACCTAAAAATTATTTAAATGGTGATTTTTATGTTAGGTATATTTTACCGTAATTTAAAAAATGAAAGAGAAAAAACTATGAATTAGTAGTTTCATTGGCATCACATACCTTCCATGGTCATTGTGGGGACATTTTCCCTCTGCATCCAGATAGCCCTTCTCTATTGGAAGAGCCAGCATGATGTGGTGTGATAGTGATAAGGGCATAGGCTATAAAGTCAGATGCATAACTCTGAACCCTAAGCGTAACTCTGATGACTGTGGGGCAAGTTAATTAACCTATTATTACCCTTAATTGTCTGTTCTGTAAATGGTGATGATAATATCTACCTAAAAAGGTGTTTTTAAAGTATTAAACATCTTGGAGTTCAAAGTGTTAGTTATTTTTCACTAAGCCTTCTGAATTTTCTTCATTTTGGTTTGCTAAACACCATTTATGTTAACAACATTTAAAGTTGTAAGTTTATTTAAAGATCAAGGACATATCAAGGTCCACTTAGGTGTTGGAAGAGTATACTGGCATTTCCCATTTGCAGCTTTAGGCTCTTGAAGAAGCAGTGTACAATAAATAGACTTTTATAAACATACTTTTATTCTTCAGCAACTTTAGCTTATCAAAGTTCAATATAAATAAAAAGATGCCTTGTAAATATCATCGTGATAAAGATTGTAATTCTCTTTTAATAATAAGGATGATGTGAAGTTATATGCTTAAATCACTAGCAATAGATACATGCCATTTGCTTTGTAGCCCTAGTATTTGGCATATTTTAAGTATTTAATATATGTTTTGCATGGAAGGAAGAAACACTAACTTCTGACTGCTAGAGAAGGGTAGATAGAAAACTGCAGGGTATAGCAATGAAATTGTGCTGGAAGCATAAAGCCTTCAAAGGAAGTTCAGTAGTTGAAAGAATTGTCAGAAAAGTTTATTTCTTGCTATTGCAGAGTGTTGGATATAGTGATACCAACTATATAGTGATAAAAAAATAAAGATTTTTTTCTCGTGTAAAAATAAAAAAAGGTATTATGTAGGTATGAGAAATAAAACATGTTCCTATAACAACCCAAAAGTAAATGTTATGGTTTCACTTTGCTGGAGGGGTTGACTTCTATTTGCTCCTTTAGTCATACCTTTTCTTGCATACAACTAAATGTAGAAATGACTAATGGGGCTACAACACATATTGCAAGAGAACACTATGAAGGAAAAAATGGATTGTTTTCATCACAAAGCAAGGTAGTATATCTAGGTATATTGGAAAAAAAACTTAATAAAAAGTGTTTAAGTATCTTTGCCAAGAATTTTTTTAATCAAAGCTTTTATGTTTATGAGTTTCCTGATGGAAGCAATGAGTAGCAGTCTTTGCTTAATTTGTTTCAAAGCAATATTGAAGAAAATTGAACAAAATATGCAATAAGAAAAATTCTGTGCTGGTCCCCAGGGTATGGACTATCTGACAATATAATAGATGTTTTCCATTTCCCTGTGTCTAGAAGTCTAGGTGGTTGCAGGCCATATATTACCCTTGGTTCACTCCCACCATTTTCCCTGACATTAATGGGAGGCTTGTTGCAGAAATAAGGCAATCTGCAGTCGGATTTTTTTTTTTTGAGATGAGTCTCACTCTGTCACCCAGGCTGGAGTGCAATGGTGCCATCTCAGCTCACTGCAACCTCCGCTTCCTGGGTTCAGCGTGATCTCGGCTCACTGCAACCTCCACCTCCTGGTTTCAAGCGATTCTTCTGCCTCAGCCTCCTGAGTAGCTGGGATTACAGGCACGAACCTCCACACTCGGCTGATTTTTGTATTTTTAGTAGAGACGGGATTTCATCATGTTGGTCAGGCTGGTCTCGAGCTCCTGACCTCGTGATCCTCCCGCCTCGGCCTCCCAAAGTGCTGGGATTACAGGCATGAGTCACCGCGCCTGGCCTGCAGTCTGATTTTTGTTTATGGAATGAGATCATTCTATCAGATGTAAGAGCTCCATTGTCCTTTGTTACACATTCAAGACAGACAAAAAATGCTAATAGCAATTATGTGAGTGCATTGGAGAAGAATTAAGACTCAGAAAAGTGTAGTGTTGAAAACATTCACTTAAAGACAGGGATATTTTCAGTAAAGCAGCAATAAACATTGCAAACTGGTTGAGTTGTTTTTGTTCATATTATATATCTCCTCTACCTCCCAAACCTACTTAGTTTTCACATATGCATGGAACTTCAAATTTAGAGGTGCAAATTTTGAGGAAATGACAATATTTCTTTTGTCAAGGTCTCCTTTGCAAAACCAAGTATGGAATTGCTAAACATGAAGAACTTGAAAACAGTTCATTTAAATCAGAAAGTAATTGGGTCCAATAATCAATGTGCATTCACCTAAATTACTATGGATAATGAAATTGTTGTACCTCTGTTCTGGGTTGTTAAAATCCACGTGCAGTATTTCTTCTCTCCCAAAAGCATCGTGGAAAGACTCCACCATATTCCTCCAGACTTGGTGAGAGTTCCTGCCTCTGATCTGCCCTCTCTGGTTCCTATAATCTTGCTCTTATTATCTTCTCCTTACACATCCACTAATCCACCATTCTAGGTGGTATTAAGAACTTTTTCACATACTAGATCATAACTCCTTAATTCTTAGATTGTATTTCCAGTTAGAACACTGCTGATTTGGGGGGATATATAGAATTTACATTTAAATATTAGTGGATTAGAACAAGAATCTCTGAAGAAAAAGTATTAACTATTAGCGGAATTCACTTATAAGTTGACTAGCCAGTATTCAGCAGAGGTTTAGGTTAGTTGGGCAAGCAGGGGTTAACTTTCCAATGCTGTTGCCTTGTATTTCGTTGAGGAAATTTAAGCAATCACAGGAGAACTTCCACAGATCCCACTACCACCGCTAACCCTCAATGCATCTGAATCCATACACATTCTGTTCCTTCCCTGCAGCCCTTCCACTTTATATTGGATCCTATTAAGGGCTGAATTTTGTCTGTTCCCCCCACCCCTGCCAAATTCATCTGTTGAACTCTTAACCCCTCGGTACCTCACACAATGACATTATTTGAAAATATGGTGTTGCAGATGTAATTATTTAAGGTAAAATTAGGTCATGCTGGAGTAGGGTGGGCCCCTAAACCAATATGACTTGCATGCCTATAAAAAGGAGAAATTTGGACACAGACGTACACATGGAGAACTCCTGTGATGCTTGGAGTCATGCTGCCACAAGCCAGGCAACTACAGGAAGCTAGGAGACAGGCCTGGAACAGATCTCTCCAGAGTGCCTTCAGAGCAGTCATAGTCCTGCTGACACCTTGATCTCAGACTTCTAGGCTCCAGAACTGTGAGACAATAAATGTGTATTGTTTCAGTCACTTGGATTGTGGTGCTTTGTTAAAGCAGCCCTGGGAATCTACTACAGGCCACAACCTCTCAGCACCAAGCCATTGTCTTCTCGATCCTCAGGACAATTTCCCCTCTGCATGGGAATTCCCATCAGCACATAGGCATGCTGTAAGCCACCTCCAGCTATGGCCCTATTTCTTTGCTCCCTCAGATAGCAAAATTATTGAAGAAATTGCTTACACTCCTTCTCTCTACTTTCTTTCCTCAATTTTCTTTGGAACTGATTCCAATCAGGCTTTTTTCAAAACCGCTCTTAACCTCCACGCTGCCAAATCTAGGGCGCATATCTCAGTATTTATTTTATGCCATCTGTCAGCAGCATTTGTTTGGCTACCAGGATGCTTTCTCTTTGTGCTTCTCATAACTCATTGGCCACTTTTTCTTAGTCTCCTTTGATGGTTCCTTCCATTTTGCTGCCCTTAAACATTTGTATTTCAATTATATCTCAATGAAGCTTTTATAGAAATAAACAAATAGTGGAGTGCTTCAGGTCTCGGCTCCTGGACCTAATAAGATGCTCTGAATCTACATTCATTCTTAAATTAAAACATCCAGTCCTCCTGGCTTTAGATAAAATACCACTATACCAAGGCATCCAAATTTGTGTCTAGCTTGGACCTCACTCTTCAATTCAAGAATTGTCTATCTGTTACTAGACATCTATGTGTGTCAAGCAACTCAAATTAAAGCTGCCTCCCCTAAACTGGTTCTTCCTCAGTTTAAACAATGACCACTCTACTCTTCCTGTTGTGTGAACTAAAATTTTTGGACACATCCTTAGCCCTCCTTTTTGTAATACCCCACATCGATTATATGAGAAAATAACATATAACATTTAAGCACTTTTCACCACCTCTGCTGCCTGTCTATGCCACCATTGTCTCTTAACTCGTTTATTGCAAGATCATCCTAACTGAAACCATATTGCATTAATAATTTCCCTGTAGCTTACATAGCTGCCTGGGAGATCCTTTTAAAACATAGTCACATTACCACCTGCAGTGGCTTCCATGTTACTTCCATCCAAAGTCTTTATCAGGTCCTCATAGAGTCCTGCAGGGTCCATGTGACTGTTTCTTCACTCATTCTGTTGCAGCCAATCTGGCCTCTTTGCTTCCTCCCCACCCCCGACCTCCGCCCAAGCATTCTAGAAAAGCATGATTCTAGCTCAGGGCCTTTGCACTTTTCTCTGCCTCTGATGCATTTCTGCCAGGTGGCCATATGGCTCACTTCCTCATTCCCTTCAAGTCTCTGGCTCAAATATCATCTTACCAGAGAGCATTCTTTGATAAAACCCTTGCCTAGTTATTCTCTATCCTTCTTGCCTTATTTTGTTCAAAACAACAACACTGAAAGATTTATGACGTCAGGGATTTTGTTTGTATCATGGGCCATTTAGAACAGATCCTGGCACATAAGTATGTGTTGAGTGAATTACTGAATGATCCAGGATTGGGCTTGATAAGGTGAGACTTCCAGGAATAGCCTGAGGTTTCTGTACTTCATTCAATGCTATGTTGTGCTCATCCTGCCCAACTATGCACCTCAATGTAAACCTTTGTTTGCTTCTCTTTATCCTGCCTAGGACCTTGCCATGGGTCTCTGTGCAGATTCTTGTGGTGATGCCCTTTGAGGAATCTTTTTTCTCTTTATTTTTTTGGTGTCTAGATGAGTGCCCATCACATGGTCAATGAATGATTTTTTTAATGATTAAGTGTATAGTTGGTTTTTAGGCCTTTGATTTTGAGTCTTGAGCTATAATCCTGACCCAAATTGATTCTTTGGCTGTGATCTTATTTCATGGCAGGTTTGCTTTAAGGGGATTTAGATTGAATATTTTCCAAAATGTGATAGCTAAAACATGTTTTGGAAGTACGTTGTGAAACCTCAGTTAAATAACCTAAAGCAGTAAACGCAACATCCAACTTTTAAGGAATAGTATGGACAGTGTTCTTATGTTCTTATTCATACACAGACTCACATAAGGCAAGTATCAACTTTGTTCCTTTCATGTTTATTAACGGGACATGCTCTTCATGTCTGGCAAGAGCCTTTCATCACATGATAATGAGATTCCACTTGGTCTTGGTCCACAACACTTAGCACATTACATCAGTATTTCTCAAGCGTTTCCACTGAAATACTTCAAATATCAGAGGAGAGCAACATGCATTCCTAAGGGTCTGGCTATGTAAACCAAAGAAGTTAACAGCAAATTCAAAAGTGTTTTATTATTACAATTTATGGAATTTTCCATTCTACTCCAAATAAGCCTTGGAGTTTTTATTATGTTTTGACATAAAATATTATGAGATATTTCCAGTTAAATTATCTATATTTTGTCCTGAATCCTCAAAAGGAAACTGAAGATGAACCATGATTGTCTTGTGGCTTTGTGTAGCCCCTGAGACCTGGCATCAGTCTAAATGCCTGATCTGGGGCTCACTGCACAATCTCTGGACAGCAGCAGCACTGACCATCCTTGTTAGATGTGACTCTAGCAACTATTGAACCAAACTAACTGCCTATGAAGACTGCTCCCTGATTATATGGCTGCTCTTGGCAGCTGATAACTTTCTGTCTGATCCAATCCTCATCTCTAATGGAATGATGCATCACTGTGTAATGGGTCCTGTTTTATTCATCCTGTTCTATTAAGCTAAGATCGATAATGCAACTAACATCCTGAAGGTTCACATTATACCCAAGTTTTACTATGGTGTCACTCACCTTGGCACAAGACTTAGTGTAATAATATTGAATACCTAATAAGATTGTAATTATCTGTACTTCTCAAGCACTACAACACAGTTTCAACTCTAATTCTTTTACAGGCTTTCCTGGGCCTGTGCTACAGGGAATGAACCATTTGAGGTACCCTAAAGGAAGAGCTTACAAGGAAGGCATGGGTGGAAGTGTGAAGAAATGAAGCAGATGGGTTAGGGGGATGGAGAACCTCAGTTTGAGGGAGTGTGGGAGGTGAACTCAGAAAGATAGGAAAGGTCAGATATGTACATGGGGCAATGCACATCTTACCTTCTCACTTGGCCCTAAATGCTGGAGTGACACAATTGCAATTCATTAAGTAAAAGCAACAATGCAGCCAAGGTGAGGCCATTGGAAGCTTTTGATCCAGAATGGGACATGATGAAAGCAGCATCGTATGGACGTGGATTGGTGAATCCTATATGGGCTGCTGTGGCATGGAACAGCTGGTAAAGCAGAGCTGAGGCTGTCCCATAGTCCAGGTGGGAGGCAGTGAGGTATTGAAGGGTAAGGAGAATGGGTTTGGGAGCTACCTCCTGACTCTGAGACCTCATCTATAAAGTGAGGATGTGACCTAGTTCACAAGGTCATACTGATGACTAATGAGATAAAATACAATAATGTTTAGCAGAGTGCCATGCCAGGCCCTCAGAAATGCACGAGATAGAGTAGCATAGCGAGGCTCTGAACCTACTGCCTGGGTTTACATTCTGGCTTCACTACTATGGGCTGCTGGGTTCTGCTGCACAATCCTTAACTTCTCTGAGCTGCACCTTCTTCCCTGGAAGATGGGGAGAATTACAGAGCCTGCCTCAAAAGCTGGTTGTAAAGATTAGATATATTAAGTGTCCGATATGTGCTCACAATTGTATGCCCTCTACCCTCCTGTGATAGCCTCAGACTGGGAGCCAAAGAAATAAAGGAGCAAACATGCAACAATTGAGAAGAACAGATGGGAATGACAACTGGTTTTATATTAAAGACAATGTGAAAAATAAGTCAAAGACGACCCTCAAAATGGTTACACTGGCAGAGAAGGGAAATCAGGATATTGAATGAGTTTGGCTTGGGGGACAAGGCTGTACAATGTGAGTGATGTTAAACTTGAAGAAACAGTGTAACAAAAAATTAAAAATTTTAAGAATAGAAAAAAGACAGCTTTAGAATAGAAAAAAGACAGTAGGAATATAAAAGGCAACAAAAAAAGACAGCTTTTTTTCTCTTGGAAGCTGATAAATTAAAAATTTTTAATTTTTTACTTTTTAAACTTTTTTACTAAGAACTAAGACAAACGAACACATTAACCCAGGCCTACACAGCACCAGGATCATCAATGTCACTGTTTTCCATCTTCACATCTTGTCCTTACTGGAAGGTCTTCAGGGGCAATAACATGCATAGAGCTGTCACCTCCTAAGATAACAATGCCTTCTTCTGGAACACCTCTGAAGGACCTGCCTGAGGGTGTTTTACAATAAACTTTTTAAATAAGTAGATGTACCCTCTATAAAATAAGAATAAAAAGTATAGTATAACAAATACATAAACCGGTAACATAGTCATTTAATATAAAGTATTATGTACTATACAGAATTGTATGTGCTCTATTTTTATACAACCAGCAGCACAGTAGGATTGTTTACACCAGCATCACCACAAGCACGTGAATAATGCATTATGCTAGGACATTGTAACTGCTACAATGTCACTAGGTGATAGTAATTTTTTCAGCTCCATTATGATCTTATGGGACCACCATCATCTATGTGGTTCATCAAGGACTGAAGCTCTGTTATGCACCACATGACTATGTAGTGATTTAACATCCCCTGGTCCTTCAATGAGTGTTCTTTAGAAGACTCCTAAATCTAGGGATTAAAATTGTGTTTTCAAGTCTTTGACTTTGCTCAATTAAACGACATTTGACTTCACAGACTGTAACAAGAAGGGTTTTTATTTTCATGTTTTCTAGACATGTATGTTTAGTGTTCCTGAGATAGCATGTTACTATTAACCTGTCTGATTATACGATTTGTATGTAAAAACTAATTCATTTTAGAGAATAACTGAAGCTTAGCTTTTGAAATACATTATACTGTGTTCAGGTCATGATAAACGTCCTCTGGAGCATGGCTACCCCACCTAACATACGTAGCATAGTCTCCTGAAAAGCTCAACATGACTTACTGGGTGGCTATAGACCAAGGCAAAGAATATCTTATACTTTTCTAAATTATATATATTATTGATTATACCATACCTTTTGGAATTTAAGAAAACTGCTAACTAGTATTATAAAGGAGTTGCTAATTACAATATTAATATCATTATGTTCACCCAGGAATTTTCCTAAGCTCTAAAGTCAATTCTAGTAAATCCCAGGAAGTAAAAAATCCCATATTTGATTGGGGCTCTTTGTTGCTGTATTGCCTGACTCTGCCTCAGAGTTTTGTCAACACAGTTGTCCAGGAAGTCATGGACACTAAAGTTGAATTTAAAAAAAAAAAAAAAAAAAGGAGAGGATTTCACTCTGTTTCCCAGGATGGAATGCGGTGGCACAATCATGGCTCACTGCAGCCTCAATTTCCTGGGCTCAAACAATCCTCCCACCTCAGCCTTCTGAGTAGTTGAGACTACAGGTGTATACCACCATCCCCAGCTAACTTTTATTTTTTTGTTGTTTTGTTTTGTAGAGATGGGGGTCTCACTACGTTGCCCAGGCTAATCTCAAACTCCTGAGCTCAAGCAACCCACCCACCTTGGCCTCCCAAAGTGCTGGAATTATAGGCATGAGCCACCATGCTTAGCCTAAGGTTGAATTCTAATTGTCACCTAGGCAACTTTGATAAAATAACATCATTGAGATAAGATTGCTTCCAAATACTAGAAAAAGTTGTTTTGTGTTCTTGTTTATCGTGTATCTATATAATATGTTAAGTGGAGAGAGAATTAAAAGAATCACAGGCTCTGGTTTGATTAATAATAGGTGGATCCTTCTGAACAGTGTTTATCCTGGCATAATGAAAGAACTTTCTTATTCTTTCCTATGTAATGTCAGGAAATATGACGTAAACAGCAGGGATGTAAAAGACACAAGTAGCTATCACCATTGAACAATGTTGGCACTGTCCCTAAGCCTTTTCCATTGCTTCTGACACTTTTTTTTCTATTCCCCTTCAAAGGTTTTGATTATTCATGCATGTAAGCATTAATTCATTTACTTATTCCATAAATGTTTATTGATTTCTAGGCACTGTGCCAGGCCAGTATAGAAAGAAAGAAGAAAACAATAAAATCCATTTTTATTTGAAGTAGGGGGAGAGTTTGCAAGCAACTTAAAAAAATTAAAGAATCGAAAGAAGAACTAAGTTTTAGGAATGCCACGAATTAGGCTAACTCGTAGGATCTGGGTAGCAGGAATGAATGCACAGCTTCATCAGGGCACTGCTGCTGAAGTGTATCCTTCTACTGGAAGGAGCTTCTGATTGGCCTGGCCTAGGTCAGGAACCCATCACTTGGTCAGGGAGAGCAGGACACCTTGATTGAAAGGTCCTCCAGTGGAGTTTGAGGAGCTCCCAAGTTCTGCTAGTAAAAGAAAAGAGAACAGATACTGTACAGGCAAAAAGAGCAGGTGCCTGCTACAGAGGAGGCTAAGTGGGTGCTATTTGTCTTACAGTGTGAGATACAGATAATTAGAGACATGGGCAGGGTGCTGCAGGAGTGCAGAGATGGGGCACTTAGGGAGGAGGAAATTAACTCATTAGGAGGCCACGGAAGATGGGGTTGGAAACGTTGGCAGGAGCTAGGTCATGAAGGCCTTTATATGGCATATTTGTGAGTTTATACTTTTTCCCTTGAATGATGGGTAGAGATTGAAGGATATTAATGAAAAAAATCACTTTAGAAAAATTAGTCTGCTGATGAGGCAGTGGGCACATTAGAAGGTAAGAGCTGGAGTGAGGTAATCAGTTAGAATAAATGGTGAGAAGTGGCCTAAAAACGGCATCCTTGGAGTTAGAAAGGGATGGGTTCTAGAGATACTTATAATCTACAGGGGTTGGTAACTGATTGACCATGAGACATGAAGAAGAATTAGGATTCTGGGTGGCTTTCAAGTTCCTGGCTTGAGCCAAGCGTGTGGTCACTAATAGAAGAAATACAAAATAAGGTGTACCGTATCTGATTCATTGATCTGATGTTCCCCTGGGACATCTGGGTGGCACTAGCCAAGGCTGCAGTGTTGTAGAAGGATGTGAAAACCAGCGAGAGGTCAGGGCTGCAGATGTGGCAGCTGACAGTATATATAGGTGGTAGTTAAAGCCCTTGAACCAGGGGCAGAGTGGGTAGGAGTAAGGGGTGTAGAGTCAGAGTCCTTGGGAATCACAGTATTTAAGACGCAGGAGCAAGAAAGCAGGGTATGAGGAAAGAAGGAAGGTTAGCTGCCCCTGCATCACCCCCTCCTCACCCCCACCTACCCTCAAATGATAAGAAGGTTTGAGAAATCTGTAGAGATTCAATTATGTCCTTTTCTGTAAATAAAGCCCTAGTATAGTATATCCTGGTACCATGGGGAACTCTTGAATATGTTAGATTTAAAAAGAGTATTTGATCAGTGACCAACAGTTAAAACAGACTATCACTAGGAGGCTTAGAATTTATTAAGAACTGGACTGGCAGACCTGTATTGAGAGTAGAAAGTCACTGAGTAGATTTCTGAGATGTGCACCTCTCCCCTGAGATATTCACACAGATTTATTTTATGGGGTCCACCCAACATAATTTAAGTGTCAATTTTATTGTGCTTCAGCCCTGTGAACAAATATAGTCATCTTTATTCCTTTGCACTATTAATGTTTCCTCTCTAGATAATTTATGTCAAAACAAATTTAAGAGGTTTCCATGGAGTAGAAAAAATTATAATTTCACTAAGGCAAGGAAAAGGAAGAAACTCTTCTCTGAAGTACAACAGGACTTCATTGCTGTTCTAAAGCACAAATGTTGGATTTAAGAATATTATATCCTTCTTAAAAGTCAGAAGAAAACTTCTGACATAAAGCCAACTGTGGCAGGCCATATAGAAATGAATTTGTATTCATATAGAAATGAATTTGTATCTGAAAGGAATGACTTGGCATTGGGGAAACATCACTCTTAAAATCAGCACCCCATATTCTTAGGGTGTTTTCAACAATTTCAGGGTTTTTTTTCTTCCAGTTCTGAAAAATATATATATAAAACATAAGTTCATAAGGACTTGGGCAGTGTTAATTAATTCATTAACAAATATTATTAAGTTCGTGCGATATGCCATGCCTTGTCCTAGAAGCTAGATGTACCATGTTGAATCGTACCAACACGGTGCCTGTACTCTCGGTTTGCAGTGCAAGGAAAGACAATGTACAGTGTTAAAAATGAGGAGTGATGGGTGCTCTGACACTGGAAGTCCAGAGAGCCATGGGAACGAGTAACAAGCCTACCTAACTAAATGTAGGGGTCAAAGAAGGTAACATAGAAGAGGAATGTTGAAGCTAAGACCTGAAGATGAGTGGCAGAGCGGTTGAGTCACGGTCTGAATGGGAAGGCAAAGGAATGCCAGTATAAGAAGGTCCAGGCCGGGTGCAGTGGCTCACGCCTGTAATCCCAGCACTTTGGGAGGCCGAGGCAGGCAGATCGCCTGAGGTCAGGAGTTTGAGACCAGCCTGACCAACATGGAGAAACCCTGTCTCTACGAAAAATACAAAATTAGCCAGGCGTGGTGGCGCATGCCTGTAATTCCAGCTACTCGGGAGGCTGAGGCAGAAGAACCGCTTGAACCCGGGAGGCGGAGGTTGCAGTGAGCCGAGATCGCGCCATTGCACTCCAGCCTGGGCAACAAGAGTGAAACTCTGTCTCAAAAAAGAAAAAAGAAGGTCCAGATGTCAGACAGCGTGGCACCTGGGCACTTGTATGAAAACATAAGTTCAAGATGCCTGAAGGGCAGCACAAGAAAAGGAGAGCTCTCTTAATGCCAATCCTTTCTTTTTTTTGAGATGTTTATCTATAAGATTGTTTTTCCCATTTGAAACACAAAATATCTCAGTATATTGCTTTGTCAAGACTTTGACCTTTTTACACAGAAAGACATACTCTATCCCTTTGATAGAGTCTGCAGTATGAGCTTGTTGGAGTGTAGCCTGGGCGACCAGTGTCCTGCTATTCGTCTTATAGGCCTATTTGGGCTTCTCCAAGTTAACAGAATATGATCATCCTTTTTTGGATATTTTTTTTTGAAACAAGGTCTTGCTCTGTTGCCCAGGCTGGAGTGCAGTGGCACAATCATAGCTTACTGGCCCCTCTGACTCCTGGGCTCAAGTGATCCTCCTGCCTCAGCCTCTCAAAGTACTGGGATTACAGGCATGCACCACCACACCTGGCCAGGCAATTTTCTTATCTAAGAAACATGAAAGGGAAAGAGAAGCAAAGCTACAGGGCAGTAAGTTGGTATTGAAGAGAGCAATCAATAAATCATCTTGCCAGCATAGTAAGCAACCTGAAAACAACCTCAAACACAATTCATCATCGAGTGTTCGGTAATGACCTCTCAGAAATTGTTTCTTGTCACTGGGTGATAAATAATTTTCTAAGACTAATGTGGGATTGTTCACCCTATGGTAGAATTACATATCCTTGGTGATTTGGGTTAGAAACAGAGTCCTGGGCACAAAACTCAGAGATTAAACCCACGTCATTTTTATCCAGATCAATACTTAGAATTAAATGTATGACCTAAATAGCCATCTTAAAATTATTTTATTCTCCAGGACAATGGTCTTCTTCCAAGCTGGATGGCATGAAATAATGAGGATAGGCTGTCTCCACATTCCTGTAGAATTCCCTGGAGAAATCTGATTCACAGGAGAGCTCACCTCATAGCATCAGTTACCTAGGGAGCTCTGTGGGAAGTCACTTGAGAATGCTACTGAGAATAATAAAAAGCATCCTCTCTCACTGACAGGAAGTTGATAATGTCTTCATAAATATTTGGAATGAATTAATATGATTCAATTTACTCTTTAATGTGGATGGTCTCTGATAGCAACATATTGGAATATCTGTTTCTAAAAACAAAGCAATTTTTAGAAACTCAGTTAATCAATACAGTGTTTTTCATGGTATTTTCTCATGACTTGGTGAGCATTTTTTGGAACAGTGTGTTTTTCTTTCAGCTCTGTTGTCATCACCCAATGGAAATTTTAGACAGCCTTTGTGACAATAGCAGAAAATTTTCCTTGCTAAAATGTAATTTTATTTTGTGGGTATATTATATTTAGCCTATTTTCAAGCTGGACCTGTCATCCTTCTCCCCCAGTGAGTGGTGAGAAAGCTGTCTAAGGAGATTCCAGCAAGTATGCTTTCTTGGGGTGGACATGTGGTTTTCTCAGTGGGGAGGGGTCACAACGATGGAACTCATAAAGGGTAAAACTGCAGCAATGAAAATACAAAAATAAGCCATAGTCTAAGTAGTGTGCCGTTAACCCTAAGGCCACAAACTCAATTGTTTCAAATAGTTAAAGAATTAGTTGGTTCTTTCAAACTAAAATTTTGTTTCTGTAATTTTGTTTTGACCTTATGCAAGTGATGGTTCTACAGTGTCATATTCTAGAAAGATAAAAGAGCCTTGGAAATGGAGACATTGATCCATATGCTTTTACTTGACTGTCTTTTAAAATAAGGTGCATGATGCCTCCATATTCCATGTTTTAGAGGCCCAGAAATGGCCTGCCCTAAGGAGCTATAGTTGGGAGTTGGGTTTCTCTCAGCCTAGGCAAAAGCAGGGGATCCTACATGGGGCAGCTGGAGAAGTTTGGGCTATGGAGCACAGTTCAGGCCAGAGTCTGTGAGACAAAGTGTGGAAAGACCAGAGGCCGAATCTCCTCTTTACTGGAGATAGAACCTCTTTGCTGGAGATAGAACCAAAGCCTGGAAACCTGAGAGGCAGGGCCCTGAGCGTTCACTGAGAGCACCGCTGTATTTGCAGCTCCTACATAAAGCATATCCTGGAATCTGTCCTCCACACTAATATGAAAATGATCTTTGTAAAATACCCATGTGATTGTCGTGTACCTACTTGAAATCCTTCATGGTCCTGTAACTTTCAGGTTAAAAAATCCGAGAGCCCTTTTGAGCTCCTTAGCTTTCTGAACTGATTTCTTATTGTTCTCTGAGTTTGCATGCATTGCTGTAGCCCCCAGGACCTATTCAACGTTCCCAAGTGCATCAAGCTGTTTCATCCCTCCCTGTGGGTTTTTCCACTGGAATGCCTATTCTTCTTGGGCTATCATCTAGCTAATTCCTGCTTAACCTCCTTGGGTTGGCTGGGTTGAAAAAATATCTCCCCCAACAATACCCTACACCTGCCTTCATGATAGTATTCACCATGTTTTTCTGTAATTCTTAGTGTTTGTCTGTCTCCCCACTGCACCATAAGTTTCTTAAGGGCAGAGACCAGGGCTCATTTTACTTTGCATTTCAGTGCCTAGCAAGGTACTTAATAAATAATTGAATAAATATTGAATAAATGAATTAACTACTTTAGAGTGTAATTACCATAATTTTATAAAGAAAGGAGGAAGCTTAATTTACTCATTTTTTAAATTTATTTATTTTTTAGACAAGGTCTCACTCTGTTACCCAGGCTATAGTGTAGAGGTGTGCTGTCTGCTCACTGCAACCTCCGCCTCCCAGGCTCAAGCAGTCCTCCCACCTCAGCCTCCCAAGTAGCTGGGACTACAAGGGCACACCACCACAGCTGGCTAATTTTTTAAGTATTTTTTGTAGAGACGGGTTTCACCACGTTGGCCAGGCTGGTCTCAAACTCCTGGCCTCAAGCAATCTGTCTGTGTCAGTCTCCCAAATTGCTGGGATTACAGGCATGAGCCACCATGCCCAGCCTATTCATTATTTTAATTTGTGGTACATTATGTTTATAAATAACTTTCACATATTGAGGAAGGATAAATAAATGGTATAGATGGAAGTAGATATAAATGGAGATAGAGAGAGAGAGATAGTACTTTAAAAGTTATTTCATTTGTGTAATTGTTCATCAATAAATATGGATTGACTAACTGTTATGTGACAAGCACTGAGCTTAGCAGTATAGAGAGAAAGTCATTTAGAGACAGGCCCTGTCTCCAAAACTCATTCTGGTGGAAATGAATAGACACACAAGCAATAAATGTAGTACATTTTGATAAGTACTGTGGTCAACATAAACTGAGTCTTGAACTTTAACATTTTACATTTAACATTGAACTTTATTGAGGTTAAATTTACAAATCATAAAATTCACCCATTATAAATGTATATATAACAATTTTTAGTATGTTTGCAGAGTTGTGCAAGGACTACCATGTCCTAATTTTAGGACATTTTCATCACCCAAAAAGAAAGCTTGTGTCCATTTGTGGTCACTCACTCTTCGTTCCCACTCCCAGCCCCAGGAAGCTGCTAATCTCCTTTCTGTCTCTATAGATTTGCCTTTTCTGGACATTTCCATAAATGGAATGGTACTGTATGTGATCTTTGTGTTTGGGTTTTTCCCTTGGCATAAGGTTTTTGAGGTTATCCATGTGGTGGCATATATCAGTATTTCATTCCTTTTTATTACCCGATAGCATTCCATTATAGAATATATCGCATTTTATCCATTCACCAGTTAGTGGACATTTGGGTTGTCTCCCTTTTTGTGCTAAGAACTTTGGAATTAAAAAAAAACTTCTTCTGATCGTGAGTCTGGCTTATGTTTTGCATTGCTACTTATGAAATCTGTCTTTATTTTACATTCGGTGACTAGACTGGGGCCTAATTTCTTTTATTTGTGATGCTAGAACAAAACTATTAGTTTTCCTGAAATTACTCATTCCATTAACAGGTCTGCATTAAAACCTTGCCCTCGCCATAAAAAAAAAAAAATCAAACTTCTTAACAATTTAAAGCTAGGTAGCTGTAGTAGGGTGCTATAAGAAATATATTTTTTTCTGAAGCCAATCTGCCATATTTTCTGCATTCACTGAGCTTTGAAAGCTGGGAAGAATTTCATTTCATGTCACTCGCTCCCATGAATCGTACACTGTTTAGAAATGGACATGTGTGAGACATCTTGATTCCTTTGAAAGTAGATTTATAAAATGCTGCCCAGTAAGAGCAACCATATGATTCCATAATTATTGTTTCCCAATAAGCTCCCAAGAAGCAAATTGCTCCCAAGAAGCAAATTGCTGTCATTACCAAATGTCATCAGTTAAATAAACTACGATCTTTGTGTCTGTAGACCAATTGAGGATCCCTCCTTTAGGGAAATAAAGCCAAAAATAAGTGTTCTATTTCTCAAGAAGTCTTCCTGCCTTTTGCATAGTCCAATACACATGCGTGCATCTCTCATAGCACTTGGCACTTTCTGTAATTCTTGGTCCCACTAGACTGGAATCTTCTTGCAGACATAACCAAGTCCTACTTGGCTAGGACCATCATTTCTGGAAGTGCCCAGTTTCAGGTTTCCATAGGACTTTAAACAACTTACCACAAAAATTTATGTGACCATTTTATTTCATTGTTTTATTAAATACATAGCTATACTTCTTTAACTTAAAAATATAAAAGTACATTATGATTATTTCTTTAATTCAGATGCCCATGAGGGAAGCATGTAGAACTGTCTTTTCAGTATGTTTTAATGTCACAGGTGAAAGAAGAATCTCATAAATTCTCTCACATTTTAAAATCAGAAAGGGACGGTTGACTTCACATTTGCAGAATCCTCTGGCTCCATGTTCCTGAAAGTAATGACAACTGAATGTGTAGAAGTCCTGAGGGTATGCAGATGCCTGTCGTATTTGAAATACCCACGGCTGCCCCTGAACTTGCTGCATCAATGGAGCCAAGTGTCAAGTCGACTTGGTGCCCGTTTTCATATGATGGGCTGGTTCGACTCCCCCAGGCTAAGAGGCATTTAATCTGTTTCCCTTTTGAATTAAGTGTTTATATAACTTGACGTTTTAAAAAATAGGCTTTGTCTTCCCCAGTGCCTGTCATTTTCTATAATACTCTGATTTGAACTCTAGCAACGGACATCACTGTACCTCCCTGAGTACCAGACTTTCTCACAGCATAAAAATGAAGTTGTGTAACTGTGAGGACACATAGTACCATTTTGGACCAAATTACCAGTTGACTTAAATCCTCTCATAACAGCCAATGTTGAAGTTGCCATAAAAAGAAAAGTCTTACGTACTTGAACTAATGCCATTTCAGTCCACGATGGAAAACTCCTTCCAGCTGATACCAGTTTTAGACACTGAAATCTCAGAAGGTCTAAGTCTTATAACTATTTTAGTGAATGTAACTGGTAGTTTTTTTTCACGCATAATAAGCTAATCTGTTTGCTGTAATAATATTCAACATCTGCAGGTGCCACATGTTAAGTACACATTGCAACTACAAGTGTAGCAACTTACTAAAAATTTGATATCCTCAAAAATTCTCAAGCCCAGACATTCAAATGGAGAACCTGGCAGTTTCTTGACTTTCCAAGGCTAATCATCAGGGAACTTGAATGCAGCTTCATTGTCATGGTTCATCCTCCCATTGATAGTTACATGCTTCATTCTATTTCATTTCTATTTCTTACTGTTTCCTTCTGTAATTTCAATATTTCCATGTGAGATGATTAAACACCACTAACTTTCTATTCCAGTGCAACTTGAAGTTCGTTGTTTGTCAGTGATTTGTGATGAGATAAATACAGAAATGGGCAGTAAGCATTGATATATCACAGTATGATTATATCTGCTGAATCTAATTTTTAAAATTGGAAGCTGGCCGGGTGCGGTGGCTCACACTTGTAATCCCAGCAGTTTGGGAGGCCGAGGCAGGCAGATCACGAAGTCAGGAGATCGAGACCATCCTGGCTAACACAGTGAAACCCTGTCTCTACTAAAAATACAAAAAATTAGCCAGACGTGGTGGTGGGTGCCTGTAGTCCCAACTACTCGGGAGGCTGAGGCAGGAGAATGGCATGAACCTGGGAGGCAGAGCTTGCAGTGAGCCGAGATCATGCCACTGCACTCCAGCCTGGGTGACAGAGCGAGACTCTGTCTCAAAAAAAAAAAAAAAAAAAAAAATTGGAAGCTTATATTTTGTACATCTTTGTCTGTTAATTGATTTTTCTATTAATTAATTTTTATTGTATTTTACAATCCTGTGAAGGATTGGAGGTAGGATGGGGAATTATATTCTTCAGCATAGATAGTTTAAGAAACACTGCCCCATTCCAGAGATATTTGGTTAGTGGGAAGAATGGACAGGTTCCCATGTTTCCCACCTGAGAATATAGTTTGTTGTTATTTGTAAAATTTAGTGTGAAAGTTCTTCTCCTCCAATGTTCTATAACATTAACTGTCTAACATTATGCCAACATCCAAGAATTATATTTTGGGATAAAGAGGCATTTGAATTCTAGGCTTGTACCCACCAAACTACTCCCCACAAATAAAGTCATTCCATCTCACGTACATAATTTCACAGATTATATAAGACAGCTTTTATATTTCTATAATTGTATTCCATATTACTGGTTTTAATTCCTAATTTGGCATTATTAGTGCTAAATATTTTATTATTCATTATATTTTAATTATTATTTAATTATTTATTTATTTATTATTTTGTATTATTCATTATATTCATTTATATTTTAAAATATATTATGTATTTTCTAATATGCAAGATTTTTTCCAAGAGTATGAACTAAGAACAAAGCCTAGGTCTTTGAAAAATTTTAAGTCCAATAATAATACTGCTGGTAACATGAGTCTCATGAGTTTTGTTTTGTTTTGTTTTAAGGATTTGCTCATGATAAAATTATATAACTTACTTTTGATAATGAAAAAATAAGATATCGTGATTATCATAATATTGTGATATCATTAGCCTGTGACAGCTGTCTTCTGGCCACCAGTCTTAGCTGCCTTGTCTAATTTGAACAAATGAAGAACAATTAGGTGCCCTTTGCCTTACCTTCTCTCGTTTGCTGCGGGCCAGTTTGCAGTTACAGCCAGACATGGTGGATGATATGTGTGTCTCTGTGTTTACATGGGAAGGGTGGGCAGGGCTTGGGAGCATGAACTTCCCACAGCACTTTTCTTACCCCAGTTTGTCTCTGTTCTTTGAACAAAGTGGAGACCACTCCTTTGGTGCACGGATGTCCTTTTGCAAAAGCACTCCTGTGACACCTCTTGTGTCTGAGCGTATACCTGCTGATGTGAAGTTCTGTCCTTCCTGTGCTCTTGTACAAGGTTCTCAGGGGCTTGAGAGACTGTGCCATACAGGGAGCATAAATCCTATTGTCTGTCAACCTGCACGTCCACCTCACAGCTGGGGAGAGGGCAAGCTCTGTGTTCTAAAAAAAGCAACAACTCCCTGTACAAATTGTCAGTCATTTGGCCTCAAATGGGTCCCAGGCTCAGAAATATATAGGCAGTTCGTAATATTCCAGAAATATTCTCAGAATGACTTAAAAGTTAACCAGTTTAACCTTATCTGTGGACGCCTGCTCTCCCAATAGTCACAGAGTTGTAGTTTGGGCTGGATGTGCCCTGAGAGGAAATAAAAGGAGAAGCAGAAAGAGAAAGAACCAGGGATGGGAGAGAGTACCAATATTCCTTGTCTCTGTCATTCCCTGCATTCAAGAACTATCAACCCTGCTTATCTAAAAATCAGCAAATTATCCTAAATCTGGATTTCCCTCAAACATAATACTGTGCCTTAGAGTTCGACATTGTTTTTTCATTTCTTAAACTACAGGAACACTTATATCAAATCGAACACGATTCCAAATATAATATAGAATGTTTATCTTAAGGACCAAATGATATATTTACATTGGGAAAGAAAATAGAAAATCGATATCAAATTTGAGCATTTTAATATTATCTGCTGTCCCCATGAGAAGAGAAATAATTAATTGTATCATAACTACATCATGAACTATTAAAGGATATGGAAGTACTCTAGGCCTAATTTAATTTTTGTTTATTCTTCAAAGGTTATTTCTTAAAATATCCTCTTGCAGACATGCAAAGCCCTTTACTTTGCATAAGGTGGCTAGGACAAAGACTGGCTTTTAGAGGCAAATCAGTGAGTTTGCATGTGAGACGTGCCATATATACTCACAAATATATCCCTTTCTTCTTGTCTCTCCAACTGGAAGCCCTCCTCAGTATTCAGAAATACCAGAGTTTATATACCGTGTGCATTTGTCCTGTTTATGTATTCCTGAATTTTATAAAGAGAAATCTGCCTTAATCGATCATTCTAAAGACCAAAAATAAATCCATGATGTAGTAGCAGTTCTTAGTTAACAACAATTTTTTTAAATGTGTATGGAAACTCTTGATCAAAATATTCTGAAAGATGGAGACTTTTACATAGACAGACATTTTTAAAAAGTGTTCTCATATCTTCCCAAAGATAGCAAAATAAAGGAAAATAAATACTAATTCATTAGTATGAGTCATTGATAAGCATATTTTTAAAAAATACTGAATTGTATTACCTTTATTATCAATCTGGATCAAGCAACAATTAATGGTAGTGGTTGTTTTCAATTTAAAAAGTTTTAGAGCATCTGTATGGCCATCTTTTTCTCATTAAGAAGGTAAAAGTACACTTTTAATTAATAAAACAAACAGTAATAAATTAATAAATTATTAATAAAATAAAATAGTTAATAGAATAAATAAATACCTTATTTGTTCAATTTATTGAACTCTATGTTTCAAGCTCTTAAACTGATATTTTTCCTCTGACAACAAGGGCACCTACATTTTTGTCAAAATTAACTGTAGGTTATTAGCTTAACTGTATTAAGCTGAATCTTTATAAAATTTAATAATGATAAAACTTCATCATTATATGCCTGTATTCCCTTACCTGTAAAACAGGTTAATAACATACCAAGTTTAGAGGAATCATTTGAGGACTAAATGATATAATCAACATTAAGTAAAGAACAGTGTTTGGCATAAAGGCAGTGCCCAAAATATGCATACAGTTTGTTTGATATAAATAACTATCAACCTCTCTTATCATCTCCCCACTATTTCCTCCAGTTTGGGAAGGAAATGAAGAGATAAATATTTCACATTTTAATGAAGTAGAAGAGTCTTTAACAATGTGTCTTCTACTTAGCAGCCCCTGTCAGCATCAGAAATTGTTTGCTTCAGTAATTTTCTTCTCCTGTTTTAGAAATAAAATATCTTCTTCAAAATTAGGGACCAGGTATTTAAATAAGTATAGAGTTTACTTAGAGAGTGACCTGTTTGTCCATGTTCATGATTATGTGACTATGACAAATGCTATCCAAGATGACAGATTTTTAAATATTAATCAAGTAATCTAACAAAATGTGCATTTAAAAAAAAGAGAGTCTTCTTAATCTATATTGGACATCTCCTCTGATTCATTCATGATCTTATGTTCAAAGGAAGAGGTTTCTTTAAACGATAAAGGTAGAGCCATCAGCAAATTAAACAACAGTACCAAATACCTACTCTTTTTTTTTCTGGCATGATTTTTCTATTGTCTAATTCACCTCATCAAATGTATTTCCTGAAACTGACTTTTGACACATCAGTATATTCATAATCCCTGAGTGAATCACTGACAAAACTTTGGTCATTATTTAACAGAGCCAAGTTATTCCAGCAATTTCCTCATCCTGATTACTTAATGCTTTCTGCATCTGTTATGTATTTTCCAAGACCTCTTGCAAATCTGGTATTAGTTGCACAAGGTGACACATCAAATTAGTAACAGAGATAGAATATAGATTGAGTTGAATCAGGGTCCTCGGCTGTAGCCCATGAACCGCACTGAGAAAGTGATTTTCCTAAAGCGATTTAGTAACTGGTACTTGCAGAGTCATCTATTGGAGGCAGATTGGTGTAACCTTGTCAGGAGACGAGATGATAAATCTGATGGTTTTTGAAGTTTCCCTCCTTGCTTTCCTTCCTCTATTTTTACGTCCTTCAATAAATATTTATTAAGGGGTTTCTCTGTGCTAAGTGCTTGGGCAAGAGTTCAAGAGTGAATCAGATGTGGATCTTGCCCTGAAGAAGTTTATAATCTAGCTGGGAGATAAAGCAGGCATAAGGAGGATGCATGTGCTGAGTGGCCTAAGAGTTGCATAAAGTAATAGGATAATTCGCAAGCAAGAGATGATTTCAGTTCGGGGAATTAAGGAAAACATTAATCTCTTGGAGAACTTGATAAAGACAACAGACCTTTCTCCAGAAAAATATAACTCCCATTATGTATATAATCTCAAAGAGCTCATGGCACCACTGGAAGTGGTGTTGGGGGGTTATGATGTGGCTAGACCCTGGGTTAAGAATCTCTTTCTTAGAGAATGTGTATTGGACTAGAGCCTTCAAATCAGGTAGGATTTGGATGGGAAAGGTATAGTGGAAGAACCCGTGGATGGAGAGAGCAGCCTGAGGTCACCTGGAGTAAGTACAAGGATCTTCAGAAACAGCCCCATTCTGATCTTGGATTCTGCTGTATTATCTAAGAGCAGGTTTTCTGTATAAATCATTCTGCTAACTTTAGGGACCTTTATGAACCATGGACATGCTAAAAGTTTCTCATTTAGATAAAATTCATTTTCATCCATTATTGTTTTCCTCTATGGAGAAGGGTGTATTTTTTCTATATGCTAGTCTTTCTATGGGAAAGGCAAACAAAAAAGAATGGCTCTGTGTAATTAATTTGTTGTTTTTCAAGATCACTTCTGCATTCTTTTAAAATGGAGTTATCCTCCCAAGAAACTTTGCTACTTCATATTATCCGTCATTCATATGCAAGACTAAAAAGTATCGATCACAGCAAATTACTATTTAATCAGTGTAAATATCACTACTGCCTTATTGTTGAAGCTTATTATGCTGTCCTTTGCCATTATTGGGGGTGTTTCAAAGCCTATAATCAAACTAAACAGACTGGTACAACAACTACTAAATGAACAATTCTCTTTCCGTAATATGTGAAACATGCCTTAGCCTTCCTGTCTTAGGAAAGAGTTGGATAACAGCCAGCTCCTACAACTCTGGTGCAGATTGAGATAATACTTGTAAAATGCTTGGGGAAAGCCTCAGATTCATAGTAAGCACTCAGTAAGTGTCATCATCGTCATCATCATCATTAATTAATATTTCTACTTTTACCTGAGATATTATCTATGTCTTTTCATTACCTAATTCTCCAACTAAATGCTGCTCACATGCTATTCAACAAAGATTTTACCTAGGGAGTCATCGCTCCCTAAAAATTGGACTTATATTAGAAATAGCAGCAAGGTGCAGTGGCAGGTGCCTTTAGTACCAGCTAATCACTACTTGAGAGGCTGAAGCAATAGGATAGCTTAAGCCCGGAGTTCAAGGCTGCAGTGAACTATGATTACACCTGTGAATAGCCACTGTGCTCCAGCCTGGGCAACAAAGTGAGGCCTCAGTCGCTAAAAGAAAACAGAAAAAAAGAAAAATAAATAGGGTCCACTATTCCAGAAAATTCAATTTCAGAGAGTTAAAATTAACTGAACAGATAATTTGGGAAGCAGTTATTCTCATTAAAAAAATGATTTTTTTTCTAACATGAAGCAGCATTTGAATTACAGTTTCTTTCAATAAATTCCTCTAAAACTAGTTTTCTAAGTCTGATTCTTTTACCAGCAGCATCAGCATCATCTGACAGTTGTTAGAGATACCAATGCTGGGCCCAATCCCAGGCCTTCTCTATCTGAAATTCTGGGATTGGAGCTGAGCCACAAGCCCTCCAGGTGATCCTGATGTAGTGAGGTTTGAGAATCACCATTCTGCAATCACACAAGAGAAACAAAGAAAGGGCATTCAAATAGGAAAGGAAGAAGTCAAACTACCTCTCCTCACTAACAATATGATTCTATACCTAGTAAACCTTAAAGACTGTCAAAAGGCTCCTGGAACTGATAAACGACTTCAATAAAGTTTCAGGATACAAAATCAGTGTGCAAAAATCAGTAGCATTTCTGTATGCCAATAATGTTCAAAATCAAGCAAACTCAAGCAAAATCAAGAATCCAATCCCATTTGTAATAGCCACACACACACACACACAAATACCTAGGAATACATGTAACCAAGGAAGATCTCTAAAAGGAGAACTACAAAACACTGCTGAAAGAAATCATAGATGACATAAACAAATGGAAAAACATTCTACATTCATGGGGTAGAAGAATTAATATCATTAAAATGTCCATACTGCCCAAAGCAATCTACAGATTCAACACTATTCCTATCAAACTACAAACATCATTTTTCACAGAATTAGAAAAAACTATTCTAAATTTCATATGGAACTGAAAAAAGAACCAGAATAGCCAAAGCAATCTTAAGCAAAAAGAACAAATCCAGAGATATCACATTACCCGACCTCAAACTATACTATAAGGCTACAGTAACCAAAACAGCATGGTACTGGTTCAAAAACAGACGCATATACCAACTGAGCAGAATAGAGAACTCAGAAATAAAGCTGCACACCTACAGCCATCTGATCTTCAACAAAGTCAACAAAAATAAGCAATGGGGAAAAGACTTCCTACTCAATAAATGGTGTGGGAATAGCTGACTAGCTATGTTCAGAAGAAAGAAACTGGACTTCCACCTTTCACCAGATAAAAAAATTAACTCAACATGAATTAAACATTTAAATGTAAGACCGCAAACTATAAGAATCATAGAAGAAAACCTAGGAAAAACCATGCCTTGGGAAAGAATTTATGAGTAACTCCTTAAAAGCAATTGCAACATAAACCAAAAACTGACAAGTGAGACCTAATTAAACTAATGAGCTTCTGCACAGCAACAGAAACTATCAACAGAGTAAACAGATAACATACAGAATGGAAGAAAATATTGGCATACTATGTAACTGACAAAGGTATGACATCTATAATCTATAAGGAACTTAAAGAATTCAATAAGCAAAAAACAACATCATTAAAAAGTGAGCAAACTAATTTACACTTCCAACAACAGTGTAAAAGTGTTCTTATTTCTCCACAGCCTTGCCAGCACTTACTGTTTCTTGACTTTTTTAATAATTGACATTCCGGCTGGTATGAGATGTTATCTCGTTGTGGTTTTGATTTGCATTTCTCTAATGATCAGTGATGATGAGCTTTTTTTCATATGTTTGTTGGCCGCATAAATATCTTCTTTTGAGAAGTGTCTGTTCATACTCTTTGCCCACTTTTTGATGGGGTTGTTTGTTTTTTTTCTTGTAAATTTGTTTAAGTACCCTGTAGATTCTGGATATTAGACATTTGTCAGATGGGTAGATTGCAAAAATTTTCTCTCATTCTGTAGGTTGCCTGTTCACTCTGATGCTAGTTTCTTCTGCTGTGCAGACGCTCTTTAGTTTAATTAGATCCCATTTATCAATTTTGGCTTTGGTTGCAATTGCTTTTGGTGTTTTCATCATGAAGTCTTTGCCATGCCTGTGTCCTGAATGGTATTGCCTAGGTTTTCTTCTAGGGTTTTTATGGTTTTGGGTTTTACATTTAAGTCTTTAATCCATTTTAAGTTAATCATTGTGGAAGACAATTTGTGGCGATTCCTCAAGGACCTAGAACCCGAAATACCATTTGACCCAGCAATCCCATTATGGGTATATACCCAAAGGATTATAAATCATTCTACCATAAAGACACATGTGCATGTATGTTTATTGCAGCACTATTTACAATAGCACAGATTTGGAACCAACCCAAATGCCCATCAATGATAGACTGGATAAAGAAAATGTGGCACATATACACCAAGGAATACTATGCAGCGAGAAAAAAAGAATGAGATCATGTCCTTTGCAGGGACATGGATGAAGCTGGAAGCCATCATTCTCAGCAAACTAACACAGGAACAGAAAACCAAACACCACATGTTCTCACTCATAAGTGGGAGTTGAACAATGAGAACACATGGGCACAGGGAGGGGAACATCACACACCAGGTTCTGTTGGGGTTTGGGGGGCAAGGGGAGGGAGACCATTAGGACAAATACCTAATGCATGCAGGTCTTAAAACCCAGATGATGAGTTGATAGGTGCAGCAAAACACCATGACACATGTGTACCTATCTAACAAACCTGCACGTTCTGCACATGTATCCCAGAACTTAAAGTAAAATTAATTAATTAATTAATTTAATTTAAAAAGTGAGTAAAAGACATGAACACACACTTCTTACAAGAAGACAGACAAGTGGCCAATAAACATATGAAAAAACGTTCAACATCACTAATCAGAGAAGACAAATCAAAACCACAATGAGATACCATCTCACACCAGTCAGATAGCTGTCAAAAAAATAAACAAATGACAAATGTTATTGGTCAAAAGTCAAAAAATGACAAATGCTGGCAAGGCTATAGAGAAAAGGGAACACTTATACACTGTTGGAGAGAATTTAAATTAGTTCAGCCTCTGCGGAAAGCAATTTGGAGATTTCTCAAAGTACTTAAAACAGAGCTACCATTTGACCCAGCATCCCATTTTTGGGTATATATCTAAAAGAAAAAAAATCATTCTACCAAGAAGACACATGTACTCACACATTCATTGTAACACTGTTTACTATAACAAAGATATGAAATCAACCCGAGTGTCCATCAGGGATTGGATAAAGAACATGTGGTACATATACACCATGGAAAACTACACAGCCATAAAAAAGAACAAAATCTCGTCCTTTGCAGCAACATATAGGTAGCTGGAGGCCATTACTCTAAGCAAATTAACCCAGGAACAAGAATACCACATGTTCTCACTGATAAGTGGGAGTTAAACATTTGGGTACCCATGAACGTAAAGATGACAACAATAGTCTCTAAAGACAACTAGAGGTGGGAGGGAGGGGAACAAGAGTTGAAAAACTAACTGTTGGGTGCTATGCTCATTACCTGGGTGATGGCATCAGTCGTACCCAAGTCTTAGCATCACACAGTATACCCATGAAATATACCTGCACAAGTACCCCCTGAGTCTAAAATAAAAGTTAAAATTATTTTTTAAAAAAAAGAGAGAAAATGACCACTTGAACACATTTCAAACCAAAACCAAACAGGCACTGTTGGTTACACATTTAAAATGTTATTTAACCATTTTCTTTACACTTAATAGTCAAGAAATTAACCAGTTACATAAAAGCAAGCACATCTCATAGCAGTGGACGTCATTTAATGACAAAGTTATCTATTCATAACACCATCCTCTAGCATCTTCATTGCCCTGCTTTCCACAACATGTTGATACTGCAGAGATGCAGTATGAGCTGTGGTATTTTACCTTACACCTGTCCCTTTATGTAGATTTTTTTAAAAACTTTCCTCTACTTCCATTTTTTTCATACTTTCTAGATTAGGAAAGAGGATAGGCTGGAGTAGGCAGAATTATCATTATCAATACTATTTTTAAGAAGTTATCCTAAGGAAATAATTATGCATGAGTTCAAGTGTACAGAGATTCAGGTATAAGGACATTAATTGAGGGTGATTATCATAGCAAAAAATGGGAAACATCTAAATGTCCAATAGTTGGGGGAATGGTTGAGTGATTTATGCAACACACATAAAAGGAAAAATTGCGCAACCATTTAAAATTATATGGACATATCATTATTTATTAAGTAGAAAAACTTACAAAGCAGTACTTTTTCATATAGAATAGATATGTAATATTGTACATTTGAACATCATGTATGTTATCCAAAACATTAACAATGATTATTTTTGAAAGATTAAGATTACAGGAAATTTTAGCTTTCTTCTTTTCAATTAGGTGTATTTTCTAAGTTATCTACAATGATTATCTTAACTTAGGAAAAAAAATACTTAGCAGAACACAGAACATCAGACAAATTCATCTTCATCTCTGTCACTGATAATGAAGCCAAAATCCCACCCCAGCACTATGTCACAACATGATCTTCTCAGAGGATGCACATACCAAAACATAAATTAACTTTCCTGGGTTCAAATTCTGTGCCAGCTCCTTTTTGAGGTTGGAGGAACTCGCTCAGCATTGCTCTCATTTCCAGCGAACTCAGTTTCTTCCCTACCCTCCGCTTGTCATTTTCCAGGGAACTCCCCACTGAGACCAAGACATAGAGGAGTTTCTGAACATGAGCAGCACTGCTCATCTTAACACCAAACAAATTGTGCCAGCAGTATGGAGTCTGTACCAGTATCCTAAAATTATAAACATGCTCTATAGGTGGCCTGGTTTTGTTTTCATTTTGTGTTATGTCCCCCAGAGTCTGGAAAATAGGACATGAAGTCAATTACTTTGCTAGTGGCCATTCAGAAAGCTTGGATTCCTTGCACATTGGAAAGGAGGGGAGGGCTGACCTTATCAGACCCAAACTGTCTCAGACCACCACTCTTGGAAGGAAAGAAATAATGTGGAAATATTGAACCATGATGTTCATATAATTCAAAAGTCAGCTTCCACCAGGAATCTGCTAGAAAAAAATAGTGGACTTGAGCTGTTAAATGTTGTGGTTTGTTTAAGGGAATCCTTTCAGCCTGGCTGACAGCTCTGGCAGGAAGTTGTGATGTGGAGCTGCTATTATACCTTAGAAGAGGCTCTGGAAGCAGCTGTGTCACCAGGTGTTAGGGGAGAATGCCAGGTGTCCTATGGATTTCCAGGGATCCACTCCCCGTGGCATGTCTTTCCATCTGCTTTCTGTGCACTGCGTCTGCACTACCCTTCTGCACAGTGACCTGGACCCACCTGCAGACTGACAAGGAGCATTAAGGGACCACTTCCGCAGCCCATTTCTATTAAGAAAGCTTTTAGGTTTGTTTTTCATCTTGCTGGAGCAACAATTGAGAGCTCTTATGTAAATATCAATGAATGCTTAATCAGAAGGCCAGCAACATCAGCGTATAGAAATTAAAGGCCTTTTCTTTTCCTAGCTATGCCATTTTCTCCATAATTCTAAGCTCAGTCTGGTGCAATTGGGAGGCAGGAGTTTAACCATCAGCTTACACAGAATGTTACAAACACTCCCACTATTGTGAGATAAGAGTAGCAAGGTTCAGCTTCTGGGAAGCCTCTCAAAGATGGAGATTGGCAGGCAGTAAGTGATTAGGAAGTGCCCCTGGACTCAACACCTGTGGGAGAACATAGAGGAGCACAGAGAGCTGGACTGGGCAGGGGAAGAAGTTGAACTTCAACATCACTGCCACAACCTCCAGCTGGTCTAGAGCTAGGGTGATCTTTCACAATTGTCAGCAGTTGGGGCAAGGGGCACTGGGCCTGTATACCTCTACACTGACCAGTCCTTGGGTACAGTGTGTCCCATGATCTTCGACCAAGTAGCTCTCTTCAGCCTCAGACAGTTCCCAGAGAGGGTCTCAGCTGAGAGCTGCTGGTTGCATGTACTTTCAGAATCAGAGAGGATGAGGGCTTCTGTGCCAAGGTCAGGGTAGGAGAGAAGCTGGGCCATGCCTTAGTGTCTACTATAAAGAATAGCTACTCCCCCACACAAAAAAATCTCACTGTAATAGGTGGCTAAAATAAAACCATGGGAGTAGCTCTGGGACAAGAGATGTGAAGTCATTGAATGCCATAAAAACAACTCATGAAAACGATGTGTGATTAGGAAGGAAGCACTGGACTGAAGGATATGTCATTCTTAGAGAGTTAATAATCCTTCCACGCATCATTCTATTAATTTCACTGTTAGTAGTATGTTGCCTTTGATTCTATGCTTAAAAATGTAAACATAGTAGATGAAGTTCACAGAACTAGAACCAAAGCTGATGTCTGCATTTGAGTTTTCAGTGTACAGTTTCCAGAGGGTAGTCATCCCACACGTAAATCTCACAGCTCAAAATTTATTCTTGGATAATGTCAGTGACCATGAAAAACAGATCTTTGCTGCTAGAGTTAATTGAGAGAGTTCAAGTCCCAATTATTTTATCAGTCATTTAGTCAGTGGCATTTATTGAGCAAATAACCTTTTATATAAAGGTTGTAGGGCACTACCAAAGTGGAATGGCATTAATGACTACTAACATTTGGCTCATTCTTCATTCTCTATAGAACATTTTAGCATAATTTTATCTCATTTAATGAGTTGTGTTAGTGTCCCAGTTTATAGATTAGGAAAGTGGAGTTCAGAAAAGCAAGTAACTTGCCCAAAATCAACTATTAAGGGCTATTATTACCCTAAAATTTTGCCAGGGGTCTTCCATCTGAAAGGAGTTACTGAAATGGCAAAACTATTACAGCTCTCTCGGAGATACTGTCAGAGAAAGCTGGTGTGTGTGTGTGTGTGTGTGTGTGTGTGTGTGTGTGTATTGGTGAAACAGCCAAGTAATCCTAGACAAAGGGCACAGATAAGATGAGCAGTGTGTCCCCAAAAGGACCTCAGCTTTCAGAGGGACTCTCCTACCTAGCACCAAAACTATGGAGTAGGCTTCAAGATAAATCAGGAGTTACTGTCTTGAGTGATCTCTTTAAAGATGAGGAATTTAGCAGTGACTCCAAATACAGTCATCCTTCAGTATGCACAGTACTTGATTCCAACCCTCCCTCTCCCTCCACAGGTAACAAAATCTGCAGATGCTCAAGTCCCTTATATGAAACAGCATAGTATTTGCATATAACCTATGCACACCCCCCTTATACTTTAAATCATCTCTAGATTCCTTATAATACCTAATACAATGTAAATGTTATGTAAACATGTCATACCATATTTTTTAATTTAATTTTTTATTGTATTGTTATTTTTCCTTGCTTTTTTCCCAAATATTTTTCATCTGTAGCTGGTTGAATCCTTGGATGCAGAACCCATGGGTACAGAGGGCTGACTGTATGAAGCTGTGGGAGGTAATAAAGCCTAGGGTGGTTTAAATCTTATTTAGCTCAGATGGACCCTCTCTTTCTGCATGAGTGAGTCCCTTTGACATCTTTTCTCACTTCCTCACTATGTTCTTCAGCTAATCATTTTTGGGGACTGAAGCTTGAGCTATTTACCAGTAGGGTGATTTGGCTGAAGATTTGTTATCCCTGGAACGTTTTTCTTGAGATGGCCCCTCTCTGTTGCATACAGGCTTAATAAAGTTGTCTAAGCCCACCTAGTTATCTTGTCCTGATTTTACATGCAGGAACCATCTCCCATCCATTAACTTCATCAAGGAATTCCCTCCCATACATGGTCCAATCCAGTTTATCTGATAGAATGTAAAGTCAGAGTAATGACAGATGACATTAGAAGGCATTTAAGCTAGATCTCACTCATGGAGAGAAGATTAATAACATTGGAGACACTCTGCCTGGGCAGAAGTAAATCTCACTGGCAGGTTGTGCAAGTGTCTGTAAAGATGGAAGTGAGGGAGGTGTTTTTCCAACCTGCTGTAAGTTTGGGTGTAGTGTAGTGGTAGGGTAGCTCAGTAGACAGGAGGAACTCACTCAAAATTTGTGGGCTGGTGGAGGAAGACAATCAAGCCAACTAAACCACAGCATCTGGAGAATATGGGTGTCCATGGATCTTAAGAGACACCAGAGTTGGTTTGTGTGACATGTGTAGCATGAGAATGAAGTGATTGTTACCAGGGTGTCTGATAGCAGATAATGGCACCCCAAGCACCCTCAATGGGAGAACTGAGAGTGCAAACAAGAGGCTCAGTTTGTAAAGACCTGAGGTGCTATGCAGGTTGTTCAGACAGGTTCAGACTTATAGAGACAAGAAGAGGACCAGGTTCCTGATTGTGCTACTATATGGAGAGTTGGTTACAGGACTAGGGCAGAAGGCCCATTCCTAGATCTGAGGCTCCTCTATTAGAAGGAGCCAACAGCAGACCTGGCTAGGGAGGGAAAGATGGCAAACAGCGACTCCCAGAGAAGGCCCCTCCAGGGCCAAGGCAAAACTGAAAGACTGTGAAGAAGCCTGCATCTGGTCAGCATAGAGTGCAGGTATCTGTTGAAATGAGTCTAAAACCCTTCTGAAGAAAGACTCTGATCCTTCCCTCCTCTCACTAAACTCAGCCAAAGTCCAGAGTTTCCACAATTAAAAATAATTGCTACAAATAATTGTAGCACTGTTCTAATAGCTAAATATTGATACTTGGTTATAGATCTGTTGATGGAAGTGCATCATGGATTTTGGCTCAGAGTGTTGGTTTCAAACCATCAAATACAACATTTTTAAAAAGTAAAAAAATATAAGTGTAGTCCACAGTGACCCATATTAAATAAAATGCCTTTTCTTTAAGGTGACTGTGAATTGTTCAGGCATCAGGATTGCTGTTTAATTTCCCCAGAAAGGTAAATTACCAGTTAGTGTCATGGTGCCAGGTTTTTCCTCATGCATATAGGCACAGGGATTTATAGCTTTTTACAAAACCATTTCTGGAGTCTTATTGTTTCTATCTATGCACACTGCTGTGCTGAACACTCCATGAGTTAGGAAAATAAACATGACTGGTCTTTTCATTGTCTCACATATAATAAAAAATATGCTGATAATTTTTGTGTACTATAAAATCCCCTTTGAAGAATAGGGATGGGCAAAGTTGCCACAAATTTCTTAAAAATAACAATTGGGCCTTATTGCTTTAAATCACATACTTCTCAAAAACATATTTCCAGAAATTAACCTGCTTTAACCTACCCACAGTCCCAGTCTCTGTTCATGAATCTGTTTGTTAAGGGTTTGTGCTGCTCATTGCCTGACTGGTTCTCTGCTGAATTGCTCTTCTGTTTTGCTGCCTACTTCCTGTGATCAGCTCTGGGACTTCTTTGTTAAATACCAACCTTGTACTCCACTCTGCATATTACCTTGTAAAAGTTGGTGCTTTCCAATTAGTACTTAATGGGATATGTAGGAACCACGAGAGGTTATTTAATCTCAAACCTTGCCTTCATAAGGCAGAAGTAAACCATCCCAGAGAGGTAAGAACCTGAATTACAAAGACATCCAGAGAAAGTAATTTCACAACTTTCCTTATAACCGACTTTAATGTTTAAAAAATAATAACCCTCACAAAAATAATAACCCTCACAGACAAAAAGTGGCTCTGCTTAAAATCTTTAATTTAGGTTCCTCATGCTGCAATTTAAATTCTTCTTGGGAGCCCAGAGAAGATGAAAAATAGTTGGTGGATGCCTTTATGTTCCAAAGGAACCTCCTAATTGTCCCCATATTTCGCTTCTCCTTTAACGACCTGATCATTGATCTGCAAGCATAGCTTTTTGTTTGGTTGGGTTCCTTGGGTCTTTTCTTTAATCTCCATTTCCACAGAGCCTCAAATGGAACAAAAGGAGGCATGGTGTGTCAGTGATATGAGCTAGACAGTATCAGAAGGCCTGACCCCACTCCCACAAACACATGCTTCAGGGGAGCATTCATCTCCACACATACGGAAGTCCTGCCAACATTCAACACCCATAAAGAGGCTATCCAGAACTCAAAAACGAAAAGTGGCACACTGTCTAAATAAGAAAACAGAACGTGAGTAAGGTTTAACGTTTTTCCTGCTCACAGTGTTGTTGCTGTTCTTTTCTAATTTTCCTAATCATCTAGATATGATTTGGGAAATACACACTTTTGCTTTCAAGGAAATCATCAATTAAGGTATCAGCCAGCAGGAAACAGACCACAGAACACATTCGCATTAGGGTAATTTGAGGGCAGTGCAAAAAAAGGGACCTTTTACAAAGGTGGAGAGGGAGAGGGGAGCCCCAAGAGGTGGTGTTTAGTTGCTCTCTTCCTACCCCAAGGCCTGAAGAGTTGAGGAAACCAGAACCCAGCCACAGAAGGACTGTGTATAGAGAGGCCCAGACAGGAGCTGAGACCTGGGGCCATGGAGGCATCCAGACCAATGTGACACCATAGCCCACTGCAGCCAGTCTCTCCCCAGCACACCCAGTGGCTAACCAACAGGATGCTGGAGTGCAAAGGAACCTGCTGCTGTGGTCCAGTCCAGGTAGCCTTCCAGGGCCAGAGCAAGATATCGGGAAGGGTGGGGAGAGAACTTGGGGAGCAAATGAAAGATTTCCAGCACAGATGGTAAGAAGAAATGTGGCTTCTTATGAGAATTTGTGTTCTCTATTTGGCTTAGTTTCTTTTTTTCTTTGGAAAGGACATTATTTCAACAGTGCAATTGTTGGACAAACAGCTAAGCGCTCGTGGAGGTGAATCTGCAATTTTGTTCTAATTTGCTGAGATCATCCAAAATGACTTATCCTAGTACAATAAGGAATCAATAGTTGACTATGGTCTGGAAGTTGCCATTGATTTCAGAGAATGCCATCTTCTGGTGCATTATCTTAGAGTGAATGCTTCTCTCATCAAGGGTTGAAACAAGCCTCAAATCTCCCTGCAAGCTTTTCTGTACCAGTGTTAATTATTCAGACATTTTACCCTTTAACAGTGGAAAGAGTGATTACTTTTCAGTCTTTGATTTCAGTATCTCCATGAGTCTGCCTGTTCCTCACTCCCCTCAGCCAAGAATCAAATGCAGACTTGTTTTATGTCAGTCTTGTGGTTAAATATCTTTCCTAGTTCCTACCTTTGAAACTCACAATAATGTCTTTTTGCCTCTATTTTTTCTTAATAATGGGAGCAATATGTTTCCAAAGTCTGACACAGTTTAAAGAATGAGAATCTGGCATAAGGTTATTCTTATTCCTATCCTATTTTTATCTGCAGCCTTAGTTACATGAGAGATTTTAGAAATCAAACTCTCTCCCAGGATCCCCTTTCTACCTTGTGGACATCAATAGCCAAACATGTAACTTGGCTATATATCCTGCCAGATTGTTAAGGAGTCACTAATAAAAAATGGCAGGCACTGAAAAAAGAGACACATCGTTCACCCTTTGATAATACTGCTCTAAGTACTAACATTATTTACTTCCCCTTTACATATTTTCATCAAGCAGCCAGCTGTTTGAGCCTAACCTCTTCAGTTAAATGTATCTAGAAGAACAGAAATAAGATTTTTTCTTCAGAAAGAAAAACAAAAGTAAAAGAAAAATCTCCCTAAGCTGTCTCTATCACTTTCTCTGTGAAACAAAAAATTTTTAAATTTACATTGGCATGTGGTAAGGACAAGAGAAGATTCTCAAAACAAAATTTCTAACTGTGAAATTTGGCTAGCCTTCTGTATTAGACCATTTTTGCATCACTATAAAGGTATACCTGAGACTGGGTAATTTATGAAGAAAGAGATTTAATTGGCTCACAGTCCTGCAGGCTGTACAGGAAGCACGGTGCCGGCATCTGCTTGGCTTCTAGGGAGGCCTAGGGGAATTTTTGCTCATGGCAGAAGGTGAAGCGGGAGCAGGTGTGTCACATGGCAAGAAAGAGAGTGAGAAAATGAGAGGAGAGATGCCATACACTTTTAAATAACCAGATTACTCTTCAACTAACTGAGTGAGAACTCACTTATCACCTCAAGGAGATGGTGCTAAGCCATTCATGAGGGATCCACCCCGCTGATCCAGTCACCTCCCACCAGGCCCCACCTGCAGCCCTGGGGATTACATTTCAACATGAGAGTTGGAGGGGACAAACATCCAAACCATATCACCTTCTTAAATAACCAGATTCTTGCAGTCTCCAAGCTTTCTTGTCAAGCATGGCTCTGTTTCATGATAATGAAGCCACTAAGTTACTATGTACCCGAATGTACAGATGTTTCTTCCAAAGATGCTTCTTAGAGCTGAGTGGTTGCACAGTCATGGGAAATGCCTGGCCTGATCCTGAATGAAGCTGTAAAGTAGGGGCTGTTGACTTTGTCACCTCCTGCATTTTCAGTAACCCATACCCCAGGTGTCCATGGCCTTCAGTCTGCACTTCCCAGTCCGGGGAGCCTATTGAACCACTCCCCATCATCCATCAAGACATCGTTATCCTGCGTGCCCATGTTCTCAGGACCATGTTAGCTGGCAGATATTTTAGGGAAATAAGGAATAAATTTTCAACCATCCATGAGTGAGCTATTTAAATTTTATAAGGGCTTCTCAGAGACCCTAACACAAAGGAACATTGGTGTTTTAAGGGCAGTTATGCCATCTGGGCCCCTTCAAATCACATGCCAAAAGATGTGGCTAATACTTTGCAATTCTACTTTATTTCTCATATATCATCTCTTTCAAATCATATAATAATCCCCAAATAGGAAACTAATACTTGAAAATGATAAATACTTCAACTAAAGACACCAATTAGAGCCAAAAATGAGGCCTTAGTTATCGTGCATGCTCTGCATATATATATATATATAAAACTAAAGAAGGGTATGTGTGTTTGCGTATGTGTGTGTTGAGGAAGAGCAAAAACTAAAGGAAAAGTGGATAGGAAGAGCAAGCAGGCCCATGTACCTCAGTAATGGCAACAGTCAGCCTCACACTGAGCTGACTTACCAGTGGCCTGGCTACAGTATCCCGGACCCAATCACATAGTGAAACTACCCAGGACTCTTCAGTATGGCCAGAGATGCTGTATTATGTATTACGTTACCTCCTTGGTTAGATACAAAGAAAAATTTCTTAAGATGTTATTAAACCTCCAAATATACTTCTGAAAATCTCTAGATACTTTAGAAAGAAATTTAAATTTCATCTTAAAATGAAAGTACAGGTTTTCCTCAATGGGAAACAATGGATTAGAAGGCCTCTCAAGGCTATTTAAGTGGATGGAGAAGTCAGAGTGCTATTTCCTCTTTATTCGTTCATCAATATTATGAACTTCATCGATCAACATAGGCTAAGTTATGCTAGTGACAAACAATACCAAAATCCCGGCAGTCTGTGATGGCAAGGATTTGTTTCTTGCTCTTGTGTCCATCAATGATGCTGAGCAGAGGGGCTCTTCTGAGCATCGCTCTCACTGCAGGACCCTGACTGATGGAGCGCCAGTATCTAGAAAGTTGCTGATTCTCATGGCAGAGGAAAAGACAGCTGAATAAGGTCTTGGACTGACAATTGATTACTCTGGACCAGAAGTGGTACCTTTTGCTTCCACACAAAACTACTTGGCCAGAGCATCTGCATAGCCCAACACAACCATGGGCAGGCCAGGAAGTGCAATACTGCCATGTGCCCAGGTGGCAAATACTCCCAAGAGCCAGAAGTATCTGTGAGCAGCACTCGTGACTCCCATGCCATGCCTGCATGCGCCAGGCCTCCTACAAGGTCCAGGCTCACTGTCTCTCCCGCTGTGGCCTGTGCATTCACACTGAAGAGTCTATCTATAAACTGGGAACTTCAGTAACATTTAATAAGGTCTGCAATAAAGGATACACAAGAGCATATAGGAGGGAAACCCTTGCTCATTTTTCAAGATTCACAGGAGGCCTTTTAGAGAACATAATATTATATTTATGATGTACCCTAGAGGATGAATAGCCAGGCAAAGACAAAGATGGTGCACAGGGTTCCTGACAGAGGGCACAGCATGTCCAGAGGCCAAACACCGGGATCTTGAGGGGACCATTTAAAAAGTTAATTAACTTGGGACAGGCACGGTGGCTTACGCCTGTAATCCCAGCACTTTGGGAGGCCAAGGTGGGCGGCATTTGAGGTCAGGAGTTCAAGACCAGCCTGACCAACATGATGAAACCCCATCTCTACTAAAAATACCAAAAAATATTAGCCAGGCTTGGTTGCAGGCACCTGTAATCCCAGCTACTCAGGAGGATGAGACAGGAGAATCTCTCAAACTTGAGAGGCAGAGGCTGCAGTGAGCTGAGATCACACCACTGCACTCTAGCCTGGGCGACATAGCAAGACTCCATCTCAAGAAAAAGAAAAAGTGAATTAACTTGCCTTCTGTCCTAATGGATTACTTATTTAATATGTTACTTATTCTAAATGTATGCTCAAATATCCTTTTAATTTGCCTTCATTTAATGATGACCACTTTCTATAAAAGAAAAAGCACATAATTGGTAATAGATATTTTATCTTGTAGACTCATATGAGCAAGCTCAGTGTAGAAAGAGAAGGCAATGAGGTGATAGGAAGAGAGGAAAGGAAAAGGGAGAGAAGAAGGAGCATATTTTTAAGGACATGCCAGGTGCCACATCAGGCTGTAAGGCCTACCCCCAGTCTTACTGGTGGAATAGATAGTAGTGTCTTACTCACAGGTTCCTATTTCACTGGAAGGTTTCTTACCCTCTTTTATCTTATGATATGCTTTTTGTTTTGAAGAAAGTTGGCCTGGTGGCATAATTCAGAAGGCCAAACTCCTCTATGGGCTGGTCCTGTGACCTGGGCTAACTTTTAGTTGGATAATGTGGTTTTCTTTGGTAACAATTATGTAACAGGAGCTATCACTGACTGGATGCTTATTAAATGCCACAGTCAGTGGTCCAAGCTTTACATGTGTTATAGTTTAATGTGCTTCAATATTCTTACATTTAATAACGACTTTGTCATAAAGTTATTCATTTTGACAATAAATCTTTAAGGTGAGTATTGTTGGCTCTTGAGCCAAGATGGCCGGATAGGAACAGCTCCAGTCTACAGCTCCCAGCATGAGCAACACAGAAGACAGGTGATTTCTGCATTTCCAACTGAGGTACTGGGTTCATCTCACTGAGGAGTGCTGGGCAGTGGGTTCAGGACAGTGGGTGTAGTGCACTGTGCATGAGCCAAAGCAGGGCGAGGCATCACCTCACCTGGGAAGTGCAAGGGGTCAGGGAATTCCCTTCCTAGTCAAAGAAAGGGGTGACAGACGGCACCTGGAAAATTGGGTCACTCCCACCCTAATACTGCACAATTCCAACGGGCTTAACAAATGGCACACCAGGAGATTATATCCCACACATGGCTTGGAGGGTCCTACGCCCACGGAGCCTCACTCGTTGCTAGCACAGCAGTCTGAGATAAAGCTGCAAGGCGGCAGCAAGGCTGGGGGAGGGGCGCCCGCCATTGCCCAGGCTTGAGTCGGTAAACAAAGTGGCCAGGAAGCTCAAACTGGGTGGGGCCCACCAAAGATCAAGGAGGCCTGCTTGCCTCTGTAGGCTCCACCTCTGGGGGCAGGGCACAGACAAACAAAAGACAGCAATAACCTCTGCAGACTTAAATGTCCCTGTCTGACAGCTTTGAAGAGAATAGTGGTTCTCCCAGCACGCAGCTTGAGATCTGAGAACGGGCAGACTGCCTCTTCAAGTGGGTCCCTGACCCCCAAGTACCCTAACTGGGAGGCACCCCCCACTAGGGGCCAACTGACACCTCACACGGCCAGGTACTCCTCTGAGACAAAACTTCCAGAGAAACGATCAGGCAGCAGCATTTGCGGTTCACCAATATCCACTGTTCTGCAGCCACCACTGCTGATACCCAGGAAAACAGGGTCTGGAGTGGACCTCCAGCAAACTCCAACAGACGTGCAGCTGAGGGTCCTGACTGTTAGAAGGAAAACTAACAAACAGAAAGGACATCCACACCAAAAACCCCTCTGTACATCACCATCATCAAAGACCAAAGGTAGATAAAACCGCAAAGATGGGGAAAAAACAGAGCAGAAAAACCAGAAACTCTAAAAATCAGAGTGCCTCTCCTCCTCCAAAGGAACGCAGCTCCTCACCAGCAATGGAACAAAGCTGGATGGAGAATGACTTTAACAACTTGAGAGAAGAAGGCTTCAGGAGATCAAACTACTCCGAGCTAAAGGAGGAAGTTCGAAACAATGGCAAAGAAGTTAAAAACTTTGAAAAAAAATTAGATGAATGAATAACTAGAATAACCAATGCAGAGAAGTCCTTCAAGGACCTGATGGAGCTGAAAACCACAGCACAAGAACTACATGATGAATGCACAAGCCTCAGTAACCGATGCAATCAACTGGAAGAAATTGTATCAGCAATGGAAGACGAAATGAATGAAATGAAGCGTGAAGAAAAGTTTAGAGAAAAAAGAATGAAAAGGAACAAACAAAGCCTCCAAGAAATATGGGACTATGTGAAAAGACCAAATCTACGTCTGATTGGTGTACCTGAAAGTGATGGGGAGAATGAAACCAACTTGGAAAACACTCTGCAGGATATTATCCAGGAGAACTTCCCCAATCTAGCAAGGCAGGCCAACATTCAAATTCAGGAAATACAGAGAATGCCACAAAGATACTCCTCGAGAAGAGCAACTCCAAGACACATAATTGTCAGATTCACCAAAGTTGAAATGAAGGAAAAAATATTAAGGGCAGACAGAGAGAAAGGTCAGGTTACCCACAAAGGGAAGCCCATCAGACTACCAGCGGATCTCTCAGCAGAAACTCTACAAGCCAGAAGAGAGTGGGGGCCAATATTCAACATTCTTAAAGAAAAGAATTTTCAACCCAGAATTTCATATCCAGCCAAATTAAGCTTCATAAGTGAAGGAGAAATAAAATACTTTACAGACAAGCAAATGCTGAGAGATTTTGTCACCACCAGGCCTGCCCTACGAGAGCTCCTGAAGTAAGCACTAAACATGGAAAGGAACAACCGGTACCAGCCACTGTAAAAACATGCCAAATTGTAAAGACCATCAAGGCTAGGAAGAAACTGCATCAACTAACAAGCAAAATAACCAGCTAACATCATAATGACAGGATCAAATTCACACATAACAATACTAACCTTAAATGTAAATGGGCTAAATGCTCCAATTAAAAGGCACAGACTGGCAAATTGGATAAAGAGTCAAGACCCATCAGTGTGCTGTATTCAGGAAACCCATCTCACGTGCAGAGACACACATAGGCTCAAAATAAAGGGATGGAGGAAGATCTACCAAGCAAATGGAAAACATAAAAAGGCAGGGGTTGCAATCCTAGTCTCGGATAAAACAGACTTTAAACCAACAAAGATCAAAAGAGACAAAGAAGGCCATTACATAATGGTAAAGGGATCAATTCAACAAGAAGAACTAACTATCCTAAATATATATGCACCCAATACAGGAGCACGCAGATTCGTAAAGCAAGTCCTTAGTGACCTACAAAGAGACTTAGACTCCCACACAATAATAATGGGAGACTTTAATACCCCACTGTCAACATTACACAGATCAACGAGACAGAACGTTAACAAGGATATCCAGGAATTGAACTCGGCTCTGCACCAAGCAGACCTAATAGACATTTACAGAACTGTCCACCCCAAATCAACAGAATCTACATTCTTTTCAGCACCACACCACACCTATTCCAAAATTGACCACATAATTGGAAGTAAAGCACTCCTCAGCAAATGTAAAAGAACAGAAATTATAACAAACTGTCTCTCAGACCACAGTGCAATCAAACTAGAACTCAGGATTAAGAAACTCACTCAAAACCGCTCAACTACATGGAAACTGAACAACCTGCTCCTGAATGACTACTGGGTACCTAACGAAATGAAGGCAGAAATAAAGATGTTCTTTGAAACCAACGAGAACAAAGACACAACATACCAGAATCTCTGGGACACAATCAAAGCAGCGTGTAGAGGGAAATTTATAGCACTAAGTGCCCACAAGAGAAAGCAGGAAAGATCTAAAATTGACATCCTAACATCACAATTAAAAGAACTAGAGAAGCAAGAGCAAACACATTCAAAAGCTAGCAGAAGGCAAGAAATAACTAAGATCAGAGCAGAACTGAAGGAGACAGAGACACAAAAAACCTTTCAAAAAATCAATGAATCCAGGAGCTGGTTTTTTGAAAAGATCATCAAAATTGATAGACTGCTAGCAAGACTAATAAAGAAGAAAAGAGAGAAGAATCAAATAGATGCAATAAAAAATGACAAAGGGGATATCACCACCGATCCCACAGAAATACAAACTACCATCAGAGAATACTATAAACATCTCTACGCAAATAAACTAGAAAATCTAGAAGAAATGGATAAATTCCTTGACACATACACCCTCCCAAGACTAAACAAGGAAGAAACTGAATCTCTGAATAGACCAATAACAGGCTCTGAAATTGAGGCAATAATTAATAGCTTAGCAACCAAAAAAAGTCCAGGACCAGATGGATTCACAGCCGAATTCTACCAGAGGTACAAGGAGGAACTGGTACCATTCCTTCTGAAACTATTCCAATCAATAGAAAAACAGGGAATCCTCCCTAACTCATTTTATGAGGCCAGCATCATCCTGATACCAAAGCCTGGCAGAGACACGACAAAAAAAGAGAATTTTAGACCAATATCTTTGATGAACATTGATGCAAAAATCCTCAATAAAATATTGGCAAGCCGAATCCAGCAACCCATCAAAAAGCTTATCCACCATGATCAAGTGGGCTTCATCCCTGGGATGCATGGCTGGTTCAACATACGCAAATCAATAAACGTAATCCAGCCTATAAACAGAACCAAAGACAAAAACCACATGATTATCTCAATAGATGCAGAAAAGGCCTTTAACAAAATTCAACAACACTTCATGCTAAAAACTCTCAATAAATTAGGTATTGATGGGACGTATCTCAAAATAATAAGAGCTATCTATGACAAACCCACAGCCAATATCATACTGAATGGACAAAAACTGGAAGCATTCCCTTTGAAAACTGGCACAAGACAGGGATGCCCTCTCTCACCACTCCTATTCAACATAGTGTTGGAAGTTCTGGCCAGGGCAATCAGGCAGGAGAAGGAAATAAAGGGCATTCAATTAGAAAAAGAGGAAGTCAAATTGTCCCTGTTTGCAGATGACATGATTGTATATCTAGAAAACCCCATTGTCTCAGCCCAAAATCTCCTTAAGCTGATAAGCAACTTCAGCAAAGTCTCAGGATACAAAATCAATGTACAAAAATCACAAGCATTCTTATACACCAATAACAGACAAACAGAGAGCCAAATCATGAGGGAACTCCCATTCACAATTGCTTCAAAGGAATAAAATACCTAGGAATCCAACTTACAAGGGATGTGAAGGACCTCTTCAAGGAGAACTACAAATCACAACTCAATGAAACAAAAGAGGCTACAAACAAATGGAAGAACATTCCATGCTCATAGGTAGAAAGAATCAATATTGTGAAAATGGCCATACTGCCCAAGGTAATTTATAGATTCAATGCCATCCACATCAAGCTACCAATGACTTTCTTCACAGAATTGGAAAAAACTACTTTAAAGTTCATACGGAACCAAAAAAGAGCTTGCATCGCCAAGTCAATCCTAAGCCAAAAGAACAAAGCTGGAGGCATCACACTACCTGACTTCAAACTATACTACAAGGCTACAGTAACCAAAACAGCATGGTACTGGTACCAAAACAGAGATATAGACCAATGGAACAGAACAGAGCCCTCCAAAATAATGCCGCAAATCTACAAGTATTCGATCTTTGACAAACCTGACAAAAACAAGCAATGGGGAAAGGATTCCCTATTTAATAAATGGTGCTGGGAAAACTGGCTAGCCATATGTAGAAAGCTGAAACTGGATCCCTTCCTTACACCTTATACAAAAATCAATTCAAGATGGATTAAAGACTTAAACGTTAGACCTCAAACCATAAAAACCCTAGAAGAAAACCTAGGCAATACCATTCAGGACATAGGCATGGGCAAGGACTTCATGACTAAAACACCAAAAGCAATGGCAACAAAAGCCAAAATTGACAAATGGGATCTAATTAAACTGAAGAGTTTCTGCACAGCAAAAGAAACTACCATCAGAGTGAACAGGCAACCTACAGAATGGGAGAAAATTTTTGCAACCTCCTCATCTGACAAAGGGCTAATATCCAGAATCTACAATGAACTCAAACAAATTTACAAGAAAAAAACAAACAACCCCATCAAAAAGTGGGCAAAGGATATGAACAGACACTTCTCAAAAGAAGACATTTATGCAGCCAAAAAACACATGAAAAAATGCTCATCATCACTGGCCATCAGAGAAATGCAAATCAAAACCACAATGAGATACTATCTCACACCAGTTAGAATGGCAATCATTAAAAAGTCAGGAAACAACAGGTGCTGGAGAGGATGTGGAGAAATAGGAACACTTTTACACTGTTGGTGGGACTGTAAACTAGTTCAACTATTGTGGAAGTCGGTGTGGGGATTCCTCAGGGATCTAGAACTAGAAATACCATTTGACCCAGCCATCCCATTACTGGGTATATACCCAAAGGATTATAAATCATGCTGCTATAAAGACACATGCACACGTATGTTTATTGCAGCATTATTCACAATAGCAAAGACTTGGAACGAACCCAAATGTCCAACAATGATAAACTGGATTAAGAAAATGTGGCACATATACACCATGGAATTCTATGCAGCCATAAAAAATGATGAGTTCATCTCTTTTGTAGGGACATGGATGAAGCTGGAAACCATCATTCTCAGCAAACTTTCGCAAGGACAAAAAACCAAACACCGCATGTTCTCACTCATAGGTGGGAATTGAACAACGAGAACACATGGACACAGGAAGGGGAACATCACACACCAGGGATGGTTGTGGGGTGGGGGAGGGGGGAGGGATAGCATTAGGAGATCTACCTAATGCTAAATGATGAGTTAATGGGTGCAGCACACCAACATGGCACATATATACATATGTAACAAACCTGTACGTTGTGCGCATGTACCCTAAAGCTGAAAGCATAATAATAATAAAATAAAATAAAAACAGGTGAGTATTGTTATGGGGTTCCTCCCCTCTTTCTTCTGAATAAGAAAACCGAGGTTTAGAGAATACTATGGGAATAAATTGGCCGAGTCATAAGGCGAGATTTTTTTCCCCCACCTTTTGGTAGATCTGAATACTTACCCCAAATGTCAAGATAAGGGTTATGGCAAATAGTAGTAACAAGAGACTTTAGAAAACATCTGAAGAAAACATCTGAAGAGAGGCAACAGTGTTTTTTTTTTGTTTTGTTCTTTTGCTTTGTTTTTTTGTTTGTTTGTTTGTTTTTGCTGGTAAGTTAGACCTGGAATCAAGTCTAACCTTGCAATGGGAATACATGGAATATTCTCTCTAATCACTGTTTTAAACTCCTTTTGATATTTCCCTCGACCTGCACATAACCCATGGTATTAGCCACATCTATAAGGAAAAACTCAGCTCCCATTAAATCCTGACTTTTCCATGTTCTTGTGGAAATAGTGGAAGCACTGGGAAGATATGGCCCTGCTCTCTTAGTCTCTGAAACTCAATTTTCTTGGGGACAACAAGCATAAAACAATCTACTTTGTCTATCTTTTAATGTACAGAGAATAGTGACATTCCTTTCATCTCAGATCTTTCCTGCTGAAAATATCCTGTTGTGTTTATTGCTAAATAGATTTCTTTAGCAATTAGGCACTTACCAATTTAGTATGCCAAGTGGCTAGCGTTTTCATATGTATATTAAAAAAAACTCTAGATTACCTCTTACTTTTCTATCTGCCTAAGTCATTATAAATGTCCTCCTATTGGTTTCCTTTTAATTTAAAAGTAGAAAAAAGCTTCTGGGCCTGAAGGTTCCACACTTTCCTCCTTTGCTCTGCTCCCTCACCATCTACCAGGGAGGCATCATGAGCAGGGAGTGGCATTTGGCACTTGCAGTACTTTAGTGGCTTAAAAAAAATAAAACAAAACAAAAGAATGAAAAAAGAATATTTGATTGTAATTGAAAAACAATGAGCCAAAAAGACAAAAGGAAAATCCTAGGAAAAATGAATTTCATAAGAAAATATAACAGGAAAAAGAAGATGGTTAAGAAACAGATGGTAAGATGGCCAGTCTTTCCTGTCTGTATTCTGAAGAAAACCCTCAGAGGCTCTGAAGCATTCATGATGGTGCTCCTTGATGTCTATGAAAAATGGAGCCCAAAGCAGTTAATGACCAAGCCTGGGCTAATTACCCATTTTATCTCCCTGCACGTTTCAGTCTCGCATCAACACACTGTACCATAAGTTTTTAAGTATATATTTATGCTGTCTTCTTCAGAGATGAGCTGTTAGCCACTGAACTCCAAACATGACTAAGTCCCGATCTCTCAAGGTACACTGATATCTTGGTGCTTGGAAGGAGATATATTAGCCGGTCAGTTTACTGAGACTCAGTTTGGAGGTGTCAAAAAGCAAGAGATAATGGTCATGTATAGAAGACATGTATTCTTCTTTCCATTTCCTCATCTGTTCTGGAGAAAACCTCTCTGCATCTTAGTCCTTGCTGTTTTGCTGTAATTCTTCACCTGACAGTGGTTTCTCTAAATTTCCCTCAGAGTGTGTCTTCCCCAATTTCTTTAAACTCATCTTCAAAAGGAATCTTTCTTTCAAAAGCCCTTCATGGTCAAGTTTATCTCCTTGCAAAACTTTTCCCGACTCTCCACACTCTTCCCATCATATTTGTTTCCTCACTGTAGTCACATTTTCTGTTTACCTCTCTTGTCACCTTCATCATAGTGCATTACACTTAGTTGTCTGCACTCTCTCCCCTACTCAGTCATGGGTCCATTCATCTTGGTGTCCCCAGGGCCCAGCACAGTGACTAGCACATAGTAGACACTTGATAAAAACTAGTTGAATGAGTGAATGAACATAATGAACATAGGTTGGGTTTTGTCATTTGACAGACATTTATTGAGCAACTACTGCATGCCACGGTACTCAATCTCAATAACATATGATCCACCCTAGATACTATAAATTATCAGTGAATCTAAATACTTTTCGTTATAACTCTCATGCTTTTCCAAGTACTTATTACTTAGACATAAATTTTCTGAGTAAGTTTTCTTCCATTTCTATTAAGTCTTCACATTTTGTTTTGTACTGTGTAGATACAATAAAACTAGCTGATCAGAGCTTTTTAAAGATTGGTAAGAGAGAGATGAAGTTTCATTTAACCTTGGCCTTGAATTCACAAAGAACTCCAAATCTGGACTTTGTCATAATCTCTAAGTGAGGCTATGCCTACATTAAAGATACACTAAAAAAACTGAAACTTTAAAATTGAAACTGAAACATCATCTAACATCATCCTTTTATCCCGTTCTTGGCTCACACAGCCTCTGGTGTATATACTGCTATTGCTATGACACACGTTTCTTTATTGGATCTCTCTCAAGCCCAGCCCACATACACCACATCATCCGGGGGTTGCTGTCTTTGCTGGTGAACTCTGCTGAATGGTGATAATGTGGAAATGAGTTCAGTGTGCTCTTTTCTCCTTTAAAATAGAAGCGTCATGAGGACAAAGACCTCTTCTCTTTATTCCAGCCATATTCCCACTATCTAGCAAGAAATCTGGTAAATAATACATCCTCAATATTGTTACATCTCTGCTACCTAAAAGAAAGTGAGAGTAAGGTTATTGACTGGGCTAATGTAAGAAACAAAAGAAAAATAAGATGTCAAAGGCAGAAGGAATGGGAAGGTAACAGTGGCTCAGTGGTCAGTATAGAGCCATTCATCCCTGGTGCAGGACTCTACAGTTAACTCTGTGCCCTCACAGACATGAAATCACCTTACTCAGACCCCACCCTGCACCATCATTCTCATTTAACAAATGCAGACATTGAGTCTGCATGGAGCAGGGAGGGTCTGGAATCAGTTGTGTGGCTTGAAGTTCCTTGTTCTACCCACTACTGACCCCAAAAAGCAAACATGCACCTTCCTCTTTGACATAACTGGGCAATAGAAACTTGAACCAATGGTTTCTGTGCTCCTTCTCTGAGCTCCAGACCTAAATATACAGCCGCCAACTGGACACTTTCCCCTGAATGGCCCAAGAGCAAGCTGTCCGAGACTAAATGCACTCTTTTCTCCATTGAGAGTCCGTGCTTGATCCATTTCCAGCATGTGCTGTCTTAGTGATAACCACCCTAGTTTTCACAGCTATGCCAGCTGGGAACCCCAGGATCCTCCCTGAAGTCCCCTTGCCACATCTATGAAAGCTATCATCAAATCCTGTACATTTGCCTCCTCATATCTTCTCAAATCTGACCACACTTTCTCTACCACCATCATCTGTGCAGGCTATCCTGGTGGCCAACAACCCCAGCAGCATGCACCTCCTCACCAACCTTCCTGCACATTCTCTGGCCCCCCTTCCAGTCTGTTCTCCACCCTGCAGGCAGAATGATCTTCCAAACTGTAAATCTTACCTGCCAAGATCCTTTCAAATGGTTGGATGGCTTCTCATTGCTTGCACAATTAAGGCAAATCACCATGATGCCCAAAGGACCTGCTGCCTACCTCCCTCTCCCACTATCCTCTGAACCAGCCATGGGGCCTTCCCTCCTTCCCTGGGATATGTAGTGCTCCCCTCTAGCCCAGAGGCTTTGCATGCGCTGGGCCCTCTGCTCAGACTGCTCTTACCACTCTCTTTGTCTAGCTAACACCTGTTATTCCTTTGTAGTACTTGTCAGAGTTGTATCTTATGGGGTCATCGAATCAGTGTCTGTAAGCTCCAGAAGTCCAGGGTGTGTCTCTTTCTGCTCACCTGGGACAGTAAATGCTGATTAAATAAATGGACAAAATGGTTCTAGGCATATGCAAGTTAAAGCACACTTTGCTCTAGATGCCTAGAATATCTCTTTTGTTTCAGACAAATTAGGGAATTAAAATAAGCATGCCTAGAAATCTATTGACAAAATCAACTACATTAAATACAATATATGTATTATTGATTAACAAATTCAACAAAAGTATTTAGTGCCTGCTATGGAGAATGCTAGATTTTGTACATACTCCAAGCCCTGTTCACATTCTCCTAGTCCATGCACACAGAAAACCTCATCATTAGAAAGAGCTCTGTCTTTTTCTCACCAGTCACTTGAAAATTTAAACTGCCCAAAGTGCTGAGAAGAGCCAACCTCCCTTCTTCTTTTGACATTAGTGAGGTTATAAACAGTGCATATTCTTGCGAGAATTAACATTTGCCTGAGAGGACTGAGAAGTATTTGATTTGAATATGTCTAGTAATTTGGAATTTTTGCTTTTTATACTGTTTGATTATGAAATGATTAGTTAATTAAATTGGCAATTGGACAGGGAGATGCACAGAAGTGAAATTCCTCTTAAATTACTCACCCTCCATGCCTCACTTTAAGTAGAACATCAGAATGATTGCATTAATGCATGCTGAGAGTATGCTTTGCACGAGGTGCTTATTTGAACTAAAACATATTTAAAATGGGGTAACACTAGAACTAAAGAAACTAAAATTCTTAATAGTCACTAAAAAACTACATCTTGTTGTCCCAAATGAATTGACCATCCTTATTTCTTCAGTGTCCACTATAATAACCATCTCTTGGCAAACCTCAGACTGTGTGCGCTCTCACAGGAAGTGATTGTCCTCATGGTCTCCCTGGACACAGGAAGTGATTGTCCTCTTGGCCTCCCTGGAGCCCCAATCCCTCCTGTGTCCCACACTCCCACTCCTGGGAGACCCAGTGGGCTCTGTTGTCATGTTGGTAGCCACTCAGCTTCTGGTGTCAGTCCCTCCTCTACCTAGCCTCAGACACTAGGTAGAATTGCTTCCCTTACTCTCACAATCTAAGGGCCCCAAATACAAAAGGCCCGGTGTGGTCATATTTTCTAATCCAAACCTGTTGGACATGCACTCTTTCAGAGACCCAAGAAATGGTAGAATTTTCCAAGCCCACCCTAGGACATTCAGTTATGGAAACATTCTGAACCAGATTTCTGTCACTGGCAATTATCTGAAGAGGCTAGAGGGCTTAGCCGTGACTTGTTAAATTAGAGCAAGTACTCTCTATGTGTGCATTTCTACCATGATCACTTCCTGTATCGATTTTTTTTGGGCAGATTATGAGTAACCAATTTCTCCCTGGCTGTTCTATCACAATGTTTACATCTTGTGCCTGGGAAGTGGCACTGCTTTCCTCATTCCTTTATTCAGTTTCAGAGTACCTTCCTCATATGAGTTAGAGCTTCTCATCTTCTGCTCAATTACTCTCTGGTCCTTTTATTTGTTCTGTCCTCTTGTCATGGTGTTATAGCGGTATTTCGTCTTCCTTGAGGATATCACGTGTCACTGTCTGCTTTGTATTTTTGTTGTGTACCCACAGTTCTGTAAATTAAATATGAGTGAGTGGTTATGGCCAGGAAAATCAATCTTTAAACAAATTAATATTTCAATGCCAGTTGTACAGCTATTCCTCCATTTAATGTGTGTCTTGGCTTACAAATGGAGGACAAAGAATGTATCACTTTGGAAAAACTTAAATCAAAGTGAAGATAAAGAAAGCAAGCCAAATATGCCATAAGATTTTGAATCTGAGTGTTGGAGGAGAGCTAGTGCCTTAATTGGTAAAGTCCAGATATTTTAAGACAAACAGCTGCACCTTTATTTGATTTCTTTTCCGGCCATATCATTTTCATGATATGGAAAGTAGAATATGAATCACCATACCTACCTAAAATTGCCAAATACAATATTAGGACACCACGTTAAATTTGAATTTCAGATAAATAACAATAGTATGTCTCGAATACTGCATCAACATACTTATACTAAAAAATTATTAGTTGTATATCTGAAGTTCAAAGTTAACGATGCATCCTGTATTTTTTCTTGCTAATTCTGGTAATTCTACCAGATACGGCAGTTGTGAGAAATTAAAGCAATTTCCTGAGATAATGTAAATGGACGGATCTAGCATAATACCTAACACACAATAAGTAAATATATTAATTTCCCTTCCCATTACTAGAAGTCACAGGTTGTCATTCTGATAATAATATTTTTTATTCAGAGAAATGGTTTAGTTTTGAGAGCTTTAACACCAAAGACATGCTACTTTTTATTTTTTATTTTCCTAACCTTGGAGATATCACATTTACTTCCACAAAATTGTTTTAAGGTTTAGTTCTCTTTACATCTCTAGAAAATCAATCACTCCCCTTCTCCATTTAAAAAAATATGTTTAAAAAAGAAAATTATTATTTTGTTTGCAGCAAAAGAATAATTTTTCTCCCCCACCAGATTATTCCAAAATTAAAATATAGGCAAGAAATGCCAGATATTTTGAAATTTTCATATCTTGATTGTACCTCAAACAGGGTATTTGTGGTAAATGCACATATTTTATTTCCTTTTCTGTCTAATGAAAGATATTTCTATCATTATTTGTAACAGTTCTAGGCATGGAGCCAGCACATTGATTACTAACAATTTAAAAGAACAAGAAGAGTTGTAGTGTTAGGGCCAAGTGAAAGTCAAATTCAATCTAGCAAATTTTCAAAACTGAACTAACACTTAGGGAAGTCGGCTCTCTCTTCTGCTCGTGGGAGCATTGTAAGTTTTCTAGAAGGTGGACTGGCATATTTGGCTTGCTTTCTTTGTCTTCATATATATATATATATATATATATATATATGTGTGTATATATATATGTATATATGTATATATATGTATATATATATGTATGTATATATATATATATATATATATATATATATGCATTCTTCTGAAATGAACCACTTCTGTAGAGAGAGAGAAACTAAACTGCCTCAGCTCTCATCGTTTGCTTGCCGGACCTCCTTTCCAGCCCCGGTCCTTCTGCCCAGACTGTGAACTCCATAGGAGCAAGGTTTATCTTATTTTTTCCTTGTATGCACAGTAACTTACACATAGTAAGCCCTTAGTAATGATTTGCACACTAAATTAATTTTGAATGAACTGAGTATAGGATTTGGTTATCCTAAATTAATTTTTTAAAAGGCCTCTAAAAGCACATACCCTTTTGTCCAACAGTTCTATAAATTTATGCCAAGTACAGAGGACTTTACATTTGCAAAGATATGTGATAAGGATGTTTATCACAACTTTATTATACTACTGCAAAGTGCAAACAACCTAAACATCTACTGTGGAGTGAACTGCGTCCCCCTGCAAATTCATATGTTGAAGCCTTAACCCCCAATGTGTTGGTAGTTGGAGATGGGACTTTTAAGAGGTAATTAGGTTAAGATGAAATAAGGATGGTGGAGCCCCCATGATGGGGTTAGTCCCCTTGTAAGAAGAGACACCAGAGAGCTTGCTCTCTATCTCATCCTGCCATGTGAGAACATAGCAGGTTGGTGGCCAATCACAAATCAGGAAGAGACCCCTCAGCAGAAACCAACCATACTGGCACCTTGATCTCAGATTTCCAGTCTCCAGAACTGTGAGAAAACAAGTTTTTGTTGTTTAAGCCACACACTCTATGGCATTTTGTTACGGCAACCCATGCTGACGCAGACCAATATCTAAGAGTAGGAAATTGGTTATATAAATGATAGTAAATACATACATAGATGATTGTGCAGTCATTCTTTAGCAGACTTGTAATATGGGAACATTTTCATTATGTTTAAGTGAAAAGCCAGACTATAAGACAGTATTAACTATGGTACTATTTTTTATAAAAACTAATTTATATACACATACGACATATCCAATTTATTTTAAAAATACAAGGTCACATATCAAAATGTGAACAAATAATTGTTTCTAAGAGATTGAATTACAGGTTATTTGTCTTTCGTTTTTCTTTGTGCTTTTACAAGTTCTGCATTTTAAATATTTTTTACTTTTGTAATCAGGAAAATCAATTAAGAGATTTTTTTGTTGGTTGTTGTTAATGAGCCAACATCCATTCCAGGAAGTGACATTGAAAATGAAGAGGCAGCTCAGGAGGTACCTTCAGGAGGTACCTTCTCAGACCCAGGAGTCTTGCTGCATGAGAACAGAAAGCTCCCAGCTCCAGCCAGTAGCCTCTTGATGTACTAAGAGACAGAGTTCAGAGCTCTGATAGCAACGTGAACCTCACCTAATGAAAATGCTCTCTATTTGCCTCTCTTTCTGCTTTTTATCTAATCACTATTCACTTGCCAATTTCCTGGATATTTTTGCTCATTGGATTAAAAAGACTAGTAAGCTAAAAAAGAGTCAGGAAATCTTTAACAAGTAGAAGCAGAAAGATTTTTTAATGAGCTAAAGAGACCTTTAGAAATTGAAACGAAATGAAGAGAAATGTTTCAAGCAGAAAATGACTTGGCTTTTTTATACGTCCCCCCCAGACCTATTTTAAATCCCCAGTACACTCACTCATTTGCCTAATTTCCACACAGTTTGAAAATTTGTTTAGCTATCAAATATTTTAGCAATAAAACTGAAAACTCAGAAATAGGGATAAGGGCCTCATCTTCCCTTCGCTATTGTAGTAAGCTCATTAACCAAGACTTTTGCTCCTCTTTTCTTTGTTCTTTTTTGTCGTACAGCTCATTATAGTAGCACATATGTATAACTTTACTGCAGTGTTATAAAGTGGAAGCATTTTTATAGCTTACATTCAAAAGCCAAGTAGAGCTACCAGTCTATGTATTTGCTAGGTGACCCTCAGCCCTCAGCATAGATAAAGTCTTTATACCTTGGCATCTTGTTTGAAGTATTGGCAAAGTCTGTATATAATGGGAAAGGCTGTGGTTCTCTTACATTGTCACAAAGTATGTGAAGGAACCATTAGCCAGGAGAATTACATGGACTTCCTGTGAAATGGCTGATGGCACACAAATTCATAGTACAATAAGTCACAAGGAGGATTAGACAAGAGATCATATATCATGACTGAAAAACACAGAATGTAACATTGAAGATCCTTTATATAAGAAGGAAATAGACTTGCTAGTATTTCTAGGAACTGATTACAGATTCTTTAGCTATTTTAAAGCATAGTTTTATGGAGTGCACATAAATAATAGTCTTAGCAATACGGCACATTTTTCCATTTATAGACTTTATTTGACTACCAGAATTATATATCCAAAAATGCAAGGAAAATGAAACTAATTTGGAAAGCATAAAAACCAGTTCAAAACTGCAGAAAACAGCATGCAGTCTCCTTGTTGGGTAACTTGTAATTGTCCTGTTACCTGAACCATGTTGCAGTTATGAAACCTTGCAGAAGAATGGAGGCCAACTCTCCTTTTAATTCCAGGGCTTCCAGAAATGTCCCTGTTCTCAGTTTGCCTCTGTTTTCCAGACATTTCTGCTCAGTTTTTAACTTGAGAGAATGGAAATAAACGTTAACCCCATGTATTGTTGACTAAATATTCGGGTCAAATATCTGTATTATTTATAATGCTTTCATTTAGCCTGGTTAGGTATGGCACTCAGTTATTCCTCACAGAGAAGCTGATCAAGAAATGTCATACACGGCATTCCATCCTATTCCTGTTAATCCTGCTTTCTGGTCTTGTTTCTTTGATCTATACATTCATCTATAAGAGCTAGATTAATGAATAATCATTCAGGACTAGTTAAAACAAAGACTAGATCAGACAAACCAATGAACACCTACATGTATTATGTTTCAAGCACCATACTCTTCTAAAATATAAAATGAGACTGTAGCCATGGTCTGTGACACCAGCAGATGTAGATAGATATCTATGATATAATATATAATGTGATACATACTATAATGGAGGTATTAATATAAATATGGGAAAATTAGCTGCACCTAAATTAATAATTAATTTTTTACCTGTAAAGCAAAGGGAGAGGGGAGGGAAAGTAATACAAGAGAAGTTACTGAAAAGGAGTAACATTTAGACTGGGCCTGGAAGTATCGTGAGGTCTTTGCCAGAGAAAGCAACACAGGGTATTGCAAAAAGAGCAATAAACCATTTGTTTATAACTGACATTATTCTTCAAAGAATTTGAGGTGAATTTAAGTTAAGTGGTTTATCTTGCAATAAAGTAAATAAATAAAACTTTAGTGTTAGGAAACTATAAACAAGAGTACAACGTTAAAGACTGGGTTTAGATTAGGATGCATGTGAAGACCATGATGTCTTTCACAGTTAACAAAAACTGAGAGATAAACCTGTGTCCTGGCAATTAAAGTGATCAAAGAAACTCTTTGTAACTTGGGATCACTATTTAGTTGTGCTCCAGCTCTGGGTGTCAGTTTGTCATCTGCACAATGAGGAGTTCCCACTGCATGGAGTTGTGGTAAAGATGGTGTAAAGCACATGGCCCATAGGAAGTGCTGAGGAAATCTCAGTTGACCTTCAGACCTAGTGTCCATTGACTTTGCATATTGTTCTGCTAGGAATGCGCACCAATACTATTCCAGTGGTCCATTTTCTATTTTTTTAATTTGGAAATATTACTTTGGGCTTCTGCTCCAGCATTTTGGATATAGAGGACCCTGAAGGTTAAAAACTGACTCTTAAATGCAAACTCACAGGGAGGCCAATTTCCTGACCATACACGGGTTCTCAGAAAGAGAAATCTGCAGTAAATTGTCACATGTGAAGTTTCACTTGATATCAGTATATTCCAGAACATCCTTTCCTCTTAGCAAATGTTTGAGGAAGACAAATCCATTTTATGAAGTACGAAGACAGTTGACAATGTTCACAACTCCATCTCCTAAGAATATTTGGGTCTTGCCGGGCGCGGTGGCTCATGCCAGTAATCCCAGCATTTTGGGAGGCCAACACGGGTGGATCACCTGAGGTCAGGAGTTCGAGACCAGCCTGACCAACATGGAGAAACGCTGTCTCTACTAAAAATACAAAATTAGTTGGGTGTGGTGGCACATGTTTGTAATCCCAGCTACTTGGGAGGCTGAGGCAGGAGAATCGCTTGAACCCGGGAGGCGGGGCTTGCGGTTAGCTGAGATCATGTGTCATTACACTCCAGCCTGGGCAACAAGAGCAAAACTCCGTCTCAAAAAAAAAAAAGATTACACACATATATATATACACACATACCTACATATAAATATATGGTCTTAATGGGGGGCAGAGAATAAACTTTTAATTTGGTCATTTCAGTTCTTTGATAAACATGGGGAGAGAAATTTTCCTGATAATTCTGTGGTGCTGTTGTTTTTGGTGTTGTTTAATGTAAAGTTCCTTCTTGATGCCCGTAGACATCATCCCACATAGGAAGCCCCCAATTCTGTCTGCTCCTGAGGGGAGAACTTATGCTATACATTAGTAGCAAAACTTTCATTGTCGCCTAGAGGGTGGGGGAGGAGTTGAGCTTGTTAAGGGCCAACTAGAGCCAAAAGTACATTTATAGTTTTGCTTTCGATGCATCTCCCCTTGCGACTTTTCTTTTCTGTAAGCAGTCAACTGCCATTCCAAATACATTTCAATAAATTTTAACCTGGATATCTAAAAGAGCCTTTGATGAAATCTAGATTAATTTGTATTAATTTCAAATTAAATGTCAATTGAATACTAAAATCATATTAGGAAATAACAGTGTATCATGCTTATCTTAATGATTGATTAATTATACCTGTTGTGATTTGCCTTTTTTATTAATCTAGCAAAGTCTTACTGAGTTCATAATAAGGCAGTAACTCACAAACTAATTCATTTGTCCTGGTTCCTTCACAGTCAATGTCATTTTTTTCATTTTCCCTTTTTAATAAATATTAAGATGTGAAGGGAAAAAAGCAATTAGCTCTTTCTTAGATACTTTTACTTTGAATACTGAACCTCCAAAGATAAAATGGCAGAGTTAAATCATCTAAGTAAAATATAGTATGTGTAGAGAGAAAGAATATAGCATATAATTTTTTAAACATCAGAATCATAACGTGTAATTAAGCCCAATGTTGAACTACTGAAGACCAGCCAACTTGGACAATTTCTTATAATCGTATTTTTAAGAAATTGTTCAGATAACTCTCACTAAAACAAACCACCTTAGACTATTAAAAAAAAATGAGAAAACTTCATACCAGAAGAAGATGTTCTCCTCTACAAAAGCAGTGGTGCAGGGGTTTAGCTTTCCTGACCAGGAAGCCATGGTTAACCGTTCTTCCTATTCCTTCCCTTCTGTTGTGTGTCATTTCACTAAGGGCTAGGAAATGATTGCTGGATGTGAGATGTGGATCCTGAATGATTCTGTTGCAGTGGCCAGAAACTCACACTTCAAAGAACTGGTCTATAAAGGTGGATTGGATGGAAGGGTGAGTGAGTGAGTGGGGAAGATGGAGAGAGTAAGAGGAAAACATCTTGCATCGTACATGTATTATCCTATACTTTCAGAGGATGAAATGTTTTGGCTACTCACATGTTTCACTTGCAAGAAAGTCATCATATATATCAGTGATGAATAGTTCACTTAAGAATTAACATACAATTAAATACACTGAAGACAAAACCATATTGGACATAATTAATTTCTTTTAATGATTCAGAAGGCATTTCAGAATCTGGCAATCCTCATTTTGAACATTAATCATCATTGTATGTTAAACATGGAAGTATCTGCCAAGAGAGTTTGCCCATTAACCAAGTGTTACTGTGCTTTTAAAAATATTTCACAGACAAGAAGACAGCAGCTTCATATAAAAGTTACTAGTTTAGGAGCTGCTTTGGGCAAGGCCACTTCCTCAAGGATAAATACTGTGATGCAGTGTGGCGCTTAGTCACAAGTGAGAGGCAGTGTTCAATGTGAGTGTGAACATATCATTTGACCTTTCTCAGCTTCCGTTGCCTCTCAGGCAATGTGGAATGCTAAGGCCACTCCTCTCAGGACAACAATGAGAAATGAAGAGGAGAGAAAAACAGATCATAAATCAATATATGTCACAGAACTTCTAATGGAAAGTGTTCTATGTTTGTACAGATAATTGATTTTAGAAATTCTGATTCTTTGATGTCATGCCTGGTAAGCTAGATCTTTGCCAATTTCAGTCTTGTGAGTCTGGGGCCACTTTGGTTTCCTAGGAACCAGCTGCCTAAAGATTGTCTCTGCTGAAGTCATATGTGGCATCTGGTAGCACCCATGAGTTTAGCTAATTAATCTTTGTAGAATAGAAAAGGTTTCTACACAGTTAGATGTGAGTTCCCTGCTGAATCTCCTCCTTCAGATGCCAAGAGGAAGCCTCTGTTGGAAGTCACTGCAGCCAAGTGGATTCTATCTGGTACAGGGTGTTTTGTTTATTTCCCACAGAATATGTTTTCTTTTATTCTGTTGGCCTTGGGAGTTGAGCTGTCTGCCATAGTAGCTTTCTTACTTGTCTGTACAGTTGTCTATTCAGAGGCAGCTTATTATATGTCTAGCTGCAGGTCTTTAGTTGGAAGGTGCTACTCCTTAGCTAGAACCTGTGAGCACTACAGTTTATCGGTCTGTCAACTCAAACTCCAACTTTACAAGTGAATGTGAGGCAGAGCCCGCTTGTGTGACAAGCTGTAGTGGTGTAGTGAGTCTTCACTCCTCCCTGACTCTGCTGCTGAGAGGCAGCCCACAGGCTTCTAGGAAATGTCTGGCAACATTGTGCTGGTCACTTTCTATCCTTTGAACATTTAGACATTGCAAGAATATGTGACTAACAGAATTGAGATATTAGTTGATAGCTAGATTTGTTTTTCAAAGGATTTTTGACTGCAAGAATTGATGAGCTAAGAAAGTACTTAGAAGCACCTAGCCAGCCCATATTTACAGCAACTGAGATGTTTCAGCCATTGCTGGTGATCCTGTGGACTTGGGGAAAGGAGTAGGTTGCATAAGCATGACTTCCATCTATTAACTGTTTTTCAACCATGCTTGAGATTAATATTAAGTATAAGGCATTATATTAAAAATAAGATGTGTAAGAGCATCTTGTACCTCTCTAAGACTAGGCTGCCTACTCAGCCCTGGTGCTATGATGGTACTCCATGAGATGTCCCTGTCATAAAGTATATCATCCTGCACTATCACTTACCTGTGGCTCACCTCTCTCCCCAACTAAAATGTAAGCACTTTGAGAGTAGTAATTTTATCTTTGCATCTCCAGCACCTAGCACTCTGCCTGATGTGTTGAAGATGCTAAAAAAAAAAACAGAACAGATAAATGCATGAAAAGATAAATTAACATGTAAGAGAAAGGGAGTAAGGAGGGGAAAATAGAGAGAAGGTATGGAAGAAAGTAGAACAGAAGGAGGGAAGGTCATACAAACGTGAAGGTTATTGTTATTTAGTCTGAGCAGATGTTATACTAAGAGTTGTAACTTCATTTATCACCTTTAAGCTATGTGTTCACATAGTGTGTTCAGTTTTCAAATAAAGATTTAGCAAAATGATATCCCTTTATTTACTTTTCACTTACATTGTCTTTTTAAAATACAAGCCAACTAGATTCAAGAATTTTGACTTTGGCTTTGGTGAGACAAAGTGTAGATAATTGACATACTCCACCTCAACCAGGATGGACTTTCAACCAGGACATGCAATGAGTCTTCCATTCTTGACCAAACAGGAGGCAGCCTAGCATAATGGGTGAAAGCATGGGTTCTGCAATCAGATCTGGGTTCAGAGTCTACTCTACCACTAATTAAATATATGCCCTTGAATATGTGATTTATCTGAGTCATCATTTCCTCATCTGTAAAGCAGGGATTATAATGACTGTAATATAGGACTGTCAGCAGACTCAATGAAGTTTTGCCTGTAAAGCATTCAGAATGGTACCCGGCACCCTGTAGACATGTTCTACATGTTGACACTCCAAAACCATCCCTTTCCAGGAAGGTAGTCGTTAGGACAGCAAGGAAGAGGAGTGTTCTGAGCTGATCACCCCAAGCTGCAGTTTCTGATTGTAGCCCCTGATTTTTGATGTAGCCCCCCGTTTGGTGTGGATGACTCGGAAGGCACCTGCTATGAGCACTGAATTCTTGGAGGTGGGAAGGGGGACAGGGTGGTTGGAGGGGGAAGCCTGACATTGAAGTGAACTAAATCTGTGCAAGTGGCTATTTTTGTCAGCCCAGCCACAGTGGGTGTGTGATCGGGCGTCTACTTTTGATCCAGCTCTTTTTATAGATGCTGCTTTTTCTTAAAGGCAACTCTCCTCAATCGTCTCCCAGGCTGCTGAGCTGATTTGGAAGATTGCTTACGGAGTATTTATCATCTGCAATCTGGAATAGAAAACATTTATATTAGTAATTAGATACTCCTTTAAGATGTAAAAGCAGTCTCATTATCAACTGTAGCATAGATTCAGTGTAACGGTATTTTATCCATAAAGACTACAAACACAGCATTATCATTTCAAAGGTGCTTCATATTGTCAGCCTAGGCTCAACCTGTACAGGCAGCTTTGGTGAAAATAAGAGCCAACATCAGTACATCCCAGCAGCCTATTGTCTTTATTCTTATAATGAAACTTTGACTTCAACCATTTCAAAATATGTCCCCATTATTATCACTCAGACTGGTTCACTTAGAATCCCCTAGTTCTTTCCAAAGAGCATGTATATGAAGTTACAAACTGTTGGATATAAAGGGAGGACATCTGTGTCATTTGGTGCTTTTAAATATTTTTTAAAGAATTGTCTGAAATCTTCCCTACCTGTATTGACACACTGAAAAGGTATTTTTAAGAAGCTGGATGCTACTATGACGCCTGAACTACAGGATCCATAATACGATACCAGGTGTGTCTCTGGTAACCATGAATGAATATTCCCCGGGAGAAGAAAGCTGAATGAGGCTCATTGCCATGCCCCCTGAATGTCTTCAATACCAAGTAGACTGAACACTACGTCTTGAAAGAGGAAATCAGTGTCAGTCAGTGAAGACGTGCTCTAGGGGATTACCTGGCTGCATGGTGCATGGAGCACCTCATAATAACAAGGAAGATTTTCGACAGCTTCAGATAAAGGTCAGCCATTTCAGAAAACTCTGAACTCTTTTCTCCCTTGTTCTTCCCCACCAGGGCCAGGCAGGTGGTCCATGCAGGCTTGTGCTAATGAATTCGGCAGCTTGTACTGTAAGAAGTGCGTTTTCATTACTATGAACAAAACAGGCTGCAGGGGGAATTTGATAGGTGGCTTCCACTCAAAGGACAAGATGCATTTATCTGAAGGCAATTCAGTGGTTTATAATGGAAAGCAGGGCCCCTTTGTCTCCTTGTCACAATCTTCCTGTGAGCATCACCATGATTCATAGTCAAATTATAGTCACTTTATACCAACCCAGCTATTTAAATCACAGACTCCCCAATCCACCGTCTTCACAATTCTAAATGGCATCCAGGAGTGAAGTTCCATTATTTAACACAAATTGTACAAATAAGAATTGGTCACCAGGAAGTGACTTTTTTTTATTATTTCTTGTGCTTTGCTATAGATAAGTATTGAGGCTTTTAAAAGTACTTTGATTAGAATCACATCATTTCCCAGAAAGACATTATTTTGCTCATAAAAGTCATTGTGTATCTTACCAAAAAAAATGGCAATAATTTCCTATTTCCCCGCAAGAAATCTGTACATCACCCTTGATACTCAGCTCGGGTAAAGGTCTCACATGCAAAAACAGCTGAGGTGATAATGTAACAAGGTATTGTCTAGATCAGTGATTCTCAAACTTTACTGTGTGGTAATGTCATCTAGTACAATCGGCAAAAATTCAGACACTGAAGCTCATTCCTACTTCATCAAGGCTGACCTTTCTATTCTGTATGTTCTCTCCAGGTATTAATACATATTGGACTAGCTAATTTTATTTGCTTAGTATATTAAGAAGAAGAACAATCCTGGTCTGTCTTTTGGGAGCAGTAGGGCACAGTTTGTGTAGGAATATGCATGTAATAGACACAGTATGCATAGCAGTCTTTTACTAAATGGATTGCCAGTCCCTTAGTCTTTTGATTTGTTCAGATCCAACAAGATTGCTGTTAATGGATGTTGTTAAGATGTATCGCAGAAACTGGGCAGAGTGGGCCAAATTTCATCTTTCATATAAATTATAGCTTCCCAGTAAATCAAACTACAAGTTGATAGACAAGTTGTTTGATGATTGCTACTGCTTAGAGAATACGGTATGGAAACAATTTCCATATATTTTTGCAGGCCCACAAGATTTTAATCTGTGATTCCAAAATTCCAACAACACTGAAAACTGAAATATTTCTCAAGTTTTACACCAAAACTCACTTGACAGCAAAACTTGGCCTGAACTGATGTGAGGCTACTAATAGCCTTTACTTATTGTATAATTACACAACTTAATGTGAATTGAAACATTTCACTGAAAAAATATAAATGATTTGGATTCTCTGATGGCCATATTATACAAATTCAATATATATAACCTATTGTCCCTCTATCATTTAAAAAAAAAAGCTTGAAATCTAAAATATATCTGGCCCCAAGATGTTTGGATATGAGGTTGTGGACCAGAAATATATTATTCTATTTTGACGATGGAGAACTGGAGGACTTGTCTCCTACCTTGGTTTTATCCCAAGAGTTGTTATTAGTAAAATTCAACAAGATAATCAGTTTCCAAGGTTCATTAGTTGAAACCTAAAATGATTAACTCGTCTTAAGAATCCATGACAAGTGTTAATGTTCATTCATTACTCAACCATGGATTCTCCTTACATTTGTTTGACAAGATGCCATGTTTGAAGCAAACAAAAGAAGAGTTTGCTTGGTTTTCAAATTCATTTCTTATTATCCCCTACCTTCCAGCCAACTCTTTCAGCACCCCCGCTTCAGTCTCTATCTAACAAGATACAAGGATAATGCATTCTAAATTAACCTAAAGTTTATAACTGAAATTGAAATAAAGGTAAATACAATGGTAAAAACTGAGCCAAGTTAACATAACATGTGATTAGTTATTTTGGAATGATGTCAGAGATTTCTTTGGGAGCACTCTACTGCAGCGGACCTCAACTGCTGAGAAATTTAATATTATTCCTGCTGTAGTAAATGTACTGGTGATTGCTTGGAAGATATGCTCCTTGAAAGAATATACATATATAAATATTTTTCTATCCTTGTATATACATTTATGTATGTTACATGTTAACCTAAATAATTTATAATTGTGCTTTACAATTGTGCAGCATTGAAATGTAGTTGCTATTTTTTTTTTTTGCTCTTTTGTTATGGTTGTTTTTGTTTGTATTATTAGGCACACAAGAAACCAAGGTGACTGAAAATTTACAGTTAGTAAAAAATACTCTTTCTCAGGATATTTAAGCATAAAATAAGCTTTGTGAAAGAGTCTAATGATAGTTCTGATTTTTTAACATAAGCTTGGATTATAGTTTAGTTTGCAAATAATTTCTGAACTAAATAAACAGCAATGTACTTGCCTTCCAACTAAGGACCATTAGTTGTGATTGATCATATCTGGATTTTACCAACTATATTAAGCAATAAATGCTTCTTTGGGCAAAATTGATAGCCTGTTCTGATTAAAATCTTGGCTTCAATTCAGAGTTACTGTGGGACAAGGTTACACCTTCACAGCTTGTAAACATGGCTACTTAGCAGTGTTCATTAATGCAAATTAGTTGAAGATAAATGTTCTCAATAGTTGTATTTAAAGAGAATGTAGATCCTTCTGTGATGTTTTCTAGTACATAGCCAGATTCAATGTTTAGTTTCAGCTATTATAATTGGCAAACTTCATGGCAGCATGGAAGACATCATGATTGAGGTATTGAGTTGCAAATTGAGTCCTCTGCGGTAAGATGGGAAGATTACTAAATTTATTAGTACTAACTAGTAGTTGGACGTGGCAATGGGGTGGACTGGGGCAACAGTTGAGGAGGACTGTCTTGCTGTAGGTTGAAGAACAGACAATAGTCTGCATTCCTTCTCCTCAGAAGAATACACAAAACTCAGTTCTTCATGGTTACAGAGCCTTTAACTCCTAACATTTGTTTTTCAGATTCCCTAGTTTTGATGGCATTTCTACTATAATTTAGAAACACCTCTATCAGGTACCACTAAAAAAATATCCAAATGAGATGCAGGATTTTCCTCATTTTGGAAATGGTGGCCCTAGACCCACTTTAGCCTTGCACCATGCATGTATAATCCAAGAATTTCCAGACTATTTATATCAAAAATATACCCGTTTACACAAATTGACATACTCTAAACCAATATAGTTTTCAGAGATTCTTTAAAAGAGTTCTCAACTTGAGGGCCTCTCTGAGAGATGGGGTTTGGGTAGCCAATGCTCTGTTATATGTAAGAATTGTGTATTTTCTCCTGGAAGATGATCCATAATGTCCACCAACTTCTCAGAGGCTCCATGACACCTCAAGAAAGGTTAAGAGCCCTCATTTTAGAGGAAATGGCTACCTACAATTTCTGAACTACAAACATGTATCTTTCTGCTTTTATTAGAAGTTTGTGCCGACCTTTAACTTACCCTGAACTCTGACTGTAGGCAGGAAGCCCCTCTGGGAATTGATCACCAAATCATAACCTGAGTGCTCATTCTATCAAAAGTGACTTCTAAGATTGTTTCCTGATGCTTAAAGGACTGTTGTCTAAGTTGTCTTCTAAGATAGCAACTGCCAGCCCCAAGTTTGTTTCCTCCTTCTCAGCTCTCTCCAGTGTTTGCGTCTATCCTTCAGAGCCAGCCCCGGCTATGTGTCACTGAATATGCCAATGCATTAATGTGGGGAGCCACATAAAGCCCTTGATGCCCTCTGCCAATCCCTGGGAGAAAAGCAAGTCATCTCTACTCCACTCCTTGCTGTCCTGCTGTAACTGCACACAGTTGGCATGTGGTGATTAAGATTAATTGGTTGCTGAGACTTGGTGGTTCTGGCAAAATGCAGCTCAGTACCAGGGCACAGAGGGTCAAGTTTGAGCATCCCTGGCAAGATAATAATACACTGAACCAAGAGTTAAGTTTAAAAGAGTTTTATCATATTAAGTAACATCTATCTTCTAGCCAGAGTTTTTCTTCAATAGGGGCATCTGGGAACATTTTGACATAGGATGTAGTTTTCATTTTGACATCAAGTTTAATAGGTTTTTAAAAAAATTATTTACATATTCCAACTATACCATTTATTAGGATTAAAAGATTCTTTTCTTTCTCTTTGAATTTACCTTTCAAGTAACAAGTGACTGATCCTGGCTTTAGGATATATTGTGGGTTTCAGTGTATCTGTTTATCTCACCTATATCCTATATGGTTTCATAGATATCACCCCATAATCACTCTGACCTACTATGTTCTCACTCAAAGTTTCTTCTTTTATAGTCAAATATTTCAACCCTCTGGAAGAAAATCTGCCTACCATCTGTCTCCTCCCAACCCCCACCCCCGAGAACTGGAATTCATTTAATAAATATTTATTGAACACCTATTATGTGCCACGGTTTCACATTAGGCACTGGGGACAAAAATATCAATGAGGTATGGATCCTTACTCACTTTTTGAAAACTATGGTGACAGGGGAATTAGACGAGTAGAGAAGTTTTTCAATACTTTGTGAAATTGCTGGCATAGGGTTAAAGACATAGATACAATAGAAACAAATTGGAGGGCACAAAACCTTTTAGGGAATAGAGAAGACTTCTTAGAGGAGAAAACTTTTAAAGAAACATGTAGGAATTAAGCAAAAGCGAGTGGAAGTGCATTTCAAGCAGAAGGAATGGTCTGGAGGTGCAAAAACGATGATAAATCTGGAAAATTACATATGGTTTGGTATGGCTGGGGCTTTGAGTTTATAGAAGAATGTGCTAGAAGATGAGCCTGGAAAAATAAATAGAGACCAAGAAAAAGGATTCCCTAAAACATGCCAAAAGATTTGGACTTTGTCCTGTAGATCAAAGGAAGCTTTGGAAGAAATAGAAAGGGTACTCAATCATCAGTTCTATCAGTAGTACCATATTGTTCACCCTTTTATTTTTTGTTCTGATTGTTTGATGGGAATTCTAACTTTCTAACTAAACAGAAGAGAGAAACCACATAAAGTTGTGCCATGTACAATACTGTACACAAAACAGACATTTAGTGAATATTTGCTGATTGATTTATTGGAACAGTACAACTGCTTCTAGATAGCTATACTTTGGGCCTAGTATAATGATGTAATGAATAGCATTTTGTAAATACTCTTCTGAGAGTTTCAGAGTCTGTCTGTTAAGAAAAAAAATACTTCCTTGTGAACGTATGTGTTGTATCTTCTTTCTAAATTTGCTTGATATTGATATTCTTTGAGCCTGGCTAATATTCAATGGTAGTTAAATTCAGATCAAGTTGAATTATTTGTATGATGTTTGAAATTGTGTCATATCAAACAGGTACTGTTTTTATTGACATATTGACACTGACCCAGAAGAGAAAATGAGGTGATCATTCCTGTAACAGATTCAGAACAAGATTTATGGCTAGGGGATATAAACAGGGACCCATGTGTTGAACAGTAGGGCTCTTGGAATGCCTCAGATCAAGATTCAGCTCTCAACGTAACTGGCTAAGGCTTCAAGTTCTTCAATAAGAAATTGAGGCCACTGTCCCCTACTAAAAAGTGAATATGGCAGAGGAAGATACCCTATTAAGCCATAGTAGTCATTCATATCTCATATGAATAGGCTTATAAAACCCTTCCCAAAGAGCAAGTTCTCATGGGGAAAAGATGAGAGGCCCATGAACAAATGGCTGCCAAAAGGAAGGGGCAGAGCAGGAAAAGGCTTAGATGGAGAAATACAATCTTGACTTTCTTCACAATGTGCTTCCAGCCCTGAACTCTCCTTTGAATGCTTTAGTCTGAATTACAGCCAAAGAAAATCCCTCAGCCTATCTTTAAATCCTAAATACTGACCTTTCTTCTCACAAGATCTTATATTTGTCAATTCTTCCAACTACAATCAAGCATTTTGAAATTTATGTGACTTAACTATTTTTTAATATTGACAGGTAGAGATTTGCAGCAAGAGAAAAATGAATTATAAATTGTTCCATGGTTTACATCCTGAATATTGTAACTTTGGGTATTTTAATTGATGTCTTAGATGTCTCACAGTTTGTAATCTGTATTTCTCTATTCTCAAGACATGTTTACTTTTCAGATCCATTTTCAAACTGTGAACTGAAATACCGAAATACTGTTGATTACTAAAATGAAGAGTTTTCTCTTTCCATTATGTTTTAATTTCATGTGTTTTCTATATATCCCTTTTTGATTGTAATCTGACATTTCATAGAAGCTGATTCTGAACACATTGATTTGAAAGGAAGAAGACCAGATTTGGAGCCTGCCTTCCAGCCTTGTATTCTGCCACTTCCCCACGAGCACTGGCTTGTGAACTACCTGCAGTTTCTAGAATGTTCCATGTACCTTTGTACTTAGGAGCCTTACCTTTGAAAATCTCCTTCTGCCCTGTTACCTGCTAAGTTCTTACTCAGCCTTTGATACTCAGTTCAAAATCAACTCTTTCTTTACTGCCCAGGTAGAATTAGTGACTCTCTTATCTGTGCATATATTTCTTTTCTTATTATTATTATTTCAATAGATTTGAAGGAACAGGTAGTGTTTGATTGCATGGATAAGTTCTTTAGGTGTTATTTCTAAGATTTTGGTGCACTCATCACCCAAGCAATGTACACTGCACACAGTGTGTAGTCTTTTATTCCTCATTCCACCCCCTCACTCTTCCCCCTTGTCCCAAAGTCCATTGTATCATTTTTATGCCTTTGCATCCTCATATCTTAGCTCCCACTGGTAAGTGAGAGCATATGACATTTGGTTTTCCATTCCTGACTTACTTCAATTAGAATAATGGTCTCCAATTCCATCCAGGTTGCTGCAAATGCCATTATTTTGTTCTTTTTTATGGCTGAGTAGTATTAAACCACAATGCCATACCACCTTACTCTTGCAAAAATGGCCATAATTAGAAAATCAAAAAATAATAGATGTTGGTATGGATGTGGTGAAAAGGGAACACTTTCTACACTGCTGGTGGGAATTTAAACTAGTACAACCACTATGGAAAATAGTATGGAGATTCCTTAAAGATCTGAAAGTAGAACTACCATTTGATCTAGCAATCCCACTATTGGGTATCTACCCAGAGGAAAATAAGTCACTGTATGAAAAAGACACTTGCATGTGCATGTTTATAGCAGAACAATTTGCAGTTGCAAAAATATGGAACCAGCCTAAATGCCCATCAACCAACATGTGCTTATATTTCAAATTGTGTATATTTCTGCTACCCTGTTTTTACATTATATTGTTATGGTTTCAATTAAGGCTTCTTTAGATTTTGCCATAGTTTAAAACTGTATTTGTTCACCATTGATCTTTGAATCCCATTCTTTCCATCTGAGTAGAAGTTTCTCCTTCTTGAAGTACATTCTTTAGTAATTCAGCACAGGTCTGTAAAAATTCGTGTAGTCTTTTTCTGAACATGTTTATAATATTGCTTTCTCACTTGAAAAACAGTTTAGCTAGGTAGGGGTTGTCTTTGCTTAGGATTCCTAATACCATAAGGGTGGTATAAATTAAGACTTTACACCCATGGCTGGTGCAGCCTTGGGATTTCTATTTATCACTGGAGACACCTCCCACTTCACCACATTTCAGAGCCACAGGCAGAATACGCTGGCCTGCTGCCTCTCTGGCTGGCTGATCCCTCATGCCAGCTATGGGCATCCAGGTGGCCTCTAACTTCCCACACCACAAATAATGTGGTGATCAACCTCCTCATCCCCTTAGGTACTTGTATCAGAAGAACGTTTCCTGTCCTCCTGTGCGTGGAAGGGGCATTTTCTCCAGAGACCTGGCTTTCTGCAGCATTCTTCATTGCAGCTTCCACTCACATCTCACATCTCCCATCCTTGGCAGAGTGGGCCAGAGCCAATGCACGGGATCCTGCAGTCAGCCTATGACTTTACCCATGACGTCTGACGATAAATTCTTCTTTCAGACTTGGCTCTGTATTTTTAAAAAATGATAGCTACACTTTAACAGCATTTATAAATGTTGCCATTGGGGTTGGGGTGGAATCTATACCAGCTCTGTCCCATATGTTCCCAGGACTAGAAACATGGTATGGGCTATGTCTCACTCAGCCATGAGCACCTTTCAGGCAGATGACGACTCTTAGTCATATTTTATTTTTAATGAAGTGCAGTCTACATCCATAAATAAAAGAAAGAGGACATGGGCTCCAGGTGAAACCATGGATATGTCACTTACTAGTATTAGAATGATGGCCTCAGCCTGTTCATATATAAAATGAGGACCTTGAATTGCAGCTAAACATTCTGAAAGATATTTTCTAGCTGTAGTATACTATGACTTTAAGAAACATTAAGACAATTCCTTATGAAATGTTAGACACTAAAGTTGCCTGTCCATAATCGAGTTATAAATGTGGCAATATTCTAGGCAGTTATGGCCCAGAGAGAAAACACATGACTACTTGTGTGTGTCATCTCTAACTGTGACCTGTACCTTCCCTAGTATACGTTGAGTGTGTTGCAAAAGACTGCGTGTGTTTATCTAGAGAATAAATATTCAGGTGGAATGCCAATTTCCCTTTAAAAGCACATTCTTTGTTTCAAAAGACTGTATTGGATGGCAGTTTAAAAGGGATCGCAGCTAGTTAAATTTAGGGTGTTGAACAAATTCCAATCCAAGAATAATCCTTGGCGCTGAGCCCATGGCATTTTTATTTGATTCTAAATTGGATAAATTGTAACTCATTTAAATTACTTGCTTTCTGTATTTTTTCTTCTGAGACAGGCAACCAACCAATGGTATTTTTTCTGTCTTTCACAAGACAGTGAAATTATGACATATTGTATATATACTATCACATTTCCTGTAAGTTTCACATATTATTATACAGATTCAACTATACTTTAAAATATGTCAATCACATCAGATAAAATCCTACTAAAACTTTGCCCTTAGAAAAATATGAGAAAATAATTGCTCCATAAGTCTTTTTCCTGTAGTTAAGATGGCCTTATATTTCATAATGTAGTTTTAGTGAATTCGGGAGCCCTAAGTCTTATTTTCCTATATATTTTTCACCAATTTCTTTATCAGATTTTGTATTCTTCTTTTTATTGGGCGGGGGGCTTTATGCTTCCAGAGAGACAATATTAACTTTTAAAAATAATATAAAAAAAGAAACCAGCCTTTTATCTATTTTGTTGAGACGGTTGAAAGTGATTTAGGGATACTATTTGAAATCTGGGAGAGGATAGATCCATAAAGCCGGGAATAAGAGAAGACCAAGTGCAGGACTTTGAATGAGACCTAGTAGAGAGCAGAAGGAGCCACAGAAATGACTGCAGTTTGCTCTTTCATATGTGTATGTGACTCAGTTTCCACAGTTTCTTAAGAGAAGAAATGAGTATTGTGCATTTCCTAAAAGCCTCATACCACCTACCACAGTGAGCAGCACTTGGTGAATGCTATTCCACCATTCATCCAGTAATAACTGCCAGTTACTATTCCATGGGCCAAGGACACAGTGTAAACAAGGTAGCTGTAAAGCCCATGTCATCACAGTGCTTATGTTAGGGTTATTTGTGTGGGAGAGGTGGAGACAGAAATATATTTATAACAAAATATAGGAATAATATAATATCTGTAGCAGTAAGCCCTTTAAAGAAAATAAGCCAAGTAATGGGCTAGGAAGTAGCTCCAGGATGGGGCTAAATAGAGGAAAGATGGGGAGCCTTTCCACTCCCTCTGGATACCTCTGGAAGGAAGTAATATTGGAGCTAAACTGTCCATGCTGAGAAGGAACTGCCACGTGAATTGCTTAGGGCCGAGCATCCCAGAGAGAAAACACAAGTGCCAAGGACCTGAAGCGAGAACAAACTGAGAACAGCTGAGCAGTAGTAAAAAGGCTAATGTGGCTGGAGCCTAAGGCACAATGACAAGAAAAAGCCATAGGGGTAAGCCAGATCCTGAGGGCCCACAGCCAGGAAAGTTGTTTGAAATGTATTCTCTTTGCAATGGGCTTATAGGCTGCCCCACTGGATCCTGTGTGTCTTGTCCTCCCACTGCTGTGGCTACTGCCAGCTTCGCTGAGCTGCATGGTCCTGGTTGACAGAGTCCAAAGAGACTTAGGACATAGGCAGAAAGAACCCAGCACACTGCTACTGCAGCTCTCTCTTTCACCTCCTGAATTAAATGTGCATGTTGGGATCCCTCCACCTCCCTGATCCAGAGAGAACTGGTGCCAACTACCCACCCCACCTTGGGAAAGAAACCTAACAAGTAGAAAAGCTGCACTAATAAAATAAATCTGCAATAAGGAGTTTTTTTAATCCTAAAAATATGTGCAGTGTTAATTAGGAGAGAAGGAATGTAAGAGAAAATGAACATGCATATTTTTATGGCATGCATGCTCCTAGTTACCCAGGGGTTAAGGGCACAGTCCTCCATAAGACTGTCCTCATTTCAGACACCAGCCACAAATTCAGAGCCCCAGAGCCACGCTCACTCATGACCAACTGGCCACAAATTCAGGCATTCCTACTACCCTTGTAGGTTTGATAATTGACTAGAAAGAACTCATTGGAAGCACTGTGTTTGTGATTATAGTCTTACTGAAAAAAATACAAATTAGAACATATACACATAGGGCAAAATCTAGGGTGATTTCAACCATGAAACTTTCATCATTCCCCTCTCAGCACATTGATATGTGACAGTATGCAGCGATTTGCCAACCATGGACATTCAACCTGGGCTTCACTGTCCAGAGTTTTTAATGGGGTTTTATTAAATAGGCAAGACTGATTGGATAAGAGATCAGAAGGTTGATCTCTGATCTCCAGCCCCTGCTGCCCTCCCCAGAGATGGAGTTGATATCACCTGGCTTGGAGCTCCCACCCTTTAATCACATAGTTGGTCTTCCTGGCATAGCCAGTCCCCTCCCTTCCTGAGTCACTTCATTTGCATAAACTATCAGGCACCGGCTCAGAGGCCCACCATGAATAACAAAGACACTCTTATCACTCTGAAAATTTCAAGGGTTTAGAGGCTACCTCCCAAGAACCAAGGACAAAAGCCAGTCAAATTTTTGCTTGCATACTAAAACTCTCAAATCAGATTTGTAATCAATTATCTGTTCTGTGTACTAGTCCTGAGTACAATTTAGGTTGCTTGAGTATTGCAGAAGCAGTACTTGTTGCTTGAATTTCATGGCAGGCTAGAGCTGTGGGATTTAAGGCATCATTATAAAGTACTACAGATTTTTGTTATTCATCCTAGGCATTAAGCACCCCTTTCCCAAGCAGTATTTCTGTGTGCTTCTTTCCTAGCTGACAAGCATCATGATGCTACTACCTCTCTCCTCTACCAAGTGCATGTTGTATATTTGCCTATACCTGGCAAATGTTACATTGAGCAGATGACATCAATATTATGAAAAGTGGTGAAAGGCAACCCTAGCTTGTCCTTTTGTCCAATTGAGAGTGGTCATAAATAGAACCTCAATGTCCTTAACATTTAGAACCAGAAGCTGCTGAAAACTCTTTAAAATGTTCTTGTCTACTAAAGAAAAGACACCAACAAACAAAGAAATATAAAACAAACAAACAAACATGGGTGACTCAATGGGGAGATCATGCAGAGAATTTCATGTCTGACGGCCTAATGGTCTGGGAGACATGTGGCTTCATCTACTGGTTTTCCAGATGACCTTGAGCAATACACAGAAACTGCCTTCTGTGCTTCCCGACATGTGTGACAGCTGTAAGGTACAGCCTCAGAATGATTGCACTGCTCTTTGAACGGCTGCAATATATCTTTCTGTGATTGCTGGGCCTGCACTGACCTGAAGAACTCTGTGGGAGATGATGGCCACATGACGGCTAATTTGAGGTGGAGAGCCACAAAATTGAATCACCCAAATGTTTCCAAGCAGTGAGTAGACCAACCATCCAGAAAACTAGATTTTCTTCAAACTAAATTTTATTGTCTTGGCGCCTCAGTTTAATACCCCTTCTCACTATTCCAGTTCATTCCAAGTGAAGGTTTTTCTGATCACAATTCCTGAGGAAATCTGATGTCATCTTAATGGGTTTAGTGGGGTGTTTTAAAAGGGTACCTGGGATTTGTTTATTGAGATGTAGAAAGACAACCGACATGGAAATGATTGTCATGAAAGAAGTTTTTTTATACTCACAGATCCCTAGAAATGGAAGGCATGACACATATTTCACCACCACAAAGGGAAGCCCCAGGGGCTGTGTCAGGAAGCAGAGGGAGAGGGAAGAAAAAGGAGCAGAAGCCACTGTTGTGGTTTCTGCCAAAGGAACGGGCAAGGCAGGGCAAACAGGTTTAGTACTGGCTAGTTTGAATAATTTCAGCAGGCTCTGGGAAAGAGGAGCTGTCCCTAGTTGCATGGTGCCTGGCCCCATGGTGATTAGGGCAGATGGACAGTGAGTGGCCCAGATCGTAAGAGCTTGAGCTCCATAGAGGAGGTGGTTGGGGGTATGGGCTCTGACTGGTTGGTTTGCACATGAAAGGCAATCTCCAAGACAAGTTGTGTACTGTCTGTGACAGAGGCATTCCCTCCAGGGTCAGTCCTTCCAGGTCAGCAAGGTCTCAAATCTCAAAGTGTTACCAGAAAGGGGTCCCAATCCAGACCCCAAGAGAGGGTTCTTGGATCTCTCACAAGAAAGAATTTGAGGCAAGTCCATAGAGTAAAGTGAAAGCAAGTTTATTAGAGAAGTAAAGAAACAAAGAACCTAATTTATTTCCTGAATTAGAGATTCTGTAGGTTCTGTATCAATAAAACCCCTTGACTTTGCAAATCCAAAATCTGAAACTACAGTAAGAAAATATATTTCTGAAAGAATACTGTGATTATTTCTAAAAGCAAAGGAAACGAACAAGATAATTGTCAACTTACTGTAATATTGTCATGCTTAGCATAAAGTTCAAACCTAGATGATGCACTTTTTATTTTAGAGAGCAATTGAAATTATATGTTGACACCTTTTTATCCACTCAGTCAAATAAAGCAACTGCAGTTTTCTTCTGTTTAGGAACAATCTGGTGCTTCCATCTTCAAAACTGCTATTTACTTATCAACAGCTTTGTTCAGCTCCCCTGCTCTTTGGTCAAGTGTGAAATTAGAATGAAAACAGGGTGGTACCCACAGATAGTAAGATAATAAAAAAGGCAAAGAAGGAGTAAATAAGATGATTAGAAGAAATAAGCAATATAATTTAAAAGTGGACATGGATTATCTTAATTTAACATGAGTTTAATTTTTATTGTTATAACTTCTTTGAACATCCTTCATGTTAATTTCCTCATTGGTTCAAGTCTCATTGACCTGAAAAACGTGAAGTATTTTTTTTCCTTCTGAAGACACTTACTGAAGTAAATGTAGCCTCTAAGATGATTTTATGTCATTCAGCCTTGTTCTATCAGATAAGCTTCAACAGACCTCCCAACCTTTCTCTGTTCTGGATGATTGCAAACCAAATCCATTAGAGGAGCAAACTGTCATTGATTCGTTTTATAATATTGAATTTTGTCATGATAAATCTCATGCTATTTTTATTTCAAAGATCTGTAAGCATTCAGTGCTTTGAGGGGAAGGGTCTTAGAGAAGAAGGATGAAGTTAAGTAAATTAATATTTTTCCAATCCTACTGAATTTACAGAGTACTGAACTCACTTTGGTTTTTTTTTTGTTGTTTTTTTTTTTTTGAAATTAAAAGCCAAAAACCATGGAGTTTTATTATAATGGTTTATTCATTTTAAAAATCTCTGATTTTTTAAATTTTATTTTTATAATTTATTTACTCTTTCTTATTTTTATTGACAACAATATTATATACTTATTGTGTACATGATGTTTTGAAATATGCATACATTATGAAATGGCTCAGTGAAGCTAATTAACATATGTATTACCTCACATACCATTTTTTTGCAGTGAGAACACTTAAAAATCTATTCTCTTTGCAATTTTTGAAACACAATACATTGCTATTAACCACAGTCACCATATTATTCAATAGATGTCTTGAACTTATTCCTCCCGTCTAACTGAAATTTTGTACCCTTTGACCAACACCTCCCAACACCCTTCCTCGTAATGGTTTTTTCTGATGTACATAATGTGTATAGTACTCCAGAACCTCAGGGTCTTTTCTAGTCCACTCATAGATTCTACTCTGACCAATCATTTTCGTTTTCATTTTATTTATTTATTTATTTTTTGAGACCAGGTCTCACTCTGTTGTCCAGGACAGAGTGTGATGATCACAGCTTGCTGCAGCCTCCAACTCCTGGGCTCAGTTGATCCTCATGCCTCACCCTCCAGAGTAGCTGGGACTATAGGCACATGCCACCATGCTCTGCTAATTTTTTTTTCTTTTTAGAAGAGACGAGGTCTCAATCTCATTATGTTTTCCAGGCTGGTCTCAAGCTCCTGAGCTCAAGCAGTCCTCCCAACTCAGCAAGGGATTCCAAGAGTGACCCACTGTGAGTGGCCTGAACCAGTCATTTTCTCTGAGAGTGTGAAAAAAATGATTTTTAGCTGGTGAATGTGTTTTTATGATAAGAAATGATCATTGTATTTTTACGGACTCCATATATAATGTCCTTTGCCCATCTCAGCAAAGGAACAAGAAACTATTTTTAAACATAAATATAAATACTTATAAGCCAACCTACTTATTATTGCCTAGAACTATTCAGACAAGAGAGGTAACATTTTACACCCAAAAAACCATGATATTGCTTTAAAAGATTTTTTTACTATGTAATATTTGGCGTATACAAAAAAGTAATATATATATATAATATAATACATATTACTTTTTTGTATATGCCAATATATATTTGTATATATACAAATATTATATATAATATATATAATATATAATATAATTATATATGATATATACAATATAATTTTGTATATATTATATATATTTTTATATATATATACATCCATGTTTTAAAACATAATAATAAATTAAATACTCATGAACCAACCAAACAAATGAAGGTGTAGAATATTAGTAATATCTATGTGCCCCTTCCCTGCCTCCCCACACTCACAGAGGTCCACTAGAGTGAATTTTGTGTTTATCAAAGATTTTACCATCTATATTTACAGACTTAAACTACATACTCCTTAGCTGTGCTTCTTGTTGAGCATTATAAAAAGTGACATCATACATAGTGTCATAGTGACTCTACATGGTCACAACTGTATATAACCTTCTGTGACTTGCTTTCCTCCATAACATTATGTGTCAAATATTTATCTATTTTGTTACATGTCACTGAACTTCATTCATTTTTTCCTATTGTACAGCATTCTCTTATGTGGACATCACAATTTACCTGTTCTCCCAGCAGTGGATATTTGTGTTGTTTCCAGTCACTTGCTGTTATCTCAGTGCTTATAAATGATTGTTTCTCTTACACCCAGGAATTCCATTCCTGGGTTATGGGTTATGCTTATTATGCTCACCTGCACAGTTGAATTTCAAATTGTTTTCCAAAGTGATTAGACCTCCTTCTCCTTCATCAGCAATGTATCCCATTGGTTCTTTGTATGTCAAACTTAGCAGTCTAAGGAATAATTAATGTTTGCATCACTGAACTGATTGGGAATACTTGTTTCTGTGAGTTACTTACTTTTCAAGGTCTCCAGAGGAGACTTTCAGGCCTTAGTAAGGTCATTACAGCACATTAATTTTGTCTTCTGGGTTTCTTTACTTGGTTTTACTTTAGTTTGCTCACAGATGCCCCTTCCAACCAAGCACCAGGTGCTTAAGGTTTTCTTCCATAATTAGTTCCATCAACAGTTTTTGTTTTTTATTTCCTGAATACACGTGCGTTAATGGCTACATGTACTTTCCTACTTATACAGGGGCAATAACCACCTTATCAACAGTAATAATATTGACTAACATTTATAAAAATCAAATGATATCAGTCACTCACTTATCCTTCTCTCCAGTTTCAGCCAGGAAACAAGTGAAATCGAGATATGATATCGCATTTCTGCTTGTAAAATTGCGTTGGAGAAATGGAAAAACTTGGCCCCATCCTTATTCAATCTGTCTCCAGTTACTCCTGGAGAAACTTAAGAAGGCTACCCTGCCTGTATCAGGGGTCAGGCCCTGACTTGAGAAGCTTGAAGCTTGGTAGCAAGAAGCTAAGGAGGAAAGGATATTCAGCTTCAAGGGATGCAGGTAGGAAGCAGGAGACAGAGACAGACAGACAAGAGTTGGAGACTTAGGATCCCTACATTTCAGTGTAGCAACCCCATCTCTGGAAGCCATGGCCCATTGCAAGCCAGACTCACAACAATCACATAGCTCTTCCCTCTTCCTATGGAGGAAATGGACCACTCTATTAAACACTCTGTATACATTATCCTATTTAATTTGTAAAACATTCTTATGCATGGATATTAATATTTCATTACAATGTTATAGATGAAGACACTAAAAGATTACAGACATACTGATAATTTCATAGCTAAAAGTGATAGAGCTGAAATTTGAACTCAAGTCTATTGACAACAGAACCCAAAAGTTTAGCCTCTTCCCTATACTGCGTCTTCTTAACAGGAACCTTCTGGAAACCCTGCCTTCATTCAGCAAACTAACTATGCTAAGGTAAAGACCTGGCACCAAGGCAAGTCATAAGGAGATGCCTCAGGACTTCTTGGTTCCCCTAAAAATATATATTGTGCAATCGTCTTTGACTTCAGAATTCCAAATTCAGCATTGAAAAACTAGCTTAGTAATGTTTCCACTTAGACATTTTAGTACTTAATTAAATGAATACCCATGTGAGGCTTATTATGTGCCTGGAACTCTTTGGATTGCCATCTGAGCCCCCACCTACATGCACATGTACACACATGAACACATATACACATATGCCCATACACACACAAAATGAAAAAAAGACATATTGCCCACCCTCAAGAAGTTTGAAAGCTAATGGAGGCCAGGAGGGAAGAAGGAGAAAACATTTCATCCAACAACTTTAAGTGTCTTCTTTAGACAGAGCGAGGCCTGTGGTGTACCTGGGAGAAACATGAAGAAGGAGATGGATGCAAGAAATATTCAGGATTCAAATGATTGGGTAGCCCAGTGCATATTGGTGTGATAGAAGTGAATGGTGAGGTCTGGGTGAACTCCCCACTTTCAGGCTTGGATGGCCAGGTGGTATCATTTGCCAGGAAAAATAATAAATGGGGGAAGAATAGGTTTAAGGGAAACATGGTTAGTTAAATAGACAAGTGTGAAAATGGCTGTAAAATAAAGCCACCATGAAAGATGATCATAAAACTCTGTAGCTATTACCATAGAAGCTATGATAGTTAATTTCATGTGTCACCTTGACTGGATCAGAGGTACCCAGATGTCTAGTTTAACATTATTTCTGGGTGTATTGGTGAGGTGTTTCTGGAGGAGATTAGTACTTACTCCGTAAAGTAGATGGTCCTCTTTAATGAGAGTGGGCATCATTTAACCTATTGAGGGTCTGAATAGAACAATATGCAGAGGAAGGAATTTGTCCTTCTTTTCTCCCTCACTGCTGGAGCTGGGACATCTCTTCTGATCATCTACTGCACTCAGACTGGGAGTTACACCATTGGCTCCTCTAGTTCTCAGGCCTTCGGGCTCATACTGGAAGTACACCACCAGCTTTCCTAGTCTGCCTTGTTCAAGGAGCTTAGAGTCTAGTCCAACTTGTAGATGGCACGTCGTGGGATTTCTCAGCCTCCATAATCACATGAGCTAATTTCTTATTTTATATGCATATATCGATATAGATATATTTCCCATTGGTCTGCTCTCTGGAGAACTGTGAATAACACAGAAGCTAAGGGCTTTTTACCAAGATAAATGATCATTACTCCAATTTCCAATCCTTCCAAGATATCACACACACTCTACTCAGGTTCTTCCAAGACACTGTGCACTGAACTCTCAGACAGGACACCTAAGCTCTCATGAGTTCCCATTTGCTTCCTTCTGGAATATCATAAAATCAGTGCTGACATTTAGATGACATATTTCCATTTTTTTAGCTTCTGAGACCTCAGTCTATGAATCAAAATGTTAAGCACTGAAGGAGAGATTCTGTCCTGAATATGTCAAGCTGACAACGTGAGGAAATATGCATTCTTCTTAAGACTGCTGTATTTTCTTCTTTTAGAGGTATCTGGATAGCAAACCTGGATCTTTGAATAGAGTTGAATAGATTTTTGTTGGTAGGAGTGGTGGTAAAAATCCATGTTTTCTTCAGAACATTAATTTTCATTCATTCATTGTTTCCTTTGACTTAAAGTCTTTAGTTCTGCTTACTAATGAGTTTACGTTGATACCACAATATGATATTAAATATGTGACATAACATCATAATGATCATTTTAGCAACATCAGTTTTATAATAGTACAATCGAACACATTTTTATTTAGCAACTCTTATGCCTGGCAATATAGTAGTGAATCAGGCAAGCGCAGTGTCTGCCTTGTTCAAGGAGCTTATAGTCTAGTCCAGAAGAGTCATTGAAAAAGTAGTTGCAGTTGGGTTGAGAGTTACACACTGGGAAGTACAGAATGCTATAGGAACCTGGAAGAAGAGGATGTAACCAATTGAGTAGCTTGTCAGTAGCGAACAGCTTTTATTTGACCCTCATATCAACTATGTGCAATAGGTTATCCCATTTTAAGTTTGAGAAAGCAGGCTCCATGAGCTTGATAGACTTGCCTTCATAGTTAATAAGTGTTCAGGACTAGAATCAAACCTTTTGTTCCAATCCCCAAGCTCTTTCCACTAAACCACTGCAGAATAGCAATCATGATTTAGAAGAAATTAATCCTAGGTATGGATAAAAGGGAGGATTAGTCACTAGCCAATCAAAAATTAGCCTTAGAAACTCTTCCTTTTTCCTCTCTAGTCATCCAACAGAACACACATTAAGCAATATGTTCTTGGTGATTTTCTGCTTATTTGAATCTGTGAGAACTGGGATCTGGAGTCCTGCAGCATTGCACCTGTTGGGTGAGGGGAGGCGCCTGCAGTTCAGGTACTGCCCATGTGGAGCCTGAGAACAGAGTCTCCCTGGGAAAGTACAAAGACAGATTGGCTCCTGGCAAGAGCTTGGCCTGGAACTCCCTTAAGACTCATCAAGCCCACTCTGAACTGGAGCTATCAAGTTTGAATAGATGCATGGAATCACTACTGGAGGACTCTGAAAAATAAATTGTAACAGGCCAATTGGGGAACAAGACCAGAACCTGAGGTACCACTATGGCAGTTTCTCATTTTCCTATGGAATTTCGCAGCCTGGAATCAAGGCAGCCCAAAGCCTGGAAGGGGACCTTGAGTATGGACAGAGAGAATGCCAGGAGAAGCCCCCTAGGTCTAACTCAAGACATGCAAAAGGGAAAACCAATGAAATTTTTTCCTCTCAATTATTTGCCTGAACTCCCAGACAGTTCCATTGCAGCAGCCACAACAGGAGTCTAGTCTGCAGGTCCCTAAAACCCTGAGGGAGGGGACCCTTCCATTGTAATTCAAGGAGCTGTAATCCCAAAAGGGTATGGAAGACCTACCACCTCTCTGCCCTCTTGCTTAGCCCTGAATGTAGGTGCAGTTGCAGCAGAGTTGTGGCTAGACCCCAGCTTTTCGGCTATCCAGAAGACAGAAAATGAATAATTTAGACTTGAGTAAAATTTATAACTGTTATCTTGCAGAAATACTGTTAAGAAAATAAAAAGACAAACTGTGGTCGAAAAGTAAATGTTTGCAATTCATATATCTGATGAAGGACTTGTGTGCTGAGCATATAAAGAACTCTTAAGACTCAGGAGTAAGTAAACACATTCAGTTGAAAAATCAGCAAATCAGAAGAATTCCATGAAATTTATATAAGTCCGCCCTCAAGGAGAGGGAGCAGAACTACCCACTCCTTGAGTGTAGGTTGTGCATAATGACTTCCTTCCAAAGAGTGCACTATGGAAAGGGGGAGGGATAACTTTACAATGGAGAAGCCTGACACACACCACCTGAGCCAGATGATCAAGGCCAACATCAACAGTTGGTAGAAGATACTCTTGGTAAGATATGATGGGAACGGCATTTTTCCTCTGTGGCCTTCCTCCCCCAAACCCACAATCTCAGTCTAATATTTAATTAGAAAAACATGAAACAGATTTCAATTGAGGGGTGTTCTATAAAATAACTGACCAGTACATCTTAAAATTATTACAGTCATCAAAAAAACAGGGACGTCTAAGTAACTGTCACAGCCAAGAGGCCTAAGGAGACATGATGACTAAAGGTACTGTGGTATCCTGGATGGGATGCTGCCACAGAAAAAGGACATTAGGTTAAAGGAAAGGAAATCTGAATTAAGTGTAGACTTTAGTTAATAATGATGCATCAACATTGCTTCATTAACTGGAACAAATGTACCATATTTTTTATGCAAGATGTTAATCACAGGGGAAACTGAAGACATGATGTAGGGGGACTCTACAATATATGCAAATTTCTTACAAATCTAAAACTGTTCTAAAAAATAAAGTTTATTTTCTAAAATTACATTAAAAGGCAAAAGAAATGGCAAACGATTTGACCAGACACTTCTTCAAGGAGGATATATGAATGGCAAATAAGCACATGAAAAACTGCCCAACACCTTTGCTCATTAGGGAAATGCAAGTTAAAACCACAATTAGATATTACTACACAATACCCGACAGTACACAATTCTAGAATCCAAGAGGTCTTAGTTGTCATTTGTACCCAGTGTGCTTACGAATGAAGGATTGCTGCTTGTTTTATAAGGCAACTGTTTTGGCTTTCTTAAGCCAAGAGAAACTTTCCATTCTTGAAAGTTCATTGACAAGGAAAACGGTTCCCCCACCGCACCCAACTCCCTACTCACTACAACACCTCCCTGTGTGCAGGACGGGTATAGGAACCGGTAGCATCTTCATCCTGCAGGGAGGCTGGCTGGGGAAGCTGTGTCCAGGAGTCCTGCCAGCTTGGGAAAGCTGGCTCCTGTAGCCCTCCTCAGCTGTACATATGATGCTGCTTTCTGGCCATGACTACCAGAAAAGGTCTGGATCTTCTCACAAGTGGATCAGTCGAGAAGTGGTCTGTATAAGCCTCATGTGCCAAGAAAAGCCCAGCTCATTGTAGTGGGAAGGACTCCTTGGGGTCCGCAGTCAGGAGCAGGCTCTGAAACACCTGGAAGCAGGTCACAGCCTTCCACGAAGCAGGAGCCCTGTGACACCACACAGGCTAGTGAGTTGCTAGGAGCAGTGGCTCCCTCTCACTTCCTGCCATTGCTGCTCTATCCCTCCCTTCCTGTCTCCCTATACCCTGTCCCATCACACTGCCCCAGTCCTCAGTTATCCTCCACTCTGAGTCTTACCTCTGTGATATCTTATACCAGTATCCTATGTCCTGTATATGAGCTTGGGTTTTATGTGACAGAGGTAGTGCAAAGACAGTGATTGGAACAACAGTTTAGACCCATGGTTCTTGACCTTGGCTACATACTTGAATCACCTATGGAGTTTTTAAAATTCCAATGCCTAGAACTGCCCTGGCTAATTATAACATATTTTGGGAAATTGGGAGCCAAGCATCAGTATTTTTCTAAAGCTTCCTAATTGATTCCAATGTTTGGCCAAGCTTAAAAAGCCACCGATTTAATCGAAAGCACAGTAGAGGAAAGTAGGGAAGTTATTGGTCTAGCTATAGCCTCTGACCCTTCTTACAGCTCAGTTGGAAAGTTCCTGCAGTAGGTCAGGTAAGAGGATAAGAACAGCAGTAGTGATGAAGAGGTGGGACAGCTTTGAGTGATCATGAAAGGTGGGGTCAGCAGACCAGAGCTTTCAGGAGTCATTGAATAGGGAGTCAAAGAGGGGTCTAGAGGAGGCCATACATTCAGATTTTATTAAATCAGTATAAGGAAGGCAGGAAGATGAGGAAAATAGTTTTGGTTGTGGACATGTTGGATGTCACATAATTCTGGAGCTATCCAGGTGGCATTGTCAGATGCTCAGAGGAGAGTTGGGCCAGAAATATAATTTGGAAATCATTGGCAGAGCATGATACTTAGAAGCTTGGGAGTCAATGAGATTATCTTAGGAGAGCAAGTGGAGTGGAAAGGACAGAACCTTGGGGAGCGCCAATGTGCTTAATGGGAGGGCAGAAGAAAAGCCAGCCAAGCAGACTGATAAAAAGAGAACCATGAGAACTGTCATGAAAGACAAAGGAGCAGACAGTTTCAGGAGGAGAACTCAGCAGGTCCAATGCTGCTGCTAGATCCAGTATGGTGTCTATTGAATTGGCAATGTGAAGGTCAATGGGGACTTACACTAGAGCATTTTAGCTGACCACAATGGGGTTGGAGAGGGAAATGAGGAAAGGGAGACAGCAAATACAGATTACTCTTCTGAAAAACATGGCTGTGAATGGAAAGAGAGATGCTCAGTGGTACCTGGAGGAAAAGGCAGAATTCAGGGAGGAATTTTCTTTATCTGGTGAATTTATAAGGTATAGGGAAAGAGATTGAAACTCTTACCAATAAAGAGATTGAAACTCCAAGAGAGAGATGGGTAATTGATACCTCAAGGATCCTTAGTGGGAGGGAGGGATAGGTATTTAGAGATAGTGGAACTTTGAGCACAAGGGACCCCTTTGTTTTATTTATTTTATGTGCGTGTGTGTGTGTGTGATCCTAGAGAAACAAAAAGGGTTTCTTGAGGGAAGATTATGGTATCAACACACTTTTATTTGAGCCTCCTTGTAGAAGGCCAGGGTTGGCACAATGGGGGCTGATGCTGAAGTTTGGGCACTGACAGCAAAGGAAAAGTGAGACTTTCAGTAACAGAGGAGCCAAGATGTGAGCACAAACCAAATCCCAAGAAGTGCTGAGCTTCAAAGTTGAGGAAGTCAAGAGTGGTCTTCAAGTTCAAAGGTTACAAGTGGGGCCAAGATTACGATACCAAGCCAAGGCCACATGCCCTGTGGGGTGTGCATGGCATGGCAGAGGGGAATCAAAGGCATAATAAGGAGACTCCTAGGAGCTGAGGCTTTGTTATTCATTACCTGGCCTGAAAGGAGAGCACAGGAAGTTGAGAGATTGCCCTCTGCAGAGTGGCTCTTTCTTTCTGCTCCGAACAAGGCAGGACTCATGGTGTCTGATGAGCAAAAGGGGGCAGGAGTTTGGTAAGGAGACTGCAGGAGAAAGGAACAGTTCTGGAACGGCCACTGAGAAGATTCGAAAAGGAAGTTGACCAAGGACAAATAAAAGAGTGGTCCAGCTGAAATTGGAGACTAGCAATATGTAGTGGCATTAGTCCTCATGGTTGAGTTATTGTCTCCATTTGCACTTGGCAGCCTAGGTGTAGCAGCAAACAAACAGCATTGTGAGATCCATCCTGCCAGGCAGGTGTGGCAAAGTCCAGGGTCCAGGCAGGCAAGGATGCTGGAAAAGACCAAGCCGAACAGGCTCAAAACAAATGTGTATAAACATAGATCTAAATATAGCCATGCACTTACATAGCTAATGAATGACTCACAATTATGAAAATTAATCCAAGCCTGTTTTTAGATGGCATTTTCTCACTTTTCTGAGAGTAAAATCTCCTGTTTGTTTTATTCAAGATGCTCATCTGCTCCATGTTTATTACACAAACCTCTGAGTCTTCATTTCCATTTTGAAAGGAGAATATTCTACTCTCTCTTCTCATTGTTGAACGGTTATCAGGCAGATAGCGAGGTAGCTGAAGTTCTAGCGGTACTTTTGCAGTGAGTACCTAATGCTTAAATAGTGATTTAATTGGCAGTCATTGAAAACTCAGGGCCCACAATTCTATATTTTTTGAAGAAAGAACATTGGTTATTTCCCATGGGCATTTCATTAATGGAGAAAAAACAGAACTCTGCTGACTAACCTGGTTTGACATTTACTTAAAATAAGCCAAGTGCTATTTATCTGGATTACCTTATTATATGCCCCAGCTCTGTTGGATAATTAAGGGACAGCTGGAGAATGAGGATAAAATCATGCCAATATTTTATAAGAAGAACTTTTAGGGCTCCTTTTCCTGTGTTTAATGAACTTAGTCTGAACTAATGAAAGTGTTATGTTGGGGCCACGGGGATAGAGTGGAGGCAGAGGGTAAGGTTGAACTCCCTCTTGTTTTAAAAAGAACCTTGCTTATTTTAATCAGTAAAAAAGAGGGATAGAGGGAAGGATGTGAATCTTTTCTGTTTTAATAGAAAAAAATTCGTTCTTGGCTCATTTATTCTACTTTATGATACTATATTACATAATAAAATACGGAAAATGAAACTCGCCCTGTGGAGAAAAGAATACCACCTCTCTATATTCATTGGAAATTAAGACATAAAATATCTTAATGGGAATTTATGATAAAAACCCCTGGGTAATCTGGGAAGAATCCTGCAAAGGATCATGCCTCCTATAGGCACTTGCTGTATGTTAATAGGTGGCCATCAGAATTAAAATTTGGTTCTCTGCTCCAACTCTGCTGCCTTCTTTCTCCTACCACTGTTACCCAAAATTATGCAACCACACTGTGCAAGGCTTGGAAAAGAACTTATATTCTCATCTTTTTGTGGGATGAATTAACCAAACTGCAACATGGCAGATCCAGAATGCTGTGATCCACACTAACCATTAAAAGTAATAGAAATCACCATTCCTGTACTTTGGAAGCAGTGATAACTAGGGCCTTGGAGATAGAGATAGAGATAGAGATAGAGAAGGTGATACAAGGTTCAGTCTGCCCCAGTTCTGAATGGCATCCTCATGGGTAAGGTGGCTCAGCAGGCAATCATCATTCATGGGAGGATTTATCAGGAACCCTTTTAGGATAAGCCCGTTATTCAAAGGCTAGGAGTGCTGACTGGATAGCTGAATGAGATGAGATCAGAGTCAAGGTCGGGACAAAGCCACCAGAATTCAGGTAAGGTAACCAGTGTCACTGGCAGAAGCAAGGAAACTCAGTGTGATTGGGGGTGTAGTGTCTAGAGTTTGGACAGCCTCTTCCTAAAACAAATAAATCAGTGGTCCACATAGTCAACCGAGATGCATGCTTTTACTTAGCCTTACTTTGTCCTTCTTTGGGGCTTTAAAAGATCCTTCTTACAAAAAGGAGACAAGTTGTTGTAAGGACAAGCCCAGATGTCATGGAAAGTCTACAGATTTGGAGCCAGATCAACCAAGGTGAACCTCAGCCTCAGCACTTGCTACTTTCATGGACTTAAGCAAGTTAACTGACCTCTCTGAGCTTCCATTCTCTTAACTTGGAAGTGAGGACAATAATAACTACCTATCAGGCTGCTGTGAGCATTCAGTGAGGTAATGTATGAGGTTTCTGGCACATAAGAGTGTCTTAATAAATATTTCTCTTTCCCATTCATGCATAGACATTCAAACAACTGAAATCATGTAGGCCAGTACTGAAGTCCCCCATTTTTCAAATGGGGCAGGTAAAACATTTTCTTGCCCAACACCTCAAACCATCATTCCCAAATTTGCTCCCTGGACCAGCAGCAACAGCATCACCTAGGCACTCAGGCCCCATCCCAGACCTACTAAATCAGAAACACATGAGATGGGATCCTATGTTTCACTAAGCCCTCCAGCTTATTTTGATACAAAATGAAATTTAAAAACTATTGTATGAAGGTAAATCAGATCAGTAACTCACAGTATATGACAGGTATGGAGCTCACAGGCCTCAGTTAGCAGCATATACTAAGTACAGCCTCATATTTACCTACTAAGATTGACTTGGTGTTGGCAGTACTTTACTTTGAGCTGCATGATCTTGGCCTCAAGTGGGGTCCACATCATCATGGTACCAAAGTCCTGGACTTGGGGAGAACAGTAATTTCCCAAATTATTTCTACTGTCAGACCATATGTTGGATCACGTATCTTAATCAGGTTTGAGAAACAGAGCTCATCACCTCCCTGCTGCATGAAGCACCATCACCTCCTCTTTCCCTTCTTCCCAGCTGTATTTGGTGACTGAATAGCAAGTGGTCACTGGGTAACTTGGGATGCTTTTGACTATTGTACAACCTCAGATTCTCAAAAACCATTATGACTATCAACAGCAGCAGCCCAGAGGGTAAGCTTCCAATTGTCCTTGATAGTTTAGCCTATGGGTTTAGGGAGCAAGGTCAGTCTGCAATATCTGACTTACATAGTCCAGAACAGAGGTGTACTCGGAGGAGATGCTGCCCCACTCTCTACCCTGCATCCATCCTGGGGGCCCTGCATTGGGTGCTGCCTCACTGTGGACTTTGAAATACTCTGCAGCAGGCGTCTGTCATGCTATGGGTTACCTGCACACCTGCTCCCTCTCTCTTCTAGTCCTTCCATGTGAGAGAAAAACAAAATACAGCCTTGAGCTTGAAACACATGCATTCACAAATGAGCCCCTTCCAACAATGCCTAAGGAGATTTGGGGAAAAAACCCAGCTCTTTCTCTCTTGTACACACTGTGGTTGCCAAAGGATAAGCATTGTTCTGTCAAGGTCCAACACTTGCTAGAGTGATTGCTGGAACCTTCAGGGAGGAGAGATTGTGTTTATAATGAGAGGAAAATGGATTAATCAAAACTCTAGCCTTCAGCTGTCAGCACTAGAATACAATATGTCAATTGGAATATGAGGTGGCTTTGACAAGAATACCATCTTGCTTGCTTTAGTCAATCCTATTTGGAGCAACCTGATCTAAGCAATGATTTTCTCTGCAGCAAATGAATGCATACCAACAAAATCCATTAGCTATGAAAGTTACGGCATTGATTTTAGAATAAAATACTGTTACAAAAAAAGGAAGTCATATTCTAATATCTCCACTGCTGACAGCCTGTACAAGTCTCAGGAGAGAGCTACTTGCAAAAGTATATCCCCTTCATAAGGCACAGATAACTTGTATATCTTAATCAATAGCCTATAGACTCTATAGTATAGTATAGAGTCTAGTCTATAAATAAGATCACTAGCAGTTAGATTTATGTTAGAAGTCTAAAACAAAAATTTGTTTTAAACTGGCATTACTTTTGGGGTTTAGAGATACTTGTATTTCTGTAAGTTCTTTATGAAATACATTGTACTACCTGCCAATGAGTTCAATCTGAGTAGCGCCACCCTCCTGCTCTAAACAAACATGCAACCATGTCACCGAATTTACATTAGAAACCCATTTCAAGTTACCACCTGCTTCGCAGCCAATGTGACTTTCTGCCAGTGTTCTGTGATCGATGGGGGATGTGCTGTGGATTTGAGGCTATAGCTTTAACATTTTCCAGGCATGAATGATACGACATCTGTACCTATTCCAGTATAAGCATATCAGCAATCTAAAAGGGATCTGCTGACATGTTTAGACAAATTGCCTTAATATTGCTGAAAGCAAAACTGAGAAGAAAATAATTTTTAATGGAATTTCACTTAGAATCCATCCCATCTGAGTTCTCCTCCACGCTTAACATCTCCATTACTCAAATATGTGGTTGAATCACTGAAGTCCTGTACTGCTTGGCACAGTTTAGGTGCTCAACATTGTGTCCTGGGTACACAATGTCTTCACACCACCTTGGGCCTTACTCTATCTGATAAGGGATGCATCCCTTGATTTCTTCATATGTAAAGTGAGGATATACATTATTCATATCCATTCATAGGGATTTCAGAGGATTCAATGAAATAATAATATATCAGGGAGCTTGCCTATAGAAAGTGTTCAGTAAATGTTAGCTCTTATTATTCTGTGTATGCCGATCTGTTCCAAGAAGCCTAAAGCTCAATAATTTGATGTTTCTGTTTCTCCATTTGAGCACTGAAAAGCTGACTTTGTTTCCTAGTAGCTAAGGAAAAAACAGAACAAAGCAAAAAGTAAATCATATTAACAAATATATATATATATATATATATAGTGTGCAAATACTCATAAACATACATACATACAATAAGTGAATTTTTCATTTTAATGGCAAAATAAGGCATATGTATGTATATAGGCAGAAAAATCCTTTCTTTGAATTAAGTTATCTTCAACGAGAACTTTGCAAAGTAAAAAAAAAAAAAAAACAGAAAAAGAAATGCTTTTAAACAAACTGTTCTTGGGTCATTTCTATCCTAAAGCTGAGGAACTGATATCAGGTAGTAACTGAGAAAGGGCTTCTCTCTAGAGTTTTTCTCACTAATGATGTATGTTAGCTCGAGGGTAGAACCTGAAGACTCTGGAGCAGTGCACATAGCTCACCCGCACCACTTGGGTATTTCACTAAGGTGCAGATTCCTAGGCCCAACTGACACCTAAGAAATCTGAATTTCCAGGGAATCCTGAGTCTCCTTTTTTTTTAACTCCCCCTCCTCCCCAAGGCAATTACAACAAGCACCGAAGTATCAGAACCACTGATTTTTTGCTATCTCTGGCTACATGTTGACAGATATGCTTTTGAAAAATCCAGTGTCTAGATGGGCATCGGACAGATGCTGGATCCTCTAAAACTGAGATGGAGCTAAATGGGGGGTTGGAGCAGTTAATGAATTGGAGAGCCATTTGCTGAAACACAAAACCCAAGGAGAGAGGCACCATTTGGTTGTGATTATTTAAAACCCAGACTTCAATGTCTCAAAAATAATTTAGCATGGACATTGGAAACTGAGTGTCTGTGGGTAAAGCCAATAGTTTCCATTGATAAAAACAGAATTCTTTAAACGATTACTCAAATATGTGGTTGAATCACTGAAGTCCTGTACTGCTTGGCACAGTTTAGGTGCTCAATATGATAAAAGACTAAATACCAAGAAGAATGTATTATAAGCTTAAACAATAAGTATTATTGTAAAGGCCTATGTGCCACACTGTTGGAAAACAGAAACAGAAGGTTTCCCAGAGGAGGAGACCCTGGGGAAGGAGCTGGGCTTTGGTAGGAAGGTGGAGGAGAAGCAGCATCCGAGGCAGAGCAAACAGAATATACAAGGCACAGGCACAGCAGAGACCTTGTCTTGTTCAGGAATTACAAGTAGTTCTCCATGCCAGGAGTCCCATAGTCCCACAGAGAAAGCCACAGAAACCAGGGCCAGTAACCAACAACCACTGAGATCCTGGAATATGATTTCAGGGGTGAAAGTGGAAAGGAGGACTCAGCTAGATGCCAATGACCTTAAGGAAAGAGGCGCAGTGCCCTGAGAGTTGGCAGAGCACAGTGACGGAGAAAGGCAGGATGGATAAGATGACTTTCACTGCTGGATGATAGGCAACCAGCACCTGACTGGAGCAGATATGGGAGAATGTGCCACCTTTATTCAAGATTTGGCAAATAACAGAATGAGGGCCTGCAGAAGGTAAGGAGGTGGAGACAACACCTCACAAAGAGGTTGGAGATGTAAGGGAACTGTATTCCAAAGGACACAGTAGAAATGGCCAAGGAGGGGACCCTAGGGGTTGGAAGAGCTGAAAGAGGGATAAAACACACAGGGCTCATGGTTCTATCAACTAGTGTGATGGTCAGGAAGGACAGCCATGGGAAACAGGCAGTGCCATCCACTTGGCATCCAGTTCTAAGTAGAGTCTATCCTGGGCCCCAAATTGCCTTTTGGACAGTTGATGTACACAGTGTACCTCTAGTGTACCTCACACAGTGAGTAAGGCCCCTTGTTTTGACCATCATATATAGTCTTATATTCCATTTGCCTATGTTCTTTCTTAGTAAAGAAAACAGGCAATAGTAATCATCACAGAATAATCCTACCCAATTCCTGATTGCTTATGCACATATTTAGGAGAGTACGTTCTCAAATTTATCAAGAGAAAATGAGCACTAAGAGGCTGGCTTGTTTTCAGTGCTTTTCCACTCAACGGAAGCATAGACCAGAATTAGTGTCTATTCTGGGCAAAATATATCTGCCAAATTCACAAGGAGAAATTCCCTGACAGGAGATGACAGGAGTACCCCCGCCCAGCACAGAGTACGAACTGGCTATGACAAATATTCTTTTAAGTTGATGAAGTTAGTGGTTCTCAATTGCAGAATATCCCAGGAATCTATAAAATAGGAAGAGACTGACATAACTCTGTTTAATTGTGAGGAATTTTAGGTCTAGTCATCAGCAAACCTTGTTTCTGGATCCCAGTTGCCTGAACTACACTGCAGGAAATGATGCCCTAAACTTTCACTCATTATTCCCCACAGCCAAGCTGAGCCCCAGCAATTAGGATGGACTCTCACCCAGAGTTGTCTGTCAACAGTTTCCTCCTATTGGGGAGATAATTGCTGGGAAAAGTCCCTAAACCTGTGAAGCCTTCAGATGGAATTATCTGACTTCCATTTGTGTGCTGTGTTGATAAATATGCCATTAGTTTCACCACCACTATCTTTTCTGGCAAACCTTATTAACCCAAATTTAATGGCAATTCTCTGCTAATTTCAGTCAGTCTCCTTTGTGCTCAGATGTAGTTAAAAGGAATATTTCTCCCCAAACCACAGTGAGTGTAGTCATATCCAAATCTTTATCTCTGAGAGGCTCCTCAGTTTTAACCTCTTTCACAAAAATATCACAAATTTAAATTGTGTGTGTTGTCAGCAATTTTGAGGGTCAGAATAAGTTTAATGGAAAATAGTCACTTTCAAGATGATTGGGACCTCTATCTGTAGAGCTGAGATAAGCACAGACAAGCTGATTATCAAATAATCAATATACTGATTAGTTTATTTAAAACACATAGGTAATGAATGCTATAGTGGTTCTCGAACTGCAGCATGCATCAGAATCACCGTGGAGGACTTGTTAAGACACTAATTGGTGGGCCATAGCCCCAGACTTTCTAATTCACTGGATCTGGGATGGGGCCCAAATATTTAAATTTTTAACGCATTACAAAGTGATGTTGATTGCTGCTGCCCTGGAAACCAGGCTGTGAGAACTTCTCTTTTATCCCAACAACTATTAATATCATTTTAAAATTGTAGTTTTTGGTGATAAATTGATAGAGACAGATATTTTTCTCTTTCATTCTTAATGCTGCTTCTCAAAGAATGGCATAGGGCCAAATACACCCAACTCACCTGGATGCTTGTGCACAATGAGAGGGGTCTATCTCAGATCTATGAATCTGAGGCCTTGAGTGATGAACAAGCTTCCTAGGGACACCTTTGAACTGCCCTGTGATGCTTATTCTCAAGCCTTGGCTCCCTGTTGGAATCACTTGAAGAGCTTTAAAGAACACAGATTCCCAGGTTTCAGCTACAGAGATGGTGATATAATTGATTTAAGTGCAACCTGGACATATTGTGTAAAAGCTTCCCAGAGATTCTCACATCCAGCCAAAGAATCACTGCTCTGAAAGGATAGCCTATGAACAAACTCTTCCCAATTTCTTCTTTCTTAAACTATGTTCCACAAGAGAATTTGTGGTCCACCAGATGTTTATAAGTGGATTTTTCTAATCTAACACAGCCAAGAAATACTGGGTTAAACAAAGTTACTAGGTTGTTTGACACCAAGATGCCTCAGGGTCCTTAATATATTTCTTCACATCACAATTTTTTCCTGTGAGATTTCCCAAACAGTTTCACCAGGGAACACTTTTTCTAAGAGCACTTTCTTGAGTGAATTTCAGAGAACCCCATAAAATTGTGTGTATGCTTATATGTGAATGTATTAACGCGTGCACTTATGTTTTCTGGAAAGAAACATATTCATCAGATTTTGCAACCAGCTCTGAATATGATCCATAGATACCTAGGAAATACTCACCTAGACTGTCAGATCCATTTGGAGTGCTAAGAAGATCTATAAGGAGTATATAAAGGAAACAGAATTATTCCTTCATTGTCTGAGACATGTATTAGTCCATTTTCATGCCATTGATAAAGATATACCCAAGACTGGGAAGAAAAAGAGGTTTAATTGGACTTACAGTTCCGCATGACTAGGGAGGCCTCAGAATCATGGCAGGAGGTGGGAAGCGAAAGGCACTTCTTACATGGCAGCAGCAAGAGAAAAAAAATGAGGAAGAAGCAAAAGCGGAAACCCCTGATAAACTCATCAGATCTCATGAGACTTATTCACTATCACGAGAATAGCATGGGAAAAACCAGCACCCATGATTCAATTACCTCCCCCTGGGTCCCTCCCACAACATGTGGGAATTCTGGGAGATACAATTCAAGTTGAGATTTGGGTGGGGACACAGCCAAACCATATCACATGGTATATCCACCAGGTTATCTTTACACTAATACGTGCTAGTTCCTTTCTTTCTTTTTTTAATATCTTTATTGATATAGTATTTACTATAAAATTCACTTATTTAATGCATACAATGTAATTGTTATAGTATATTCACCAAGTTGCACACTCATCACCACAATGTAAGTTCACAACATTTTTGTTCCCCAAACAGAAATCCCATGCTTATTAAAGAGTCACCTCATCCTCTCTCCCTCCCCAGCACTAGGTGACCACTAATCTGTTTCATATAAATGGAATCATACAATATGTGATCTTTTGTGACTGGTTTCTTTCACTCAGTATAATGTTTTTAAGGTTCATCCATATTATAACATGTGTCACTACTTCATTTCTTTTTATTGTTGAATAACGTTTTATGGTATGGTTATACTACATCTTATTTATCCATTCATCCATTGATGGGCATTTGGATTGTTTCCACATTGAGGCTATTATGAATAACACTGCTATGAACATTCATGTATGAGTTTTTGTGTGGATATGTGTTTTCAGTTCTCTAGGAGTGGAATTACTAGGTCACATGGCAACCCCATGTTTAACATTTTGAGGAACTGACAAATTGTTTTCCAAAATGCCTGCATAATTTTGCATTCCCACCAGCAATGAAAGAGGGTTTCAGTTTCTCCACACCCTTGCCAACTCTTGTTAGTATTTGTCTTTTTTATTATAGCCATCCTCCTGGGTATGCAGAGGTATCTCATTGTGATTTCTATTTGCATTTCCCTAAGGGTTAATGATGTTTTACATCGTTTCATGTGTTTATTGGCCTTTGTATATTTCCTTTGGAGAAAAGTGTATTCAAATCCTTTGCTTATTGTTAATTGTATTTAACTTTTTATTATTGGGTTGTAAGACTTCTTTATATATTCTGGATAGAAATCCTTTATGAGATTATGTTGTTCAAATATTTCATATTTCATCCTATTTTGTGTGTTGTCTTTTCACCTTTGTGTGTGTGTTTGTGACTGAGTCTCACCCTGTTGCCCAGGCTGGAGTGCAGTGGCATGATCTCAGCTCACTTCAACCTCCATCTCCCAGGCTCAAGCAATCCTGCCTCACCCTCCTGAGTAGCTGGGACTACAGGCATGCACCACCATTGCCCAGCTAATTTTTGTATTTTTAGTAGAGATGTTGTTTTGCCATGTTGCCCAGGCTGGTCTCGAACTCCTGACCTCAAGTGATCTGCCCACCTCTGCCTCCCAAAGTGCTGGGAATACAGGCGTGAGCTACCGGGCCCAGCCATCTTTTCACTTTCTTAGTGTAATTTTTTTTTTGGTGCTGTATTATATGCAGCACAAAAGCTTTTTTCATTTTGCTATAGTCCCAGTCCAATTTATCCTTTTTTTGTTGTTGTTGCTTGTACTTTTTGGTGTCATAGGTAGAAAATCATTAGAAATCATTCTAATCCAAGATCATGAAGCTTTATGCCTGGTTTTTTTCCTAAGAATTTTATAGTGTATCTCTCACACTTATTCTATGATTGATTTGGGGGTTAATTTTTATGTATAGCATAAGGAAGGAGCTGAACCTCATTCTTTTGCAAGTGGACATCCAGTTGTCCTAGCACCATTTGTTGAAAACACTATTTTTCCCCCCATTAAATTGTCTTGGCACCCTCCTCATTCTTTTGAAAATTAAGTGACATGGCCTGGCACGGTGGCTTATGCCTGTAATCCCAGCACTTTGGGAGGCCAAGGTGGGCAGATCACCTGAGGTTGGGAGTTCAAGACCAGCCTGACCAACATGGAGAAACCCCGTCTCTACTAAAAACACAAAATTAGCCAGGCGTGGTGGCACATGCCTGTAATCCCAGCTGCTCGGGAGGCTGAGGCAGGAGAATTGCTTGAACCCAGGAGGCGGAGGTTGCAGTGAGCCGAGATCGTGCCATTGCACTCCAGCCTGGGCAACAAGAGTGAAACCCTGTCTCAAAAAAAGAGAAAGAAAAAAAAGAAAATTAAGTGACATAAAAAGACAAAATAGTAATATTTTCATTGATTAAAAGATTCACTGCAAACTAGATAAGGTGGATATGTATGCTGGACACTGTTAACATCCTAGAGTAGTTTAAGAGCCTAATTCAGCCTCTATTGGACACTGATCAAGTAGTTCCTGTGTTCTGGATTCTAGGCTAGAAAGGTGAATTAACCATAATTTCTATCCAGTCTCTCAGTCAGATAAACAAACAAAAAAAATTGCACTATAGCAAATGTTCTAATAGAGATATGCACAGACAAAACTGAAACATATTAGTAGTCCAGTGATTAATTCTGCCAGGGGTGCAATTTGAGCTCAGCTTGGAAGGTGGGAAAGACACTTCTGAGAGAAGGAAATGGCAGTGGAATGGAGGGAAGCGACCCTCAGGGAGTTCCACTGGACTGGAGGCTTGGAGAGTGAGTGGATGGTGTAAAGTGTTTGGAGAAGAGACAGACAGGCAATCGGATTGGAAAGAGCTCTGCATGCCTCCTGTGGAGTTTAGGCCCCATTCTATGGGCAAGAGGAAGCCACTGAAGGACCATAGGGAAGGAGTGGTTTTGTGAATTTCTGGGAGGTTGCTAAGCCCTCTTTGGACATCTGGCTTTGGCAAGAAGTGATCCCAGATCTAGCATCACTGACCAAGAATCATAGAACTTTCATTGTTTCCAACCCATATTTATGGTTTGGTGTCAGGTGTTAATATGTTACCCCTTAGGAAATCTTCCACCCTAAGGATCCCAATCACAGCTCAAGCTTCCTTCATTATACAGAGCCCTGATAAAACCAAAGCCTGGGGAAGATAAAAGAATCACTTCTCATCAGAGGCCAACCAACTCTCATCAATTGGAGAGTCAGTCCCCATATTAGTTATTCTTTGTAGAAGGGAATAACAGCCCTTCAAACTATAGGAGCACCATAGCTCCAGAAATCCACAGCTTATGCCTATAGCTACAGCAACTAAAAAATATGCCTTCATCAGCAGTCATGGGATAGCCCAGAAAACAATAAAAAGTGTTTTTCTTGTGCAGATGGAGTCAGCACACAGACACCTACCTGTAATTCTCTATACCCCATGTGCCATCTGTGTCCCCAAAGACTGTAATGGTATTGGATGATTTCTATTATTAAGACATAGGTTTTGTGTGTGTGCTTAATTGAGAAGACCTCTTAAGGAAACAATTTATAAGGTCCAATCTGAGCTCCAAGGAGGAAAGTCCAAGTGCTGTTGTTCATAAAACAGAGTAAGAAAATGTCCCTAAACATTGCAAGAGAGAAATACAGTCTTCAAAATTAGCAGTGAGGAGGGTAGCATAGCAGTGAAGTATTGGAGCATGGTCATGCTATATAAATTTAAACTTGGTGTTTGTCACTTACCGGCTATATAATCTAGGGCAAGTTACTTCCTAGGCAACATTTCCTTGATCTCTAAAATAAGAAATAATAATGACACCTATCTCATAAAGCTGTTGTGGGGATTAAATGGAATAATCCATGTAAAAGGCTTTGCTACCCAGCACAAATTAAGTGCTCAATAAATGATCACTATTATTATTACTAGGACAAAGAGAGTTTGTGTTTTCACTTCAGAAATCAATATAGATGCAGTATACTGCAAATAATTATGTGTATTCATTGTGTATAAAAGCTTCAGAACTGAGTCGATAGCCAAACCACACAGCTATGCACATTCACCTTAAGCAACATACATTAACTTCTGGGCAAATTGCACTGTTCTTGTATTGCTCCAAATGATATTTTAAAAACATTCCATTGTGATAGGAACTCAGCTACATTTGTGTATGATTATTTATGTATTGTCGCAGAAAAAAGCTCCCAGCTATTGGCTAAGAAACATGACCTGGAGTAGCTCAAGCTGAAGTCTGTGGTTTCTCCAGAAAAATCATCTGAGGTTGCAATTACTACACCAGATATGGATGTAATCTGTATAATTAAGGAAGGGATACATTAACCAAAAAGTTGTGATGATAAAAAGGAGGAAGATGATATGTAATTAACCTTTTCAACAGTTAACATCAGCGGTTACCTAAGCCTCCTTTCACAGAACTGCTCATTTGAAAAGCAGGGAGTTTTGCTGTGGCATTTTCTTAAATATTTAATTTGCCTGCCTGCAGATAAAGTGATTTCCTTTTTATATATTTTTTATTTCAGCTATGGAGTTCTGCTTTCATCACATCAACTTTCAAAATTGTATTTTATTAAATGAATTGATTTTGAAAGGAGCTGATTATTCTCTGGATTCTTTAAATAGAAACTCATATCTGATAAATATTAATTACGGTGAGGTCAGCCTACTGTTTTTATATTAGGTTGGTGCAAAAGTAATTGCAGTTTTGCCATTAATTTCATTAAATAATAAGTTTGAGAAGGGGAATTTTAGGTTCTGTGATAGCCAAGTCTCATTGAGTAGGTGACAGGCCAGGCAAGGAGCAAGTAGGCGCAGAGACCAAGGAAACCTCTGGGATCAGACAAGTGCAAGCAGAGGGTGTCAGAAGATTTGGTATGAGGGAAGTCTTGCCAGGGTCAAAAGCCAGGTATTCAAGGAGCTGGAAAGAGCAGACCTTTTGATATAATATTATAAAAAGAAAGCCCAGGCCTTGAAATTTGAGAGGTAAGCATGTTTATTCAGTCATCATAGGGTCTTCAGGAAGGCCTAGGAGCGGGAAATGAAGGAGATATCCTCAGCACAGATTAGTTAGTATCAAGAAGATTCCATGGAAAGCCACAGAGTGCTGGCCCAGAGGACTAGTAGGTGGGACTCAGGACTTCAGTTGCTGAAGGAGTCAGGAAGAAAGCTAAGACCACAGTTGGTGATGAACCCACCAAAACACCAGTTAGGAAGCCAGCAGAGGAACACAGGGACACGGGATGGAGAGGAGGCAAGAGCCAGGCACAGTGGATCAAAGGCAGAGCAGTCTAAGTTGCAAGGCTGATTCTTCAGCCAGAGGCATTGGCTGGAGGACCCTGAGCAGGGTCACATTATCCTCGATATACAGCAGGTCGTACCCACAGGCGTGAGTTAAGCCACAGTTGTCCAAACTCAGCACTACTCCATTTTGGACCAGATAATTCTTTGTTGTGGGGGCTTTCCTGTACATCATAGGCTGCAGCATCCCTGGCCTCCAGCCATTAGCATCCAGTCATGACAATCAAATTGTCTCCAATTGGTTAAATCAGTCATTGCTAAATATCCTCTGGCGGGCAAAATTTCCCCTGATTGAGAACCACTGGGTTAAGGGGGTAGCTCCCTGAGTTTGAGGAATCCCGAGATGAAAAGCCAAGTATAGGATTAGGCATTCAGAGCTTCTGTTTTGCTGTTGTTGCTGATTAAATTTGTCTTCCCCACCCTTTCTATTTGGACTTCCCAGAAGACCTTCTTATTCTTAAGCACCAGGTCTTTTCTGGTCATGTTTGTCATTTTTCTAGACTCCTCTGTAGTGTGGTGGTAGGAAATATCTACAGTATTCAGTGTTTTCCCTGAAACAGTTATATACCTACATGTGATTTACAAGGTGATGGTTACAAAATACACCGGTCTGTCCATTTCACATAAATACCTGGATGAAAGATGTTCTGTTCCAAAGCATCAGTGGCACTATGCAAACACAAGTATGACCTGTGGGGAACTCCATTTTAGGTTAGGTGGCTCTGCAATACTGGTTTCCAGTCAATGCCTGTCTCTGAGATGTCAGCTAAGGCATTCTAAAGCCCTTAGGCACAAAAATATCCCTCTTGCTGGCTAGTCATTAATGCTTAAAATGGCCAAGGGTCAGGTGGCAATGGTGACAAGTCCAGCTCACCCTGCCCAGTAGGGGGAATTTTTCATAATAATCCTCCTCTTTAGTCCATCCTCTCAATTGGCCAGAATCTAATCTGGAAGAGTGACACATAAGATCTTAACAGCATTAGCATCTTTCTTGGCCCGGTCATGTTCTAGACAGCACTGCTTAGCATCTGTCGTGTGAATTATTTGATAGATGAGAATCAGTCACTCAGCTGCCTCCCTGCTAAGCTGCACGTCATGAAAACTCACCCAGCCTGCTTTGTATTGCCCAGGTCTGCCAACTACTCATATGTCTTCCCCCATGTGGTGAAAACAGGTTGAGTTTTTTTTAAGGTGGAAGAAAGCAGACTCTAATCCAGTCATGTCAATACTAATAGATTGTCAGAGATCTACATGCAATCCCATAGAAAGCCCTGTAGAGGCTGTGTGGGTCTCCTGAGGAGAACATGACTCAAATTTGACCATTCAATTATTCCTTCATCCTCTTACTAACATAGATTACATTAGGCTGGCTCCAGAATTTCTCCATGGTGGGAGGGAGATAGTAGAGGTTTTGCTCAGATTATTTTTGGTGTGGGATAGATTTAAGGGTACTGATAGAAATTGTGGGGAGGGGCCTAAAGTCTGCCCAAGCTGTTTTTGGCTGTATTAAATTTTATTACTAAAGTATTATCTGTGATGTTAAGTAAAATCTTTCAACTTATCAAATATTTTGAGCTGGTCAGGTTTTATTTTCCTAGAGTTCATTTACCTTCACAATTAATTTTGTACCTAAGAACTTTCAGACTTAAACTATAGAACTATGTGCTAAAATATTTGTATGCAACTACAAGTTGCTCATTCATTGTAAGGTCTGAGCTGTGGTTGATATGAGATATAATAATTAGTGAGAAATTCAAGAACCTAGAGTGAAAGTCCTGTGAACTCAGATTCTTAAAAAGAGTATCATTCAAGTCAAGTTATTAATTATACTACATAGTAACAATAATAACAATAATTTTAAAATATCAAGGGCTTATTATATGCTACTGGACCAAGGGCTTTTACATGCATTTCTCATTAAATCCATTATAACCCTTTGAGATTGTTACTGTTATTAACCCCATTGTATAATAAGGAAACTGAGGCACAGAAAGTAACTTGCCTATGATGAGTCATGGGGTTAGTGGGTGGCTTAAATGCTAGCCAAGTATTGAAGCCCAGGCAACCTGACTTCAGAGTCTGAACCATCCTGATTATACCATTCTGCCCATTTTTCTTATAAATGAACCAAAGGAGAATATTTCTACAGTTTTACTTCCCACCCTTTTAAAAATATTTTGTCATCTTCTGTCATCTTAATTATTATTATTATTTTTTGAGACAGAGTCTTCCTTTGTCACCCAGGCTGGAGTGCAGTGGCGCAATCTCGGCTCACTGCAAACTCCGCCTCCCAGGTTCAAGCAGTTCTCCTGCCTCAGCCTCCTGAGTAGCTGGATTACAAGTGTGTGCCACTACGCCTGGCTAATTTTTGTATTTTTAGTAGAGACGGAGTTTCCACATGTTGGCCAGACTGGTCTCAACCTCCTGATCTCAAGTGATCCCCCACCTTGGCCTCCCAAAGTGCTGGGATTACAGGCATGAACCACCGCACCCAGCCCTGTCATCTTAATTATATATACACATATATAAAATTTACATATATAAAAATTATATTGATCAAAACATAAATAAGAATTCTCATGTCCTACTATAAATTTATATTACCCTGAGTTATATACACTGCAATATGTTTAGATCAGTAACTACAAATAAAATAATGTGAGGATCTAGTATTAATTCCAGTGCCTCCTATTTAGAGACCTGCTAGAATTCTTTATCCGTGTAGCTCAGGAATGAAATCTCCTGGGCTCCAGAGACAGACAGCAACCCAACCCGGTTTGCATTACAAAGAGAAAGGAGAGCAGCCCATTAACAATTGGCCAGGTAAGAAGCATTTAAGCAGCTGAGATCAGGATGTGAGAGAGGTGTCAAGGGACCAGAGAAGTCACAGCTCATCCCTGATGCCAACACCAAAGGAATTCTTGACACAGACCACACCTCACTAGCTCCTCACCTTCCCCCTCCCATGGCCTCTGAGGCAGAGGAAGGACAGTGAGACCAGCTCTGCCCTTCCGGTCAGGGCCTTCCACAGCCTGCAGTCCTTCCCTGGAACAGACAGTGACTGAAAAACCCAACCACCCAGGGGCTAGCCCAGCCCACATCTGGAGGTGGTGGTGGACCCCAAAGAGAAGGAGAAAGAGCAGGTAAAGTCAAGCAACACTGACATTCTAATTTTTAAAAATACTGTGCCTGCAGAGCAAAGCCATCTGCGGCCAGATTGTGGACCCAGGCTGCCAATTTTGAGCCCTGTTAGAACATCGCAGAATGAGAAGGCCCAAGGAATTCCTTCAGAATAGAGAACAGTTTGACCTAAGAGGAACTGTGGCGTTCCCTTCAATAATAAGATGTGTGCGCGTATTTTTTAAAAGCGTGTTCTGTATTCTCCCTTTAAGTAAATATATATTTTAAAAACACAGATGCGTGACTTGACTTCGTGACTCACAGTAAACAATCCAATGGCAACACCCCTCAGCCTTGGAGCAACAGCAGAGAAGCACTTTGCCTCCTGACCCTCCCCCCTTCCAGCCTTCTATTATAAACAGGGGAGATTAAGTGGCTATATGAATGAGCTTTAAAAAAAAAAAAAAATGACCCACAGGTAAGAATAGCCAGGTAGGCCACATTTTTGGGTTACAAAATCTTAGGCTGTGCCTTTCTTTAAAAATCATAACCATTGTGGAAGACAGTGTGGTGATTCCTCAAGGATCTAGAACTGGAAATACCATTTGACCCAGCCATCCCATTACTGGGTATATACCCAAACGATTATAAATCATGCTGCTATGAAGACACATGCACACATATGTTCATTGCGGCACTATTCACAATAGCAAAGACTTGGAACCAACCTAAATGTCCATCAGTGATAGACTGGATTAAGAAAATGTGGCACATATACACCATGGAATACTATGCAGCCATAAAAAAGGATGAGTTTATGTCCTTTGTAGGGACATGGATGAAGCTGGAAACCATCATTCTCAGCAAACTATCGCAGGGACAAAAAACCAAACACCGCATGTTCTCACTCATAGGTGGGAATTGAACAATGAGAACACTTGGACACAGGAAGGGGAATATCACACACCAGGGCCTGTCGTGGGGTGGGGGGAGGGAGGAGGGATAGCATTAGGAGATATACCTAGTGTAAATGATGAGTTAATGGGTGCAGCACACCAACGTGGCACATGTATACATATGTAACAAACCTGCACATTGTGCACATGTACCCTAGAACTTAAAGTATAATTTTTAAAAAATCATTTGATTATTTCCTGTGTTTTTAAAAACACATTGCTCTTTATTTATCCTCCTGTTCTAATTTACATATGTTTGGTTTGTGTGGGCATTGGGATCTCAAGAGGATGCTATCAACTCTGCTGGTGAGTATTTTTGGCGCTTTCAGTGTGGGATTTCTTGTTCACAGCATCTTATTTGTGTTTCTATGATTGCTGCTAACAAGTCTCCTTTACACACATATGTGGGGTAGGGACTTGAGGGCTAGGCCTGAGGCAGATGAATCTTTAACATGGCCAAGAAAAGGGTGTAGGGTGACGGTTATGACACACACGTTCGGAGATCGGCATGCAGTATCCAGGTGCTGTGAATCAGTTAGTTGTAGGTTGTGGCATCTCCTTGACCATCTCCGGAGCAAAGGTCTTTAGGGAGAGAGGAGACCTTGCTGCCTGCTGAATCAGCTGAGCAACGTTGGACCTAAGCTCTCCACCTTTGATTGGAAAATGAGAGGGTTCAATGACTTTTGAGGTTCCTTCCAGTTTGACATTCTAGGACTTTATGATTCATTACTGTATTCTTTTATCTAGTGCTATATGATGATTTAAATGGAATAGTCCCCCAGAAAATACACAGGAAATGTAGGCATCATCTTAAAGCAAAGAAGATGAATTTCTTTATTTAATTTAATCCACATTGCACCAAGACTTTAAAAATTCTCATGTGACTTAATTTAAGCAGTATCTTCTCTCTTCCTCTTTTTGTAGTGTACTGATATACCAATGAATCAAGTGTCTAGAGGTGAAATAGTGCTATCTAAACATAAAGATCAACAGACTGGTGAATAATATTGTCAATTTGTTGTGATCTTAGCCTTGCATATTTGTAAGTGCTACTAAGACATTTCATGAACCAGTATGATGTGGCACTTGGCAGATGAGAGGACAAGACCCTTAGGTTTGTTAGGTATGGGGGTGATGACGTTTTCTTGAAGCTCTTCCAATTTAGAAATGATAGAGACTGTGAGAGGACTGAATAGTGTCTCAGCAGGCCAGGTCATCCAAGGTAACCCCTACCACAGGAAGTCAGGGGCCTAAGGGTTCAATGTGCCTTAGAAAAATCACTCTCATTTGGTCTCCAGTTCTTGGTTTATAAACTTGGTGTGAGAAAAAGTATTGTCCCAGTTAATTGTTGCCACCATGTTTTTTCTAAGAATTTCCAGAATCCCAGATGTTTACAAAGTGATAAATGAATGTGCAATATGGTTATATTACTAAATATACTCTTTAAAAATTGTGTTTGTGTCAGTATGCTTAAAATACCTAATTTACTTCTTACACTCAGGTTTAGTGGTCATTGGAGAGAAAGAGGAAGTAGTATAATACAGGACATTCTACCATTTTTAAGACAAGAAACATATATATCACTCTTCAAAAAAGTTGGCTGGTATAATGTTTTTGGAATTTATACATTTCTTGCTTTGCTATAGAGCATGCAATTTGTTACTGCTTCTGAGGAAAAATCCAGTACTGGATTTTCATTTGAAGTTTTCTCCTATACTATCTGTCCCATTATTCCAGACAGCCTGTTTAGCTTTCTTAAAGTCAGCCTTTCTTCCCGTCTTTTCTTTAGCATGGGATATTAGAGGTGCTGCTGTTTCCATGTTTTGTTATAAACTAATGTTAGACTAAAAATGAATTGTCTAAAATAGCATCCATGAGAGTTAATAGCTCCTGTGGGTGGACCATATAACACTACCATCACTTGCTGTGTGATATTTATAATTAATACTCTCTCCTTTCCAGCCAACAGTTCTGCAGCTTAGATTTCTAATTATGGAAACAAAGAGTGAGTTTTCACACAGAGGTATTATTGTTTTTACTACCCTGGAAAATGAGGATTTATGAAAAGAAAGTTATTTCCATTGGCCCCTGGCTTCCTACCAATCCTTTCGGTGCAGCAGTTACCTCACCTTCCTTGAGGGAGGGGAAGAAGATACACCTCTTTATTGGGGGAATATTAAAAGGTGGCTCAAATGATTCCATGTCTCCTTTCTCTAGAAATTTTTCTGGGCCAGGCACGGTGGCTCACATCTGTAATCCCAGCCCTTTGGGAGGTTCAAGCAGGCAGATTGCTTGAGCCCAGGAGTTTGAGACCAGCCTGGGAAACATGGAGAAACCCGGTCTCTACAAAGAATAAAATTTACTGGGTGTGATGGCATGCACCTATAGTCCCAGCTACTAAGGAGGCTGAGACAGGAAGATCACTTGAGCCCAGGAGGTCAAGGCTGCAGTAAGCTGTGATCACACCACTGCACCACTGCATTCCAGCCTGGGCCACAGAGCGAGCAAAAAAAAAAAAAAAAAAAAAAAAAAAAAAGAAAGAAAGAAAGAAAAAGAAAAGAAAAGAAAAAGAAAAAGAAAGAATTCTTTCCAATTAAATAAAGTTCGAGATATCAGAGTCATATATTATATCCCAACACAACCTCGTAGCCTCATTTCCTGCTGGGTCACTTGGAAAGCCAAGTATAGCATTTGGCTGGCGTGTTCTCTTTTAAACATAGCTGCCAGTGCTACCTGCAGAGCAGGTGGTGGTAAGAAGCCAGGTCGCACCTAGGCAGCCAATTGGAAGTTGTTGGATTGCTGAGCTCTGTGGTGATTCCCTGTGCCCCAGTCACAGCAAGTACACAAACTGCTGGAAAGGAGCCAGTGCCCTCCTGACCTGTGGCTCAGTCACAGCTTAGTCTGTCACTTTCTGAGTAGATGCCGATCAAGGCTTTGGCATGAGAGACTCGAGAAGAGAAAGCTGGACTGCATCCTCAGCCTGCAAAGCCAAAGGATAGTGCAGCGTTTCTTTCACTTCTCTATCCTATGGTGCAGTCGTTTTTGCCTCCATTAAAGGAAGGCATTGGTCTCTCTTCAATTTCACCTAGTGCTGACCATAGCAACAAAGGATAAAACTGCAGCCACCCAAATATTTGCATGCAGGACAGCTTCAACACAGAATATTCCTATTTCTTGGGCAGAATGTCCAGGCAGGCTGGCATCTTTATACTTCAGGCTGAATTAAAACCAGATGCCTTCCTGCCAGAAATCTCCCCAGCCAGCTGAAAACTACTTAGAACCTGAGTTCACCAGTGAGGACATGAAAAGAAAAGTTTAAAATATATCTGACATGGTTCTTCAATTCTGATCCTATTAATTTTCATTTTCCCATTTCTGGAATTATTGCAAAACTCAATTAGTGAGTTTTATGGCTCTGAAAATCTTACCGTCTGGCTAGAGCTCTTCTTTTTTAAAGCAACTTGTCAATTTTAGAATAGAAAATTACTGATAAATGAGGAAAAGGTGCCAGGTCAGTACATGTAAAACTGTGGCGATTGAATGATATTGAGGGTAAGTCAGCTGAATATTATTCTCAGCTCAGCACAAAACTGAATAATGAGAGCTGTATAAAAATGACTGCTGCTTCCCAGTGACTCGGTATTCAATATCCACCACTGCGTTTCAGGATTATTCCTTTAGTTTGACAATGTTACTGAGATTTATCTAGCACCTGTCTTCCAATCACCATGGACAGTGCTTGGGTGATGGAATAGACCTCTCCATTTATTCTGGGTGGTTGCTCCCGATAAAGCTGTCCTGCAAAGCTGCCTTTTCACTATAAATCAAAGCCTCTATGTCTAAAGTGTTATTTAATAATGTTCAAAGCTGTAAGTGGAATCTAGTGGTTCACACTCAGAGCTAAGAGCCAAATACTTTACGCTGCCCTCTTAGCCCAGACACTTTTACTTTATGTATAACTTACGACTGTCTCTGTGCTTGGAAACAACTGAATATCTGAGGCCAATTTAACAAATGAAGACCAAGATATCTGCAAGAATGTGATCTTGAAATCATTTTATCTTAAATTATATGGTTAATATATGCTTTCCACTTCACTTTGCATTATTCCTCTTCTATTTCCTCTATCAAATAAGTGCAAATATCATTTAGCTATTGAAAAAATTTTAATATTGTCATGTAGAAAGAGATCTGAAAAACAAAGTATTCAAGATCAGAGAGCTTTCCAAACTTGGAACCAGATTTTAAGTCTGTTCCTAAGTATGAGTTAATTGCATAAATCTCAAATCATTAACAAATTCTTATTTTTTTTCCTTCAGTCCAAAGTTTCTTAATGATTAATATTGTGCTTAAATCACATTGAAAGTCCACTCTTTTCTTTATCTAGTCTATCATTGATGGGCACTTCGATTGATTCTATGTCTTTGCTATTGTGATTGATGCTGCAATGAACATATGTGTGCATGTATCTTTATAACAGAATGATTTATATTCCTTTGGGTATATATCCAGTAATGGGATTGCTGGGTTAAATGATATTTCTGGTTCTAGGTCTTTGAGGAATCTCCACACTGTCTTCCACAATGGTTGAACTAATTTACATTCCTACCAACAGTGTAAAAGCATTCCTATTTCTCAACAGCCTCACCAGCATCTGATGTTTCTTGATTTTTTTAATAATCATCATTCTGACTGAAGTCAGATGGTATCTCATTGTGGTTTTGATTTGCATTTCTCTAATGATCAGTGATGCTGAGCTTTTTTTCATATGTTTGTTGGCTGCACAATTGTCTTCTTTTGAGAAGTATCTGTTCATGTCATTTGCCCACTTTTGATGGGGTTGTTTTTTTCTTCTAAATTTAAGTTGCTTGTAGATTCTAGATATTAGACCTTTGTCAGATGGATAGAATGCAAAAATTTTCTCCCATTCTGTAGGTTGTCTCTTCACTCTGATGATAGTTTCTTTTGCTGTGCAGGAGCTCTTTAGTTTAATTAGATCCCATTTGTCAATTTTAGCTTTTGTTGCAATTGCTTTTGATGTTTTTGTCATGAAATCTTTGCCCGTGCCTATGTCCTGAATGTATTGCCTAGATTTTATTCTAGGGTTTTTAAAGTTTTGGGTTTCACACTGAAGTCTTTAATTTATCTTGAGTTTATTTTTGTGTAAGGTATAAGGAAGGGGTCCAGTTTCAATTTTCTGCTTATGGCTAACCAGTTCTCCCAGCACCATTTATTAAATAGGGAATCCTTTCCACATTGCTTTTGTCAGTTTTGTCAAAGATAAGATAGTTGTGGGTGTGCAGTCTTATTTCTGAGATCTCTATTCTGTTCCATAGGTCTATGTGTCTGTTTTTGTACCAGTACCATGCTGTTTTGGTTACTGTAGCCTTGTAGTATAGTTTGAAGTCTGGTAGAGTGATGCCTCCAGTGTTGTTCTTTTTGTTTAGGATTGTCTTGGCTATATGGACTCTTATTTGGTTCCATATGAATTTTAAAGTAGTTTTTTCTAATTTTGTGATGAATGTCAATGGTAGCATGGAATACTATGCAGCCATAAAAAGGAATGAGATCATGTCCTTTGCAGGGACCTGGATAGAGCTTGAAGCCATTATCCACAGCAAACTAACACATGAACAGAAAACAAAACACTGCATGTTCTCGCTTATAAGTGGGAGCTGAAAAATGAGAACACAGGGTCATAGGGAGGGGAACAACATACCCTGGAATCTGTGGCAGCTGGGGAGAGGGAGAGCATCAGGATAAATATCTAATCCATGCAGGGCTTGATACCTAGTTGATGGGTTGATAGGTGCAGCAAACCACCATGGCACACATTTACCTATGTAACAAACATGCACATCCTGCACATGTATCCTGGAACTTAAAATAAAATTAAATTTAAAAAATTTAAAAAATGAAAGGCCACCCTTTCCAAACAGCATGTTGGTGTGAGATGTCATGAAGTTTTTATTATACTTACTCCCAAGATGTCTATTCCTCATATAGTGTTACTAAGAATTCCAGGGAAGTCCACTTAATCATTTAGAGTTGCTTAGATATAGGGAAAAATTGTAGGGTAAACGCACCTGATAGCAATAACAAGCATATCCTGAGACGGCAGACACATCTGAATGTGTGTTCCGAGCTAGAGAATCCCCTTCGCCACCACGACTCTCTCCCCTCTATGAAACCCCCTAATAAAATCCCATGTCTCGTTTGCTGGCTCTGGGTCTCTTCTTTGGCCTCTTGAACTTGGTGCCTTACCTACTGAGGTTAATAGAGGTTTGACACAACAACAGTGTTCAAGGAATGCCTTATTGCTTCATTTTGATTATTAAAACATCTGAGAAGACCCCAAGCCTGGAGCTCCTTGTTATGACCCACTGCTTTTATGAGACCCCCATCCTTCTAAGCTATCCATTCTAAGTGGCTCTTTCCATCCACTTTTTCTGAATAACTCCTGTGTAAGACCCACTTCCCTCAAATAATTTTCCCAATATTTGTCTCGCTGGCTGTGAGTGAAGTTCAACTTGAAGTTCAATTCCATTTTGAAAAATTTCTGTTGACCTTGGCAGAGTTTTTGAGGACAGTATTTAACTATTAAGTTTTTCTCCCTCTGGGCCTTTTTTCTTTTTCTTTTTCTGCATTTGATTATACTACAAGCTTTAGTTTAAGAACCTTTCAAGCAATTGTTACCATTATAATATAAGAGAGAGATTGCTTTTACTATTCATAAGAATGGTCATGGATTCAGAGCTAATTAGAGTTGTAAGTAACTTTAAAGTTTACCTTCTGCAACACCATCTGATGCTTCAATCTACTCTACATTATAGATACATCCAATCTTCTGTTTTACAGAACTGTTCACTGCAATAGTTCTAAGAACTTTACAGATACCTTATGGGAATCCTTTTGTTTCCACTTCACAAGAAAATAGTCAACCCACCATTATTTCTAGCTTCTTCAAGGGGTTCCAACTTCTACTTTCAACCCCTTCCCTGTAATTTATTCCTTACATAATAGCCATGGTGATCTTTTTAGAGCATAAGTCAAGTCATGTCCTTACAGTGACTTCCTGTGAAATTTAACCCCTTACCCCAGGCTACAAGGTCTTGCAAGACTGACCTCAGGTTCCCTCTCTCCAGACTTTTTTCATGCTGCTTCTCGCCTCTTCTCTCTGTTCTTCAAACTGCTAATCTCTCAGGCCCTTGAGTATGCAGGTTTCTCTTATCTCAAAGCCTTTGCAATTGCCGGTCCCTCTGCTTATAAATCCCTTCCTGAGTCTTTGGATGCTCAGGGTACAATTCAATGTCACCTTGTCAAAGAGGCTGTTGCTGAGCCACTATCTGAAGATGCCCATCCTCCCCACAAATCTTCATCTCTATCCCATTAACTGTTTTGTCTTCTTCACAGAATCCATCACTATCAGAAGTCACTTACTTGTTTGCTTGCTTGCTGTCATCCACTAAATGTAACCTCCATGGGACCAGGGACCTGCCTTTTGTTTCCTGCGTACACCAGGCACGTAGCCATTTGGATGAATGAGAAATTATGATCCAAGTTTTTATAAAACTTACATCTAGTCACACAAGAATGGAAACAAGCTCCTGCTTCTGTGAACATGCCCTGATATTCATGATTCCATGACCTCATTCCTATGCTTTTCTTTACCTGAAAGGCTGTTTGTTGTTTTCTGGTTAAATCCTATCATCCTTTAAAACCAGTCCAGCTGCCTTGCCATTTAGGATATCCAACCTCCTCAGGCTGGATACATAACCAGTTCTAAGCGAATATTCTAATATTATCATGCTCCCTGCAATCTCTACCACTGTGTTTTAAAATATTTAATTGGGAAATATTTAATATATTCAAGATATACAATGGGATGATTGGATATATTATATATATACATTGTGTAATGATTACCACCTAAATATCCATCACCACTCATGCTATGTATCATATCCCCAGAACTTCTTCATCTTATAACTAAACCTTTGTATCTTTTGATCAGCAGCTCCCCAACCACCACCCACAACCCCCTACTCAACCTCTGGTAACCACCATTCTACTCTCTGCTTCTGTAAGCTTGACCTTTTTGGATTCCAAAGTGAGATCAGACAGTATTTGTCTTTCTGTGTCTGGCTTACTTCTCTTATCACAATGTTGTATCATTATTTGTTTGGTTGCTGGGTGTGTTAGTCTATTCTCACTCTGCTATAAAGAACTTCCTGAGACTGAGTAATTTTAAAGGAAAGAGGTTTAATTGACTCACAGTTCCACATGGCTGGGGAGGCCGCAGGAAACTTACCATCATGATGGAAGGGGAAGCAAACATGTCCTTCTTCACATGATGGCAGGAAGAAGTGCAGAGCAAAGGGAGTAAAGTCCCTTATAAACCCATCAGATCTCATGAGCACTCACTATTACGAGAACAGCATGGGAGAACTGCCTTCATGATCTAATCACCTCACATGAGGTCCCACTCCCAACACATGGGGATTATAATTTGGACTACAATTCAATATGAGATTTTGGGTGGGGACACAGCCAAACCATATCACTGGGCTCTTCCAGGAGACAGGGATCTACTGAAGGCCAGGGACTATTCGTCTTTATTTTCCCAGCCCTGAGCTTGCCCCTCATCCCCTGCACAATAAAAGTTTGTTGAAGGAGAAAGGAACCTTAAACTTCTGACTATAGTTGACTATGTTGCCAAGTTGTATTGTGTGTTCTACAGATGGCAGCCATTAATATTTTAGTCCACATTTCATTACTAATAATTATTTAGACTTTCAGATTTTTTAAAAATAACACCTTTATAATCTAATGTCTCAATTTAAATTATTTTCAACATAAAGGGAATGTGGCTTGCTGCTATAATTTTAAAAATAATTTGAGTAGATAATTTGAGTGGTTGCTAGGGATAACCTAAATCCACAAATAATCCACAAACCCCATTTTAGAAATTAATTACACCAAACATTGGATCAAAGCTGCTAACCAATAAGGAATTAAATTGATATGAGTTTAACTTCTGTACATTTGTCTTCCTAACAAAATATGAGAGAAAGGCAGGGAAAAAAGCAATTATAAACAACCCAAATAAGCTCCTGAATAATTGGGAATTGCCTACGTTTGTGTTATCCATTTCTTATATTTCCCTAGGACTGTCAAGTTCATCCTTGGGAGTGATGAGAGCCATTGAGGAAATAATAAAATACACTCTGCTATGGTTCTTTCACTCTCTGGAAAGAAAATAAAGTTAATCAAGTTAGCAATTCAGATAAAATCAGAAAGAAAAATGACAGGGATTTAATAATGCTCTTTAATTGAAACAAGTTGTTTTGCCCTAAGAGAGATGATACCATTTAATCAGGGATTTTTTTTTGACATCCTGTTTTATATGATTGGAGATATCTACTATGAATAATAAGTCATTTGTTTTGTTAGTGTATTTCTAAAATTTCTGGTATATTGTCTTCTCAAGCAAAGTAACTTTGTCTCCATAAATCCGTTTTTCCTTTGGCAATGGTTTAAATAGATTCAGGAACTAAATGTAGAAGATGAGATTCCTTCATTCAGTAACTACTGAGTGCCTGCTGTGTATCAATCACTGGTTTAGGTGCTGAATGAGACACATCATGGGTTTCATATTTAATGATATATTTCCCCATAACCAGCATACTGAAAAGGCCAATTCCATTTTTAAATTCATAACTATTTCCATATTGAAATGTGACTTGAAGACACAGAAAGGTCAATAGTTCTCTGCAAAAATAAAGTTGTTTATAATTAAATGTGAAGGGAGAAAAAACCCAAAAACGAAAAAAAAAAAAAGCAAAAAGACTTCACTCGCATTTTCACATTTAGTATGCTCACTGCTTATCTGTTTATAAAATTATAAATTATACTAGCTTTTCATGTCAAATCCTACAAGCACAAAAATAACTTTACAGTATAATTTGACCTAGCCGTATTATTTAATATATGTGCACTCATTTCTGATGAGACCCAGAGCACATTTTGCTCATGAATACCCGTAATCCTTTAGGCATTTTATGACAAATCTCTTATTAGCCACAATCTTAGCATGAGCAATATATGATAAATGGCCCAGCAAAGGTTGTTCGGTGAATTTGAAATGCTCTCAGGAAGAGTACCCATGTTTAAGAATCTACCCAATGCTTTATTCTTTATACTTTATTCTCCCTTGTCTGTGTATTTGATTTTCAAACAACCATCCTAAAGTACTTTGTAAGACTGCAATATGAGATTGGTTTCTGGAACTGCAGGATTTTCCATGGGATATTTTCTCCTCTTCCTTTACAACTAGGTAAATTCAGCTGGGGTTCAGCTCTGAGGCTGTGAATTATCACTGGAGCATTGCTATCTCAATACTTCTCTGTTTGATTCATTGGACAGATTATTTTACATGATCAGACAATTCGGTTAATCATCTTCAGGGCCAGGAGAACTTGAGGATATCTTCTGATTTGCTTAATTCTGAATATTTCAAACTGATGATGTCTATCTCAAAGTAAAAACAGTCTTTAAAGGCACTGTAATAAAAATGGGTGAGAATAATAATCATTGGAAAAAGAGACTCTTAAGGAAGAACAGACATCTCATTTTCCATTTTCTTCTCATTATGTCTGCAGAGTAACACTCCCAGGGCTCAGGGATATCAAATTTGATATAAATTCACAAATGAAAGTGACAATAAATCAATGCCTAGAGCTCTTATTTCATTGCTTCATGCTAGTACTTTCCCCACCAATCATTTGCTGACTATGCTACTGATAAAGTACTCATCATTTTTGCCTCTGATTCTAGTTAGAAAATGAGTCTACCTTTCCCCTGACACAGGGAGTAAACTGTGAAATGATAAGCACTTTGCCTAAGAACAGGAAACACTCCATGAAAACACTGAGATGAAAACCTCAAATATGACATTTAAATGAATGGGTAAGCCTGGGCAACATAGAAAGATCCCGTCTCTATAATTTTTTTTTTTCACTTAGCTACCCATGGTGGAACACACCTGTACTAGATACTTGGGGTGGGGCTGAGCTGGGAGGATGGCTTGAGCCCAGGAGTTTGAAGCTGAAGTAAGCCTTGATCATGCCACTGTGCTCCAGCCAGGGCAACAGAGCAGGACTCTGTCTCTAAAATAAATAAATACATCTGAATTTTTTTTTTGCTTTTATGTAAGCTAAAGTGAGTGCTTTAAAGATATTCAGGAAGAGTGTGTGGCTGAATTTTTTTTTTCTTTTTAATTAGTATAAGTATGGCAGTTTTAAAAGATTGGGGAGAGGAAGAGTATAAAACTCCAGACAGATCTTCACACAAATTGCTTAGCAAGGGTCTTTAAGGACTCTTTTCACTTTGAAGGAATTACAACTGGAGATTGGAAATGGTAGATTTCAGAGTAAAGTTTTGGAAGAAAGATAATGCAGAATTCTAACTGTCTATATCAAAGAAATGAGAGTTGCCTTGCCTCTTCCCTAACCCCCACCCCAGTAAAATATTGGCAAATGAATGTCTTTTATGCATTTTACATTAAAATGACATTTTTAAATTATGTATTATGTTTTTTACTGATTTTCTCACTTTAACCAATTTTTGCTTTAATTACTACTATTTTCACTCATGTCAGATAAGTCAGCTTTCCTGCATAGCAAGGTGGTTGAATACATAGGCTCTGTAGACAGACATCCAGATCTGGTGCTTCTTACTGTTTGTGACTTTAGGCAAGCTGCTTAACTACTCTGATTTTCTATGTCACTATTTGTGAAATGATGATGGTAATATATCTACTTCTTAAGTTTGTAAAGAGGATTAAATAAGATCATTCATATTAAGGACTTGGCATTCTGTTCATCTCTGACAACACAGTAAACTCGTAATAAACAATATCAATTTAGATATTTTATAGCGAAAATTGTAACCCAGGTGCATTGGTCTCTTTGGCCTGCATAACAAAATACCACAAACTGAGTGGTTTAAACAACAGAAGCTAATTTTCTCACAATTCTGGAGGGTGGAAGTCCAAAATCAAGGTACCAGCAGGATTGGTTTCTAGTGAAGTGTTTCTCCTCAGTTTGCAGATGATGTCTTCTCATTCTGTCCTCATAAGGCATTTTCTTTGTGCGCACATAAAGAAAAGGAGTCCTGGGGTCTCTTCTTCTTACAAGAGCAGCAGTCCTATCGGATTAGGGCCCAGCTTCATGACTCCATTTCACCTAATTACCCCCTGAAAGGCCATTTTTCCAGTATAGTCACATTAGGGCTTCAACATATTATTTTTGGGGAGACTCAAGTTGGTTCAAACACTAGTACATTTATACTCTACTTATAAAAAGTAGAGTAGCCTTGGGAAGCAGAAATGACCCGTCATGAAGGATGAACTCCAAAGAGTTCTCTCCAAAAAGAGGACAAGTTTCAGTCCACAGTGATCCAAATTGAAGAGAATTAGAGAACCTGAACTCCATACTTAAATCTACCATTCACTATATGAAATTGCAATAATTACGTAATTTCCTTCTTTCTTAGATACACACATTAAATCTAATTATAGATGAGCCCATCATCTACTTGCTTCAAAGGATGTATAAAGGACTAACATAACACTGCTTAATACAATAACTAGTCTGAAATTTCTGGAAAGGGTAAGGTAAATTCCAAGGAGCAAAAACAAGCTTATTCTCCTTGGTTTTATCTTTATTGATTCTTCCATTTGTTCATTAAAAATGTATTGATTACCTACCATGTGCCAGACACTATGGGTACAAAAGAAATAGTTTCTAGAACATGACCTTAAATGACTCACAGGCCACTGGGAAAGGGAGACATGTAAAGAAGTAATTGTGACGAGCCAGAAACATAGTACACAGTTGCAAATTTAAATGCCATGAAAATGTAATAATAGCTATCACTTGTTGGGTGCTCACTATGATATCCCAGTTACCATGGCACATGCTTTATATTCACCATCTCATCTAATGTTTGCAATAATATTGAGTTAAATACTGTTATTAACAACATTTTATGGGATTAGAGAGACTAGGTGTCTTGTTCAACGGCTCATAATTGAAAAGCAATAGACCTTAGGTGAGAATTCAGTTGTGTCCAATTCTTGAGTGCATTTTCATAACCACAGTCTCCACTGTCTCCCTGCTCTGGGAGCACAAAAGATTATCTAAATCTTTTTGAACCATGGAAGATCTAACAGAAGACATTACTGTTGAGCTGGCTGTTGAAGGATGAAGAGAAGTTGACCAGGTAGAGAAGGGGGAGGCAGGCATGCAGGAAGACAAAGCCGTGAAGGAACACAGCTTACTCAGGCATGGAGAGTAGGACTTATATCAGGGAATGGCCCTGTGTGAGATCAAGAACACAGAGAGGACCATGCTTTATCCTCAAGACATCAGGGGACCCTGGAGTTTTTTGAGCAGGAGAGAAACATAAAATGAAATAAGTTTTGTATTTTGTTAGGGCACTCTGATGGGTGCCCTAACGGGGTATTCTGGCATGGAGAGGGCAGTATATCAGAAAGTTGCACCATATTAGAAAGAAGAATACCAGTTCACCACTATAGTAGGCCAAGCAGGAGGTGATATTAATCTGAATTCAGGAAATGGGAGTAGAACTGGGGAGGAGAATGTTGAAAAGATATACTTAAGAAAGAGATTTGCCAGTAGTTTGCAGTTAATTAGAGATGAGAAATGAATTGAGTGAGAAGGTGAGACTGACTCCCAGGTTCCTAGTTCAAAGAATTGGGTGAAATATGATGCTCAGAAGCAATAGAGGGGAAATAGGAGAAGTGGGTTCAGAGTGGATGAAAGAATTCCATTTAGATACTCTCAGTTGCTTGTGTGATATATAAGTAAATGTTGCTGTAAGACAACACTAAATGCAATTCTGGAAGCCCAGGGAAAGAAGTCAGGGCTGGAAGTGGTGATTTGGAACCAATTATCCATAGGCCTTGACCTCAAGTCAAGGTAGTAAATGAAAGACCCCAGGAGAGCAGCTTGGGAAAGAGAACCCTGCTAAGGTCAGCACCCAGAGGAACTCGAGTAAATGAAGAGACACTAACCAGGGGAGTCAGAGACACAGGAGAGAACCAGGGCAGAGTGGCATTCTGGAAGTCAAGAGAATTCAACAGGGTAACAGGACTCAATGCCACAGAGGATAAGTGAGGATTTTTTAAATGTCCACTGAATTTGACAAGTAGGAGGTCACTGATGACACTGCAGAAGTGGCGTCGTTAGAATGTGGGGACAGATGCCAGATTATAGTGGGTAATGGGAGGAGGAAATGCAGGCCTTGAGAAAGAATATGTTTTTAAGAACTTTGGCACTCGAGGGGAGGATTGTTCTGTGACAGCAGCCAGCAGGGAAGCAGGACCCAGAGAGAACGGGTGGTTTTTTTTCTCCTACTACCTCTTATATTTCTAACAATATCCTAATTTTTCAGGTCTTTGAAAAACACCTTACAGATACTTTTTAAAGTTTTCATTTGCTAGTGATAAATAAAATGTGCTTGTATGTGTAATTTGTATAGAAGATTTTCTTATACTTACTCTATGTCCAGCTGACATAAAAGTCTTAATAAACTGGTCTTTCCTGAGGAGTATCAAGTTCAGAATGCTTTCATATACTCTTTCTCTGTTGGTTTTCATTCAAACATATTCTAAATCTGTTAATGTTATTTAATTTGTGTTTACTGTATGATGAGAATGAAGAAAACAACCTATGTGAGCATTTCCATGAATAAACAGACTGGCTTGGGGAAAAAACAGTCAGCAAATGACTCTTCCCAAGGATTTGCATGTTCAGAGCATTGACAGGGAGAGATTCTTAAAATGTGACTGAAATGTTCAGAGTGATTAGTATGAGGCAAGATGTTAGAGACTCAGGCAGTTTTCTAAGCTTCAGACAAGAGAGATCTACAGTTCTAAGAAACAGGGATGTACCCTTTGCAAGTAGCCCATTTTGGCATCCTATGGGGATGCCAAACAGCTGTAAAGAATGCTTGGGGCTGGGTGCAGTGGCTCACACCTATAATCCCAGCACTTTGCGGGACCAAGTTAGGTGGATCACTTGAAGCCAGGAGTTTGAGACCGGCCTGAGCAATATAGCAAGACCCTATCTCTACAAAAAATAAAAAATTAGCCAAGCATGGTGATGCATACCTGTGGTCCCAGCCACTTGGGAGGCTGAGGCAGGAGGATTGTTTGAGCCTAATAGATCAAGGCTGCAGTGAGCCATGATCAGGACACTGCACTCTATCCTGGGTGACACAGGTGAGACTCTGTCTCAAAAAATAAAGAAAGAAAGAAAGAACTCTTGGATCCAGGCTTCACTTACTCCTTAGAGGAAACACAATTAATTAACTGGATTAGAAGGCCCTCCTTGGTGAAATACAGAGTTCCCTTTGATGAAGCATCTTCATCAGTTCAAACTGAAAGGCCACCTCTCTTCATGAAATGCCAACTGAAAATCATTTGAGAGCAGCCAGTACTCTCCAATTTTTCTGGCTTGGTTATCTGTTCCAGAGGCCCCAAAACTGATCCAAGCACCTTTGCAAAGTAAAGAAAAGAAAAGACCTCAAGTAACATGTTGAGATAATATCTTCTAGGGCTTGAAGTAAGATTTGTCCATGTTAAAAATCTATTAGTAACAATAGGCCTACTTCTTTAGTACTTATTATATGCCAGGCACAATCCTACCAGTGAGTGTACCTACAGTTCAGAGAGAGAAAGAGAAAAATCACAAGGATTGCCTGGGGCTTTATAGACATGGTTCATGTTTACTATAGCAATCCAATGAGGAAGGATGTCTTCATCCCATTTAGCAGCAGTAAATGGGGCTGAGAAACTCAGTGGTTTGTCCAGGGTCACAGAGCTGGCAATAGCAGAGTGTCCAATGTAGGGCTCTGGGCCTGAGGTCTGGTCTCCGCCTTGCTCCAGGATGCCTTCTTGTAGCCAGATAGTTAAGCTAACAAAACCCCTTTGTGCCTCTCAGTAGATTGCACATCCCACATTTCTCTGGCTTAATCAGCATTTTAAAAATATTTTTCCCCACCTCCCAAGCTGTGTGTTTACTTTTTATGACCACTAATAGCATTTGTGACTTTGTAAGCTAAGATGATGAAGTAAAAATCAATTTGTCTCAAGGTAAAAACTAACCATCTTTATTATCAACAAAAGATTTCTCTTGTTAGGAATATTTTCTACCTGTATTAATGTATTTATGTATTTAACAGATTTTCCCCTTCTCCCCAGGCCAAATTGTATTGACCGTCAGTGGCATTTAAACTGGTTGCATGGTACTTGGGCAGCCTAGGGAAAAAACTTTAAAAAATACTGATGCCAGGATCCCATACTCAGATATTCTATTTTAATTATCCTGTGGTGGAATCCAGGCATATATATATTTTTAAATTTTCCTAGAGGGTTCTATGGTACAACTAGAGTTGGAAACCACTGACGTCCACAATCTGATAGCTCTACTGATAGCCTGAAAGCTAAATCATGTGTTTATAAGACATCCAAGCCTACCCAGTTAAGTATCTTACCTTGATCTTTTATATAATGTCAGCCATATGGAAGATAGCATAGTGAAGAATCAATAGCACTTATCAATAAAACCATAGGTCCCGGAATTCTTTTTATCCTTCTGATTAAATATCTTAGAATTTAAGTTGTTGAAATGTTTAAGAAAAATGAACAATAACACCCTTTCCCTCTCCCCTCTTCAAACCAAAGAATGACGGTTTGAAACCTGTGACTAGCTAGACAATTCTAAATGTTCTTGTTTGTTAAGCAACTAAAATGTCCTGGATTTTCCAGTACAGCATCAATTTCAAATATCCTTTCGTATTCTGATGATTACACGGATACCACATTTATGTGTTCATTCAAGTATTTGGTGAGAACCTATCAGATTCTAAGTACTGGGGTTGGTTTCTGCTTTTACCAAACTTAACATCCTAGAGGGAGGATTAGAAATGAACAAATTAATGAACCAGAAAAAAACTAGTGCTAGGAAGAAAAAAACAAGTGTGTCACAGATACTAATGGGTAGTTACTTGAGATTTAGTGATTAGGGAAGGCTTATCTGTGGAGGTGACAATTGAGCCAAGAAACAAATGACAAGAAGGAGCCAGCCTTGTGAAAATCTAAGGAGAACACATTTGGAGCAGAAATTCCCTAAGCAGGAATGGGCTTAGTGTGCTAAAATACCACGAAGGAAAGCAAGAATCAGAGGAGACATGGATGTGGAGGTAGGCAGTCAACCAGTCATGTAGGCAATGTTTCTATAGTAACTCTGACTGCATCTTCCAGATCTCTTTAAAAAAAAATACCAAAGCCTAGGCCCACCCCAGTCCATCAATTCAGAATTTTTAGGATTAGGGGAGTAACTCCACAAAATGACCCCTTAAATAAATGATCTGAATGTTTTCTGCTACTACTTTTAAAAGTTCTGTTAACAGTTGTGTACTGTGAATAGAATGGTATTTTTAAAGCAACGTTAACCAGTTTAACAGAAAATACACTGCATGAACTAATCCATGTGCCACAAAAAGGGCCAAATGTTTCAGTGACACAGGAAATCCAATTACAGTTGCCTTGAGCTTAGTCATTTATTCATCAGAGAGTTTCAACATTTGATTTCTCTAGGTGTTCCCCATGTGCAGAAAGGACTGAGCCACTTAAGTAAGCCTTTGAAGGCCAGGGTAAGGACGTAAGGAAATGGAGTTTTGTTTTATGTATAATGAGAATTAACTAACTGAATGGCTTTAAGAAGGGAAGTGATGCCACTCAGTGGAAAATGGATTTGGGCCAACTCAGCAAGATCAGAAATGAGGAAAGCGGTTAAGAGACAACTGCAGTATTCTAGAAGAGAGGCAATGGTGGTTTGTCCTAGTTTGGAACAAGTAGAGAGAAGTGGTCAGGTTTGTCATGTTGCAGGCATAGTTACAAGTGTAGAGTCTACAACATTTACTGGATTGGAGATGGGATGACTTCTACGGTTAAGGTTAAAAAATGGTGGCCGGACACGGTGGCTCACGCCTGTAATCCCAGCACTTTGGGAGGCTGAGGTGGGTGGATCACGAGGTCAGGAGATCGAGACCATCTTGGCCAACATGGTGAAACCCCGTCTCTACTAAAATACAAAAAATTAGCCGGGCGTGGTGGCACGTGCCTGTAATCCCAGCTACTTGGGAGGGTGAGGCAGGGGAATCGCTTGAACCCGGGAGACAGAGGTTGTGGTGAGCTGAGATCGCGCCACTGCACTCCAGCCTGGGCAACGGAGCAAGACTCCATCTCAAAAAAAAAAAAAAAAAAAAAAAGGCATGGATGGTGATATTCTTTACCAGGATAGAGAAGGCTAGGAGAGGAGTAGGTTAAAGGTAGGTGACTAAAATATACATATGTAGAATCTGTCATTCAACTTGCTGATTGGTCAGTTAAGTGACAAGATCTAATAGGCAATTGAATAGATAATTATGGAGCTCAGCACAAGATTGAGGTGAGAGATACAAATTTAGAAGCCCCCATTATGTAGAAACTATTCAGAGTCATTGAGATGGCTTAAGAGTATCTGGAGAGAAAGCAGCCAAAGGAGAAAGTATTTAAAGCAGAAAGGAATGGCCAGCTGGGCCAAATACTGCTGAGGGTCTAATAGAGAAGTAACCACTGGAAAAAAAAAGTTGTGTCTCCATTTTAGGGTTTAGGAAATATGGTCACCATAGGAAATACTGGTAATGACAATAAGATTCTTTCTACATGTTAACAGATACATTTGGCAAAATAGCCCTGGACTGAAAATATATAGGTAAAAATGGTAAAGATGTGTGTGTGGGATCGGTACAAGATCATTAAGAGGTAGTAAGATTTAGAGTTTTAATACCACTCCAGACAAAAAAAGCATATGGATCACATTTCTTTCTAAAGTAGAAAAAGTGGATGTGTTACAAAGTAGACAAATAGTGACTCAATAAATTTTACGTATTTTCTACTTGCCTATTTAAAAGAAAATTCCACTGGACCTAGAGTTGATATGTAAGATACAACAGTTGTGGGCTAGGCTAGAAATTTCAATCCGTAAAATGACCTATTCTGGGACTAGGGGAGCAACTCCACAATATGACCCTTTAAATAAATGATTTGAATATTTTCTGCCACTACTTTAAAAGTGCTACTGAAAGTTGTATAATGTGAATGGAATGGTAAGCTATTTTTTAAAGCAACCTGAATTTGTTTAAAGTAAAATACAATGCATGAGCAAATCCATGTGCCACACAAGGAGCCAGATGTTTCAATGACACAGGAAATCGGATTACAGTTACCTTGAGCTTAGCCTTTTGTTCATCAGAGGGCTTCATTTCCAAAAACAAACAAACAAAAAACTAAAATTAGAATTTCACCCTTCAAATGTCCTAAAATGCCTCATACATATTAGTGTGAACTGGGAAAGGGAGCTGAGACATTGTAAAATTCCTGAAGATGGCTCTAAATACATACCAAACAAAGCCAAAAACATTTGTGCAACCATTGTTCATACTGATGGTAAAGAACAACATATTCCTGTTATTCTTCATACAGCACGCAAACAAGCAAGCATCCCTCTCAGAGAGGCATAAAATTATGCATCAAAAACCAAACTAGCTTCTATAATTTGAAAGAGTTTGAAAGCAGTAAAGTCTTTTTCCAAATGACTGATACATGAATATGTGGCCCCCAGAAACCATTGTCCAACTTGCAATATGGTGTGTAACGCCCAGAAAAAAGTATACCCAATAAAGTAAAGCTCCTTTCTTACATAATAAATAGATCATAATAGTTACCCTTTTAAGGCTCCATCTGGCATGCCTTACATTAGGCAGCCACATTTATGACCCATGATCTCTTGTATCACCAGGAAATATTTACTGAAGGAAATATTTGTTCAGGTTTGTTTGTCGTGGGGTGACCACCTGGTTGGAGCCGATGTGATAGTCAGTGTTTGAATTATCACAGATTCAGGTTTGCTCTTTACAGCCAAAATCTGGCATTTCTCATATCTCCCTGGGTTTTCATCACAAATACAGAAGGGTGAAATTAAAGACATGATCTTATGTATTAAAGGATATAAAGATAAATATGTTTGCTCCTTTTTTATTGAGGTAAACAGCTGGCTAATGTTAATCATACAGCCAGCGATTTGGTAACTTTCCAAATATATAAAAAATAAATTTATTTTATCATTATTTCTGTGACTTTTAGATGGTTTCAGAAAACAGATTCATGTCAAATTTAAAAGTAATTATGGTTTTCAGCTTCCCACTGGTGCTGTGGGAGAATTTAGAAATATATAGGTCATTTTTTTGAGATAATAAGATTGGGATTAATGTACCTATCCAATCAAATCAGAGTTACTCTAACTTACTAAAAAGTGTAAATCAAAATGCCCTAAAAACTCCTCTGGAAATGAATCAGGGAAACAGTTTTGGCCCATTGTCACAGAATAAATAAGCCAAACAAATATTTTCGATCTTATAGTAGCTAAAATAATTGTATGAGAACTTTGGTTTGTCACCAAAATGATATCAACTGAATACTGAAAAGTATACTCTGGGGTGCATGTCTTATGTGGAAAATTTTAGTTCCATTTTGCAGTGTCTGTAAAGTTATTTTCTGATAATTCCTGAGCAGAGAAAGCTTGCTAGATACTCTCAGAAATGTTTTTAGGTGAATCTGATAACCAATTAGGATCAAGTGTGTGAAAGTGCTTTGTAAATTACAAATAATTCTATTTATTTGAGCATCATGACCTCTCCAGGTCAATAACGATGGTACGATATGACATTTGATATGATATGATTTAATAATGAGAGCCTCAGATTCTACTGGGCTCCTTATTTTATGATTCAGGTGATGCTGGGGATGACATTTGTAATCTCTAAAAGAGAATCCTTGTTTGCCTGAATTTGCAAAGATTATTGTTAAAAGTATCTTAAAAGATTTTTGAAGAGTCTATTAATACAGTCAGCTCAAAGACTTCTGGAAACGTACTATATACTAAAATGAGTCTTCCCATTTTGTCACCTCAGAAACCAGAAGTTCCAACTTCCATGGCTTACTAATAAACATAATCCTGCCAATAAATTATCTCCCAACCTGTTTGTGTAATAAAAAATTGACCTCATTTAAATTAACAGCGGAACACCTCCAGGCCAGGGGGCTGCTCTCCCCACCCTAGAGGCCACAAGAGTTTAGCTTTTACCTCCTGTCAGTTTGATCAGTTTATTTTTCCACTTATATTTTTAACTTTATCACTGAGAAAATGTGCTACAAATAGGAGTAGCTTAATAAAGTGAAATGAAGTTTGTGAGATTCAACATCTAGCACCTGCCAGGTTTAGAGCATTTTCTCATCCATCTGGGATAACCCATGCTGACAAAGCTTAGCTCTGTGAAACCAATTATCCACATCGCTTACAGGGACATGGCCTGAACTAGATTATGATTATGCCCACTGCTGTGAATACATGACAACTCCCAGGGGTTGCGTGTAATGCCACTGTGGCATACCCCATGGATGTCTTTTTGGAGGGTGGGAAGGGTGGCAAACAGCTGAAAGAGGACTCCCAGTGCGTTGCAATTTTTTTAATGTGTTTTCATGACCAAAACTTTTAAAATTTTATATCTGTGTCTAACCATGTCTTAGATCCCATTTCCTATCTCACTTGTCCTTTACAACATTGTTTTCCTATCTCATTTCTTTCCCTACCATTTCCCTTCTTCATATACAACACTGAACTCTTTCCTTCAAAGTATTTTCATCAGGATGGTTTATGATGGGTCAAGGTTGGAAAACACATAGCAATTCTGCATTTGCCGTTGATGCTAAGCAGCAACTTACATCTTCTGCATTTTTATGACTTTTAAGAAAATAGCCCCTAGTTTGAAAATCTGCAAGCTCTGCCTAGATTAGTGATACCCATAGGAACTTTCCTGTTATGTTTTAAGACTAGCCTACAAAGATTGAGTTTTATCCCAAATCTCTGCATCTCAATGATTTTGTAATCCAAAACAAACATGCAATTCTTCAGTGACACAAGCATGAATGCCCTGACACGCCTACTGGAAGGTGAGCTTTTTCTGAAGGCAGGCTCTGTGTATATTTCTTATATCATCCTACCATAGCACTCAGCATAATGCCTTGCTCACAGAGTGGTTCACTAAGTGCTTGTGAAAGTGGCCCTTCTACTTCTACCTTCTGCCCTTCGACTCCTGGGAACCCCCAAATAGCTAAATATTAAAACCTACCTCCCGTAACTTGGGAATCCTGGTCAAATTTAAACACATACCAATAGAGATGTTGATAAAGAGTGGTGTCTTTTTGGTGGGAGAAAACTTCCCCTGGCTCATTCCCACCTCCCATCTCCCACCAAACACATTGGTATTCCATTTCTATTTCCTTACTTCATCAAGGACCCATTCTCACAGTATTACTCCCCCTAATGGTAGAGACAGTCTACCATGTAGTACAGATTTGTAGGTTTCCAGTGGATTAATACGAAAAGCCCGATTCCTTTAAGAACTGGTGTTTTAGGGGAGGAGGCACAGGATGAGCAAGTTACCAGATAACTATCTGGTGGGGCAAGGAAGTGACAAAAAAGTGAAGAGAATCTCTCGCTATCTTTTTTCTTCTTGCAGCCCCTTGACTGCCAAGCCTCTCCAGGACCACATTTGCCAACAGAGCACCACCATCTCTGGGGGCATTATCACTGTGAAGTATCTCAACGGGAGTCTCAGAGCAGAGCTCTCTTAGTTATAGGCTTTAGTTCCAAAATGCGGAAGACACCCAAGCTATGTCCCTGTGTGAAGACCACATGAGAGTGCCCCATCACCATCTTCTCACCTCTATAGATGGCCCCTTGGTCACATCATCACACTTGTTTTGCACAATTCAGAGAGCCAGGTGAAAAGTACTAGAGAATAAGTTTTTCCTACATTCTAGTGTAGTGCTGTCTCCTTCAGCAAATCAATGTTAGTTTTCTTAACTAGAAAATTAAAATAACACTTTCCTCCTGACCCCCATCTAAAAAACTAAATAAATAACCAATAAATACGCATTAAGGACTCAACTCTTTTTAAATAAAATGCACTGTTCAAGAGCACATTATTATTTTTTATTATTATTATTCTCCAATACAGGTTTGGTTTTCAGAACTCCACAAAACATAGCGATATTCACACTTTTAAACAAAAATAATTTACATTCAAAACACTGATGAAACAAATTTCCTTAGCACTTTTCTATGTTTCTAGAAGCTCGAAAACCACATTGTGGATTTTAAGAAAGGGTAGGGAATCAGACAAGACAATGATGTCCATGACCATAGAGTTACAATGTTTGGTCTGTCAGGTATCTAAAAAGATAGGAAAAGAAGGACAAGTGACACAAAAGTAGCAAATACGTATTCAGTACCTGCAGGCTCTGTACCAGATACCGAAAGATGGAGGTATCTGAAGACGTGGACATAAAAAATATAATTGAAGGAGAAATTTGATTTGTGGGAGGACCCAGATTAATTTTAGTCAGAAAGGCTTCTAGGAAGAGGCTGTGTTCAATATGAGCCCTGAAGGATAAGAGATTTTCAGTCCTGCTTAGAGCAGGACAGTTTACCTGTTGGGGTGCTTTCTGGCAAGGCTGCGGTCCATTTCCCTGGTCCATGTGCAAAAGGGAAGATAAGAGAACATTGGGCTAGCTGGTTGAGGCCAGAGCACGGTGGGCCTTGAAAACCAAGGCGAAAACCAATTTAAATGTCATCTGTAGGCCTTAAACTTTGAAAGGTTTTGAGCATGGAACTGAAACGATCAGAATTATCTGTATTTAAGTATAGAAGCAGGCATTTATCTAGGGTCCCATGAAATACATACGTGTGTAAACATATTTTGTTTTGCTTCTTGGAATGGCTTCATAGGCTGGAGAGGATAATTTTAAAAATAGACCTTTAGAAACCAAGGTTGGCAGAAGCATCATGTCATTGAATATAACTATCCTCCTTCAAGAAAACAGTCCGATTTATTTTGTGGAAGATACAACAAGCTGCAGCTCTGTATTTCAACTACAATTCATAAATGTTTACAGCGTTCAACACCTGACTCTTGACTATAGACCACTGTGTCTCTTGGCTAATGATTTTTGTTATTAAATAAATTTGAATTTTGTATGATAAAAAGATTCCTGAAGTAGTTTGTTTATTCTTCAACAAAAGCCTCTGTGTTTGTAAAGAATCCCCAATGAGGCCAATAGCTCACTTGAATCAGTGCCTACCTCCCTTAGGCTCCATATTTGAAAAAATATGGTTATTACCCAGAGCTCCATAAAAGATTCAATATCTAATTTGTCTGTTGGGAGTCAATAAATAACTTTTGCCAATGACACAATCTTTACTATCTTTTTATAGAGATTTTTGTCCCCCAGACCCTCAAGGGCAAGGAGGCAATTGGCTGCCGTTGTGTTTATTATTATAACAGATAGAATTTCAGATTCTGTTTCTGAAGTGACACTTTGTGGAGTGACACTGCATTTACAGTTACTGATAATAAAAATGGCTCTTAAAGTGGTAGAGTTTGGCTTCCAATAAGAAGAATACCAACTAAGTTAAAACTTCCCCATAGGTGCAGAGTCTTCCTGAAAGAGTGAAACTTCAGTTCCAACCTAGGTTGATGCCAGAACTCACAAGTGTCCCTCACATTATGTTTGCTCTGTTTCCTGTATGAGATGGTTCACTAGCGGCTCAAAATGTGAGCAAGAAAAATTGACACTGAGATCTGAGTGTTTTTCTGCCCCCTACCCCCACTCCAGGGAACATAATGCAAGCTAAACCCCTGTTAGACCTTGAGAGGATGGGGGCAACACTAAGTTTTACTAGAGTCTTTTGAATTAAAAATATGCCATTACTTGGTTTAAATAGTACTGTTTTACAGCATAGTAGTCATCATATACCCATTTTTGTAGATGCTTGTCCTAAACACCTAAGATATCTTTATTGCTAGCAGTGTCCTTTCTTTCTAAAAGAATAAACATAACATTTTAATTCTGTAAAAAGAATAGAACATGCTCACTGATCAGCTCTGAACACTTTTGTGGTGAGCCCCCTTGGGAAAATGTATATTGTACCCATTGTAGTTCAGGTTTTAGAACTGAATCCTTTGAAGGTCAGATAGCAAGATGCTTTACTTTTGTAGGTCATTTTGTTGTCATAATAGTTTCCACCATACCTAATTTTTTTTCCGAAGCATTTCTTCATTTCAAAATACATTTATTGAGTGTGAATTGAAGCAGTGGATAAATGAAAATGAATGACATGTTCCATTCCTCAAGCCTAGTGAGGAACAGCCATTGAGTAAACTCTTCGCTATAATACGATACAGTGAGGACTGTGATAGAGGTAGAATCAGGGTGCAATAAGACCACCAAGGAGGAGGTTCTTTACCTTGGCACATCTGAGAAGGTGTCTGCAAAGAGGTGGCCTGTAGAAGCTTGGAGGGGGAGTAGAAGTTCCCCAGATGGACTAAAAGAGGGCTATGTGACAGAAAAAGAAAAAAAAAACAAAAAACAAAAAACAGCAACCTGCCCTCATTTTCAATTTTACACATTTGCTACAACAAATGTAGAATCACTTAAGCTGTTCCTCTAGGCTCTAAGAAGGGAAAAACTTAACATTTAAAATAAAATTTAAGTAACTGATTTCCTTATCAAACCTCTGTAAAAGATAAGTTTATTATTAGTCCTGTTAGCCTGCCCAGATCTCAATTTGAATAATTACATTCCTCCTACCTAATTCATCCCTGTAGTTTTAATTGGTTTCAGAACTTGACTTGCTTCTTTTCAATTGTTACGTAGTATTGTTATTTGGTATTAAACAGCTGTTACGTTCTACCACAGAGCTGAATATTTTTCAGCAACTGATGCGGTGATTTCAGTCCTATAAGGCAGATAAAACAATTTGCGAGGGCTTTGACATGACAAATA